>NC_000010.11:121620867-122245950 GCF_000001405.40 Homo sapiens
TCCACATCAAGACACATCTGGGAGGTAACTGGGAGGCATTTGATAAGAAGACATTGTGTGGACAAACTCTGCAATAAATAACCAAGAAACTCCAGAGGAGTTCCACTGAATCGTAGATTTGTTTATTCATTCATTCAGCCAACATTTATCAAGTACCTGGTATGCCAGACCCGGGGACAGCAGCAAATGTGAGTCTTGGAGTGTGGAGTCAGGTGAGGACACAGGTATTGAACTAGCAATGACAAGTGTGAGGAGAGCCATAGAAGACAACAGTGCCCTGCAAGAATGGGTCCCTTCCTGCAAAAGTGAGTCCTGTGTGGCTGGGCGCAGTGGCTCACACCTGTAATCCCAGCACTTCAGGAGGCTGAGGCGGGTGGATGACCTGAGGTCAGGAGTTCGAGACCAGCCTGGCCAACATGGTGAAACCCTGTCTCTGCTAATAATACAAAACTAGCAGGGCGTGGTGGTAGGCGCCTGTAAATCGCAGCTACTCAGGAGGCTGAGGCAGGAGAATCACCTGAACCCGGGAGGCGGAGGTTGCAGTGAGCCAAGATCATGGCATTGCACTCCAGCCTGGGCAACAGGAGCAAAACTTCATCTCCAAAAAAAAAAAAAAAAGTGAACCATGTGATCCTTGTATCAGTAAAAAGTCACAATTTTGATTCTGCAGCTACTGAAAAAGTAATCTTTTATGAACAAATGATTCAAGGGCCAAAGCTCTCTGCTGCTGTGTTTTGATTTCATGCCACCTGACACTTGTGTTGGCGAGCCAGCCACCAAATATCATGCTAAGATACAAAGTCTGAATTTTGTACTACTGAAGAGTTGTCAGTAAAAGGACACTTGACCACAGAGAAAAACAAGTCACCCTTCCGTAACTTGGCCCCTAGGGACCATCAGTCTAGTAACTCACCATTGCTTAGCATTTTTCTTTTGCCAAAAGAGAGGGCCAGGCTGGAGAAGGGGCTGAGGTAAGAGCTATGGATCTCCCAGGGGATGCAACTGTCACCCCAGCTCAGCCACTGGGGGACAAAGGCAGGTCACTGCTCTTCTCTGGCTTCAGTTTTTCCATCTGCGAAATTGGGTAGCAGAGATTTATTGACCATGGTCTGTCATTGAGTAATTCTTCAGGAGCAACAAGGAGGCAGCTGGAGAGGGGTTGGCCTTATGGAGGAGGCTCTGGTCCCCCAGCCACACTGTGGATCTAGGGACCCTTCTGCTGTTATCTGTTTAGCAGGATAAAAAGTCCGTCTTGTGTAGGCTGGGGAAGGTCGCTAGGTTCCAGGGAGGACTCAGGGTGCTGTGCCCACTACTATCAGGCTGGCCCTGTTGCAGGAATATGACTGGCTTTGGCATTACTCTGATGAACCATCAAGCCCCAGCATGAAAGAGGAGATGCAGAAGAGCATTTGTCCATGCAATCTAAAAAAGGTGAGCACAGAACAAGAAGGATGGAGGGGAAGGGATGCCAGAGCAAGTGCCCAGAGTGGCCCAGGAGGAAGACCCTGTCCCCTTGAGGGCACCTGTGGTTGGGAGGCCTGAGCAGGGCATGTCAGTGTCCCCTGATCTGGAATCCAAGAGCAATGAACACCCCGGATACATACATCATCTAGATTGGGTTTCTGCATCAGATTTCATTTACAAAAGAGTTTCCCTGCTGAATTAAATGTGACGACCACATTCTCCATTCACAGTGCTGGTGACTGGAGATTTCTTGCAACAACTCTATACCCCACCCAGTCACATTGCTACTAACAGCAGCCTTGCACCTGGGCCAAAACATTCACAGGAGAGTGAGAATGACAAGAGTTGTCTCTAAGGACCTAAAGAAGAGGACAGCCAACTTGTCAGCCAAAGCACCTACCTATTTCCCTCCTTCTTCCCCTTTCTCTATCTTCATTGCTTCATTCACACATTTATCCAACCCACCAGCCAACCTACTAATATTTTTTGAATGCCTACCTTGTGCAGAGCTCTGGGAAAGACACTAAGAATTCAGCACTGACTGAGACAATATCTTTGCCTCCATATGATTTATATTCTGGGGGAGATAGACAATAAACAAATAAATAAGACAATTATTAATTGCAGCAAAAGCAGAAACAAAAGTAAAGTAATGGAAGTAGAGAGTTAGTGAGGGGCCTCATCCTTCTTGGTCTTGGACCCTAATCTTCTGCAGGTGGACAGCCACATCCCAAAGCAGGACTCCATTCATACTTCAGTGTGTGCACAGAGCACTTGGGGACCTTGTGGAAATGTAGAAGCTGACTCAGTAGTTCTGGTGTGGGGCCTGAGATTCTGCATGTCTACCGGTTCCCAGGTGATGTGGGGCCATGCTTTTTACAGTGTAGGTCCACAGAACATGGACTACTCATTGCCAAGCCCAGACGATGGTGATAGCCCCTTGCCCCAAGGATGGCACCCGAGGGAAGCTGAGGAGGGAGCCTGCAAAGACCTGCAGAACTTCCGAGGTTGGAGAAGCCTGACCAGACCCATGAGCAGCTGCATAGCTGTGCCTTGCAAACCCAACCAAGTGGCTTTAGCAGGAACTGCGGTAGAGCTCAGAGGTGTCTCAACCAGCTGCCAGGGCTGCCAGGAAACTTAAGCAAAGACATCTGCCTTTGCCATTAAAAAAAAAAAAAGAAGTATCTCTTAGCTGGGTATGTGTGGTGGCAGAGATAGGACAGCTCTATGATGAAGCTGGTTTTGAGATGGACTGGACCAGCAGCCATGAGATGGAACTCTGCACCCAGTCCCTTTGCTCACCTTGGTCCCACTTCTTTCTTCTTAAGTTCCAAAGAGCTGCACTCAGCCCTCAGGTCTCAGCATGCTGTGGAAAGCACACGTGTTTGGAACTGATGGCACTTGAGCCTCAGCTAAACCCTAACAAGCGTCACCCTCCCGGCCCTGGTGGTCCCATCTGTGCACCAAGCCAAAATTGCCTGCCTGCTTTCCGTGTGGTATCATGGTGTTGATCAGAGGAAACAGACACCATTAATATAATGAGCACGTCCGATCTAGCAGCCTGGAGTTTACCCAGCCTTGAAATAGACAGAGGGGACCCTTAGCTGAGGGAAGCTGATTAAGAGTCAGCCATGGGCCAGGCACAGTGGCTCATGTCTGTAAAACCAGCACTTTGGGAGTCCAAGCTAGGTGGATCACCTGAGGTCAGGAGTTCGAGCCCAGCCTGGCCAACATGGTAAAACCACGCCTCTACTAAAAATACAAAAATTAGCCAGGCGTGGTGGCAAGTACTTCTAATCCCAGCTACTTGGGAGGCTGAGGCAGGAGAATCGTTTGAACCCAGGAGACAGAGGTTGCTGCGAGCCGAGACTGCACCATTGCACTCCAACCTGGGCAACAAGAGCGAAATTCCATCTCAAAAAAAAAAAAAAAGTTGTCCAGGCACGGTGGCTCATGCCTGTAATCCCAGCACTTTGGGAGGCTGAGGCGGGCGGATCACGAGGTCAGGAGATTGAGACCATACTGGCCAACGTGTTGAAACCCCTTCTCTACTAAAAATACAAAAATTAGCTGGGTGTGGTAGCGTGTGCCTGTAATCTCAGCTACTCAGGAGGCTGAGGCAGGAGAATCCCTTGAACCCGGGAGGTGGAGGTTGCAGTGAGCTGAGATCACGCCACTGCACTCCAACCTGGTGACAGAGCGAGACTCTGTCTCAAAAAAAAAAAAAGTCAGCCATGTCCTGTAGCGGTAGGGATTCAAGGCGGCATCTATGAAGCTGCAATAGTTAGAATAAAGGACAACTATCAGGAGTCATGAGAAAGCAGGCTTGTATCAACATCACTCAAAATCAGTATCTAAAACAGCACCCGGCACACAGGGGACTCTGCTTAAATGACCGCGGGTGAACACAGAACCTACCTCTCCCACCATTCACTCCCTCCTTCCTACTGGATCTTTGTTTGGTTTCTTTATCTCAGAGTCCCTGCGTGGAGCAAACCAGTTGTACCTGGAAAAGCTGTGCTGTCTCTTTAAGTCCCTCGCGAGTCTCCCGACTTTCTTTGGCATCAGAATTGGGCATCTCTGGGAATCTGACCCACATCTGTGCAGAATAAAGAACAATTATCAAGCTGAAACATGCCCTGCACCCAACACACCTACTTAATTGGTGCTTTACTTAAGCTAATGTTTCAGATTATTTGGGCCTCCCCAATGCATCGAGTTGAAAAGGCAAAGCTCATTTGCTGCTAGTGTCCCTTGATGCCTCATGTGCCTCGTATGCTCCACACATGCACGAAAGCCTTCCAGGGTGTGCGTGGGCATGAACCTAGTTAATAATGCTTTTTGCTTCTTAGCAATTGCCAGCTTCGTAGGCAGAGCTTTTTGAACGTGTTTCTGGAAACCTCTTCTGAACCACAGGACTAGAATAGAATAGCAGACACTCTGTAAATATTTGTAGAGTGACCGAACAACACAGAGGGGGCAAAGCATAGTGGCTAAGAAGGATTAAGATGTTGGCTTCGGACAGATCTAGGATCTGGGTGTGAGTATCAGCTCTGTCTGTGGGGCCTGAAGCTGTCTAAACACATGTCTTCATAAGCTGAACTGATAAAATAAAATCATATTGATAAAACTGGCAAGGAGGAAGTACTTTTAAAATGTTAGTTGTTGAAGGTGACTATATACATGATTGCTGACCAGGGACACTTTTGATAGTGAATAGGGGACTATAATAATCATACCAGGGCCAGGCACAATGACTCACGTCTGTAATCCCATCACTTTGGGAGGCCGAGGCAGGTGGATCACCTGCGGTTAGAAGTTTGAGACCAGCCTGGCCAACATGATGAAACCCCATCTCCACTAAAAATATAAAAAATTAGCCAGACATGGTGGTGTGTGCCTGTAGCCCCAGCTACTTGGGAGGCTGAGGCAGGAGAATTGCTTGAACCCGGGAGGCAGAGGTTGCAGTGAGCCAAATCATGCCACTGCACTCTAGCCTGGGCAACAGAGCGAGACTGTCTCAAAAAAAAAAAAAGTCATAACAGAATAACAGGCGTAAACCAGGTCTAGCCCAACAACCAAGGGTTGTGGGTACCCCGGCTATTATTATTTAATAGAGGAGATGCTTAGAGATCATCAAATCCAACATATTTATTTGACATATGAAGCTAGTGAACCTGAATAGGCTGAGCAACCTGAAGTCACACTGCCTATTAGCAGAACATTGCTTTAAGGTCACACTGGTTTTGGTCCCAGGCTCTGGGTCCCACTTGGGGAGCTAAGCTACCAGCGGTTGTCTCCATAACACTGCAGAAAAGAGCTGTGAGGAGGTGACCTCTAAGCCCCACCAAGGTTCTGAAAGATCCTCATTTACAAAGGATGGCAGTGAACTTCAGAGATGTTAAAAAACCTCTCTGAGGTGGCCCCAGGCCACACAACAGTGTGTGATTGCTAACGATGTGTTTCCTGGATTCTCTTGCACTGAAGTAGAAGATTTCATCATGTAGATTCTTTTTTTTTTTTTTTTTTTGAGTTGGAGTCTCGCTGTGTTGCCCAGACTGGAGTGCAATGCCACAATCTCGATCTCGGCTCACTGCAACCTCTGCCTCCTAGGTTCAAGCGATTCTCCTGCCTCAGCCTCCCGAGTAGCTGGATTACAGGCACCCACCAATGTGCCCGGCTAATTTTTGTACTTTTGTAGAGACAGGGTTTCACCATGTTGGCCAGGCTGCTCTTGAACTCCTAACCTCAGGCGATCCACCCACCTCGGCCTCCCAAAGTGCTGGGATTACAGGCGTGAGCCGCTGCGCCGGGCCACCGTGTAGATTCTTATACCAGGAATGGTAGCTAGCGTCCTGGTTTCGGTGATACCAACAACCTACTTTCAGCTTCCCCTGTCTTCTTTCAGCGTGTTTGTTTCAGAAATCACTGGTTCATCCTGATTATTGACACATCCTGGTCAGAATTAACTGCTCCCATTCATGTCTCTATCATAGTATAATTACTTTTTTGTTTATTTATTTAGAGACAGAGTCTCACTCAGTTGCCTAGGCTGGAGTCTAGAGTGCAATGGCGTGATCTCGGCTCACTGCAACCTCCGCCTCCCAGGTTCAAGCAATTCTCCTGCCTCAGTCTCCCATGTAGCTGGGATTACAGGTGCATGCCACCATGCCCGGCTAATTTTTGTAGTTCTAGTACTCATGGGGTTTCACCATGTTGGCCAGGCTGGTCTCAAACTCCTGACCTCAAGTGATCTTCCCACCTTGGCCTCCCAAAGTGCTGGGATTACAGGCGTGAGCCACCACACACAGCCTAATTACTTGTTTATATGTCTGCTCCTAGAGACTCAGTTATTTAGAGACAGATGCCGTGCTTGGCACAGTGGGTGGGATACCATGGCTCTCAGGTAAACATTTGCTGAATGTCATTGTTCTCAATGTCTGTCACATTGCTTACCATTGGGAGGAACTGACAATGACCTAGCTTTCCCAGTCAAGATGCAAGAACTCTCAAAAAGACCCCCAAACATCCCTGCTGAATGAAATGTCTTAGCTCCAGTCTTACCTCCAGTGAGAAATAATGGGCGGCACCCCACCCCCCTGCTAAATAACTCAGCCTAATTTATACTTGATAGGTTTCCCCATTCACGTCCTTTTTCCAGAGCATTTTCATTTCTCCCTTAAATCCTGGAAAATCACTATTTATCTCATCTGTGAGCTAGAGCCGGCTCTCCTGGTTCACAGGAGCCAACTGTGTGCACCTCTTGCCAAGGCCATGTTTAGGGAAGACACATAGATAGCTCGAAATGAGCCATTCTGGAAGTATTTACACTATGGAAATCAGCAAACACTACAAATCAAGGCTTTTTAGAACATTTCTTAGAAAACCAGTTGTTAAACATTTGCCAGTACACCACTGCCTATGTGATACCAAGCCCTCCTTCCCCTCACTCTGCCTGCTTGTACATGTCTTAATGCTCTGGAGCCACCAGCCAGTCTCTCCAGTTTCGACCATGTTATCCATTTTCTCCCAAGACCCATCTGAGTGCCGCTCAACCCTTCTGCTTGTCCCTGCCAATTGTGGGTAGCCAGCACACCGCGGTTCTAAAAGAGGTATTATCTATAACAGAATCTCTTACAACCAAGTCCCATCACCCCAAATGAGTCAGTTCAGCACGCTGCTTGTAAAAATGTGTTTACAGAATGTCTTTCAGATCCATGCTTTGCACATGCCTTCACTTGCTAAAGAATTATCCAGTTCCCCTCCACTTCCCCGCTCTCATGTCCCAAACAAAGTGTGATCATCACATTTTTAAATCTCCAGCACACCCTGGGTCTTGTCAGGCAGCCGCATACGGACTGAGTTTCTTTTAAACAGGCTAAAATTTCTCGTCTCTCAGCTTAGTCTTCATGGCTTTGACTAGGGGAAAAGGCACTCACCACTTCCAAGCCAGGCTGCCAAGAAAAGGCTCAGCAGAGCCCCCCAAGTCTCTTTTTGAGGAACGCTCTGATTTACAGAATTAAGTTATGGCCCGACTCTTCAAACGGATAATCACAGACTGTAGCAAAACTCTGAGACTGAAATGCGAGCTGCCGTTTTGCAGCGTGCACTGTGATTTTTAGCAAAGCCTGTTTAAATTGTGACGCTCTCCTCACAGCCCTGCCTTTCATTTCTGTCAGTTTCCAGGCACTGGGGCTCTTTTCTTTGGAGAATGATACATCCAGGCTGGGACTTCAACTGGCTTTCCCCATCAACATTTCTTTACAACGTTTTTAAAAATCAGAGATAAAGTTTTACTTGAAGAGAAGTCTTATATAACTCTATTGCCTGCCCTGCTAGTCCTGACTGTGCTACAAAGGACTGGGTTGAGGGCCGCGTGCTTCCCTGAGAAGACGTAAGCCTTTTAAAGCAATGAAATGATCACTTCTCATTAATTTAGCTGTAACTCAATTATTTTGGAAACAAAACAAAGAGACTGTGGAAAATCTTGCTAAAAATAGCAAATCAATGAAGTGGAATGGTTGGTTTTAAGACAATTAATTATGCAACAGTAATGTTCTTAATCATCTCTAAAGGAAACTATTTGCTCATAGTATTAGAAGAGATCAAGCAAGGACCTTGCCAGTCACCCCCTAGTCCCAGCTCATCATTTAGTGCCCTCTGGGGCTGGTTGTTTCTAACTGGTTTTCACCGTGGGAGGATAGACAGAGTGGGACTAGGGAAGCTGCAAGCCCTATTTTGGCCACCTGGGTATCATCAAGGAAGAAGAATTCAAGCATATTCCTTTCGTCGATGGCTCCTTTCAGTGTGGAGGAAAACCCCAGTGCCCAACCAATTTCCCCTGCTCATCATTACACAAAATCCCTGCACTAGAATACACAGGCAGACAGACTGCTTTCAGCAATTGATGTGCGTGTCTTAAAGTAGGGTCTGACAGCGCACACACTATGCAGCCAGTGGAACCCAAGTGCACACAGCCTCACACAGCATGAGCATCAACATCTGGTTCCCACTCTTCATTATGGAGACGACTTGCATTTATTGAATGCTTGCTGCATGCCACATGCAGTTCTAGGCACTGTACACACATCCAGTCGTTTTAAATTCTGTGGTCAAAGGAGTATAACATAAAGTGTACCATATTGGTCTTTTTTTTTTTTTTGAAACAGAGTCCGGCTCTGTTGCTCAGGCTGGAGTGCAGTGTCGTCATCTCGGCTCACTGCAACCTCCGCCTCCTAGGTTTATGTGATTCTCCTGCCTCAGCCTCCCGAGTAGCTGGGATTACAGGTGCCCGGCACCATGCCCGGCTAATTTTTGTATTTTTGGTAGAGACAGGGTTTCACCATGTTTGCCAGGCTGGTCTCGAACTCTTCACCTCAAGGGATCTACCTGCTTCGGCCTCCTAAAGTGCTGGGATTACAGGCATGAGCCACCGCACCTGGCCCATATTGGTCATTTTTAAGTGCACCGTTTGTTCATTAAGATCGTTCACGTTGTTGTGCAATCATTGCCACCATCCATCTCCAGCACTTTTTCATGATCCCAAACTGCACAGATCCACTCTTTAATCCTATGAGGTAGGGTATTAGCCCTATTTACAGATGGGGAAACTAAGGCACAGGGCCATGCAGTAAGTAGCATCTCTTTAAAGAGATGGCTATAGGCTGGGCACAGTGGTAATCCCAGCACTTTGGGAGGCCGAGGTGGGTGGATCACCTGAGGTCAGGAG
This sequence comes from Homo sapiens, assembly GCF_000001405.40. Taxonomy (NCBI): domain Eukaryota; kingdom Metazoa; phylum Chordata; class Mammalia; order Primates; family Hominidae; genus Homo; species Homo sapiens. The sequence goes on from NC_000010.11 coordinate 121,630,061, forward strand.
TTTGAGACCAGCCTTGCCAACATGGTGTAACCCCGTCTCCACTAAAAATACAAAAATTAGCCGGGTGTGGTGGTGCATGACTGTAATCCCAGCTACTCAGGAGGCTGAGGCAGGAGAATCGCTTGAACCTGGGAGGTGGAGGTTGCAGTGAGCCAAGATCGTGCCACTGCACTCCAGCTTGGGTGACAGAGTGAGACTCTGTCTCGGAAGAAGGAAGGAGGGAAGGAAGGAAGGAAGGGAGGGAGGGAGGGAGGAAGGGAGGGAGGGGATAGTGACATTGGGAATCTAACTCTGCCCTGAACCATATGGGAAACCATTTCTGAATTAGTGCTCTGGGTAACGTTGTCCCCCTCACATAATGCAGCATATCTTATGTCTGTAAACCAGGGCTTGGCAAGTGTTTTCTTGCAAAGGCCATTACAGATTCTTTAGGCTTCGCAGGCCACACAGTCTCTGTTACAAATACTCTCCTCTGCCCTTGTAGCAAAAGCAGCCCTAGATCATATGTGTGTATGTCATGGGCATGGCTGTATCCCAATGAAACTTGATTTTTGGATGCTGAAATTTGATGTCATATCATATTTTTACTGCGGTGAAATGGAAAGAACATACAATTTTATCATTTAACTATCTTAAAGCTACCATTCGATGGTGATAAGTACACCATTCGATGGTGATAAGTACATTCACATGGTTTTGAAACCATCACCCATCGCCCATCTCCACAAATGTTTCATCTTCTCAAACTGAAACTCGATGCACATTAAATACTAACTCCCCCTTCCTCCACCCCATCTACTGAAACCACCATCCTACTCTGCCTCTATGAATCTGACCACCCTAAGAACTTCATGTCAGTGGAATCATGCAGTATTTATCCTTTTGTGTCTGGCTTCTTTCCCATAGCATAAAGTGAATTTCCTATCATTTTTGCATATCAGAAAATGTTAGCCATCTTCTGATTTGTTTTCGGTGATTTGTAAAGGTACAAAGCTTTCTTACCTCACACAGCCTGTACCAAAGCAGGTGGTGGGATGGATTTGGCCCGTGGGCCATAGTTTGCCTGCCCCTGATCTCAACGTTTTCACAAATGTCAATCTGACCATCTGCTTTGTACAGCACAGAGAGGCCAAGCAACTTGTCTACAGTAACACAGCTGCAAACCTGGCCACACTCAAACCAGAAGCCAGGCATCTATATTCCCAGTTTGTTTCGGGAACAAAGGAGAAAAGTTTGAATCCTCCAGTTTTTTCACTGAAAGTGGTTCCATGCTGGGTGACGTCTTTAAAAGTTACTGTTGTTACTGGTAAAGGCACAGAGGTTTCTCCAGGCTTCCCATCCTGGAGAAGGGATTGGCAACGCATAAGACACTCTGCTTTAGAAGAAAGATCAAGTATGCACTCGTCCTCTGACTGTTGTTCAAGTCAAACAAACCAGGCCAGACAGCGAACAGTCAGCTTTATTCACTCAAGCCCTCCTTCACTGGAGCACACATTACTTTTCTATACGATGACTTGCCAAATGCTTAAAAGGCACATTTGAAAGAATAACAAATGCTACTCTGTTTCTTTCTGGTGGCCAGGACATCTTGTGTTTACAGTGTGGAGCTTGGGGGGCTTAGAAACACCCAGCCATATTCTGGCTTTCTTCTCCCAAGTCAGAGCTTGCACACATGGAGTTTTTTACATGCTGGCACTGGCAACAGGACCTTGGGCAGGGGACCCAAAGGGGGCCCACTGAAGGGTGAGGGCCAGCCTCCCCCAGCCTGGGCACTGATTGTTTGAACCGGGTTTTGAACACAGCCTGACATCTGCACGTATAGACCCGTGCCAGGGTACAGGGCAAGCAGAGCTCATGTGCGGGAAGAGAAACAGTCCAGGTTTATTTTCAACAGCTGTCTTTCAAGAGCTGCAAACAGAGAGCAAATGTGAATGACTGGGAAAAGGCTATTTCCCTATTTCTTCAATGAACCTGGTAAATTGCAATTTCCAAATCAGAGGAACTACCGGATCAATACAACCAACTTTGAAGGAATGTGTGAACGAAGAAGAAGAAGGCCAGGTGGGATGGCTCACGCCTGTAATCTCAGCACTTTGGGAGGCCGAGGCATGCGGATCAGCTGAGGTCAGGAATTCGAGACCAGCGTGGCCAACTTGGCAAAACCTCGTCTCTACTAAAAATACAAAAATTAGCGGGGTGTGGTGATGGGCACCTGTAGTCCCAGGTACTTGGGAAGCTGAGGCAGGAGAATCACTTGAACCCAGGAAGCGGAGGCTGCAGTGAACCGAGATTGTGCCACTGCACCCCAGCCTGGGAGACAGAGTAAGACTCCATCTCAAAAAAAAAAAAAAAAAAAAAAAAGGGCTGGGCACAGTGGCTCGTGCCTGTAATCCCAACACTTTGGGAGACTGAGGGCAGCAGATCACGAGGTCAGGAGTTCAAGACCAGCCTGACCAACATGGTGAAACCCCGTTTCTACTAAAAATGGAAAAATTAGCCAGGTGTGGTGGTGCGTGAGCCTGCAGTCCCAGCTACTCAAGAGGCTGAGGCAGGAGAATTGCTTGAACCCCGAGGCAGAGGTTGCAGTGAGCAGAGATTGTGCCACTGCACTCCTGCCTGGGCGACAGAGCAAGACTCTTGTCTCAAAAGAAAAAAAAAAAAAAAAAAAAAAGAAGAGCAATAAAAATAAGAATGAAGAGGGGGAGAAAGAGGAGGAGCAAGAGCAACTGTTGCTGCGAATCCAGTAACCATCCCATCAGTGTGGTCGCATGTGTCCTGCAAGGCCCTCATTCTGCAGGCACTGCGTTGGGTGCTCAAGGGATCCAAAGATGAGACTGGCCGTCAGTGGGTTTGCAGGCCAGGAGGGAGATGACACCTGTTTATCAATAACTGTAACACATGGCAATGCACACTAAAAAGCAGTAGGTAAAGCGCTGTTGGGCGGCAGGGAGGGGGGGGTCCCAGGTGGGAGGAGATTGCCTCAAGCCTGGGAGGGGTGAAGAAGAATGGGGAAGCCTGCAGGGACAGGCGGCTCTTGTGTTTAGCCTCCAGCATCCTTTCTGGCAGCCGGCTGGACTCTGACCAGCCCCTGGTTTCTGGACTCAGCATGTTGCTGTTTCTCATGACCAAGCTTCTTTAACCTTCACTGTCAATGGTGGGGCCCCAGCTCAGGCCTCGGGCCCAGGGCTCTCAGCTGACTCCCAGGTCCTGAGAACCAGAGCATTGCCTCATGCCTCACACTTCCCAACACCAGAGCCCAGACCCAGGTCGCATGCCCTGACTGCTGAAACATCAGCAGGCACCCACCTCCAGAAAGGGCTGCCCATCTAGGAGGACTCGTGTTGGTGCCTGGGGACAGCTCCACCAGCCTGGCTTAAAACCCTGGCACCCTGAAGACCCTGTGTGATCTCTATCTACAGGGCCTGCTGAGTCATAGGTGCCCCAGACAAGAGGAATGGATCATAGCAAGTCACGAATACCCTGGTGCTGGAAAGATGAAAGCAAACTGGAGTGGAACCAGAGTAATCCAAAACCTCAACAGAAAGAGCAGTGCCTGAGAGTCAAACGGGGGCCTTGGTGGAAACGAAGTCAAGGGCTTGAACGTTTTTCTGTTTTCACTGTGATTAAATAGAAACTTTTATATGTTGCAGTATATACTTCCTTAATGTTACTTAGGAAAATTTGGACAAATATGACTGCAGAAAAAAAGCTAAAACTTCTGCACAAAGGAGATCACAATTCAAATAAAATGTCAAACCAGGAATATCACTATCTTTACTACATAACTATTCCAAGCAAGAAGAAATAGATGCCTAGTCTTTTTAAATTGCAAAACGCATGAAGAAGCAGTTCTTAGAGTAGAAATAGAAATGACCAATAAGTATTTGTTTTAAATCAACCTCCCTAGTAATCAAAGAATTTCACATTAAAGCAAGTTTTAGACATAACTTTTCACCTATGCGAAGGCTTAAGAGACAAAAAGGATGCAAGTTGCAAGGACAGACACTTTCATACACCTCTGATGGAACTGAAATTTGCTCAGCCATTCTAGATGGCAGTTTTCAACATACGTCAAGCATCATTTTGAAATGTGTTTTACTTTTGCCCCAGCAACTTTTTACATCTAGGATTTGTCCTACGGAAAGGAGTATGGGTGTGCACAACGATTTATTTATAAAGCACATTTACTGCATTATACATTATAATAGTGAAAGACAGGAAACCATCTAAACGACCGACAGTGAATTAACTAAAAATAAAGAGCCAAACAATAAAATAGTACACACCATTAAACTTTCAAAAAAAGTTCAATGACAGGGAAAGATGTTCACAATAAACTAAGTGAAGAAAAGCATATGCAAAACAGTGTGGTATGGTGACATTTTTGTTTTAAAAAATCCCAAATGGTAATTATATAGAAAAGCATCTGGAAATATAAACTCCAAGATGTTAATGGAAGTTATTTCTGAATAGGTGGAATTGTGTGATTTTTAAAATTCTGTTTTTTCCATTTATTTATATGATTTGATTTTTCTGCAGTGATCATGTATTTCTTAGCAAGAAGAAAAGATTATTTTAATAATAAAAATACATACACAAACAAGACTGGGAATAACATTTGCAGCCAAGAGAAAATATGTCAAAGATAGCAAAGGTAGAAAGAGCACATATAAATGCATATGGAATGGAAAATTATATAACAGACCTGTCAACAAAGATGAATATATTCCTAGTGAAAAAAGACATGGAAAAGTGTTTAGCCAGGCTGGAGTGCAGTGGTGCGATCTCAGCTCACTGCAACCTCCGCCTCCCAGGTTCAAGTGATCAAAGAATTTCACATTAAAGCAACTTTTAAAGCCTCAGCCTGCCAAGTAGCTGGGACTACAGGTGTGCACCACCACGCCCAGCTAATTTTGTATTTTTAGTAGAGACAGAGTTTCACCATGTTGGCCAGGATGGTCTCAATCTCTTGACCTCGTGATCTGCCCACCTTGGCCTCCCAAAGTGCTGGGATTACAGGAGTGAGCCACCACGCCTGGCCTCAGCATCGTTACAAATGAAAAAACTGCAAAATTAATAAATGGAAGGAATAATTCTCCAATTTCCAATTCATTAAAGCACTCAAGTTTTGAAAACACATAATTTTTTCATGGAAAAGTGTTATATTAAATTAATTTTTAAAAGGAAATATCACTCTTACCCCTAAATATGTACAATTATTATGTGTCAATTAAAAATAAATTCAATTAATGCCAGGCGTGGTGGCCCATGCCTGTAATCCCAGCACTTTGGGAGGCCAACGGGGGCAGATTACATGAGGTCAGGAGTTCAAAACCAGCCTGGCCAACATGGTGAAACCCCATCTGTACTAAAAATACAAAAATTAGCCAGGCGTGGTGGCATGCGCCTGTAGCCCCAGCTACTCAGGAGGCTGAGGCAGGAGAACTGCTTGAACCTGGGAGGTGGAGGTTGCAGTGAGCTGAGATGGCACTGCTGCACTCCAGCCTGGGTAACAGAGTGAGACCCTGTCTCAAAAAAATCAAAAAGAAAAAATAAATAAATTAAAAAGTTAAAAAAGCGTTATACAAGTGCTTTAAAAGTTTAATCAACATAAAATGTTCAAAGACACACACCAAATCCTACAATCCAGAAATCGTAAGATTAATATTTTGTGAACATCATCCTGAATTTCTCTAAGGATACAGAGTGTGCAGAAATAATTTTATAATATTGTGGTTCTTGTTTTTATCTCTGCAGTTTCATAGTTCCCAGAACAGTATCTGGCACACAGGAGGCTCTACATACAACGTTAAATGATTAACAGACGAGTACCATATCATAATGCCATATTAGAATAAAAAGAATTTAAATTCTTTATAAAATTTAAATGAACTTAAATTTTATGGAAGGTAAAAAAAGCTGAAGGGATTTCTGAACTTAAAATAAATTGTTATTTCCAAAACAAATACAGTTGGCCTTCTGTGTCCGTGGGTTCTGCATCTGTGGATTCAATGAATCATGGATCAAAAATATTTGGAAAAAAAAATTCCACATGGTTTCAAAAAGTAGGCCTGGTGCAGTGGCTCACGCCTGTAATCCCAGCACTTTGGGAGGCCGAGATGGGTGGATCACTCAAACCCACGAGTTCAAGACCAGCCTGGGCAACATGGCAAAACCCCATCTCTACAAATAATACAAAAATTAGGTGACACGTGCCTGTAGCCAGCTACTAGAGGTTGGGAGAGTGCTGAATTAGGAAGATCGCTTGAGCCCAGGAGGCAGAGGTTGCCGTGAGCCAAGATCATGCCATAGCACTCCAGCCTGGTGAACAGAGTGAGACCCAGTCTCAAAGAAAAATAAAAAGTTCTGTAAAGCAAAACTTGAATTTGCCATGGGCTGAGTACTATGTTGAATCCATGCAAATGAAGTGATGTAAGCATCGGATTAGGTATTACAAACAATCTAGAGACAATTTAAAGAATGTGCATAGGTTATGTGCAAATACTATACCATTTTATATCAGGGACTTGATATAAATCCAAAGGGGTCCTGGAACCAATTCCCCACAAACACTGAGAGATGACTATTCGTACTTATAAATTCTCCCAAGGTTCAGAAAAATGATACTTAAAAATCATGAAGGCATTGGAGTCATGAGCTTTTTTTCAAATTTTTGTTTTAATTTTGATTTACTATTCTTTAAAAAAAGAAAGAGGAAATTTGCCATCATGTTCTCCCTTCTCCTTTTCCCCACTCCCTGGTTAAGTGTGTTGCATTTCTAAGTTCCTCATTTTATTTATTTATTTGTTTACCTTTTTTTTTTTTTTTAGGCAGAGTCTTGTTCTGTCACCCAGGCTGGAGTGCAGTGGCGCAATCTCTGCCTCCCGGGTTCAAGTGAGTCTCCTGCCCCAGCCTCCCAAGCAGCTGGGATTACAGGCATGTGCCACCATGCCTGGCTAATTTTTGTGTTTTTAGGAGAGACGGGGTTTCACTGTGTTGGCCAGGCTGGTCTCAAACTCCTGACCTCAAGTGATCCACCCACTTTGGCCTCCCAAAAGTGCTGGGATTACAGGCATGAGCCACCGCATCCACCCCAAGTTCCTCATTTTAATCCATCTTTTTGGTTGGCAGGGCTTTTTCACAGAAGAATACATGGGTACTATCGTCCCTGAACTCTTTCTTGTATCAGTGTCTGCCTGCGAGTCTTTTGCTTGAATGACAGCTTGCATCTGTTTAATATTTTTGGATTTTGCTTTCTTTCCTTCAGTACACTCTAGACATTACTCTATTGTCTTCTCTTAATAAGTCTGGGACACCTGACTTTTTTTCCCTTGCAGGCAGCCTGCAAGTCTGAAGGAGTCTTTGTTTATCCTCCAAGTTCAATATCTTAACCAGGATACAGGTTAATGTCAGTCATTACATATCATTTTTTCCCCTTGATGCCCTTTGATCTAAAAATTTGCAATTTATTTCTGATGACCTACATCTCTGAACATATTTTTCCCTATTTTTTTTGTTGGGTACCTAATTCAGAGACATCAATTATAATTATATTGGATCATCTTTGTCCTCCATAACTAGCATCTCCTCTAACCTACTGTAATCTTTGCCTTTTTCTTGTGTGTTTGCCATGAATAATTTCAGCACTTCTTCCATGCCAATAATTTGATTGTTCAGTCATATCTTTATTATTCCTTACTTCTCTTTTTTTTTTTCTTTTTTAGACTGAGTCTTGTTCTGTCACCCGGGCTGGTGCAGTGGTGCAATTTCAGCTCACTGCAACCTTCACCTCCCAGGTTCAAGCAATTCTCCTGCTTCAGCCTCCCAAGTAGCTGGGACTACAGGCTCACACTACCATAGCTAATTTTTTGTATTTTTAATATAGATGGGGTTTCACCATGTTAGCCAGGCTGGTCTCAAACTCCTGATCTCAAGTGATCTGCCTGCCTCAGCCTCCCAGACTGCTGGGATTATAGGCATGAACCACCATGCCTAGCCTTATTATTCCTTACTTCTAATTTATGAATTAAATCTTTCATAGTCTTATTAAGTTCTTTATTATATCAAAGATTCATAGGTAGTTCTTGAAGAATATGTTTTTGTCCAGGACAGGCCTTCATTGATTTTTTTTTCACCAATATTTCCTTTCTTTCATCTGCTGCTATTGTGTTCTATAGTGTGTTTAAATATTTGTCATACCATGTCTTATCATGTTGTTCAAGTTTAATGGGTACAGCTCTGTACACATCTATCTACTCTGTTTGTTGTTGCTGTTGTTTTTAAGAGACAGGGTCTCCTTATGTTGCCCAGGCTGGTCTTGAACTCCTAGCCTCAAGCCATCCACCCACCTCAGCCTCCCAAGTAGTTAGGATTACAGGCATAAGCCACTACATCTAGCTCAACACCTATTTATTCTGAAATAGTGGGGGGATTTTCCTTGACAACTTTCTCACTTTATCTCGGGCTCAATGTCATCTGGGCTACAGTGTGGAGATAGATTTTACTAACTCTCCACCCTTCTAAAGTCAGGGGACAAGGAAATGGGGAAGGGGCAGGTCAGGAGTAGGAGCTTGGCCAGTAGCCTTCTCTTGGAAGTTTGGGCTCTGCTCTCTCTCTCTCGGGATCCCACTAAATGTCAGAAATTAAGGTTCATTCCATCCAGCCATTGCTATATCACACTTCTGTGTGTTTTGGCTTCCTGAACAATGGCAAGCCTTGGCAACCCCTCCTTTCTCCACTAAGGTTTCCAGGTGACATTTAGGGCCTTCCAAACTCAAGGGATCTTTCCCCTGAACTTTTCATGGAACTGCTTACTCTTGTCTTCTCTGCTAGAGGTCATGTTTTTCTCTAGACTGAAGAATATTAGTAAGAATCCTCCAAGTTTCATTAATTCCTTCTTTCATTGGAGAGAGCAGTTTGAATTCAGGAGCTGTACTACATCAGAATTTTCTGGTTCTTTCCAAGGTCATGACTTTTCTTTTCTTTTCTTTTCTTTTCTTTTCTTTTCTTTTCTTTTCTTTCTTTTTTTCTCCCAGGGTCTCACTCTGTCACCCAGGCTGGAGTGCAGTGGTGCAATCATAGCTCACCGTAGCCTCAATCTCCAAGGCTCAAGCGATCTTCGCACCTTCACCTCCCAAGTAGCTGGGACTACAGGTGTGCACCAACATGCCTGGCTGACTTTTTTGTACTTTTTTTCTAGAGACGAGGTCTCCCTATGCTGCCCAGGCTGGTCTCAAACTCCTGGGTTCTAGCCTTCCTCCTGCCTTGGCCTCCCAAAGTGCTGAGATTATAGGCATGAGCCACCACACCCAGCCTGGTCATGACTTTTCTAGATACAAAGGTAATTCCTTGTTTAGTTACTACTTACATTTGTTCTTGTTGTGATTTTATTTCTGTTTATTGACTACTTTATTTCATTAGGAATGGCTGAGGATATATATCCTTCTTCCTTCTGTAGCCAAAAACTCTTCCCTCTGTTCTTAAGCAGAACATACTGAACATAACTTTTCTGATGACTCAGGGGCCTCCTTGAGATCATAGTCATTACTCCTTAGATAAAGCTGTAGCCCCAGGGCTTGAGGAGGCTGTAGTAGAAAGGAGGGTACCTGAGGCCTCATGACAGGACCCAATCTTTGATGCTGGTAGCTTCTTGTTTCCTTTCCTCTATTCCATAAGGGCAAGATTAGCCTGTAAAATTACAAGCTCCTCTGACCAGTGGGAAAAAATGTGCTTCCCATAAAACCAAATTCACTGGAAAAGTCAAGAGGAAGAAGCCTCATTCCAAGGGGTTCTCCTGTTGCAATTCATTATCTTTACTCCTGCTTTCAGGGTACTCTGACATGTGATCACTATTAAAGGGTGATTGGTGATGCTGGCATCACTAAGACAAATGCCTGAAGTGCTTCCTTGTCAACCTGCTCACTCTCCACTGTCACAGCAATAGCAGGTAAGTCACACCATTTTGAGGCTCTAGGATGGAGGCTCTACCTAGGGTTTCTTGGTTGTGAGCAACAGAAAGCAACTCTGGATAACTTAAGCAGAAAAACATCTCATTTGGAACTTATGAGATACTTCACATATTTAAAAAGAGATTGAGAAGTCAGGGCTAGAAGACATGTGACTAGGGGAGCTCCCAGAACCTAAGAGGAAGGACATCGAAGACAATCTCTCCTCAGCACTCTTGTTGAAAGGAATCAGCTCCAGCCATCTTCAGTCCTGACATTGCTCTACTCAAGATTTAAATTCATGGAGAGAGAAGGTCTGATCGGCCCATGCTTTGATGAAGAGAGAGCAAAAGACCTTGGAAAGATAGTCCTCCAAAGCAATGCCAAGTTTCTGCCAACGAAAGAAAAAGGCCTTGCAGGGCAGGCAGAACCACAGCTGTCTATAAACTTGGCACCAGAAGATGCTAAGTGGTGGTTGGCACGTCACCAGGCCTTCCCTTAGAAAAGCATTTCACTTTTGACAAAATGTGAGACACAAGACAAGAATAAAAATTGTACCTTCAATGTTATATTATGTGATGTGTCAAATTTTCTCAAAACATTCTAAGCTACAGTAACATTTTGTAGTCTGAATAATACACCCTGATGCTTAGGTTTAAACCACTAACCTTGCCTTTATGAGGGAAAATGTCAAACTACTGGTTAGCATTAGAATAGCTGCCCATTCAGAGATAGCTGGCCATTCATAAAGAATGCTGTAGAGGAGAGCATCAGTCTGAACAGTTTAACTGGCAAAACAGGTGATCCGGGCTCCTTTCAGAGGGTGGTCTGCAGAGCAGCAGCATCTGTAGCACCTGGGAGCTTATCGATAATGCAGTCTCTCAGCTCCTACCCCAGACCTACTGAGTCAGAATCTGCATTTTGACGAGTGTGATTTGTGCCCACATGAAAATATGAGAAGCATAGATTCTGAGAGCAAAGTCTAGAACCAGACTGCCTGGGTTAACAAGTCACTGATGTAGGAAACTCTTGAGAGAAGAATGTCAGCTAATGAATACAGACCAGAAGGATGGGATGAGACGCCCACCATTTTGCTGTCTGTAATGTTATAATGCACCTTGATCACACATACTGATGGCTGCTAAGACAAGTGGAAGACTCCAGCAGAGTTGTGTGATGCATTGATCAGGATGACATCACCTGGCCCACTGGACAATCTTCACATCATCAAAAACAGAGTCACCAGAGAATCTGTGCAATAGGCAGGAATAGTATCGCCCAGAAAACATTATTTCCAGAAAATTCAACCTCAATCAAATCCACTTCTGGCTCTAACACACAGTTTAAAGGAAGTATAGGGGACAGAGGAACATGTTAAATGACACCACAGAGATATAAATAGCAAAATCCAGAATATGGAACTTTTTACAAATAAATGGCAAAGGGAAAGAAGTGGGAAACTTACAGATTTGAAGAAACGAAACACAACAACCAAATACACCATTGGGTGGTTGTGCCCTGATTCAGACATTACAACTGCAAAAGAACAGGTTTGAGGCAGTTAGGGGAACTGGACATGGACCAAGTATTAGAGGATATAAAGGAATAATTTTGGGGGTGTGATAATCTTATTATAGTAATATTAAAAAAAGAAAAGTCCTTATCTGTTACAAAGGCTTATGAAAGTAGTTACAGGTGAAATGATGTGGTATCCAGGATTCAAATACTCCAGAAAACAACAAATGTGAGGAAGAAAAATAAAACAAGAATGGCAGAATGCTGATCCTTGTTCAAAGTGGGTGATGGATGCATGGGGGTTTATTATACAACTTTTTTCTACTTTTATATATGTTTAAATTTTTCTATAATAAAAGTTTTTTTTTAAAAAACAACCTGGGCTCATTTCCTGGCTCCAACCCTCCCCTGCTCTGTGACAAAGAGAAAGTTACTGTGGCCGGGCGCAGTGGCTCACACCTGTAATGCCAGCACTTTGGGAGGCCGAGGCAGGCAGATCATGAGGTCAGGAGATCGAGACCATCCCGGCTAACACAGTGAAACCCCGTGTGTACTAAAAATACAAAAAATTAGCTGGGAGTGGTGGCGGGCGCCTGTAGTCCCAGCTACTCGGGAGGCTGAGGCAGGAGAATGGCGTGAACCTGGGAGGCGGAGCTTGCAGTGAGCCGAGATCGTGCCACTGCACTCCAGCTTGGGCGACAGAGCCAGACTCTGTCTCAAAAAAAAAAAAAAAAAAAAGAGAGAGTTACTGAACCTTTCTGGGCCTCAATGTCCCCATCTATAAAATAAGAATAACAATAATACCTGCCTCATTGGCATGTTGTGAGGATCACATGAGGCAATACGTGTAATGCACATTCAATATCCAGCACATAGTAAATACTCAATAAACACTACCCATATTTATATACTAGCTCAGCTTCTGCACAGCAACAGATCAAAACAAGGCATTTCTGAAAGCCCTGAATCAATAAAATCCTTAAAGGTGAAGAGCTTACCTTATGAGAACATTATCAAATACAAAAGCTGTTCCCTCTCAATAAAAGCTGATGTACACTGTCTAAACATGCAGATTCCATGGAGTTATAAAGCCCTTCTGGCCTTAGTCCATGCTCGGAAATCAGTTGCCTGAAGAGTCCACGGGGTGCTCCTAGAAGGCCATCAGTTGCTATTTTTCTCTATCAAGCTTTCACAATGGTATGTCTCAGTTTTTAACAGCAGTTTTTCCTTTTTGAAAAATGGCTACCACTGCACAACCCCAGCCATGAGGTCATCACTCCAGTGCTTCGCAGTCACCTGGAGGGCTTGGCGAAACAGATTGCCAAAGATGCATTCTATCACTGGGTGGCTGCACCATGGCTTTAAACGACTGCAGCTGTCAAGGAGCCTCCGTTTTTGCATCTGTAAAATGGGCATAATGACATCTCCTGTGTGTGATCTTTGTGAAGACTGAGTAACACACATACACGTAAAGCACTCGTTTCAAGAAAGATTCTTTTCTTTTTTTTTTTTTTTTGAAACAGGGTCTCACTTTGTCACCCAGACTGGAGTGCAGTGGAATAGCGCAATCATAGGTCACTGCCGCCTTGAACTCCTGGGCTCAAACCTTCCTCCCACCTCAGCCTCCTGAGTAGCTGGAACTATAGGCATGTGCCACCATGTCCATTTAATTTTTGTAACTTTAGTAGAGACGAGGGTTTCTCTGTGTTGACCAGGCTGGTCTCTAACTCCTGGCTTCAACCAATCTTCGCTCCTCAGCCTCCCCAAACACTGGGATTACAGGCATGAGCCACCACACCTGGCTCAGGGGAGATTCTTGGTGTTAGCTAGTTTCTTCTCAGAGGCGGTATCGTCCCCTCTTCAGACCATCCTCACCCTGCCCTTGCTGTGGTGACAAGCCCTTCACTTCATTACCGCTGGCCTCACCCTGGCCCCTCCCCTTCTCTTCTCTTCTCTTTTCTTTTTTTTTTTTTTTTTTTTTTTTTTTTTGAGATGGAGTCTCGCTCTGTTACCAGGCTGGAGTGCAATGGCGCAATCTCAGCTCACTGCAACCTCCGCCTCCTAGGTTCAAGCGATTCTCCTGCCTCAGCCTCCTGAGTAGCTGGGACTACAGGCATGCACCACCATGCCTGGCTAATTTTTGTATTTTTAGTAGAGACGGGGTTTCACCATGTTGTCCAGGATGGTCTCGATCTCTTGACCTCATGATCCGCCTGCCTTAGCCTCCCAAAGTGCTGGGATTACAGGCATGAGCCACCACGCCCGGCCGTCACCCGTGGGACCAGCATCTCTCTCCCCAAGCCCTCACACATTCCCCACTGTCCAGGTAGCCCTCTCACGGCTTTCCTGTGGCCCTGGCACCTCTACCCTGAGTTTGAAACGTAGCAGCTTTTATAGATGCTGCAAACTGATTCTTTCAACTGCTCACCACTTAACCCCCACTCATGATTTAAAAATTCCAGTGGAGGCTTCATCACATCTCAATCCTGGAAAGGTGTCTTTGAAACTCATGCAATCCAAACAGGGACATAGGTTTCATTCCTTGATTATGGAACGGAGGGAATGCTCTGTTACCCTTGAAAGAAGGGGAAAGGACAAAACATATGATTCCTGGCTCTCCACCCCATATCCTACAGGAAATGCTAGCGTCATAAATTACAAGGCCCCGTGGCTGCGGATGGTACCGAGTGTGGGGTGGCAGGGAGTGGACCTCAGGCAATGCATGGCCAATGGGAAGAAGATCGTTCATTCCCACAGTCTCTCAGGATTCGGGTATTCATGCTCTTCTGCTTTTAGAATATTCCAGAAGCCTTCGTGCCCTCCGTAATCTCTACAATGTGACTACCCTTCAGTAGACACTGCGGCACTGGCTGGGGGGAAAGATGATTCAGGATCTGGGCCAGGTGACCCAGGGATGGGAATTAGTCCCCTTCCCTGTTCCCTGCAGCATGGTGAAGTCTATGTGGCAGTAACATGACACCCCAAGTCACACTAACTGGTTACATATGACTGAGAGCAGGGACTAAAGCAGAGTAAAGGGGGTCCAAACCCCCCACTCTCCTAGTGAACCCCCAGGAGCTCCTCAGTCCTGAGCCCCACGCAGATGGGCTGAGTCCCCCAGCAGCCTGGGCTATGCCCACAGGGCAGGAGTGGCTGCCACAGCTCAGACTACTATGCTTGATAGACTGCAGAGCCAGCTTTTGTCCCAGGTCACCCACCATTAGCACAGCAAGGCCATGGCCCCTCCTCCTGTTGGATGGCTGGTCACAGCTGCTGGGAGGCCCTCTCCTAATGTCATCAGGGAATGGTTTTTATACCACAGGGCAGTAAAGAAGCCCTGCTAGGGGTTTTCTAGAAGCTCCCCATGAAGGCCGAGCTGGCCGACACACAGCCCAGGCAGGGAGATAACGTGTGTAGGGCCCTGCAACTGCCAGGGTGATCTGAGGACCAGCAGCCTTGACCTCCCCGGGGAGCTTGTTAGAATCACAGAATCTCAGACGTCACTCCGGACCTGCCAAATCTGCCTCTACCTTGTGACAAGATCGGCAGGTGATCTGTAAGCACATTCAAGTTTAAGAAACACTCATTTATGAAGCTTGTTGCAGCCAAATCACTCAAGGTAGCAATCAACTCCCGCTGTGATATCATTAAGGAGAACTTGGCTTCATCCTCAAAGCCACTTGGGAACAGGATGTGGGAAGGGGAGCCCTGAGAAAGGGCTGTGTCTGGTTTAAATCAAATCAAATATGGGCTACGACCTGGTGTGCAGAACCCCAGCTCCTCTTTGCGTCTGTGGCTGATGTGGAGGTGGGAACGCTGTGGTCCATGGCCAGGTAGCCACAGGTGGCCAGCTGCATGGTGCCGCTTCAGTCCAAGCAAGACAGGTCCATAGTTCCCATCTCAACCCCACCCAGGGAAGCTGGAAATTCACCTGGCAAACAAGAACAAACCAGTCACATTTTTGTACTGCTTTTTCCAATGGCCTAAATTATAACATTAATAATTATTGTTATTAGTATCATAGTAGTAACAGCTACAGTTACCAAAAACTTACCATGAGCCAGGAACCTGATGCAATTAACTCCTGTCATTGCCCCAGGAGTCCCTGTTCACTAACCCACGGTCTCAAAGGCGGCTTCTGCGGGAGTCCAGTGATCTCTCCCCTAAGGAAGGTTCTATTGGGCGCTAAAAAGTTCCACACAGCAGGTGGAGGGGAAAACAACATGGAAAACCCAAACCTGGATACTAACCATGGAGGAACCAGTGCTGTGGAAAGAACAGGGTGGAACCTCGGGTTTTGAAAAGCAGAGAGGAGCCACAGCCTAACTTCCTCTCTCCAGAGAAGGGAGCAAAGCCCCGCAAGGCTCGTTCTCAGCCAGGCTACCAGTGACCTTGGGGCAGGGCTGGGCAGACAGCTGTCTCCCATCTCCCATTCTGACTGCTGTCCCCCATAACCTCGTAGATCAGATCTTGTTTGGGTTCACTGGACTTGCTGGTCTTCACCCATTTCTGACCTTCAGTTTGCCTCCTCAGAGACATCTCGGTGTCATCAAAGGATGTGATATGAAACGGGCTTCCTTAGGGAAGTGGGATTCCTTAGACTTGTCTCAGAGCATCTCCACAGAAGGCAATAACCCAAGAAAGTCGAACCTTTTCACGCAACCTTTTAGACACCATAGATAAAGTGTGGTCTCTCCAAACAAAGGAATAGTATTCAGCCGTAAAAAGAAACACAGTACTGACACACACTACACGTGGAAAACATGACCCTAAGCGAAAGAAGCCAGGCTGGATGCAGTGGCTCACTCCTGTAATCCCAGCACTTTGGGAGGCCGAGGTGGGTGAACCATCTGAGGTCAGGAGTTCGAGATTAGCCTGGCCAACGTGGTGAAACCCCGTCTCTACTAAAAATACAAAAATTAGCCAGGCGTGGTGGTGGGCACCTGTAATCCCAGCTACTCGGGAGGCTGAGGCAGGAGAATTGTTTGAACCTGGGAGGCAGAGGTTGCAGTGAGCTGAGATCATGCCACTGCACTCCAGCCTGGGTGACAGAGCAAGACTCCATCAAAAGAGAGGAAGGGAGGGAGGAAGGGAGGGAGGGAGGGAGGGAGTGAGGAAGGAAGGAAGGAAGGAAGGAAGGAAGGAAGGAAGGAAGGAAGGCAGGCAGGCAGGCAGGCAGGAAGGCAGGCAGGCACAAAAGGTCACAGGTTGTCTGACCCCATTGATGTGAAATGCCCAGAATAGGCAAATCCATGGCGATTGAAAGGAGATGAGTGGTTGCCAAGCCTGGGGGCGAGGGGAGGAGGGAGGACTGACTACCTCTGGGTAAGGGGTTTTCTCTGGGGATGAGGAAAATGTTTTGAAATTTCATGTGAGTGTGATATAGCACAACATAGTAGTGCATGCACCAGATGTCACTGAAATGTGCATTTTTAGGGGTTAATTTTATGTTATGTGAATTTTACCTAATTTTTTTTAAAAGCAAGGGGGGGAAAGGCCCCAAGAGCCACACATTTAAATAGAAGAGGATGTTTGTCTCTTTGGATAGAAAGATCTTCCTTGTTTTGATTTGTAAGATTCTCAAGGATCTCTCTGGTAAATCAAGATCACCGTGCACAGATGCCCCCACTAGGCAGGGATGGGGGCAGAAAGAGCATTGGCTTGGCCTCTGGGCTCACTCACTGTGTGACCTTGGGCAAGACAGTTAGCGTCCCCAAGCCTGAGCTTCCCCGTGATAGGATGGGGGCAATGGGGTTAGTCCTGTCTCCATCACAGGTAATTGTGAGGAACAAATGGAGCAGGGCCTATGACAGCCATCCAAATACTACTTGGAATTATGAAAGTGGATTTGCCATAAGGCAAGAGCTGGAAGCAATTATCTCAATGATTGTAGAAGAAACCTACACGAGGTGGATCCCAGGCACTGTGGTGGATCCCCAGAAGCCACTCAGTCCAGCTTCCATCCTTCCATCCTCCTGGGAGGAGCAGCCAGGCTATGTCTGGCCGACACAGTCACTCATTCAAAAAGGAATTCATGGTGCCAATTCTGTGACAAGCTCTATAGCAGGTGCTGCGGAAACAGAACAAAATGGACAAAAATCCCTGCCCTCATGATCCCAGGGACAAGCAGTTGATGTGCAGGTGTAAACATGTGACCTTGGCATTTATTTTATTCTTTTGCTCATGGGTTCATTGGCAAACATTCAGGAGTAGCCACTCTGCTGGTGAAATAAGCCAGGGTCCGCTGTGGGCAGCACAGAGGATTTAGGATGTGGAGGGACATGGAGGCTCATCTGAGCAAGAGGGATACAAATGCCCCCTTTGCAGAAATGTCACTCTTTTGTGACCAGCATTGTCCCCTCAGACTGTCACGTAAAATGCTAGATGCTTTAGCCTTGGTGTGAACCAGGTCATCAGAGCCCTGGTCTCCCCCAGAAAGAGGAGTAAGGTGGTTTGGTAGGTAAGGAGCAGATGCACCCCAGGTGGCCAGAAGACAGAAGCACAGAATGGGAGGTCTAGAAACAGAATATAATGTCCCCCCGAGGGCCCCTGGGCTCAAGGAAGCAGAACACGTGCTTCTGAAGTGCAGAGAAGCAGCTGTGCTGCTCACAGCCCAGGAGCAGCCTGTGCCAGCCCAGGGCTGCCAGGCTGCGTCCTCGCCTCCCAGCCTGCCCCACAGCCCTTCAATCCCTCTTTTGTGATTGAGGTGCAAGTACCCATCCCTCCTCTGCAGTCACTGGTGCCCTGAGAGGCCTCACATCATCTGGTGCCCCATGCATGGGGGGTGAGGCAAGGAGGCAGTCTCTCCTGCTGACACCAGAAGCGGCAAACAACCAACTTATCACTGCCCCTTTGTGTGGGAACAATGGAGCCCAGAGAGTCCGACCTCCAGAGAGAGGAAGTCTCAGGACAACGACCTTCCTGCCTCCTACTACCTAGTCTGCATGGAAATGGGAGAAGGGATAAATCTTAGCGCTTTGAAGACTTAGTGGCTCTGGTGACTCCAGCAAGCCCAAGTTTCTACCTGCATGTTGGTCGCCTCTTGATCCACACCTGCCAGGTGCTCATCTTCCCTCCCATCTACCCAGCATCCCAGGCCCACCACACAAGCCTCTGCGGCAGGTCTCTGGTCCCCACGCCCTCCACAGGAGCCCAGCTGGCCTGGGCATGGCCTCACATCTGGACTCTTGCCACCTCCTCCCACTGCACGCCGTGCTCCCTCACGCGCTCTCTCTCCCATCTTTCTCTGCCTCTGTCCAACTGGGGCTTTCTGACAATGCAACCCTGCGTGAGTCTGCTGGGGCTACCAATCAGGGCACCTCACAACAGACCTTTACCTTCTCATTGTTCTGAAGGCTGGAAGTCCAAGATCAAGGTGTCAGCAAGGTTGATCTCTCCTGATGTAGCTTGAGGGGACAATGCTGGTCGCAAAAGAATGGCATTTTAACAAAGAAGGCAGGTGGATTTGTAGCCCTCTTGCTCAGATGAGTCTCCACGTCCCTCCACATCAGAAATCCCCTGTGCTGCCCACAGCGGGCCCTGGCTTATTTCACCAGCAGAGTGGCTACTCCTGAATGTTTGCCAATGAAGGCGTGAGCGAGAGAATGAAATGAATGCCAAGGTCATGTGTGTGCCTGCACATCAACTGGTTGTCCCTGGGATCATTAAGGCAGAAGAGATTTCTGTCCATTTTGTTCTGTTTCTGCAGCACCTACTACAGAGCTTGTCACAGAACTGGCACCATGAATTCCTTTTCAAATGAGTGAATGTGTCAGAGTCCCATAGGCTGGCATAGCCTGTCTGCTTCTCCCGGGAGGACGGAAGCAGGATGGAAGGATGGAAGCTGGACTGAACAGCTTCTGGGGTTCCCCTACAGTGCCGGGGATCCACAGTGATTGTTTCTTCTACAATCACTGAGAGAATCACTCCCAGGACCTTGCCTTACAGCAAATCCACTTTCATAATTCCAAGTCACACAGTGAGTAAGCCCAGAAGCCAAGCCCATGGTCTTTCCACCCCCATCCCTGCCTGGTGGCATCTGTGCACTGTGATCTTGACTTACCAGGGACAGTCTTGAGAATCTTACAAGTCAAAGTAAGGAAAATCTTCCTACGACCTCTCTGCTTGGTTTGCAAACAGCTCTCTCATCTCTGTGTCCACACACGGCATTTTCTGTGTGTGCAAGCGTGCCCCTGGTGTCTCTTCCTCTTCCTTAGGGACACCAGCCCTGTTGGGTTAGGCTCCCATCCTTATGAGTTCATTTCATCTCAATTACCTCTTTAAAGGCTCTGTCTCCAAATACAGTCACTTTGGGGGGTTTATGGCTTCAACTTATAAATTTAGGGGGACACAGTTCAATTCATAACAACATCTCTGCATCACCAGCAGCTTACATCAACCCCCATACCCTTAAAGCTTTTTTTTTGAGACAGAGTCTGGCTCTATTGCCCAGGCTGGAGTGCAGTGACATGATCTCCGCTCACTGCAACCTCCGCCTCCCAGGTCCAAGTAATTCTCCCTGCCTCAGCCTCCCGAGTAGCTGGGATCACAGGCACACGCCACCACGCCCAGCTAATTTTTTATTTTTTAGTAGAGATGGGGTTTCACCATGTTGGCCAGGCTGATCCCAAACTCCTGACCTCAGGTAATCTGCCCACCTTGGCCTTCCAAGGTGCTGGGATTACAGGTGTGAGCCACTGCGCCCGGCCCTAAAGCCTCTTAGCATGCATGGGCTACAGCGTTCCTCACACCACAGTCCTCATAAGACACCTCAGCCTTGTCTACTATTTTATTTTTCTCAGAACTTGTCACTGTTGGACACTATGGCATATACTTACTTATTTGCTGTCTGACTCCCTTTACTAAAATGCAAGCTCGGTCAGGCGAAGTGGCTCACTCTTGTAATTGCAGCAATTTGGGAGGCCGAGGTGGGCAGATCGCTTGAGCCCAGGAGTTTGAGACCAGCCCGGGCAACATAATGAAACCCCGTCTCCACAAAAAACACAAAAATTAGGCCAGGTGCCATGGCTCACACCTGTAATCCCAGCACTGTAGGAGGCTGATGCAGATGGATCACTTGAGGTCAGGAGTTCGAGACCAGCCTGGCCAACAATGGTGAAATCCGGTCCCTACTAAAGATACAAAAATTAGCCAGGCCTGGGGGCTGGTGCCTGTAATTCCAGGTGCTACGGAAGCTGAGGCAGGAGAATCGCTTGAACCCGAGAGGTGGAGGTTGCAGTGAACCAAGATCATACCACTGGACCCTAGCCTGGGTGACAGAGTGAGACCTTGTCTCAAAAAAAAAAAAAAAAAAAAAAAAAAATTAGCCAGGCATGGTGGAGCATGCCTGTAGTCCCAGCTACTCCAAAGGCTGAGGCAGGAGGATTACTTGAGCCCCTGAGGTCGAGGCTACAGTGAGCCGAGCTCACGCCGCTGAACTCCAGCCTGGGTGACAGAGTGATCCTCTGTTTCAAAAATAAAATAAAATAAAAATAAATAAATAAAATGCAAGCTCAGTGGAAGCAGAGAGCTTGCTTCATTTCATTTCATTCTCTCAATCATGCCTTCATTGACAAACACTCAGGAGCAGCCACTCTGCTGGTGAAATAAGCCAGGGCCCGCTGTGGGCAGCACAGGAGATTTCTGATGTGGAGGGACATGGAGGCTCATGTATCTGTTTCATTCAGCACAGAATTCCCCATCCCCGGAACAGATCCTGGCACTTAGTAGATGCTCAATAAGTATTTGTGGAAGGTAGGAGAGAGTCTCCCGTTACTTCCCACAGTTGATTTTGCTCGCTTCCTACCCCAGCTCTCTTAAAACTCTGAGTTCTGCTCACTGTTCTCTGGGTCTAGAACACACTTCCAACCCCTCCTTTGTCAGGGGAACTGTAATTTGTTCTCCATCATTCAGCTCAAAACGTTTCTTCTCCAGGTGCCTGCTCTGCAGTGCCAGTGTGGGCCCAGTCCCTGGACACAGGCCATCAGATTTGCCATATTGTATTGAAATGTTCTGCCTATGCACAGGTATTCTGTCCAACTAGAACTGGAAACTCCTTGAGAGTAGGGCTGTATCTTTTCTATCACCATATCCCCAGGACCCAGCACAGAACCTGGCTCCTCAAAGCAGCCTACATCTTTTTGATGTGCATGAAGCTTAGAGAGCATGACTCATGTGTTCTAAAACCTTTAGCCTCTCTTTCGTTTATCCAACAAACAATTACTGACCACCTGCATACAGTTTCTTATCCTGGTGTCAGTGAATTTACAGAGTTTGTGAACTTGGATGTAAAAAATTGACATGTTTCATTTTAGTAACCTTGAACTAATATTCAGCATTTCCATAAATTGTGAACATAGGCCTCCAAACCACAGTAGTGTTAGTAGTACCTGTGACTTTTGTCAGATAGTTTCACGTCACATTATAGCTGTGGCAGGCCTTGTAAATAGCATTTATTCTCATCACCACCTTGAAATTACAATAGTGATTACACCCACATTGAATCTCACTATTTTAAGTGTTAATAAAAGAACACATACATGTATCGCATTTTGTATGTTTTGATAACTGTTTCAATTATATTTCAATCTACTTGTTTTCTATTCAGTCTTATGGGTTTTATTTTATGCATCTGAAGGCATTATTCTGGCTGGATCCTCCTCTCTCATCTTATGCAAAAATCAACTCAAGATGGATCAAAGACTTAAATCTAAGACACGAAACCATAAAAATTCTACAAGATAACATCAGAAAAACCCTTCTAGACATTGGCTTAGGCAAAGACTTCATGCCCAATGATCCAAAAGCAAATGCAACAAAAACAAAGATAAATAGATGGGACTTAATTAAACTAAAAAGCTCCTGCACAGCCAAAGAAATAATCAGCAGAGTAAACAGACAACCCACAGAGTGGGAGAAAATCTTCACAAACTATGCACCTGAGAAAGGGCTAATATCCAGAATCTACAAGGATCTCAAACAAATCAGCAAGGAAAAAAAACCCAAATAATCCCATCAAAAAGCGGGCTGAGGGCATGAATTGACAATTCTCAAAAGAAGATACACAAATGGCCAACAAACATATGAAAAAATGCTCAACATCACTAATTATCGGGAAATGCAACTCCAAACCACGTCATACCACCTTACTCCTGCAAGAATGGCCACAATTTAAAAATCAAAAAATAATATATGTTGAGTATGGATGTGGTGAAAAGGGAGCACTTTTACACTGCTGGTGGGACTGTAAACTAGTACAACCACTATGGAAAACAGTATGGAGGGTCCTTAAATAACTAAAAGTAGATCTACCATTTGATCTGGCAATCCCACTGCTGGGTCTCTACCCAGAGGAAGAGAAGTCGTTATATGAAAAAGACACTTGCACACGCATGTTTATAGCAGCACAATTCACAACTGCAAAAATATGGAACCAGCCCAAATGCCCATCAATCAACAGGTGAATAAAGAAAATGTCGTATATATACATCATGGAATACTACTTGGCCATAAAAAGGAGCAAAATAATGGCATTTGCAGCAACCTGGATAGAGTTGCAGACCGTTATTCTAAGTAAAGTAAGGAATGGAAAACAAAACATCATCTGTTCTCATAAGTGGGAGCTAAGCTATGAGAACACAAAGACATAAGTGATACAATGGACTTTGGGGACTAGAAGGGTAGAAGGAATAAAAGACTACACATTGGGTACAGTGTACACTGCTTGGGTGATGAGCACACCAAAATCTCAGAAATCACCACTCAAGAACTTATCCATGTAAGTTCAGAACTTATCCATGTAAGTTAACCATGTAACAAGTAGTGAACAAACATCATTTGTTCCCCCAAAAACCTATTGAAATAAAAAAAAATTAAAAGCATTATTCTGAGAAAAGGTCCATGGGCTTCATCAGAGGCCAAAGGGGTTCCTGACCCCAGAAGCCAGCCCTCTTCTGAGACCTGGGTCTACAACCCTAAACAAGAGTGATCTCTGCTCTCACAGCACTGCACTCCAATGGGTGAGGCAGAGAATAAAGGAAACAAGTGCACAGATGAATACATAATATCACTTCACATTGTGACAACTACTATGAGAAAAATAGAAGAGGGTCACGGGCAAAGGCTGAGAGGAGGAAGAGGAACTGATTTGATAGTGTGGCTGGGAAAGGCTCTCAGAGGAGAGGATATTTGAGCAGAGACCTGAATGGTAAGGAGTGAGCCATAGCAGGAGCTGGGGGAAGAGCGAGCCAGGCAGAGGCAATGTCAGTGCAAAGGCCCTGAGGCAGGCCTGAGTTGGGCATGCTGATGAGTGGCTGCGGGCCTTGAGGGAGGGAGCTAAAGTGGGGAACTTAGCTGGGCCAGTCCTGCAGGTCGCCTCTTCCAGTCCTACCATGCCCCCTCCCCAGGTGCTCAGTAGAGCTCTGTGCACGAGGAAGACCTCTCGGATAGCCTGGATGCACCTCCAGTATCATCCCGCAGTAAACGTACCAGGGTCCTTGGGTTTACCAACAGCCGGAGGCTTGGTTTTCAATCTTTGTTTGGCTGTCTCCCAACTTGAACAGTTAGTTTTAGAATACTGAGTTTTTTTGCAATGTAACATTTTCAAGTATCTGTGAACTGAAATTTTTGTAATTCTAGAGCCATTTTTACCAGAAAACTCACCACTGAGTTCCGCGAATAGCTCAGATGAATGCAAAATCAAGGTACAGCTTGGATGTAATTGCTTAACTAGTCTTCACGTCCCATTGGCAAGACAAAACGGGGATTTCCTTTTGAAGTCACAGCTTGACGTCTACCATTTCCTCACAGTAAGGGGTGGGATGGATGGCTCTCCATGTGTCCAGAGCTGTTTGTTTTGTTTCTTCTACTCAACCGCAGTAGACAAACCCTGGCGATGAGTTCCATGTAGCAGTCCTTAATCACAAGAGTGTCTCCGTTTTCCATAAACACGGCAACATGCTTTTCATTCTCAGCATGCATATTTCCAATTGCCTGTCAGATTAGAAATGTACAGCTTGCTCTCAATAACCCATTATAATTTTCGCGGTAAAATACAACCCTAAGAATTGAATGCCTTCAGGAAAACCAGTTAGTTCAAAAATACATTCTGCTTACATAATAAAAACTCTCTTCCATTGCAAGTGACCATGGAGCTCTGAGCTGGCTTTGTATACACAGGTTCAACATGGAACTCCAGCTGTTTCCAAAAATTAACGATGCAGTTCCCTAAACTGAGGTGTGCTTCCACCTAGTGATCTGGACTCATCTTAGACAGAGGTAGCGGGCTATTGGAATGGCGGGCTTATTCATGGATTCAGTATTTAGTAAGCCCTACACCACAGGGGCAGTGTTTGGGGTGGGTCAGTTGCAATACCAACAGCTCATTCTCTTCCTGTGATGGACTCTCCCTCTGGTCCAGGAGATGACAGAAATTCACCAACACCTGCTTCTGTGTGCCACGTCGGGGGATAGACAATAGACAGTCTCACCTCTTGTTGGGAGACGGATAAAGGCTTTAGAGAGAGCCTGGACTTGAGAAATGATGGCGGGGACATGGCAGAGGCAATGATTCTGACTTCACACCTCGGTTTGATTGGCTCTTCAAAGTCTCTGCTTCTGTAACATGAAACCAGCGCAGGCTTCCCAGGAAGACAGAATTGTGTTAGAATCCCAGCTAAGCCATAAAGCTCATTTTTCACTTGGGCAAGTTTAATACTTCTCTGAGTCTCAGTTTCCTCATTTGTAAAACAGGGCCAATACTTTAGGGCTGTTTTTTGTTGTTGTTTGTTTTTTAAGGAGAGGACTAATGGTTCTGAAGTTCAGAGAACCATGCCTGGCACACAGCATTTGCTCAATAAATGGTAGCTGTTAATATTATGAAGCAAGACCTAAACAGTAACTGGAAGACATTCAACTCTCTAGGACCACACCCAAAGAGGGAAAGGCAACATCTCAATAGCTGAGGGTAGCCACGAGCACCAGCAGGCCCGGAACGATTCCCACAGAGATGTGTTTGTTCAAGCTTTTTTTATGGCTCGCTTCTGGTATCATTTCACAGGTCCCCATATTTGCAGCTTTGAGCTAACCTGCCAGATCCCAGGCCAGTGCTGTGACCGCCAAGCAGTGCGGAGCGGAGGGACATGCCTGCGCCAGGGAGAGGGGGGCATTGATGGATGTGAAGGAGACTGAGGAAGATTTTGCAGGCCAGATAGATTTTTGCAGCCTATTGATTTTGGAAGCCCATTTGCAGAACTCATTTGAGGGCTTGTCCAGGAGGCCTGTCCACAGCACGGAGCCTGGAAAAATGAAGCAGAACACTTGTTAATTCCTTCTGTGGCTCTGGGGCCACTGGGATGTGCCAGCCCCTGCTCCATCAACCTCAGGGCTCATTCCACTCCTCTGCTCCTCCAGGCCTCCGGGGGACTCAAGTGGGATAGCAATTCCCTGCCCAAGTTACAGGAAAGGCAAGTGTATGAAGAGGCCAGGAAGCCCCCGAGGCCAGTTGCACATATTATAAGTTACACTTGATTCTTTTTTTTTTTTTTTACTGCATTTTTCTCTCTGCATAAAAATGTGTTTCTTAATATTCAAGAGGTGGGTAAGACAGTAAGCCTGAGAAATCCTACGAGCAGTTTAGCCCTTCAGCATTTGTCAGTCACTGTATCATGCCATCAGCGCTCATTTAGAACGACCCACTTGGTCAGTCATGCTGTTGTTACCCAAAACTACACTTAAATTCCTACATTCTTCTGTGTAAAGGAGGCAGACTCGAATGAAAGGCAGCTAGAATTATTCTAGGTTATACCTATAGACTGTAATGTTAGTTATAACCTCCAAGTTGACATCTTTGAAAGAGGCACATTTGCTTTTTTTTTAGTTAGTTAATCAGACCTAGGGTTGAAACTTAACTTGGACCTGCTAACTGTTTGATTTTGAGCAGCAAAATATGTCTATATCTTTTTGTTTTGTTTTGTTCGTTTTGTTGTTTTTGTTTTTTGAGATGGAGTCTCTCTCTGTCTCCAGGCTAGAGTGAAATGGCACGATCTCTGCTCACTGCAATCTCCGCCTCCCCGGTTCAAGTGATTCTCCTGCCTCAGCCTCCCGAGTAGCTAGGACTACAGGCGCACGCCATCACGCCCAGCTAATTTTTGTATTATTAGTAGAGATGGGGTCTCACCATGTTGGCCAGGATGGTCTCGATCTCTTGACTTCATGATCCACCCACCTTGACCTCCCAAAGTGCTAGGATTACAGGTGTGAGCCACCACGCCTGGCCATTTGTTTGTTTTTTAAAGACAGGGTCACCTAGGCCAGAGTGCAGCACCACTATCACAGCTCACTGCGGTTTCAAACTCCTAAGCTCGAGCAATTCTCCTACTTCAGCCTCCTGAGCAGTTGGGCCTATAGGCACATGCCACCATACTCGACTAATTTTTTTTCCACCGTGACTTCCCAAAGTGCTGGGATTATAGGTGCAAGCCACTGTGCCCGGCCCTCTCTGTGTCTTCATGTCACCATCTGGGATTGTTACCTACTTCATGGGACTGCTGTAAAGTTTATTTCATTGACTGTAAGGGGCCCAATACTGAACTAAGAAATAAAAGTTATGATCAATCAGACCAGACCTTCAGGGATGGTATTTTTTTTTTTAAGAGAGGAATGACACGTGCTTTCTTATCACTTAGGAAAGGGGTTGACAAACTATTGGCCTGCCATTGCTTATCCTATGACCCATGAGCTAAGAAGGCTTTTATATTTGTCAATGGCTTCCCCCCAAAAAACAATAAAATGATGATATTTGGTGATGCATGAAAATTATATGAAATTCTGGCCAGGTACAGTGGCTCATGCCTGTAATCCTAGCACTTTGGGAGGTCGAGACAAGAGCATCACTTAAGCCCAGGAGTTCAAGACCAGCCTGAGCAACATGGTGAGACCCCATCCCTACAAAAAATACAAAAATAAAAAAATTATGCAGGGGTGATGGCGCACATCTGTAGTCCCAGCTACTCGCGATGCTGAGGCCGGAGGATCACTTAAGCCCAGGAGGTCGAGGATGCAGTGAGCTACGATAGCGCCACTGCACTCCAGCCTGGGTGACCAAGTGAGACCCCATCCCTTAAAGAAAATCAAAAAGGAAATTATATAACACTCTCATTTCAGTGTCCACAAATGCAGGCATCTGGAATGGAAACAGTGGTGCTCGTCTGTTTATGCATGATGGATGGTTGCCTTTGGGCCAGAACAGTAGAGCTCGGTAGCTGCCCCCTCGATCGCCTAGCCCACAAAACCTGACATATTTACCCTCTGGCCCTTCCTAGAAAAACTGTGGCAATCTCTAGCTTAGAATACCCATTGTATACTTATTAAGATAGCTCTTTTAAGCTTCTATGGACATTGATTTTTTAAAATCATGTACCATTCTTTTGCATTTTAATGAAATGGTAAATATAAATGAATTAAATTGACTAAGGTATGCCCAAACCTTCTTATTCAGAGCCCTATTTTTCTCAATCTTCTTTTAAACTAAGAGCTGGCACTGTTCATGTTTTCCCATACAGTATCATTCTCTGTGGCTGCCAGAGATATAGCAACCTCATTCTTGTAGTGACGTGACTTTTCTTTAAAAAGTGCTCCTCCTATTCACAATAGCAAAGATATGGCGTGAACCTAAATGCTCATCAATGGTAGACAGGATAAGGAAAATGTGGTACATATACACCATGGAATACTACACAGCCATAAAAAAGAACGATCACATTCTTTGCAGGAACATAGATGAAGCTGGAGGCTGTCATTCTTAGCAAACTAACAGAAGAACAGAAAACCAAATACTGCATGTGTTCTCACTTATAAGTGGGAGCTAAATAACGAGAACACATGGACACAAAGAGGGGAACAGTAGGCACTGGGGCCTGCTTGAGGGTGGAGGGTGAGAGACGGAAGAAGAACAGAAAAAAACAACCATTGGGTACTAGGCTTAGTGCCTGGGTGACAAAATAATCTGTACAACAAACCCCTGAGACATGAGCTTACCCATATAACAAACCTGCACATGTACCCCTGAAACTAAAATAAAAGTTAAAAAAAAAAGAAAAGAAAGAAAAGAAGTGCTCCTCTATCATCTCTGGGATTTTTGTCCAAGTCTTTGACCCTACAAGTGCTGATGTTCACACACAAGCAGTAATGGCCACATCTGGCTGTGTGACTGACAGCTAGGATATAGTCATGCCAGTTTTTTTTTTTTTTAAAGTTAAACTGCACATGTGTTCGAGAAATGTGCATGCTGGAATCTATGAAATACAAGACTCGGCATGTTGCCTGGCATGGAGGAGTTTTCAATATATATAATGATCCCTTCTCCCTGCCCCGACTCATTTTTTACTGTGCCCAAGTCTCTATTCATAAAGTAGATGAGATTCTTTGGTTGCAAGTCATAGAAACCAGCTCCAATGGACATAAGGAATTCCTTGTAAAGTTGGAGGTTCTAGCAGAACTAAAGGAAAGGCTGAAGATTGTAATCTTGGAAAATACTGGAACCAGGTCAACTCTTGGATCTTTTTCTTTTCTGGGTTTTTTTTTTTTTCTGTGTGTGTGTGTTTTGTTTGTTTGTTTGTTTGTTTGTTTGTTTTGAGACAGAGTTTTGCTCTTTCGCCCAGGCTGGAGTGAACTGGCACGATCTTGGCTCACTGCAACCTCCACCCCCGGGTTCAAGAGATTCTCCTGCCTCCGCCTCCCAAGTAACTGGGATTACAGGCATGTGCCACGAGGCCCAGCTAATTTTTGTTATTTTTAGTTAGAGATGGGGTTTGCCATGTTGACCAGGCTGGTCTTGAACTCCTGACCTCAGGTGATCTACCTGCCTCGGCCTCCGAAAGTGCTAGGATTACAGGCATGAGCCACCGCACCTGGCCAACTCTTGGATCTAAGTTATGAGAAAAAGAGGACTTTCACTTGCGGGTGTCACATCAGCCGATTTGTTCAGACCTGGTTCAGATTAGAGAGCAGCAAAGCAGCTTTGAGGACGGGCCTCAATTCCGGCTGTGGGTGGAATGGAGGGAAGAGTGTCACATGTTGGATGAATGGGTCTTGTTGAGCATCCTCAGCACCCCGCAGAGGGTGCTGAGTGAGGAAGTCCATGAAGGCTTACAAAGCCATTTCCAATTCCCCTGGCCACAGGAAGGAGAACCAGCTCGGCAGTTTACAGGCACTCAGCAGGCTGAAACGATGACCACAAGGCAGGCTGGCTGCCTCCCACATCTGACTACAGCAGGGTAGGAAATAACACGGATAAAATGACTTGGCTGCAAAAGTGATCTGTCGTCAATAACGATGACCATAGCATTCTGGGGCTCCATGCAGTTCCCTTGCGAAGGCAAAGAAAACCCCCACCTGGAGGCAGTTCCTATGGAGGCAAGGTGGCAAAGTGTCCTTCTGAACTCTGTTGGGAAGCCATCTGACCCTGGCTGAGTGAGAGGGCTCTGTGCTCCAAGATCCTTTGTTCTTCCTTCACTTTTCACCTTGTGCCACTTCTCACTGGTGGCTCCTCATTGCGTTACTCAGGAGTCTCCAGAAAAACAGAACCAGTAGGATATGTGTGTACATACATACATAGAGAGAGAAAGACTTATTCTAGGGAATTGGCTCACAGTTACAGAGGCTGGCAAGTCTGAAATCTGCAGGGTAGGACCCAGAGAGCCTGATGTTGTGGATCAAGTCTGAAGGCCACCAGCTGGCAGAATTCCCTCCTGCTCAGAGGAGGTCATCTTTGTTCCCATCAGACCTTCAATAGATTGGGTGAGGCCTACCCACATTATGGAGGGCATCTGCTTTACTCAAAGTCCACTGATTTAAATTTTTTTTCATTTTGTTTTGTTTTTTTTTTTTTTTGTTTTGAGACAGAGTCTCGCTCTATTGCCCAGGCTGGAGTGCAGTGGGGCCATCTCGGCTCACTGCAACTTCTGCCTCCTGGGTTCAAGCCATTTTCCTGCCTCAGCCTCTCGAGTAGCTGGGATTACAGGTGCCCGCCACCACGTTCTGCTAATTTTTATATTTTTAGTAGAGATGGGGTTTCACCATGTTGGCCAGGTTGGTCTCGAACTCCTGACCTCAGGTGATCTGCCTGCCTCAGCGTCCCAAAGTGCTGGGATTACAGGCGTGAGCCACCACACCTGGCCTGATTTAAATGTTAATATCATCCAAAAACACCCTCAGAGAAACCTCCAAAATGACATTTGGGCATATATCTGGGCACTGTGGCTCAACCAAGATGACACATAAAATTAACCATCATACTCACCCTATTGTGAGGACTTCTCTCAGGGCAGCAACGGGAAGCATTTTTGCTTCGTTGCATTGGTAATGACTAGCTCAATACATGTTGGTGGGAAAAAATGAATGACAAGAAGTGTCTGCTGCATGTCAGACCGGGGGTCCAGACATCTGCCTCCGGATTTCAGAGCAGGGAGCAGTTTCTGTGGGGCAAAGATGTCCCAAAAATCTTCACATACAAGAAGTCCTGGACCTGGGTTTTGAAGGATCACTGGTATTCAGAGAGGTACGAAGTGTCCATCCCCGCAGAAGGGAATGCACCTGTCCCACACCTGTGTATTGGGTGCCCACCATGTGCTGGGTGCTGTGTACACAGGACGTGCCGTGGGGCTCAGATGGTGGAGTGGAGGGAGATATGGACACAGAGGTGGAGGCCAGCTTCTGGAAGGCCTTAGTGTAAGCTGGAAAAAGTTCTCAGTTTTTACAAACAGAATTCTGTCCAAGGTTCTAGACGCTTTATTTGGTTATCCTGGCCCCAACTTTTCTCAAGCTGGGGGTGGCCAGTTTATTGGGTGGATCTCCAAGGGCTGGTCTCGCAGACTCTCCAGATGGTTCCTATCTTCAGGCCCAATTTACGAGCCTACATGAGGAGTCAGTGGATACCCAGTCCTGCTGCAGCCTCTGAGAAAGTGAAGGCAGAGGATTGGCCCCAGGAAGGAGGGCTCCCAGGGCAGGAAGATGCTGGGAGGCCCAGCGGGCAGCCAGCCTGCTTGGTGGTAAAAGCGGCCCGGAATTTCCATGGAGAGAGCCAAGTCTGGAAGCAGCCCTCAAAGCGTCTCTTCCAACTGTTTGGGCAGCCAGGGAGCACAGTGCCAGGGGCAACACTGACAAAGTGACCTGGAGGAGCATCGGAATCCACACTCGGCCCCGGGGGGCCTGGCCACAGGTCAGCAACAACACCCATGGAAGCAATAGCAGGAAGGGGTTCTGGGACTCTGGAGGGAGCGTGGAGGGCCACATCCGCTGTGCCCACGCGGCGAGCAGCCTCGCAGGCGGGGAGAGGAGGCCTCCAGCTCCCATCCTGTGAATGGCACCATCTTTCGTGCCAGTCAAAGAGTCGTGCTGTTTGTCAGGAGCACAAGTGCTCATCTTCACCAGCTCTTCCGGGTAAAACTTATTTTTGAGGGAAAAGTTTTTTTCAGGTACAAAATGCAACCTTTGTTGATCTGACTGCATTGAGAAATGACTCCTCTCCTGCTAACAGTAACATTAAAACTCCCAACCTCCATTGGCCTTTACAATGAAAGGTACATTAGTTCAGGTCTTTCTGCGTAAGGCAAGGGCGACCTCAATCTATGGGAGCCAGGGCCACCCACATGGGCTGTATCTTGGTCCTGGGAAACCAGGCTCAGCAGAGGAATTGGGGTAGAGACCGCACTTTACAAACCATGCCTTCTGGAAGGTCACAGAACTTTTCTCTTTGGCCTCATAACACTTCCTCCTAAACTAGTTCCTCTTCCCGATTCCCCAGCTCTGTTAATTCAGTTTAATTATTTAACAAGTATTTATTGAGCACCTACTATGTGTCAAGCAGTGCCATGGGCTTTTGGGATACATCAGTGAATGAAATCAATACACACCCTTGCCCTAATAGAGCTTGCATTCTAGCTGGAGGTGGAGGTCAGGGAGATGGAAAATGAATAATACACATAATCAATAAGTATGTTAGATATCATGTTTGAATATGAACAATGCAATGGGGGAACAAAGTAGGGCCGGGGTGAGCAGCATCGGGGGCCCGGGTACAGGGACGGAGGGCAGGGCAGGTGACAGCATTAAACAGAGTAGGCAGGCATCACACTCTGAAAATGTACATCTCAGAACTGAGTAACCGGCCAAGCATCCGCTGCTGGGCTCTGAGATGCGCTTGCTTTCAGGACAGGCCTTCCACAGGCTGCTGACAGCACTGCAGGGATGTGAGGCCCGTTCCTGGGAGACACGGGGCTACTTTGGCTCAAGGTGCCCCGACAGCCATGCTGAACTTTCTTAAGAGTCACCTGCAGATTAAGATACTCCCACCTAACCTCCCTGCCATCTCTCCTTTGCCGGCGTCAGACTCTCCCAGCCTCTCCTTGCTCTCGCCTGGTTTTCTTTCACTGGAGTGGCTCCTAAGAAATCTCTTGACCAGCTAAGCCCATTGAGGCATCTGCCTCTTCGAGGAGCCTGCTAACCCATTAGGTTAGGCCTCAGTGGGAAGGTGGGATTGGAGCGTTGAGTGATGCGTGGAGCGTAGGGAGTAGCTGAGTTAGTGGTGCCACATCCTCTTGTGTGGGAAGCTGCTCGCTGGCGCCCTCCTCTGTTCCAAAGTTGCCAGATCTTGTCCATCACCCCAGAAACAGCTCCTGCGTTTAACCTCTTCGTGCCATTCCCACCATATAAACCTTTAAGGGTCTTATTATGTCCACTAGGCTATTGCCCCGCCACCATTCTCTTCCTTCTCACCCCTGCAATCCATGCTGCTCACTGCTTCCAGGTGACTCTCCTAAGTCATGCCCCGATCTTGGTGCTCCCCTGCTCAGAAACCTCCAGTGGCTCTCTGCAGTTTCTTAGCCTGACATCTGAGGCCAACCACATCTGTCTCCAGTGGGCTTTCTCAGCACTGCAGAGAGCTCCAGGTGTTAGAGCTGGATGGGATCCAGGCTACTGAACTCTGCCACCTCTACACAACTCTGCATTTCTGCCAGGTGATTAGCTGTGTTTGAGTGCCTTCAGTGATGGGAACCTCACTTCTCAGCTCACATCTCCCTGAAGAGTCAATACACTAGCCCTGGTTCTGCCCCTTGAGCTGTAAGGGAGAAGACCCCTTCCCCTCCCATGACAGCCCTTCACTTACTGGAAGTCAGTGATTCTATCTCCCATGAGTCATCATTTTTTGTCATAACCTGTCTAGTATGGAAAAAAGATGTCACCTGTGTCTCCTATGAAATAACCTGAAATCCCTGGCACCCAGGCTCCTCTCCACTGAATGCACTTGTATTCGCTTCCTTGGGCTGCCATGACAAAGTTCCACAGGCTGAGTGTTAAACAGTAGAAATGTGTTTCTCCCAGTTCCAGAGGCTGGGAAGTCCAAGATCAAGGTGTCAGCCCATTTGATTTCTCCTGAGCCTTTCTCCTTGGCTTCCAGATGGCTGCTTCCTCACTGTGTCCTCACCCAGCCTCTTCTTTGTGCATGTGCCTCCCTGGTGTCTCTTTTTGTGTCCAAATTTCCACTTCTCATAAGGACACCAGTCATATTAGATTGGGGCCCACTGTCATGGTCTCATTTTATCTTAATTACCTCTTCAGGGCCAGGTGCGGTGGCTCACGTCTGTAATCCCAGCACTTTGGGAGGCCAAGGCGGGCCGATCCCTTGAGGTCAGGAGTTTGAGACTAGCCTGGCCAACATGGCAAAACCCCATCTCTACTAAAAATATAAAAATTAGCTGGGCATGGTGGTAGGCACCTGTAATCCCAGCTACTCAGGAGGCTGAGGCAAGAGAATTGCCTGAACCCGGGAGACAGATGTTGCAGTAAGCCAAGATCATGCCACTGTACTCCAGCCTGCAAAATGGAAAGAGACTCTGTCTCAAAAAAAAAAAAAAAAAAAAAAAAGGCTCTATCTCCAAATATAGCCACATTTTGAAATACTGGGTGTTAGGACTTGAACATATGAATTTTGAGGGCAGACACAATTCAGCCCATAACAAAACTCTAATCCGGTCTGTATGCCCCCATAGCATTGCACCTCATAGAGAACATAGTAACCCAGAGTGGGTGCCCAGTGCGGACAGGACAGGCCTTTCTGTTTTCTCTGCACAGGGCGACCTGGGCCTGCAGCTGACTGCTTCAGCAACCCACCATCCTGTGCCCCAGCTGAACTGATAGTGACCAAACCATTGAGTCCCGGGTACACAGGCTGTGGCTGAGCAAATGTATTCATTCCTACATTTGAGCAATTAGGTCAAAAGGCAGGCTGTATTGAAGTTTGCCTTATTAGGCTGGGCTGCCTTGTTCCTGCACGCCTGGCTCTTCCTAGATCCTGATAGGGTCCTGTGGTTTCTCCATTCCTCCTCCTCCCACTGACATCACCCCACCTGGAATACACACATGCCACTAGGAGTTGCTGTTGAGGATGCCAAATGGTTTGTGGCCAACACAGGCCCTGTGAGATAATCACTGAGAGCCCCCTCCAGACTAACCCATGCTTTGATCACCACCCAGGGCTGTGATCCACCAGCCAGGGATCCAGCTGGCCATTGCATCTCCCAGCCCAGTCTCTGCCCTTGCACCATATTACCTATGGATAGCTCCAATCCAGGTAGACCCAATTACTGGCCTCCTATAGACATTTCTCCTATGTTTCCCTTTCTGTGCCCTGATGTGAACCAGTCTTCCAGGAACACTTTCAGCAGAGGGCATGGCTCAACAGGACATGCTCTGGACTCCAGCTCCCTGGGTTCTTCCCCTCTCTGTGCTGTGGTTTCCCCATCTGTAAAATGGGGATAATAGTAACCTCATAGGGGTTTATGGGGATTAAAGGAGTAGGTACATGTGAGAGTTCTAGAACCATGACTCTTCATACTGAGCACTCACTGAGTATTAACTAACGTTATCAGAGACTGCAAAGCACAAGTGCTGAGCAGCTAGCTCTGGAGACAGACTGTTAACCACTGTAGGACTGGGGCAAGTTATTTCATTTCACTAGGCTGCAGTTTTCTCACCTGTATGAGGAATGGGGAGAATAATAGCACCTACCACACAGGGTTTCCACCAAGATTAAATAAATTAATAAAGCAGAGCCCTGAGCACAGTGCAGGCATGCTGTTCACCCCTGTGTTTGTTGGGCAGTGTTATTAATGCTGTTTTCCCTGTTGCTGACTATTGAAACCAGAGCCCTCCTCAAGAGCCTGCTTCAGTGTCACCCCAGCAAACACTTACGAAATATCTACTCTGCCCAAGGCAATGTGCTATTTGTTTGTTTTAACTTTTTATTCTGAAATAATTTCAAACTCACAGTTGAAAAAACATTGCAAGAATAATACAGAAAGGACCTCTATATACCCTTTACCCACGTTCATTGGTCTTCACCGTCTTGCCACATTTATCACTCTCTCTCTTTATTGGTTGCAGACATCATGACCCTTTACCCCCATGTATCTATTTATGTTTCCTAAAGGCTAGGATGTCCTCTTAGGAAACCACAGGACGGTTGTCAGATTCAAGAATTTAACACTTACATGTTTTATCTAATCCACAGTTCCTATTCCAATTTTGTCCACTGTCCCAATTACATCTCTTCCAGCACTTTTTGTTCCAGTCCCAAGTCCAGTCCAGAATCACACACTACATTTAGTTACCATGTGTGCTTAAGAATTTATGATTCAACCACAAACAAGGCATGAAGTCCCATCCCTAATATTTATGAGGCCTAGGCAAGATCACTACAGGAGATCCATGTACCATATGTCTAAATATGTTAAGGTTTTTTTTTTTAACTGTTAATTAATAGGTTCTCTCTGTAAACCTGGAAAAATATACCTTTATAACAACCTGGAAGTCCATGTTTGAATGTGGAATTCTTGGACCTCTTGGGGTTCTGAGCTGGAATTGATGGCTTGGGAAGGGTAGGCTCCTGTCCCTGGCCTGTAGCCTGTCCTTCTCTTTCCATCCGATGCTAAACCATACCATATGGGGCCTTGCGTGCACATAAGACACAAGTGGACCGCCTAGTTTCATTCCCAATTTCTGTCCACACCCTACAAATGGCTGCCCTTGGCCTTCCACTTAGACTCAAGGGGGCCCACACAGGGGAGAGGTTTACACAGGTCCTAGACATAGGCTTCTTAAATCCACTGAGGCTGAGAATGTTGGTCCCTGCCTTCTGTGGCAGGACCTAACTAATGGGGAGGAGACAGAGGCTCCAGATGCGCATGTCCTTCTAGCCTCAGATTCCTCACCCTATGGAATGGGGTTCCACTGAAGAAGCCCAGAGTAGGATTCTTAAACAGGGGTCCCAGACTAGGGATTCCCCCCTGCCAAGGTCTAAGGATGGTCCTGAAAATATGACCTTTGTTTTCAAAATCTTTCAGTCTACCAGAGAAGATAGACAGGTAATTATACCCATGAGGTTAGTGCTCAGGTGGAGGCGAGCCTACAGTGTTATTACTACATGTTCAAAAGGGCCTTCTTCCTCTAAATTGGCAGTCCTTTACTTATTCCTCTGTAGTGGCAGCAACCCTATCATTTGGGTAGGAAAATGTGTGTATGTATCATTCCCCTCATCCTTGGCTTGTCTTGATGACAGCAATCATGCTTTTTTGCTCTGCATATCTTAGCACTTAGTACGGTGTCTGTCACAGAGTAGATACTCAGGAAACAGAAACTGAATGAACAAATGCACAGCTGACTTACAGAAGGGATGGATGGATGTATGGATGGATGGATGGATGGATGGATGGATGGATGGATGAATAGATGTATGGATATGTGGATAATTAGGTGGATGATTGGATGGATGGATGGATGGATGGATGGATGGATGGATGGATGGATGGATTGTTAGACAGGCAGGTGAATGGGTGGATAGACAGATGGATAGGTATATGATTGGATGGGTATATGTACTTATGGACAGGTGGATGGATGGGTGATGGGTGTGGTAAGTGGGTGTTTAAATGGGTAGATGATGGATGAATGGTTGATTTGATCTTTCCTGAGCAGCAGAAGAAGGGAAGGGAAATGACAAGCCCTGTTATTCATAAGAGGGGTCCTGAGCTGGTCATGTGACTGGCCAAAGTCACCAGAGGATGTCAGCAGCAGAGCTAGAAAGAGAACCCAATGTTCTTGACTCTAAGAATCACCACTTCTGCCATGAAATGGAAAGCTTATAACCTACAGCATCGTAAAGCCCAATACTCCATTCTCCACGTGTACGGAGCCTCCTGCTGGAGTTGCCGGTGCCTTCCCTGGCCACTGTGTCTATGACATCCTACCTTTTTGTTCAGCTCAAGCACCTGCCTCTTCTGGGAGCCTCCACAGGTCACCCCTCCTGTTCTGGCACCTACAGTAGCATTTACATGAACAGCATTGCTTTCCTGAACCTCCACTTAGCGTATACACCCTGGGCACCTTTATGCTTGCTATCTACCTACACGCTGTGTCTTATTTCCACAACCAGATAGGGACTGCATTATCCTTCCCTGTAGCACCTCCCCCAGGACCTCTCTGCTGCTTAGTAAATCTCTGATTGACAAGCTGCAGAACTAGTCAGGTTGCAGCACGCTATGAAGCTGTGAAATTGAGTCATCTACAATGTATCTCTCCAAGTTTTCAAGTGAAACCTCTTGCTACATGCCTAAGAATTGTAGCACTTAAAAAAAAATCTCATTAGCCATCCCTGCCATCACAGCTTTCAGCAAAAACTTAGAGCATAAAAACCCGTCTACCACATGCTCCAAAACAATTCACATATTTAGTACAGCAACAAAGACCAGGAACTGGCCACATGCAATAAGAAAAAGAAAAGACAAAGAAGATTAATTGCTTTTGGAAACAAAAGATCACCATCAGGAGGACAGTGATAGTATGCACCAGTGGAAAGGCATTTTTAGAAACACCATATTAGTAGTCACAGAGAGCTGGGCTGAGGCTCCCACTGAGCCATCAAAGGGCCGAGTCATGTGGCCGGTAACTGGGCCGGTGGGGGAAGGTCTAATAATAGTCCCGTTCTTGCTGGCTTTGCACATTTTGGCATCAAAATGTCCCCACCAGGGGTTGCCCCTGGGGAGGCTGGCAAGCAGCCAAGTAACCCCACCAGAGACCTACTCAGCTTCCAGATCTTCTTAGGGGTCCAAGAGGACCCCTAAGAAGGGAGGCCAGGGGGAGAGGGGATGGTCGGTGGCCTAGCATGCTGACCCAGAAAGAGAGAGCAAGAGAAAGCAAAGGAGAGAGAGAACACACTCCAAACTCTCCCAGCTCCCTCCCAGGTCTCTGGGCCAGGTTTCCCCACCCCTTTTCCCTCCCACTGGGACTGGCGGCCAGCTCTCCAAAGAGAACCAGGACAGGAAGCAGCAGCAGGTCTGCAGCTGGGTGCTGGAAAGCCGGGTCACAGGAGGCTGAGCAGGGGAGGAAATTTACTTTGGATGTGGGACCCAGATGGGGCGGGTATGGGGAAGGAGTGAAGAGGAAAGCGAGGCAAGATAAGAAGATGCTCTGATTTAACTAGAAGGGAGGGGGGCGTTCAGGGCTAAGAGTGTTAAATCTGTCTCATAGCAGCTGCCGAAGCCACCTCTCTTGCCTCTGCAAGCCTGCTCGCACAATACACATGTGCTCTCCAGGCATAAAAACACCACAATTCAGCTGGTCTGTGGTCTATAACTGCCCTAATATGGCAGCCCCAAGCCGCAAGAAGCTACTGAGCCCTTGAACCGTGGTTCATCCAAATTGAGATGTATCCTAAGTGTAAAATACACACAGGATTTCCAAGAACTAGTATGAACAAAAGAATGCGCAATATCTCATCAAGTATGTTTGTACTGATTACATATTGAAATAATATTCGCATACAGGGATGAAAAGATATACACATTCATTTCACTGGTGCTTTTTACTTTCTTGAATGTGGCAACTAGAAAATTGAAAACGACATAGGTGGCTCGTATTTATGGCTCATGTTGTACTTCCATGGGTCAGCACTGATCTATGACCTGATTCACCACCGCTACCTTCAAGTTCCAATGATTGTATTCAATTCAACAAACACCTGAGAAGCACAATGCATTGAGGATTCAAAGATGTTCTCAACACGTGGCTGCATATTAGATTCACCTGTTGAGCGTTCTCTAAACTCCCCCTACCTGGCTGCACCCCAGAGACCTGCACTAATTTTGTCAGAATCTCCAGGTGTGGGACGTGGCAGGGGTAGGCTTTTAACACTCCCCAGGGGATAAGAATGTGCAGTCAGGTTGAGAAGCAGGGGCTTAAAATAGGGCCACTGCCCTCAGGGGCTGCACATTAGACAGGACAGAGAGATCTGAAATACTATGGGATAAAGCGGTCAGTGCGGGTGAAGCAGAGGCCAAGGCCAGGGAAGAGGAGAGAGGGGAGAGGAAGACTTGGCTCCATTTGGGAATTAGGGCAGTGTGGGATTTTTTTTTTTTTCGGTTTTTGCTTCTTGTTTTTGAGACAGAGTCTCGCTCTGTCACCCAGGCTGGAGTGCAGTTGCGCAATGAGATCACTGCAACCTCTGCCTCCCAGGTTCAAGCAATTCTCCCTGCCTCAGCCTCCCGAGTAGCTGAGAATACAGGTGTGCACCACCACACCCATCTAATTTTTGTAGTTTTAGTAGAGACAGGGTTTCGCCATGTTGGCCAGGCTGGTCTCAAACTCCTGACCTCAGGTGATCCACCTGCCTTGGCCTCCCAAAGTGCTGGGATTACAGGTGTGAGCCACTGTGCCCGGCCCAGTGTGGGTGTTGGATATGGCCTTGACTTGGGAGCTGTGCAGGTTGAGGTGGTTCGAGGGTGTGGGTGGGTTTCCAGGCATTGAGGATGCTGTGGACAAAACCAAGGCAGGAAAGTGCCCCAGGGAGGGAGGACAGTGGGAGGATGGGAGTCTCTGGTTTACCTGGAGTCCAGGAGGAGATGAGACTCAGGGAGGAATAAAAGCTGGAAAGGCAGCTCCTATAGGTCCCCGAGCACCAGGATTCAGGGCTGGGAAGGCCTGCAGAAGCTCTAAGTAAGGAAGTCATGTGATCTAACTGGGATTTACAAGGTGTCTGATTTGGGGGACAGATTAGATGGGAAGAGGAGAGGAAAGGAATTGGTGGGACAGAACTGGCATCCTCTCGTGTGCAGCGGCCTCTGGCTGAGGGGCCACCCCTCCTGGCTCTCCAAATCAGCTGTTGCCCCTCGAGAGTGGTCCTTTCCTCCTCGCCCAGCTCTAGGTCAGCCCACAGCAGGCACTCGTTAAATGAAACAAATGCTCAGAGTTTCAGAGAGATATTGCTCCTGCAGCAGCCCACCTCCCTGCTGGCCCCTGGACAGGCACAAAAGCTAAGAGTGTGGCCTTCAGTTTGCCCAGTGTTCCTGGCCTTTTCCCTCCATGAAGCAGCCGGGGAAGGCACTGTGTGTCCACAGCGACCCTACAGTGGGCAGCTGAGGGCCCACTGGGATTCTGAAGGGCAGGCCTCAAAATGGTGCCCTTGCCTACCATGCTGTGGTTCCTATTCACAGTTTTCAGCCCTGCTAGAGTACTGGAAGTTTCCATTTTCCAGGGTTTTGCTCCTTTTCCTCACAAGTGCCAAACCTGGGCCCTCCCACCTCTTCCCCAACTTTGCGTGTCCTTATTAGCTTGTAAAAACATCTCATCTGCTGTAAAATAGGCCATTACAGCCTTCTGTGCATAACTTTTTTTTTTTTTTTGAGACAGTCTTGCTCTATCACCCAGGCTGGAGTGCAGTGGCACGATCTCAGCTCACTGCAACCTCCACCTCCCAGGTTCAAGTGATTCTCATGCCTCAGCCTCCCAAGTAGCTGGGACTACAGGCACCCACCACCACGCCTGGCTAATTTTTGTATTTTTAGTAGAGAGGAGGTTTCACCATGTTGGCCAAGCTGGTCTCAAACTCCTGACCTCAAGTGATCCGCCTGCCTTGGCCTCCCAAAGTGCTGGGATTACACATGTGAGCCATCACGCCCAGGCTTCCGTGCATAACTTTGATGACAGTAGAGGAGTGAAGGAGTAAAGGAACCTCTCTGTTTCAATTTGTCGAAGTATTTAATAATGCCTCTTCCAAGAAAAGTTCTCAGTAGGCCTCTAACTGCTGCTGTCTGTCCACCTGGGTCTAAGGCCCTTGTAAATGGACAGGGGCCCCTCAGGCTGCCTCAGGGTCCAGCAGCCTGACGGCTCTGGCCCTGCCCGAAGAAGTAAATGCCAAATATGGAGGTCATTATGGTCTTTAATAAAAGCTTGTTCCTGTAACCTGTGGGCTAGGTTCAAAGCACTATCTATTAATTGTATACCTTTTGCTAAAACAAGCACCCACCTTTGCAGTGGGCTGTCTGCCAAGGAGGCATTTATCATTTCTTGAATGGCAGAATTCCTCTTGGAACACCTGCTTTTCTTTCAGAAGGAAGCCGAGCCCTTCCCCTGAAGCTAGCCTCTCTTCCATGCTGACTATAATCTGCTTACTCCGGTCCCCAGTGCCTGAGCAGAAACCAGCTCAGGGAATTAAGTCCTGTGGGATGCTAACAGAATATGGCCTGAAGAATAGAGTCCATATCCTATTCAAGAACAGAGCACCTGGTATGGTGCTAATAATGCCTGGTTTCCTTGCTCTCGATTAGCCAGGCATCTGGGCTTCCTTCCTTCCTTCTTCTCTATCCATTTAATGCATTGGTTGCTGCAACGGAGAATGGTCAAGGGACGGAGAAAAGGAATTAAGCTTTAACCCACTAAGCCGTAGTTAGGAGTAAAGAAATCAAGGAGGAGATTGGTACCATCCACTAAAACAGGCACAGGGCCGATCTTGCAATTCCATCGGTCCACATTCTACCTGTGCCAGAAATCCAGACTACAGGGAGCCCGCCAGGTTGTCCCAGGGCACGCAACACAGTCTGATAAATGATCAGTCAAATGCACAGATGTACGTTCCACCTTCCCTGCCCCCAGAGAAGGAATTTAAACTCAGATAGAATATAGTTAACTTAGTGCACTTTCCTTGAAACGTTTGACAAATACAGTTGATTCTTATTCTCAGTTTATAGATGGGAAACAGCTTGGAGAGTTTTCTGTGGTTTAACTGAATTCTCTTAATACTAATAGCCCCCTGGCCATCCAATCAACACGTATTTGCAAGCTGTCATGATGCAAAATCGCTCCTTCTGTTTCAATGCCCTCTTGTGCTCTTTTTTTTTCCTGCTCCATCAATTCAACGGCCGCCTGTGGAACATCAGCAAAGCTCACTGCTGCAGGTTGCAGGACCCGGCAGACAGCAGTTGCTCAATAAACATTTTTCAGTGAGTGAGAGAGGAGACAGTCCTCATTCTTGAGACCAGTGAAGAGAAGACAAAGGAGCAAACCATGGCAAGATCCATGGGAGGCGCTGTGGTGGGGAACAGCAGCAGGCTCAAAGGAGAGACAAGACAGGTCGCCCAGAGGAGGTGACAGAAGCTGGGCGTTGAAGGTGCTACAGGAGTTTGCCCAGAGGGCAAGAGGAGAAGGACGTTCGGCAAGAGGGGAAGGACATTCAGCAAGAGGAAAGCACCTCTCAGTGCCCGAGAAACCCCAGCAAGTTCCTCCAAGGAAAGGCGGTTGTTTCCAGCCTGTGATTCTGCACCGAGGCCACCAGCACCTCCCGAGGGGCCAGCACATGAACGGCCACTGTCATGAAGCTGGAGCTGACGAGGGGCACATCCAGTAACAGCAAAAGAGAAAATAGGATGCCTTGTCTTTCTAAAGGACACCTCCCATCCCCACAGGCCTCAGACTGCTGTCTTCACTGGCTCCTGCTGCCCAGGAAAACCCCTTGCATGCCAGGT
Source organism: Homo sapiens (assembly GCF_000001405.40). NCBI lineage: Eukaryota > Metazoa > Chordata > Mammalia > Primates > Hominidae > Homo > Homo sapiens. The sequence continues at coordinate 121,673,367 of NC_000010.11, forward strand.
AAGACCCTCCTCCCTGGGTAAGCCCAGACTGTTCTGCTGTTGCCGTGGGTCCTCCCGCGAGGTCCCCTCTGACCTGGCACACATGAGGTCTTGTGCTGTAACCCCATCATGCTCAGGCTGGTAATGGTGCCTGAACACCTTCCTGGCTTCTTTCCTCCCCCACCGCCCCGCCCAGAGACAGATGTTGCTCTGTCACCCAGGCTGGAGTGCAGTGGTGCGATCTTGGCTCACGGCAACCTCCGCCTCCCCAGTTCAAGCAATTCTCCTGCTGCAACCCTCTGAGTAGCTGGGATTACAGGTGCACCCCCACCACTCCTGGCTAATTTTTGTATTTTTAGTAGAGACGGAGTTTCACCATGTTGGCCAGGCTGGTCTCAAACTCCTGACCTCGTGATCCACCCACCTCAGCCTCCCAAAGTGCTGGGATTACAGGCATGAACCACCACGCCCGGCCACCTTCCTGGCTTCTTTGTCCCTTGAACTCCTATTCCTTCTTCAAGGCCTGTCTGAGCACAATCTACTCTCTGAAGCTTTCTGAATCCTCTAAGTTCGCGGTTCTATCCCTGGTTGCACAATAGGTCACCCCAGGGCCTTTGAAAACAGTCCCAGATCTGAGCTGACCCCAGATGGTTGGATCAGAGTCTGGTAGGGCCCGGGTCTTAGGGCTGTGTCGGCCTGCTAGAGCTGCCATCATAGTGCCATGGACCGGGTGGCTTAGACAATAGGAGCGGACTGTCTCACTGTTCTGGAAACAAGGATTAAGGTGACACTTGGGGTTGGCTCCTTCTGAGGGCTGCAAAGGAAGGATCCACTTTGCTGATGTTCTAGGCCCCTCTCCTTGGCTTGCAGGTGGCTGGTTTCTTCCTGTGTCTCTTCATATCCTATCCCCTCTTTGTCAATCTCTGTGTTCGAATTTCCCCTTTTTTTTTTATAAAGACACCCGTCATATGGGATGAGAGACCACTCAAATGACCTCGTTTTAACCTGATTACCTTAGTAAGGACCTGATCTCCAAAAAAGTTCACATTCTGAATTATTAGGGGTTAGGACTTCAACCTACCAATTTTGAGGGGGACAGAATTCAACCCAAAACAAGGACATTAAATGCCTCCTGCGTGCTGCTAAGGTTAGGATCTGTTCTAAGCTGCTAACCAGGTTTAAGATCTTCTTCTAAGGAAGATCCTATTCTTCCTTAGAACAGCCAGCACTTGAAGCCACTGCTGATAACACTGGACTGTCAGGAATGAGATTCAGTTCTGAGAACTTTGGCTCAAACAAATTGTTTCCTTTTTCCCTTTTTCAAGAAGTGCAGAGGTGGAAGTCCTGGAAGAAATTCAATTAAACTTTGGGACCCCCTCCCAAGTTTTAGCCAGTTTATTTTATATTTTGCATTTTTTTCCTCAAAGAAGGCCTTCCACAGTGAAAAAGCCTCAGGCCCCACAAAACCTGGATCCATCTGACAAAGCAGGTCCAGGGGAGGTGGGGCCAGGGGAGAGCCCTCAGGGACCCAGTCTCCTTCCCGTTCTTCTTTGGAGATCTCTAGTAGGTGACTTCAATCATTAGGGTGCTACATCATGATTCTGTTCCCATATAAACAGTTTCCCCCAAAGCCCCGTGCAAGCTTGTATTTAGATCTCACTGTCAGAACTGGGACACGTGGCTTTCCCTAGCTGCAAGGGAGCCAGGGACAGGAGCTAAAAGTTGGACTTGTTGCCTCCCTGAACAAAATGGTAGATAATTAGCAGTGTCTGCCATGGCACTCCACATCTCTAGTGTCTGGTCCCTGCCTACTTCCCATTTATATCTGCTCATTCCTGAGCAGTGCAGAAGCCATCCTAGAGAAAGATGTGGACTGTGGCTGGGACCTGAAGCAAGGATAACGTGGGAACAGCCAGAGACAATGGGAAGGGCATTTCAGGTGGAGGGAAGAGCAGGAACAGGCACAGAGGTGGAGAGAATGGGTCAGGGAGGGGAGTGGGAAAGGGTTTGTTGTAGTTCCTGCACAGGGTCATGAGATAGAGGGACAAACCAGGAAGGCCTTTTCTTTTCCAGAAACTTAATTCATCAGTAATAGGAACAGCAGACTCGGGGCTTCCCAGAGCGAGCTTGACTGAACTCTGATTCCACAGCTTGCCGATAAACTACCTTTTGCCACATGACTGGGCCTGACAACTTGTTTACTCTCTGTTATTCATTGTACACACCAGATGGAAAACATGCCCAGCCTCATTCACTATTAAATTCCTCCTGAAGGTACTTACTTGAGAGAAAGCAAATATTCTAGGCCAGGTGTGGTGGCTCATGCTGGTAATCCCAGCACTTTGGGAGGCCAAGTGGGGTAATCGTTTGGGCTGGGAGTTCAAGACCAGCCTGGCCAACAAGGTGAAACCCTGTCTCTATTAAAAATACAAAAATTAGCCAGGTGTGGTGGTGCATGCCTGTAGTCTCAGCTACTCAAGTGGCTGAGGCATGCTTGAGCCAGGTAGGCAGAGGTTACAATGAGCTGAGATCAGGCTGCTGTACTCTAACCTGGGTGAAAGAGTGAGACTCTATCTTAAAAAAAATTCTAAAGGAATACTGTCTCTATTGAGTTTAATATTCTGTACCCTTCCCTTCCCTTTCTCTCTCTGTCTGCATACACACACACACACAAACACGCACACACACACACACACAAACACAGGATGCCTTTACCAGCCTGCAGACTCCTTACCCCAGACAGCTTTCTTGGAGCTGAACCGTCAGCAGAAAGGCTGCAGAAATTGTGGTCAGTTAGCATAGACCTCGGACACAACCAGCAAGCCGGGAATGGGACATGGCCTCACATCAGTGTGGACAGAGGTGTCCCTGGCTGGCCCATCAGCCTGCAGCCATTTCCCCATCCAGGTCAAGGGCAGGCCAGAGTGAGGCAGGGTCAGCCAGGCAGTGTCAGAAGACAGCAGAAAGGATTCTGGTCATCTCTTCCCTGTGGCTGATCGCAGCCTGAGGTGAACAGAGGAGGCAAGACACACAGAAAAGGAGAGCGCTGAGCTGGAGGCGCATGTGGAGGCACCTGTTCTGGGGCCCCTAGGCCGTGTCGAATGCTGGAAGCCCAGGGTGGAAACAGCCCCTTGGTCCACATTCCCCACTGGGGGCTGAGACATCATGCACCTTGGGTGCAGTTGGAAAGTCTCCCAGGAAGTGGCTAAAGGCAGAGGCAGGTGCTGAGAGGGTTCTCTCTTTCTCCTTTTTTAGAGCTGTCTGTGAGTTGGACAGTTCCCAAGAGGAGCATTACAAAGCTTTTCCCCCAAGTAGGCTGCTATGATGAGCTATGAATCCACATGCTGAATTCCAAGGAATGCCGGGGTGCCAGTGGGGCTGAAGGGGATAACACTCCCCCTTTTTGGTATTCCTTTTCTGGGACAGCCAAGCTTCCAGGAGCCTATGCTGCTCATGCATGAACAGGTTCAAGGGAGTGGAGGCGAATCTGAGCCCTGGGCAAAAGGGCTTCTCATAATAATTAATGCGGTAGTTTTTGCAGTCTTCGTGCAAGGTAAAACCACCCTTTGGAAGAACATCACTGGCAAAGGTGGCCGTGACCATAATAGATCTCAAGATGTTCTTCCTGACTGTGTTCTTCGAAATGCCCATATTCCAGGGTCAACGCTGCTCATATGCTCACCAGCCCAAGAAGCACTTGCCTACTCACGTGGGAGGCTGTACAGCATGAAAGTTATGGCCTGGGTTCAAATCCTGACTGCTACTCTTTGACCCCAGACTATTTGTTTACCTCTCTGTGCTTTGGTTTCCTCATCTGTAAAACAAGAGTAACAATAGTGCTGACATCACAGGATGTTGTGCTGATCAAAGGAAATAATCCATTTAACACACTTAGCATACCATCTAGCACATGATAGATCCTCAAAAAAAATTGCTGCTATTTTTGTTAATATCTTAGAGATATTGAGAGATGTCCTGGATAATGGGAATTATTTTCCCCTATAAAAGACTGTCAATTATACAATCCTGCCAAGGGTCATCCCTTCCTGCTCCTCAGAGCACTATCTCCCAACTCAAAGGGTTCTTCCTGTTGTCTTGAATGCCTTCATTAACATGCACCTGGAACATCAACAGTTTTCAGCATTAAGGAAATGTGAGTATGTTTCTTTAATATGGAGACCCAAAAAGCTGAGAGCAAAGACTTAGCCAGCAAATGCACAGAAAATGACACACAAATGACTTTGCTTAAATATAAAGAGATGCTCAACCTTATGAATAAGAAAAGAGAAAAGTACACCTTAAATCATACTAGATCTCATCTTTTACCTTCTAGGTAAGCAGGACTCAAAAAGGCTGGAGACAACCTAAATGTCTGTTTAGTGCTGGTTAGTCCATTATTAGGGGACTGCGTAAGTTTATTATGGGTCACATAGACCATGAAGAAGAATGAGAGAAACAACACCTGGGGTATTTTCTTAACAAATCAAGTGCAGGACTGTGAGTTTCATATGCGACAATACAGGTGAAAGAGGAGGAGGAGGAGTGTGTTTACAAATGCAGCTGAATATGTCTAGAATATCTCTGCAATATGCCCCCAAATCAACTAGGAGTGGCCACTGCCCCTGGGGAGGGGAGCCACAACCAGGATGGTCTGCATATGCTTTGGTATCTCCTAGGTTTTTCCTTTGAAAACTTTTATCCTATTGCCTTGGGTGGTGGGATAAGAGCTATTTAAATATGTTAATCCATAGCAGTAGAATAATAGAATAAGTGCAGAGCCTGATTTCAAAATCTGAAATCCTGGGTTTCTTTGGCCAGCAAAATAAATATGACACAAAAGCCTATTCATGTACATCAAAATCAAGTCTGTGCCAAAACTCTACTTGCTTAACATAAAGTCTGGCAGGGGAGATGCAGAAATCCCTTGCCTGAAGATCAGATGGAAATTTCTAGTTTAAACTCCCAGTCATTGTGAAGCCAACTTTCAAACTCACTTGGGGCTGGAGGGTAACACAAGATCTCAAGTGTTTTCCAAATCCAAGCAGGATCCAAGCTGGGAGATCCACCGTGGAAGAGAAGAACCACCAAACCTCCAGGTTAGTCTTGAGGATCCACTGGTCCTCCCACCACACCCAATGGGATGGCTGTTTTGAGCCCCCCTCACTTGTGAAAGATTGTGTTGTCAGTCTTAGCTAACAGCCTTAGTTGACAGAGCAAGCCCTGTTGTCCAACTGGCCTCCCCTTCTCAGGTTTCTACATCTCCTCTCCTACCCTAGCCCTGCATGGGCAGGGGTCATCCAGCCTCAAGACCAACAGAGCCAGACACTCACACAGCCAGGCCTTGGGAACACCTGGGGTGAGCTCCAGAACAGGGTCCTGCCGCTGCTCCCCAGCCCAGTGCTGGGGTCACTTTCCTCCAGTAAGATCCTATTAAAAAAAAATTAGACAAAAATGTAACACAGTTTATTTGAGTAGTAAAGGATTCATGGATCGGGCAGCACAAAAAACCAAAAGAGGTTCAGAGAACTCTGCTCCAGCAGCACAGGCAGCAAGCTTTTATGGGCTGAATGTGGAAGTAAAGAAAAGAAATTACTTAAATGACTACAGCTGTGTGTTTGCCTTATTTGCATATGCTCTGATGGTAGGTAAGTCCCTAGTTAGAGGTTGGTTGGTGGTGACTGATGAGTTAAGTTTTGTTTTACTGTTTCCATCAGGCTTCAGTTGCTTACATATTATAGGAACCCACAGGACTGCAGCCAGTTCAACCTAAGGCCTCCCAGTTAAATTTTTAACAGTCCCAAAAAGTGGAACCCTTGAAGCCCATAAAAGCTGGGGATAGAGAGAGGAGGGGGGACAGAGAGACTCAAAGCTGGTGTGCCCCCAGGGAATAGTTTACCTTCGTGTATGTGTGGATTTACGTTTCTCAGACAGTTTGGTCTTCAGAGCAAAGACCCAGAGATCCAGGGTCACATTTGGCCACTGCAGGACTTTCCCCAATGGATCAACCCAAAGGATGTTGCTTTCCTCTGACTTGGCAACTACTAGGGCTGAAGGCAGGTTGAAAAGGAGCCATAGAGGATGCAAAGGGTTCCAGGCTTGACCAAGAGAATACAGGTGGATAAGAGGATGTGCAGCTGAAGAAGCCAGTGGTTTCTGCAGGATGGAAGGTGGGTGGGACGTGGGACACGGGGGTGGTGGTCAAGCCCAGGCATGCTGGGTTAAGGTACTAGGCATGTTAGGATGATCAGGGGAAGATATTCAGCAAGAATCAGAAAAGTAGAAGGCAGCTGCCCAGCAGCCACCTTGACTGGTGTGGACTGAGCTCTGGGAGGAGTGACTGTGTGGCCACCTCTGGCACGGTGCACTGGGACAGAGCAGGGCCCCAAGGGTGATCCCCTCCTCAGTCTGCCTCTCCCTGCCTTCCTTCTACCTGGATCACCCCAAAACAAGGAGCAGGAGGTAGAAGCAGAGAAGCCTGAGCCTGAATCCCACATGGCCACTGCTGGCCTCTCTGAGGCTCAGTTTCTGTGCTCATACAATCGGCGTAAAACACCTTCCCCCAGAAGAGTGTGAGAGTTAAACCAGACGATGTATTTCAAAGCATAGTGCCCAGCACTTAATAACAGCTTCACAAAGATTTAATTATTATTCAATCATTAGCTGCTGCATAGTGGTTAAGAGGAAGAATTCTGGAGCCAGACAGTGTGGGCTCAAATCCTCTAGGAGTCGATCTCAGTTTTCATGGCTCTGTGTCTCAGTCTCCACATCTGTAAAATGGGGTAGTTGTGAGGATTAAATGAGCGACTACATGACAGAAATTCAGGGCAGTGCCTCTACATGAGTGCCACCTAAGTGTGAGGTAGTGTTACCAAACTGTGCTTTCACTCCTGAGAAGTCAGTCAGACAAGGGCTTTAGTGAGAAGAGGTCACCTCCCACCATCTCAATATAAAAAACGGTATGATGGCCAAGCCTGTGGTTCCAGTTACTTTGAAGGCTGAGGCGAAAAGATTGCTTGAGCACAGGAGTTCAAAACTAGCCAGGGCCATATAGAGAACCCATTTCTAAAAAATAATATAATTTTTCAATGTTAAAAAGATAATATGGCCTTCCTTTTCTCTCTCACCAGTTTTTAAATGAAATTGGGCTGTTTGGCTAAAGGCCCTACTTTTCCTTCCCTTCCTCTTCGTGGGAACATCCGAGTGTGTCCTTGGCTCAGTGGGGACATGGCCAGGCCCCCAGCAGCCTGCTTCCTCCAGACTGGATTTCTGTTTATCAGACATTTTGTTCTTCAGAGCAAAGACCCAGAGATCCAGGGTCACATTTGGCCACTGCAGGATTTTAGAAGGAACGTTCAAGCAAGACCTAACGTTGAGCCATCACAGAACATCCTCAATGCAGGCCCTGAAAGGCCCTGGCACTTTGCGATCAGGGAAGCCTGCCCATCCCAGCACTCGGGGAGCTTGCTGTCCAGAACAGGGGCCTTTTAGGGAGAAAATAAAAGCACCAACGTTTATCCCCAAACATAGCCATGCCATGTGAGAATCAATCTGCCCAGATAGGAGGGGGTCAAAATTCAGAAACACAGCCTCTGAAAAGCTGCCTGGCCATCTGTGGGGAAGAAATCAGAACAGACAGAACAGTCTGGGATAGGGGAGGAGAGAAGGAGCCTCATTATCTGCTGATCAAAGGGCAGAGGTAGAGAAAGAGCAGTGAAAACATCTCAGAGTGGAGAAGAAAGGGCTGCTGGGAGGACTCCGTGTGTGTCTTGCCTTTGGGGAGGGCAGAGTTACCCTGACAACCCCACGGGACAGCAGGGATGAAGTCAGGGGAAAGGGGATGTCAGGTTTGTTAATAACAAGCCCTCAACACTGAAGCCACATCTGAGTGAGGTGGAGAGAAGGCATGTCCTGGGATGAGGTGGAAACAGCATGCCCTAAGCCCTGGACACTGGCTTCGAAATTCCTGGGCTCATCTTCTTGGCCCCTCGGGGGCCTAATCCCGAAACACTGTGACAAATCGGCTCTAAACTCCAAGGCATTCCAGCCAAATCTAATCCACACGGAATGTCTGCTGTGCAGCTGAGCCACAGCACACGAGGTTTGGGGATTTAATGACTGGTGTCACGAGGCCCCATCATGTGTGCTGCCCCTCTGAAGAGGCCCAACTCCAAATGCTGGGGATTTGAGGGAAAGAAATAAATTAGGATCAGAGTCTTGGGCAGGTAAAGGGCTGTCAGGCCAAGATTGTAAATACACCCCCTGCAGGCTGGCCACATTAAAAGGAGAAGACACTGCACAAGTTTTTCAGAAACTACAGAGGATGACAGCCTCAAGTGTTTGGAGCAGGAAGAAGGATGACTTTGTTCTACTGTGGTCTGTCCATATTTCACGGCCATATTTACCATGAGGCCAGTGTCTCTGGTTCTCAGAATGCCTGGCTGCACCCCCTCCCTCCCCGTGCTGGTCCAGCCTCAGTGCACCCGGCAGCCTCTTCCGCACCACTCAATATCTGGTCTGTTCTTCATACGGGGCCCCCATCCTGCCTCTGTGTGCCTTTGCCCCTGTACTTCCTTCTACCTGGGGGTCACTTCCCCTCCCCCAGAGATACCCACATTTCCCCACTTAGACCCTTCCTTGGTGTTGAGAGAACTGGACGAAATAGTATATGCAAGGTGCCCAATGGGGGATGGAAATGGCGACTCAGAAAGCCCGGGGGTGCTCCCCCGCACCAGGATTACTGCCAGGAGAGGGAGGGGGGAGGCTCAGGGCGGAGTGTGCCTGAGATTTATGGGAAAGTACATCAGACTTCTTAAAAAGCAGCTGAAAATGCCCCAGCTCGAGAGCAGGAAAGGGAACCCCCAGTCCAGGGGAAAGGGGGAGCTGGGGGCCAAGAAGGGGCCAAGCTCTGAGACTGACAATAGGTTTCCCTCCACAGACTGGGCGGCTGTCCCAGGCTCTCAAGCACAGAGAAACACAGCGAAGCTGAAGTTGAAGAAGTAGCTACAGTTTCCGGGCCTCAAACAATGGCAATTAAAAACAAAAAAACTTTTTATTTGAAAATAATTATAGATTCACAGGAAGTGGCAAAAACAGTGCAGACTGGCCCCGTGTACCCTTTGCCTAGTTTCCCCCGACGTTTACATCTTACGTCACGAAAGTACAACATCAAAACCAGGAAACTGACGTTGGGACAATCCGCAGACCTTATTCAGATTTCAGCAATGGCGTTTTAGTCACCCGAAAGGGCTCTCAAACACGATATGACCAGGAATCCCAGCTGTGCTCTCCAGAAGGATCCGCCACGCTTGCCAATCCACACCACGGCGGTTCCGAAAGCTGCCTCCCCTCTGCCATCCATTCCTAAGGCAAGTGGGAAGAAACGTCACCTCCCGCTCCACAATTTCTCAGGGAAGCCGAGGAGGCCAGCGTGACGGGGGAGCAGAGTGGACATCCCAGGACACAGCTGCGCCTGCCTGCTCTTTCCCTGTGCTCTGGCGGCCTGTCCTGGGCCTTACACCAACGCGATGAACAGGGGAAACGGGGTGCTGAGCCTCTGCGTGAAAGGGGGCTTGTTTAGTCTCCTACCTGCCCGCTTAGAAAATGTTCTCAAAGGTCAGGCACGGTGGTTCATGCCTGTAATCCCAGCACTTTGGGAGGCCAAGGCGGCTGGATTGCTTGAGGCTAGGAGTTCGAGAGCAGCCTGGCCAACATGGCAAAACCCCGTCTCTACTAAAAAAAACAAAAAAATTAGCCGGGCACGGCGGCACATGCCCGAGATCCCAGCTATTCGGGAGGCTGAGACACGAGAATCGCTTGAACCCGGGAGATGGAGGTTTTGGGGAAAAAAAGAAAATGTCCTCAGAGTCTGCCCTGCCATCACCTTGAGAGTGACCTGTGCCCCAGTTTTCTCATCTGTGTAGTGGGGTTAAGAACAGAACCCACCTCGTAGGTTGATTAGGCAGGTTCAGTAGGGTGATATTTGTAAAGAGCTTGGAACATGCCAGGTGCATAATAACTGTACATATGTGTTTGATAAATTAATCAAAATAAAATACAATATCTGTAAACGATTTCACAGGAGAGCAAAGCTAGTGCTAAGGCTTTTCCAAATAGCCTGGAGTGTGTGAGGCTTTTGGAAGCATGGAGGTCTTTGACAGAGCATTTAATTTATATGGGGGACGCTTTTTGCGTGCAAAATTGATTTGATATGCAAATAAACTGGAGTTGATTGAAGATTATTAACCACATGCTCTGAATAGTGGTTGTGTTTGAGAAAAAAACATCAGTCCTCCCTCCCAAGGGCCTTGTTAATAAGTCAGGTTTTTCTCCCCGGTCCCTGCCCTCCTCCCTTGCTGGTTTCTCAACACCTAACCATGCCAGGTCTATAAAGTAATTGCAGGTATATTTGCAAGGCCGGGGCTGGATTTGAATGTACGTTCAACACTCCCTCATTTCATTTTTAGAAATTCTGCAGGGTCTGAAAAGGACACAGGCAGAACGTTACTGAGGCTTCTAACAATGAAATGAGGAGGCCTTTCAGTGGTCATGGTGCGACAATCGGCCAGAACTCTGACCCCAGGGCAGGAGGTGCCCTAGGGGCACATTTAATGGTTGAGGCTTGCTGGAAAGGCCCGCACTGCCCTCTCAGCTGGGCTACACTCTCCCTGGGGCCATTCAGGGAAAGTCAGAAATCTCTTTCTCCCCAGACCGCAGCAGCTGGGCCAGAGAAATGGGAGGTTAAACAGATTACAGGCTCAACAGCAGGGAGCTCCTAATGGACCCTATTCAAGGGGACATGAGGCCCTAGGATTTTGTACTTTATTATGGTGATCGAAAAGGAACGCTGAACTTTTTTTTTTTTTTTTTTTTTTTGTGGTAAGATGTCTATAACACAAAATGTAGCACTTTAACCATTTTTGGGTGTACATTTCAGTGGCATTAAGTACATTCATAATGTTGTGCAACCATCACCACTATCTCTTTCCAAAAATCTTTTCATCACCCCAAACGGAAAGTCTGTATCCATTAAGCAATATCTGTCCATTCCTCCCTTCCCCGCAGCCTCTGGTAAACTATAATCTGTGTTCTATCTCCGTGAATATGTCTACTCTAGATGTTTCATATAAGTGGAATCTTACAATATTTGTCATTTTGTGGTTGGTTTATTTCACTTCGCATAATATTTTTAAGACTCATCGGTGTTATCACACGTATCAGAATTTCCTCCCTTTTTAAGACTGAATAATCCTTTGTAGGGGTATGTCACATATCTGATGAAGAATTGAAAGCAAGCACTCAGACGTGTACTTGTACACCAAGTACGTGTCTTGGTTACTGCAAATAGTGCTGGTATGAGTGCTGGTGCACAAGTACTTGTCTGAGTCCTTGCCTCCAATTCTTCATTGTATATGCCTGTGAGTAGAGTTGCTGGATCACATGGTAAGGAAAGCTACAAGTTTGCACTAAAGCTTTGCTTTCCTGGCTAAGGCCAGTTCTAGCCCACCTGACAGGAGCCACGCGAGCCACACATCACATGGCCCATGTTTCCAGAACTCAGTCACGTGCATAGTAATTTGCACCTTTGTTGTAATGGCACATACCTTCTGCCTTAACAGCAGGATCAATGAGAAAACTGAACAAGGTGAGGCAGGAAGTGAGGATGCACATCTCCACATGGGAAGCCTCAGGTACCAGGACCTTGCACAAAAGTGGGGACAGAAGGGTCCCCTGGTGGAGAGTGACTCATGTACTCCTTAGAAGGTACTGACATTTGTTTTTAAATGGTTATTATCCTGCCAGCACTGCCTGGCTTTTTTTCCCCATTGAGGTTTAGGACAGGTTTTTGAAACTTCATTCATTCATACACCATTTCATCACGTAGGCTGAGGAGTCACCCTCTGTCTGTCACTGAGCACAATCACTCCGGCACTTCCTGGACAGGGCATTCTTCCAGGTATTTGGAGATAATCCCATTGCCTTCACTTGCACCATGAAGATTAAAATAGTTAATTGATTGCAGCTAGAACACAGCCTGCACATCAATGCTCAGTGAATGCTCCTATTGTGGGGATGAATATTATTTAAGGGATACAAACAGAAGGCCAGAGCTCTGTTTTCATGCAGCTCACAGTCTAGGAGAGCTTGTTTCTGGCCCAGAGTTGAAGAATGTTTCAGGAATCACAGGAGATGTGACATTTGTGCTGGATCTGGAACATGGGTGGGATCTGGTGGGCATAGATGGAGATGAAGCCCGGCTGCAGGGAGTCGAGGAGTCCTGGGGCTGGAGCTGGGGAAGGTGCATGCGTCTGAGTGGCCGGAAACTTGTCAGAAAGGAAGATTCCCTGGGTTCACCCCCAGAGGGTCCCATTCAGGTGTGGAGTGGAGCCAGGAACGTACAATTCTAAGCAGTTCTTCAGGGGACCCTGGTGCAGGGGGTGCTCGGATGAGATTTGGGGGTTGCTTGCCAGGTTGGAGGAGGTAGAGTTAGGAAGAATCAAGCTCAGATGAGTCAAGGCTTCATATGGTCTTGAATCAGAGTGAAGGTGGGAATGGGAACAGAAGCGCCAGAGAGAGAAAATAACTTCAACCCCCAAACTTAGGATGATTATTGAGCCATAAAAAGGAACGATGTATTGATACATACTACAACACAGATACACTTTGCAAACATTATGCTAAGTGAAAAAGCCCATCACAAAAGGCCATATATTGTATAATTCTGTTTATATAAACTATCCAGAGCATGGAAATTCATAGAGACAGAAAGCTGATTAGTGGTTGCCAGGAGGCGGGGGAAAGGAAAATAGGGCATGACCAGTTAGTTAATGAGAACCACGTTTCTTTGGGGGATGATTAAAATATTCTGGAAGTAGGCCGGGAGTGGTGGTTCACACCAGTAATCCCAGCACTTTGGGAGGCTGAGGCGGGCAGATCACTAGAGGCCAGGAGTTCAAGAGCAGCCTGGCCAACATGGTGAAAACCCGTCTCTACTAAACATACAAAAATTAGCCGGTCATGGTGGTGGGTGCCTGTAATCCTGGCTACTTGGGAGGCTGAAGTGGGAAAATCTCTTGAATCTGGGAAGCATAGGCTGCAATGAGCTGAGATCGTGCCACTGCACTCCAGCCTGGGTGACAGAGCAAGCGAGATGCTGTGTGTTTGTGTGTATATATATATTCTGGAAGTAGGTAGCGGCGATGGCTGTACAACATTGTGAATGTACCAAATGCTGCTGAATTGTTCCATTTAAAATGGTTAAAATGATAAATTTTGTAGCATATGTATTATTCTACAATTTTAAACATGCTATCTGAGCAGATACACTGATTCACTTTATGAGTAAAATCTGACTTTTCCTTCATTCTACCATGGAAAATGTAGTCAGTGGTCCCAACCAAAGAGTGCTGCGGTGTGTTTTAAGTACATTATTTTGAAGGTAGTTGCTCAGGACCTCTGCAGGAGACTTCTGCCAAAAATTCAAGAGAAATCATGCCCAATGTGTAAAAGATATGCAGAATGCATAACCATGCACACATGAGATGTACACAGTCTCTCTCTTCCCTAGCAGACAGAGTTGTCTTGAGGGAGGTCCGGCATCAAAGCCGTTTCCCTCTCTTGTTTTTACTGGCATGAGAGAGCAGGAGGTGGAAAGGAAGAACAGCAGGCTTTGGGGGACCCTCCGAGCAGAGCCAGTGCTCTGATTTGCAGCAAAGAAGAGAAGAGAATCCTGGGTGATGGAGGCCAGCCCAGATGCCTCCAGGATGTGGCTTAGGGAGCTTGGTCTTGCCACTGGCCCCTCAATCTCAGGGACTCACGCTCCCTTTTCTCTGAAGGGAGCACAGCAAAGGAATCCATCCCAAACCAAGATGCAAGGCTGAGGAAAGCAAGCTAACAGCCTGGCTTCTCCCTCAGCTCCAGCCCTCATGGCAGATGCTCAACTGCCCCGGGAGCTGGCCAAGACAAACAGCTCAGGGGACTTTCAAAGCAGCCTCTAAAAGCCATGTGCACACAGCACCAGGTTCCTGCGCCTACCCGAAGGTGTGATAACTCTACCCACCACCTGGCTAGATGCCAGTCCCCCACTCCGACTCCCGTTTCCAGAGGTGGGCTTCTCCACGAAGGAATACGATCAGGAATATTAGTTTAGCTGCTGGGGCTAGAATGCTAGAAAGCTTGGGTGGCTAGAAAGAATCGGTGTGTTTTCTTTTTCTTTCCGCTTTGTAGGATGCAAGCTCTGATGAAAGGGGGAACTTTGATCCTGCTCTCACTCAGCCATCCACAGGGAAGGAAAAGCCAAGGAGACACCTAGAGCCAGTAAAGCCGGAGCCTGCCATGGGTGGAACAGAGTCAGCAGAATGCAGGCTCCTCTGGAAGTGGAAAGAGATTGTTGCCTGGGGCTTACTGAACCCTCCAGAAGGTTCCATTTTAAGAACCATCATGCCTTCAGGTTCTGCTTTGGCCCCAGAAGCCCAGAGAAACCCTGGCTGTGCAGTCTTCATTTCAGAGGTTCTCGAGCACTACTAAAATGGCTTGGTTTGACCCACATTTATTGAGTCATTCAGTGTTCACTGAGTGTGTTCTCTGTGTGTAGAGCTTGTTCCTGTGTAGAGGAGGTCCAAACCCAGCACCAGGTCCAGTTCCCCATGAATAGAAGATACTAAATAAGTGTCTGTTGAACACACAAATGAATGAATGAATGAATGGATGAATGAGAGAAACTTTGTCTTCAAGAAATTCACAATCCATTTCGGATGGCCAGACATACACATGAAAGGTTCGTTGCATGAAATATTGTGAAAAGGAGTTTATGGTGAAGAGTCAAAGTCCATATGGATGGCACAAGCTTGTGCAAAAGAGTGATGCTGTTGGTTGACCGAAGAAAAGCTTAGTGAGAGGATTTAACCTTAAAGGACTTGGAAGATGGAATGTGGGGAAGGGATGAGAGAAGGCAGAGGAGAATGCAAACAAGCAGGGCATGTTGGGGAGATAAGAGTGGCACAGTCTGGAGGAGCAGGTGGGGAGAAGAACCACGAGAGATGGCATTAGGAGGACAGCCAGGGCAAGAGAACACAGTGTTCTATCAGTAGGAGACACTTGAAAGGCTTTGGGGTATGCTACAAGACATGCAAAATAGATTTTATGTAGATTATGCTAATGTAATATACAAGATAGACTGGAAAGAGAAAGAAATGGAAGGGAGGAAGCCAGTTGAGGTGACAGTGATGAACTTTGGGCAGGTCTCAGACTCCTTTGAGAACTATAAGCCCTCTCCTCACCAAAATAAATCTATACACACACAAAAGTGTGCATATGATCTCAAGGGGTGTTTTGCAGCCCTAAACCCTATTTATAGACTTCCTAGGATCCTGGCTTCCCTGGGTAAGTACCTCTCTGTGGGAGAATTGCACTTTTCAGAATGCCTCCCTATGTGCCAAGCTGGATTCTTTATAGAGAGTTTTGAGAATGATTTTACATGAGGATTGAAAGAGGCAGAGCAGATACTAAGGCTTTATTTATGCTGAGGGGCTAAGCACAGGATGCTCAGAGAATAATCCACGGCGGGAGCAGTCACCTCAACCGTCAGTGCCTACGAGCAAGGTTGGGGTCCAAACCAGAAACATCACATCATAGCTGGAAACTGAACATACCAAGGGCTCCTCTACCATCAGCCTGAAACCCAGCATGGAGCAACACACTCAGTGACATTGGGTAAAAATATATCACTTTAGTAAAAAGGAGGACGTGATAAGAGTTATGCATTTTAAAAGGCAAAATATTTTCTTTTTGGTATTCCATAAATATCACTCTAGGTAAATACTTTGTCTCAAATGGGATACATGGTTTTTTTTTTTGGCGGGGGAGGGGTACAGGGGTGGTTTTGGTTTTTTTCCTGAATAGCCAAAAAAATCTCTATAGACTTTTGGTTGTGGTTTAACGTGTACTCCCATGTCACAGATGGCACTGGGGAGAATAGTGTAGTATGTGGTGTGCCAAGACACTAATTAGTATGTAAGGATTTACTTGAAAAAGACATGAAATAGTTCATATGTAAACCCACAAAAAATGGGTGAGAAAAGACCAATAAAGTAGAGTTATATACATACAAACACACAGATACAAAGATCAAATGAATCGTGTGCTTGCTTTTTTATTTGATTTTTCCCTTTTTCTTCTGTTTCAGAGGCTTGGGGGCATATCACCTCAGAGAGAAAGAGAAACTCCTACGGGGTTTGAATCGATCATCAAGAAGCTATTTTAGTTTCATCTACTATGAAAGCCTGTGGGGTCTCACCCCTTCTGGATTGCTGAGGAAGGTTGTTCTGAACACGCCGGGGAGTGAGAGAGAGTGAATAGGCAGGAGAACGTCAGGATCTCCAGACTTTTAGACAAGGAGGCCCTGGGGCACAAAAAATAGTCCGAATGCATAAGACCTAGTATTTGCTAGCACAACAGGGTGACTCCCCTCAAAAATGATTGAATCGTACATTTAAAAATCGCTAAAGAGTATAACTGGATTGTTTGCAACACAAATGATAAATGCTTGAGGGGATGGATACTCCATTTACTCTGCTGTGATTATCATGCACTGCACGCCTGTATCAAAATATCTCATAAAACCCATAAATATATCCACCTACTATGTACTCACAAAAATTAAAAATAAAAAATTATATTAAAAAAAGAAGAAAAGGAGGCTCTGACCAGCTGTCTATCGCCTCTCAGGAAATCCAGACAACACTTCAAGAAGAAGAAGCTGTAAAGACAATTTTTAAGAGAAAATCCTTTTCCATAGAGTATTCACAAACTAGGTTTCCACAGCTAGTTTCATGGCAGTACCAGATGCCTTTTCATACAAATGCTTCAGCCAGCAAAACCTTGCGTAAGAGAAGGGGCAGGAGGCCTTTGAAGTTGGTTGTGTTTTTTTGGGTGGCTTGGATTTTTCTGGGTGACTGATTTTCGCATATCCATCTTCTGGTTCTAACTTGGCCTCTACCAAGCCAGTGATTTAGGCTCTACCTTGTTGCTCATTAACTAGGAGGAATGCCTACGGGGCTTAGGTGCTTTCAAGAAAGTTGCCATTGTAACAAACTGATTGATGGTCCTGCTTTTACAGCTCCAACTTGGTTCCATTTGCCCAAAGAAATAGAGGTCGCTCTTATGTACAATGCACTGATTAATCATGGATCCCAAGTGAGAGACAAAAGAATGGGACACCCAGCCACCAAGAGGGTTTCTTCTTTCCCTCCCAGCTCTGGAGCAAAGTCCTAGATAAAACATGGGTAAGGAACCTGAGTTCTTTAGAGGCAGTCTCTAAAGAGAGAAGTCTTTCATTCATGCGTATTTGTATCCAGGCTGTGAGCTGAGAACTCTGTCAATGGTCTTTGCAGATGCAATTCCACGTGGGAGCATCGCTAAAGGATTTTAGAGAGAAGCCACGGGCGATAATATAGAAATCCACACTCTAAAGCAATCGACTGATACAACTGACAGGTAGATAGCATTTAGTTATTACTGGGACGGCTTAAATTTAATACATTCTTCCAGAAAAAAATGAAATATGCTTCTCACCAACAGGAGGAAGTCACTTTACACTTGCTCATCAATATTTTCTTCTTACATTGCCTGATTCCCAATACTTCATCTGTTAAATGTCTTAACTAGCATTTGCAAAGGAAGAAATGAACATGACTTGCTTCTGAGAAAGGAGAGGAGCAAATTCTTTCATAAGCTTTACAGGTCGCTTCTGGGTAAAAATAAAAAGTCCAAGCATAGAAATCAGGTGAGAATCTGGTCAGCCAGGCATGCTGTGTCTATGCGGGGGCTGGCTGAGGTTGCATAACAGAGGGCTATGCGGGACTGATCTTGCTCCCCACTGCTGCTGATGCTCTTTTTTCCATAACTAAAAGGGCTTTTTGAATCTTTCAAAGACATCTTAAGGAGTCTTGCTTACTCCTTTATTCTAACCAAGGGAGCTGAGAAGAAAAATTTCTTCTACTTCTTCCTATTATTTTTTCTAGAGGCAGAGTCTAACTCTGTCGCCCAGGCTGGAATGCAGTGGCACAGTCATAGCTCACTGCAGCCTCAACCTCCTGGGCTCAAGGGATCCTCCCACCTCAGCCTCCTGAGTAGGTGGGACTTCAGGTGTGCATCGCCACGCCTGGCTAATTTTTAAATTTTTTTTATAGACAGGGTCTCACTATGTTGCCCAGGCTTGCCCTCAAGCAGTCCTCCCATCTTAGCCCTCCAAAGTGCTAGGATTACAAACATGAGCCACAGCGCCCAACCTCTATTATTATTATTAAACATCAAGATTTTAAACCTTTGCATTGGCAAGAGTATGGGCCATTTTCTACCTTTATTTATTGGCATTATTAGAAATAGCCTTCGCTTTTGCTTCTTAATCATTAATTTCAATTTTTTTGTTGTTGTTTTTGTTGAGATGGAGTTTCACTCTTGTTGCCCAGGCTGGAGTGCAGTGGCACAATCTCGGCTCACTGCAACCTCCACCTCCCGGGTTCAAGTGATTCTCCTGCCTCAGCCTCCTGAGTAGCTGGGATTACAGGCACCCACTACCACGCCCAGCTAATTTTTGTATTTTTAGTAGAGATGGGGTTTCACCATGTTGGCCAGGCTGGTCTTGAACTCCTGACCTCAGGTGATCCACCCGCCTTAGCCTCCCAAAGTGCTGGGATTACAGGCATGAGCCACTGCACCTGGCCAATTTTAATTTTTTTTAATGAAAAAATGTGGATATTTTAAAAAAAACACAGCATCAATCCCAACCTCGAACCCTAAAGGCAAAACAATCCCACATACAAAACCAATTCTGCCGCAATCACAGTCTCCTACAAGCCCACTTTCCTGTGTGGCACATCCATTGAGGACGGCACTGTTTATCACAGCCTTTAACGCCAGGTATGAAAATCTTGAACAATCGCCTTCGCAGGTGAGCATAAAAACTGCCTGAGCTTGCCACATGTGGACGGGGAAACCAGCACACTGCCAGGTTACTCCTGGAGGGCATTAAATTGCAGAGACGAGTACAAAGGAAGCTTTGCTCAGAGTACAGACCCCAATCTGCTTGTGTTATGTTCTATGCTGTGGACCCTTTACTATTTTTGATTTTTAAAATAAATAGCCCTGAGGGAAAAGCTGGCTTTACATCAACACACAGAAATTTAATTTTAACTTTCATGAATACAGCTATTAACAAACGGTCCCTTTCGGGCAGGAAGGGCTTCTACCAGCAGAGACCTTGTCTGTGACTTCAGCTCATGAGTTTCCAGAACAGTTCGCTGTGTGTGTCTGAGTGTGTGTTTTTTAAAAAGAAAACAACCGTGTACAACATAGCGCCTTTTCTCTCTCTCTCTCATTCGAAAAATTCTTTCCAGCTTACTTAAGATGATAGGAAATCGTATCGCCTTTAAAAAGGGAACTACTGAACCAGAAACTTCCAGTGCTCCAAAATAGAAAAGCATATGGCTACCAACTTGGTGGGGGACATTCCCAGACCATTGCATTGAACATAGACTCCTGATTAGGGAGTGACAGGCCGTAAGGGCAAACTGCAAAAAGATGGTTATAATACTGGCTCCGTGCATGCAGCGGTCACAGGGCACAGCCACAGTGTCGACCAAATGAAACAATGACCAAGAGGGGAGTTTGGGTGGAAGAGCAGTTAATCAGGCTGGTTTGAGTGGACTCAGCAGCATCAATAGCTGGCATGTCAGAAAGGGTACGAGACGCTTTTAAGGAAGCCTGCGCAGTGGAGAGAGCTTCCTCCTTCTCAAAGATATTTTTCCACAACTTTCTCCTACTTTCCATTTTTAAAAAATTTCCTGAGTGGCAGAAAGGAATTTCTCTTTATGTCTTTGATGGGCTTCTACTTTATCAAAAATATTGTTTTTCTACAAAAGGCCGATCTCTTGTGCTGGATCCTACACACTGCCATCCCACCCCTCATTAGACTAGGGGAGTTGTGTCTACTCCAATATCGAAAGTCTTAGGTTTAATTGAAACCTTTGAAAGAATGTGCCCTGAATGGGTTTCAAATTTGGCTCAACCAACAAAGTATTTGCTATAGAATACTTGGATGTGGGGCAGGGTGCAGTGGCTCAAGCCTGTAATCCCAGCACTTTGGGAAGCCAAGGCAGGTGGATCTCTTGAGCCCAGGAGTTCAAGACCAGCCTGGGTAACATAGCGAAACCCTGTCTCTACAAAAAAAATACAAAAAAAAAAAAAAAAAAAGAATAGCCAGGCATTGTGCCGCACACCTGTAGTCCCAGCTACTCAGGAGGCTGAGGCGGGAGGATCACTTGAGCCCAGGAGGTCCGGGCTGCAGTGAGCTATGATCACACCACTGCACTCCAGCCTAAGTGACAGAGTGAGACCTTGTCTCTTAACAAAACACAACAAAACAAAAAAATACTTGAATGTGATCAACACAGGCCCAACAAGAGAGAAGAGACGTCCTTGGCTCCTGCAGTTCATACAATGTACACCACCTGTTCTCCCCTAGAGCCCACCAGCATGGGCAGAAAGCCCTAGCTAGCTAAGCCAAGGACTAGGAATATCACCACTTCCGGTCTCATCCGTGGTCTTTCCTTATGAGCTTGGACAGGTTAATTGACGTCTTTGAGTTCTGATTTAACTTTGCTGCAAAATGCAGACTTCAGAAGTTTCTCTCATGAGTTGAGCTGAGAATGGTATGATTATAATGCAAATATAACACTTCCTTGTAAATGAGAACTTGTGAGAATAATTTCATTGTTTCCAAGACTACTTTGCTTCAACCTGCCTCCCCTCTCCTCCATCTTAGCAGAAAGCCCCAATTCTACCTCAGGATCAGAATGGACTTCCTTTTTCCTTCTTCTCCTCTGTCCCCATCTTGCGAAGATGGCAACATTTCCAAGAGTTTTCACTGACTCATCTGTCGATGTCTAATTTATAACCATGTCGGCATTTCCCTTGCCATGACCATAACATGAAAGTAAGAAATGGTTATGTAAACTACGCTATGCCCCTGCCTCGGTTTCCCCTCTCTAAGGATATATATAAAAGTCCATTTTTTGTGCGTGCACACAGATGCAGCCACTTCTACTGTGGCTCCGGATTCCTTAGAAGATGCTAGGCTCTCTTTTATTTGTACATTTCTTATTACATGAGTCATTTCCGAAGAGCACTAGGTATAATGAGAACAATAGAAGTTGGGTGTGAAATTGTGAGGAAAATGATAGCAATTACTGCATACCCAGATCATAGCTCTGAAAAAATTGCTGAGGACAGGAATTAAGATGATGAAGCTTTTTAAGTCTTCTAAGTACAACTCTTTGAAACCCACTATCTTTTAAAAACATCGTAATGATCTTACAATCATGACTTCAAACAGGTCTTAATGAAACCCACAGAGAAAGGCACGCACAACTTCTCAGTGCTGAGAAGAGGTTCATTTAGAAAATTAATAGAAAGTAGACCAGTCCCTACACGCAGCCATCCTGTTGTGACAATAAATTATTACATTGTTGAAGGCTTTTATAAAATTAGATACCTTGGTAGCAAGGAAAATGAAACCCTTCTCATTTATCGGAAGGATCAGTGGCAACTGAAATAACTCTATCCTGGGAGAGGATTAAATTCTAACCTTTCCAAAAAAAAAAAAAATGTCATTTAAATGAAAAAGCCGATCTAAGACAGTGCTTCATGCCGGAGCCTGAGCCTGCCTGGGAGATGTGTGATGATGATAGGCATTCTGCTTGCCTGTTCCTGCAGATCCTAACAAGATGATGTCTTCCTTATCCACCTGCCTGTTTCACATCCAGGCTGGGTGACAGCTGATAGCCAGCAGCTTAGAGCAGGGAGCAGCCTAGCTGGTTTGAACTAGTTTAAAATGACACAAGTAGCTTCCTTATCACATATTTTGATAGGTTCATGGCTCCCATAACAGATACCCCGGGAAAAATATCTTTGGTATAATTTTAAATGCTCAGCTCCCTCCTTGAAAAGCATATCAACCATCTCAATCTAATTAAATTCCAGAGAAGACTTCTGTTCTGACGCCCCCCGCCCTAGAACACTGAGCACTGGGTAACGCTAGCTCACTGGAATTTGGTTTGTGTGTTGGTCTTGCCTAGACTAGAAGGTCTGTATGTTCTGAAGTTCCTTGATGACTGACATTCTCTTCTTGCTCAAAAGAGCCTTCGCTTAAGCATTGGCCTTTCACATCTATCTTCATGCAGAGCGTACTTGACAAGGGGCACACAGCCCAGCCTGGAACATGTATTGACAATGCCTTTATTAATGGGCTTTGTGCCTTTTCTCATAAAATGTCCAGGAAGCCTTCTTCTGCTTCTTTATTGCCCTAGGGAGAAATGACGGTGGAAAAAGCTCAAATCCCGAAACTACAGACACCAAAGAGCTGGTGTTTTTTCAGGTGAGTTGGCTAGAAAAGACCTTAATGGTGACTCAGACAGGCCTCTCATTTTGTAAATGAGAAAACGAAGAAACAGGGAAGTTTTGAAATTTCCCCATCAAACAGCATTACTCCCATGCCTAGAATACTTCGGTGGCTTCTTGTTTCTTGTGATAATTGTCTTAGAATGCTCCCTAGACAGTGAGAAGCCCTTGCCTACCAAAGTGGAGAGGTGGCACGAAGGAGGGCTAAGGCCCTGGCCTATTGCCCCACCTGGGCCCCAAGCCAACAGCCAGCCACAGCCAACCAACCTAGCAAGTGGGCCATTGTGGAAATGAGTCCTCCAGCCGCAGCTGAGCTCCCCCAGCTAAAGCCATGTGGAGCAAAGGTGAGCTGACCCACTCAAACTGCAGATTCCCCTGTCCAAACTGCAGAATCATGAGCAAATAAATGGTCACCGTTGTTTTAAGCCACTTTGTTTTAGGGTGGTTTGCTATGTAGCAATAGATGACCAAAGTACTCTCTGAAATGATCTCGTTCATGTATTCACCTACTTATCTGCAGTCTGCC
Source organism: Homo sapiens (assembly GCF_000001405.40). NCBI lineage: Eukaryota > Metazoa > Chordata > Mammalia > Primates > Hominidae > Homo > Homo sapiens. The sequence continues at coordinate 121,696,324 of NC_000010.11, forward strand.
TCCCCTTGCTCCCACCTCCTCAGTTAGGACAGACATTCCAGGAATGTACCACTCTTGTTCATCACAGGATTTGCAGGACTCAGCACAGTGCCTCACCCCCCATATGCACTTGGTAAATAGTTGTTGTGTGAATGAATGAATGAGAAAAGTCATAACGAGTTTGGATCAGTTAGTCCTAAAAGCCCAGTGTCCTGCGTAGAATCTTCACCTGGCTGCATTGCCCCCAGGCACCACTATTATTCCACTTTCTCCCCCCTGCATCATTATCTTGGGTCCTTCGTACAGATTCAAGTCCCAGGACCTGCCTGCCTTACTGGAGAATATGTCATTGATTCCTAAGAGAACATGCTCAAGGCTGAACACATCCAAAGCTCATCCATCCAAGATCTGCTTTTCCATAGAGACTTCCAATAATCATAACATTTATTGAGCGTGTCTATCGGCCAAGCACCATGTTCAGTCCTCAATGTGTATTAGCTCATTTAATCCTTTTCGTACCCCCTATGAGATGGGTCTATTACTTTTACATACGGGAACATGGAGGCCGGGAGAGATTCAGTGACTTGCCAAAGGTCACTGGACCAGTGAGTGGCACAGCTGGGTTGTGCATCCTCAGGGAATGGGAAGAGGAACCTTCTTCCTGCCCTGGAGACCAAGCCCTCTTTTGCTGGTTTAATTAGTACTGAGCGTGGCCACCCATCTGTCTCTGGTCTTCCTCACTAAGGAAATGAGATTGCCCCCTGGGGGTGGAGGATGATATTACCATGGGGTTCCTGAAATGGGGACAGTCCTATTCTCAAAGGCTGGGAAGGTAATGGAGCAAATAGTTTATCTACTGCTGAAGCTAAAAGTATCCAGCAGAAATCCAGCCCAACTATTAAGGCATCATTGTCTTTTGGCAGAAGCTAGTGTCTGGGTAGGGGGAGATGGCTTGGCCGTCACGCAGAAAAAATCAAGCCATTTGAGCTAGAGCCTCAGCCTAGATGAGAGCCACACAGCTCTCCTCCCAGGGGCTTCGTCTACCCTCCACCACTCTACAGTCAGTTCAGTGCTGCAGACATCTCCAAGGCATCCAGTGTGATGAGGGTATTGTGCTGGGTAAGACCCTGCTCTTCGATTGCCAGAAAAGCAGAGCCTAAGAATAGGCAGTGTCCGGAAGAGAGGGTGCAGAAGTCCCCTCAGGCCTGGAGGCCTTTATTTCCGATGGATCTGAAAAAGCTATTGGGTCCCATACCAAGAAAGCAAACAAAAAGTATCTTCTTTGTCTTATTTTCCTGTATTGAGGCAGAAAACCTGGCTGAAAGGCACCCTCCTTCAGAGCCCCATGGCCTTTGGGGCTTAGCATCCCCCAACAGAAGTGGAATAACAGAAGCAGCCATCTGGCCTGGCATGAACAAGCAGAGTCTCCACCTCACAGGCTTGTCTGTGCCAGCATGGGTGCCTTTTATCTTTCCCTCTGGTCATTGCCCTACAACCCACATTCTGTCTCTGCAGGCAGCTTCCTAAGACTGGTGGGAATTACATGCCTGGATAGAGAATGGGAGTGGGGAGAAATGCTTCCCTCTGAAGCTCCAGGTCACAGCAAGATACTGACAATCAAAGAGAAGACAAGCTGAGCGTAGTGGTGGTGCATGCCTGTGGTCCTAGCTACTCAGGAGGCTGAGGCAGGAGGATTGCTTGAGCTCAGGGATTTGAGGCTGCAGTGAGCTATGATTGTGTCCCTGCACTCCACCCTGGGAGGCAGAGCGAGACCCTGTATCTAAAAAATATTAAAAATAAAAATAAAAGGCCAGGCACGGTGGCTCACACCTATAATCCCAGCACTTTGGGAGGCCGAGGCAGGCGGATCACCTAAGGTCAGGTGTTCGAGACCAACCTGGCCAACATGGTGAAACCCCATTTCTACTAAAAACACAAAAATTAGCCGGGTGTGGTGGCAGGTGTCTGTAGTCCCAGCTACTCGGGAGGCTGAGGCAGGAGAATTGCTTGAACCCAGGAGGCGGAGGTGGCAGTGAGCCAAGACTGTGCCACTGCACTCCAGCCTGGGTGACAGAGCAAGACTCCGTCTCAAAAAATAAAAATAAAAGAGACAGAAGACATACAGACACCTTGGCGTGTTCTGAGTCAGGGAATTAGCACGTCAAGAATGAATCTGCCTTGGATCCCGGCCACATAAGAGCAGAGTGAAGGAAGGGGGCTCTGCAGACTGCGGCTGCCCACAGACACCCTGGGACAATGGTCCATTCAGGTGGATTACTGAGGCTCACGAGAAAAACCTACATTCCCTGAATAACGTGAGTAAACAGCTAATGGTGCTGAAAAAAATGGCTGCACCAGACACAGGTTCTCTTGAAAAATGGTTCTGTATCCTTAATTAGTGTTTTTAAGCACAAACAAAAGGAAAGCAGTAATTATCCTCGCCTATTCCTTAACGTCAAATTTAGAAACACACCATCCTGAGCTATTAACAAGTTCCGCCATATGCTCAAGGAGACCGTAAGATCTTCTTTAATGCTTCCAAGTGGAGCTGAAAAATTGTGAAAGTTCTGAAATTTTTTTATAGATTTGAAAAGTGAGAAGAGACTTTTAACCTAAGCCTTGTTACTTTTAGCCCAGCAGAGAGCTTCGATTCCTGGGCTCCAGGAGTCATCAGAACTGCGCTGACGTCCTGGCTGCCACAGCCCAGCTGGGGGACCCAGGGTACGTTTCTTAACCTCTCTCACCTGCAGGTTCCTTTTCTATCAAATGAGGCTGAGTCATGTGGATTATACGGTGGGCTTCCACAGAGCCTGCACAGAGACTCAGACGTGTGTCAGCGTCGATCCTGCCTCCGTCAGGCTGAGAGGGTGGCCCCGGGTCTTAGGACAAAGAACAGTCCCATTCACTGGGTACACTTGAAACTTCACCTTTGAGGCTGGTGTTATTATGCACTTTTGATTCAAGAGGAAACTGAGGTTGTAGCAACATGGAAGGCGCGCCCCAGGCCACACTGGGAGGAAGGAGTGGCGGGGTGCTCTGCAGAATACAGGCGTTTCCACTGCTAGTCCACAGGACAGGGTCCCTGTTGGGGCAGATCTGGCAGAGGGCAGAGGGCAGCCATTTAAAAAACAAAGGAAGACATTTATGTAGCCAACAAACATATGAAAAACAGCTCATCATCACTGGTCATTAGAGAAATGCAAATCAAAACCACAATGAGATACTATCTCACGTCAGTTAGAATGGCGATCATTAAAAAGTCAGGAAACAACAGATACTGGAGAGGATATGGAGAAATAGGAATGCTTCTACACTGTTGATGGGACTGTAAATTAGTTCAACCATTGTGGAAGACAGTGTGGCGAATCCTCAAGGACCTAGAGCCAGAAATACCATTTGACCCAGCAATTCCATTACTGGGTATATACCCAAAGGATTATAAATCATTCTACTATAAAGACACATGCACATGTATCTTTTTTATTTTTTATTGCAGCACTATTCACAATATCAAAGATTTGGAGCCAACCCAAATGCCCATCAGTGATAGACTGGATAAAGAAAATGTGGCATATATACACCATGGAATACTATGCAGCCATAAAAAAGGATGAGTTCACGCCCTTTGCAGTGACATGGATGAAGCTGGAAACCATCATTCTCAGCAAACTAACACAGGAACAGAAAACCAAACACCACACGTTCTCACTCATAAATGAGAGTTGAACAATGAGAACACATGGACACAGGGAGGAGAACATCACACACCAGGGCCTGTCGGTGGGTGGAAGGCTAGGGGAGGGATAGCATTAGCAGAAATACCTAATGTAGATGACGGGTTGATGGGTGCAGCAAACCACCATGGCACATGTATACCTATGTAACAAAGCTGCACATTCTGCATATATATCCCAGAACTTAAAGTATAATAATAAAAAAAGAATACCTTTCCAATCCTCAAAGTTGTTCCCTCTGAGTAGTAAACATGAATAAATTACTAATATGTTATTATTTTCAAATTTTAATTAGACAAATGCTAGTATGGCTATAATTTACAGTTAAATTTCAGGAAAATATTTCTCACTCCTTAAGAATGGGTATTCTCCCTTTTTAAATAGAATTCATTTTTAGCTGGAAGCAAAGCTACTCAGAATAGAAACAACATCTTTCTGGTTCCTTTGCAACCAGTTATAGCTATAACTTCTGGCCAACAGGGTGTAAGGGGAAGCATAGTGTGCAGTTTTCTCTTTTGTCCTGCTTCCTGCTGATTGATAGGTGAATATGATGGCTGGAGCATGAGCAGCCATTTTGTACCATGAGGTTCAAACTAAGATTGGCAGATAGAAAGAGCCACAGTAATCATAAAGTCACCATCTCGGCCTAGATTGCCTATCCTTGGACATTTATAGGAGAGGGAAATAAACTCCTCCCTCATATAAACCCATGTTACTTTGGGCTTTTCTTTCACTCACAATCAAATCTAATCCTGCTTCATCTCCCTGCACATTCCAGATAGAATCATCTCCAACCACCATGACTCCTCTCTCACTATGTGGTTGGTGATCTTTTTTTTTTTTTTTCTTTTGAGATGGAGTCTCGCTCTGTCCCCAAGGCTGGAGTGCAGTGGCTCGATCTTGGCTCACTGTCACCTCCACCTCCTGGGTTCAAGCAATTCTCCTGCCTCAGCTCCTGAGTAGCTGGGATTACAGGTGCCCACCACCACACACCCAGCTAATTTTTGTATTTTTTGTAGAGACAGGGTTTCACCATGTTGGCCAGGCTGGCCTCAAACTCGTGACCTTAGGTGATCCGCCTGCCTTAGCCTCCAAAGTGCTGGGATTACAGGCATGAGACACTGCGCCCAGCTTTCGTTTTTGCTTTTTGTCTTTATTATTTTTACAAATCTCTCTCACTGAATATATGCCTTTATTTCAAGGTAGCAAACTCTGAAAACAGCATATAGATGATAAATCCACATAGCAGTTTTAAAAAAAATCCTTATTCTGAGTACACCGCAGTAAACTCCAACAGAGGTTTTTGTGACCTTAAAAGTACTTGAGGTCCGAAGGTACTTAAGTGAACAAGCAAGCGGATGGAGTCCATTTGCCATGACTCCTGGATACAATAGCTTAAGCCCTCTTAGCACACAGGTTTCCATGGTCCCCCCAGAATTAGTAAGAGAAGAGCCTATTAATAATCACTACGTCCCCTACCAAAACCAAAGTGCTTTAGCCAAGAACTTAGACACTCTGTTTGTGGTTTTAGTGTTTGTGCTTGAAAGACCCCCAGTGAGTTGAATGAGAAATATTGAGCTTCATCAAATTTCTTAGAAAACCTTTTTTTAAAAAAAAATTTATTTATTTATTTATTTTTGAGATGGAGTCTCGCTCTGTCGCCCAGGCTGGAGTGCAGTGGCACAATCTCGGCTCACTGCAAGCTCCGCCTCCCGGGTTCATGCCATTCTCCTGCCTCAGCCTCCCGAGTAGCTGGGACTACAGGTGCCCGCCACCACATCCAGCTAACTTTTTGTATTTTTTAGTAGAGATGGAATTTCACCATGTTAGCCAGGGTGGTTTCGATCTCCCGACCTCGTGATCCACCCGCCTCAGCCTCCCAAAGTGCTGGGATTACAGGTGTGAGCCACCGCGCCCGGCCTAGAAAGCCTTTTGACTTTCATCTGGTCTTTATACACGCCACGGGAAAACACTCACCCATTGCTTGTGCTACCACCTGAAAATGAAAGGAGATTGACATGTCAGGTAATTTAACTGATGGGACTAAAATCTCCGACTTTTCTTCCAGTCTCACTCTTCCTGGGACCTCTTGCAAAATAATCACGTATCCGGACATACCTGCAAAAAACATAAAACTGCCAGCATTGCCCCCCTTGTTTGGGGATTTACTGAAATTAGTTCTGTACTTCCTGAAGTTCGTACAAATATCAAAGGCATTTTATATAACAAACAATTTTGCCTCTCCTTCCGTCCCCCTAAATAAAGACCACGCTGACTTCACTGGCTGGCTCACAGGCACCGGCTGCCTGGCCTTCACCCCAACACTTGCTGAGATTTTTCCTCTAAAGTATTGCCAAGGAGGTGTTTGCCATTTTCCAAAATGCAACCCTGACAGGAATCACCAAATGACATTCACCAAAGGCAACTAAATAGAAAATAAAGTGTAAGAGCTTAAAACATTCCAAGTTCATGACCATTCATCACAAACCGACTTTCCTCAGAAGAAACAAGCACATAAATAGAATCCTGCTGACACAATCTCTCCACCATCCTTAAATATTCGTGTGTGTGTGGGTGTGTGTGTGTGATTGAGAGAGACAGAGAGAGAGGGAGAGAGAGAGATGCTGTTTTTGGTTTATTGATATTGATTTGGATGAGTGCTTTAAAATTTTTTTTCTGGGAGCTGTTACAAGTTTCACCTCGGGCTCAAAATGATTTTACAGTCAATCCTTAAGCCTGCACTTTCTCTTCTGGCGACTGTGTGTTTACGCCCCAGAGAGTGGACTCTTTGGACCTCCTCTGGGAAAATGACAGTGATGATCAAAGGGTAAGAAAACAAGGCCCAGGAAGAAACGTTCAAGGCATACTGGATTGATTTAGGCTGGAGAAGATGGTGAGGATAACCTTAATAACAACCTTCAGGTGTATAAAGACTCCTGAAAAGAGAGTCTTCATCCATTCTCCACCTCGAGAGAAGACATTCATGATTAAGGGCTGCAACAAGAATGGAGGATGAAGTTGAGCATGCAGGAGAATTTCTTGCCTGGCAGAATCATAAGTCATGCAATAGGCATCCTTGACTCATTGTCTGCACATCTTTTGAGGGACAGAAGCCGTTCACAGGCCCAGCGGATTCTGGCGCAGAGCTCCCTGAAGGCCACAGAACCACAGAATCGAGCTCAGGGTCTTGTGAGACATCTTTGTGGTGTGGCAACGGAAAACCAGCCCACCTCTTAACCCAAGGTGTTACGTCCTGCATCTCTCTGGGGTGGGTGGCTTCTTCTAGAGGTAGCATTTTGGAATTCTCTGAAAGCCCGCAGAGACAGGTGTTGCATGAGCAGCAAGCATTAGTCCCAATTTTAATAAAGCCCAGAGCTTCCTACCACAAGCTGCGTGGCACAGACAACCACCAATGCTACAGTGATACAGCCCCTCCCTAAAAGCATTTATGTTAATGAAAAAATAAATACTGTTTGGTAAAGCCAAGCACAATGCTATGTGAATGGGGAAAATAACCCATTTATTCCAATGTCTTTCTGATAATGGTCACTCGGAAAACTCGGATAAAGCCCTAAAAAACCCAAGAGGTCATGGGCAGTTTCAAGGCCTCGTAAATGGTAGCTGATTTCTCTTGTTTCCTGTTATAAATACAGTTTGGGTTCCGAGTGTAAACCGGGCCACTAATGCATAGTTACAGCTGATGCTATTACAAATGCATAAAAGTGAGGAAATTCAAAGTTATGATTCCCATTGCCACAGTAACTCAACCTCATCGTGCAATCTGTTTGTAGCGTGTACTACCGAATGTCGTGTTAACTTTTACTGCCTCTATTACATATGTGTGATGTGAAAAGGTTATGGTGGGAAAGGGAGTCATAATTCTGAATTTTCTGATAGTTACGACTTTAAAGTGAGTTTAAAATGACTACTCTTTCTTCATTTGGTTTTTCTTGTTCTGGTTGAGTCTGTTTTTCATCGAATCTTGGATTCTTGAGACCATTCTGGTAGATTCTTCATTTCAATACAGAGATTGATTATTTACTCCAGTGTAACAAATACTCAAATAGTTTAACACACCATCATGGGAAGAGTGGGGGGCTTCAAGGAATACAGAGATGACTAAATACCAGCCCTATTCACAGTTTCTCCATTCAGTCGAGGGCATGCAAATAATCATAGCCCGCAGTCTACAGCCACAATGGACACACACAGGTAAGATGAGAGTCATTCCTGATGGGGCTTCAGGCTTTGTGGAGGGAGAGAAAGAGAAGGGAATTAAAGTGTATTCATCCTCTACTAAAGGGGTCCTCAACCCCTGGGCTGTGGACTAGTGCCAGTCCGCGTGGCCTGTCAGGAACTGAGCCACACAGCAGGAGGTGAGCAGTGGGCAGACGAGCAGTACTGCCTGATCCACCTCCTCTCAGATCAGCAGCAGCATTAGATTCTCATAGGAGCACAAACCCTATTGCGAACTGCGCGTGCAAGGGATCTGGGTTACATGCTCTTTATGAGAATCGAACTAACGCCTGATGATCCGAGGTGGAACAGTTTCATCTCGAAACCATCCTCCTCTCCCCCTCACCTGTCCATGGAAAAATCATCTTCCCTAAAACTGGTACCTGGTGCCAAAAAGTTTGGGGACAGCTGCTCTACTACATAGCAATGTGTTAAGTGGTTTAGGACATTATATTTCACCCTCCACATTTTATAAGGCACTATCCCATATTACAGATGTGTTTCCGGAGGCTGCTTGGTCGAGGTAGCAGGGTCTGAACTTCAGTTCAAACATCTAAAAGCTCATACTCATTTTCTACTATTTTAAGTGGAATTTGGATTAGATCTTGAAGAATATGCATGTTTGGGCTTTTTTTTCTTATTATTAAAAAATATATTTGTTATTAAAAGTTTGGGAAACACAGTAGTAAAAACAAAAACAAAACCCACATGCATGACTCATTACCTCAAAATTACCACTATTTTAGTATCTTTTTTTTTTTTTTGAGACGGAGTCTCCCTCTGTCACCCAGGCTGGAGTGCAATGGTGCAGTCTCAGCTCACTGCAACCTCTGCCTCCTGGGTTCAAGCGATTTTCATGCTTCAGCCTCCCTGAGTAGCTGGGATTACAGGCGCCCGCCACCACACCTGGCTAATTTTTGTATTTTTAGTAGAGATGGGGTTTCACTGTGTTAGCCAGGCTGGTTTCAAACTCCTGACCTCAGGTGACCCACGTGCCTCGGCCTCCCAAAGTGCTGGGATTACAGGTATGAGCCACCATGCCCAGCCATTTTAGTAACTTTTCTTCAAAGATTTTTTTACTAAACCTAAGTTGGTGGGGTTTTTTGTTTTTGTTTTTGTTTTTGTTTTGGTGTGTGTATTGCTTATTGTATGATTCTTGTTCTTTTACATAAACAGGTTCATGGCCTTCCCTTTCCCTTTTCAGTGACTGTAAACTGTTCTAGGCTGGGGAGGAGCACAGCAGTGACGGGGGGGTGACAGCAGAGGTGTGCTGGCTGGTGGTGCAGCCAGGACCAAGCCTTGGACACCTGGGCAGGCCACAGAGCTTGACTGAAGTGTCTGAGAGCCAGGTGGGTCCTGGGCATACAGCCCCTCAAATGCCTGGTTTAGTAGTTAGGACTTTGTTCTGTAAGTCTCATATATGCACAACTAGCACATAGAGAGCAGCTAATAAATGTCACATACTCCTGAATGGGAAGATGCTGATGGCTCTTCATTCATTTATTTATCTGTTGAGAGATAGGACCTCACTCTGTTACCCGGGCTGGAGTATAGTGGTGAGATCACAGCTCACTGCAGCCTCGACCTCCCAAACCCAAGCTATTCTCCCACCTCAGCCTCCCAAGTAACTGGGACCACAGGAATGCACCACTACATCCAGTTAAGTTTTAAGTTTTTTGTAGAGACAAGGTCTCATTATGTTGCCCAGGTTGATCTTGAACTCCTGGACACAAGCAATCCTCCTTCCTTGACCTCTCAAAGTGCTGGAATTATAGGAGTGAACCACCATGTCCAGCCACTGATGGCTCTTGATTAGGGGAATGATATCACTGCAATTTTGCACTAGGACCATTATTCAGGCCACAAAACAAGGTGGGTGATGGAGGGCACTTAGAGGTTTCTACAGCACTGGAGAGTGAAGGAATCTCAACACAGACAGGTACAGGGGGAGGCAGACGGAAGAACATGGATGAGTGAAACATACACATTCTCCAGGAAGGTGTAAAAATACTGGAATCCCAAAACCAAGAGACCAGTGCAAGCTTTGGGTTGTAAGGGCAGGAAATAAAATTGAACTGCTTCCTATCTGCTTTTTAGATTCTCTTTGAGACCAGTTTCAGGTAAGAGAAACTTATGTTACCAGCCTAAGACAAACTTGCAATATATTTTATTAAATGTTCATGTTTTTACTACCTATTTTATACAGGGTGAGTATCTATTTGACCACATCTTGGCTCAGAATTCTCTTTTTCCTCCTCTCTAAAGTGGAGGTCAGAAGAGGCGGGTGACCCAGACACACTGAGGCTGGACTTCTTGAGAGGTGGATGGGAGAGAACACTGGAATTGCAGCCCTGGAATAGTCACATGGGCGGGCATCCCCCGTGTGCTTGGGTTGCCAGAACAAGGGGTCTTGATTCAGACCCCAAGAGAGGGTTCTTAGATCTTGTGCAGGAAGGAATTCAAGGTGAGTCACAGAGCACAGTGAGAAGAGATAGTTTTCTTGAAAGCTGCTCAGTTACAGAGTAGGGCATCCTCACAAAGCAAGAGGGGGAATGCCTTGTGTTTTAAGATTTTCTTATATCGGGGTCTTATCTATGTGAAAGCTAAGCTAAGCTATGTCTATGTGTGGGTGGGCTGACAGCATGACAAAATTTATTATTCTGCTGATTTAAAGAAAACTATCCTTAGCATGTTAGCGCATCAGCACACCAAAGCATAACTATAATTATCTTGAGAGCGTATATTGTTATGGATATTGGGACATCTGGACTTTCTGTTGTAGGAGTGTGTCTTTGCAGGTATCTCTAAGCTGTTTCCTCAATCATAAACCTCTTATGATGCTGGGTCGTGATTGGCGAGGAATGTGCCCCTTGTTAGTTAGTCTCAAGATAGCGCTGAACTTAAAATGATGTTCCTCTGGCTCTCCTAGGCTCCTGCTTCCCTAACAGTTGCATAAACGTCTATCATGTTCAGATCACCTGTTATTTATTTCCATAGCTCATCCTTTAGTAGATTGCAGACTCGTGCAGATGCAGAAAATATGTGTTGTCTTTGTATTCTAAGCACCTCAGTGCAATAGCAAATGGAGCAAGCACTGAATAAATTGTTCTTTAATGAAGATTTCAACAACAAGAAATAGTGTACATGTGTATGGATTGTGTATATCCATATACTCACATATATGCACGTGTGTGTGGAAATGTATATATAGTCATCTATAAATGGGTAGAGACACGTATAGATATTTTTGGGTGTATCTATTCATCTATTAAGCTTTACTTGTCGCGTGTCTGGTTGTACAGCTCCCATTGCTGACCATAACCGATGCAAGAAAGAGATCTTGGTTACTCATCAGTGCCTTATCCTCTAAACGGGTGGACCTGCTTCATGCAAGTGTTTCTGAAAGAAATTTTGTACAAACCAGATTTTTCTACATTAAATCCAATTCTAGATATACCTAAGGAGTCTGTATTTAATGTTTTTTACATATACTTTTGCAAAGTGAAGAGTCATTTCTATAAAGCGAATCATAAATCTTAAATGTATCTCTTTTCAAGTCCAAGTTTAATATATCAACTTTGCTTAAAGTTGGAGAATGCCTACCCCTCCACTTCAAACTTTGCTCATCTCTTTGGCAGGGGGGTGAGGATTTCCCTAGCTCACTTGTGCAGTGTGGGGATGCGGTAACACTGCTTAGATGGCAGCCTCTTTCATTCAATATTGTGACTTTTGTTTCTCTCCAGAGAGGGATAGAGAGAAAGGAGAGAGAGAATTTGGTCTGTGGCCTAGGTTGTCTTTTCAGGCCCTTATTCCTGCTTCTTCTGACACATGATTGTCAACATCTCTAGTGGGGTTGGAAAAGACTTTGAGGGGATGATTAGCTTGCTAGGACTGCCATAACACAATGCCACAGACTGGGAATCTTAAACAACAGAAATTGATTTTCTCACAGTTCTGGAGGATGAAGTCTGAGATCAAGGTGTCAGCAGGTTTGGTTTCTCCTGAGGCCTCCCTCAGTGGCTTGCAGACGGCCACCTTCTTGCTGTGCCCCACATGGTCTTTTCTTTGTGCACATGCATCCTTGCTGTCCCTTTCTGTGTCCAAACTTTCTCTTTTTATAAAGACATAGGTCAGATTGGATTAGGGCCCACCCTAATGGCCTCATATTGACATAATTACCTCTTTTGAGACCCTCTCTACAACTACAGTCACTCGGAGATACCAGGAATTAGGACTTGAACATATGAATTTTGGGGGATGGAACACAGTTCATCTCATAAGAGGAATACCTTGCCCAGCCTTGAAAGCAGCATCCCCCCAAGTCATGTGGAGCCGCAGACCCGGAGACAGAAGCATCTGCCTCCCAGTTCTTTCCTTCCTCTGGAACCTGCTCTTGCATCATGGGTACCCCAGCAGCACAGCTGAGAGCCCAAAACCTGTCTCTAAGATACCAAGCATCTGCCCAGGAAGAGAAGCATCCCCCTCAACCCTATGTAATTAATTCTCTATGCTGAAGTCCTTCCCTGGTGTTGATTCCCACTGCCTTCCCTATCCACCTATCCTCTGGTCCCCAGAAGGCACAGTGAGAAGCGGGCTGAGGCCCACAGGCAATTATGTAGATCCATGGATTCATAATTCAAAATAAACCCATCAAAACATTTGTTCTTACTTTTAACCCCGTTGTCCCCCAAGTGGAAATGTTAAGACACAACAGCAGAAGAGATAAATATGGCAGACAAAAGTTTTCCCACAGCCTTTAGCCCCTTAAACATTCTAATCCCATTGAAGATATTTATGCCTGGCCAAACACCGGGGCTGGGGGCTGGGCTCCTGCCGGCTGCCCCTTGCGGAGCCTGCCTGGCTTTGTAGAGACAGCTGCCTGTTGCTATGCGATTTGGTTACAGAAGGGCAATGCAGGGCACCTAACCCAAGTGCTTTTTTAACCAAACCACATGCTTATTAAAAGAATGGAGAAAGTTTCCATTAAAATATCTGGGCTGATTACATTTGGAAACTTAATAACATGTGTTGACTCAAATAACTCCCATTGAACTGAACCCCAGCAGGGCTCAGAGTTCACCAGGGGAACAAATATCTCTGATGAAGCTTGGCATCTTAACCCTGTTTAACATTTTAATTAAGAAGGGAAAATTCGGTGTCATTTGCTTTTCTGCGGTCTCCAGGAGCGGCAGGGTTCACGCTTGAGAATTCCTCCAAGAGTCCGGCGGAAAGAAATACATTAGCTAATTAGGGGTGATACAAAACATCTATACACAAGACATATACGCTCCCGTTCTGCTTTGCAGGCCAGCTTTTCCACTGCCCTCCCCTTTCCACGCTGATTCTTAAAAGAGGATGCTTGAGTATACCTTCTTTTTTTTTTTTTTTTTCTTTTAAATACTGTTAATTGAGAGTTAAATTGTTGCTTGAGTCTCTTACTCTACACAGCCAGAGAGAGGCGAGGAGAAAGCATCAAGCTACAGCCCCGTTCTTGGGAAATACTCGGAACGCAGTTACTTTAGAAAACAGGTCCTCAAGTCCCCATTTCATAACCAGAAAACTCATCATTTTCACTAGTATTTCCTTTTTCTAGCCAGGCGGACACTCTGGGAAATGCTTCTACTGATGACTCAGTTACGCAGAAAAACTTATCTTCCTTGTTTTGCAAATGAGCTTGCAAAACAGAGTTTAAAACAGCAGAGGCGGTTGCATCTACACCATACTTGGCTGGACTACTGGGTTTGTCCCTGTTCTCGAAAAGAAAAGAAAACGCAGCACACTGAGATAAGAAATAGTAGAAAATCCGTTTCACCAGAGATTTTTCAGTATATTTCCAAATCCAAAAAGTAACCAGCAGAGGCTCTTCTTTATTTATTTATTTTAGTTTGCTTTGCTTTGAAACCCTCAACCCCGAGTTTCTGTTAATTTTAAGCCCGGTTCTCCTTTGGATGTCCCTTCATCTACAACCCAGTCCTGGGCTGCTGTTTCCTTCCTGGGAATCCTCCCTGCCCTGTTTGGCCTGCTGTCTCCTTCGTGCCCCAGGGAAAACCATACTCCATCACCCCCTCCGCCCTGGACCCAAAAGGGATGAGGAACAACTGAACTATGTGTTAATTGCGTTACGGGGCTTTCTCTAATGCAATAGTGGCCTTCTCCATAGCAACCGTGATTAAAAGATGCAGAATGGCGGGTCCTCCAGGGCCTGTCTGTCTGGGAAGTGATTGCCACTTTACAGAACAATTCAGTCCAGATAGAAGTTTATTGTGCACATTTCGCCTAAGCTGACTGCTCAGGTCACATTCCCCAAAGCCTCTTTCTCTCCCTCTGAGCGCTATTTTCAGGCTGATTTGGGGGAGGGAGCCACGGGAAATTTGCCACCCGGGTTGGGGGTGGTAGATGGGAGCTGTGTGGAGTTGCAGGTGGGGGTGGGGAGAGAGAGAAGAGAGGTGCCCTTGCTCCTATTCAGGGGCTGGGGAAGAAAATAATCCCAAGCTTGCAGCCTGAATGTAAGTCATCGCCAAAGAAGCCCCATGCTTCATTAAGCATCTTTAAAAATGCCCACTGAGATGCCCAGAGGGGGTAAGGTAAATTCTCTTTCCATTTTTGTGCCTCTTTCTAAAGCACACAGCATTCCTATTTTATACACTGTGGGGTAAGTGATTTTCAAAGTTGGAGGGAGGGGGGAATTAAACATTATCTGGACTACAACACACAGGACGGGGTGAGATAATTGTCCTGGCAGATTGCTTGATCTCCAAGGGAGGGGCGGGGGGCATCTGTGAGTCCCCACTTCTTTATCTTCCTTCTCCCATGCCCCCATTCCTTTTCTCCTCTCCTGTCCATAGGGTGAACCAAAAGTCCAGAAGCTCCGCTCACCCACACATGTGATGCTGAGACGCAGAGCTTGCACACGCCCTACACTTTGGATGCACATATGAGGAATTGACAAAGACTGCCCTTCAGCCACCAGGAACTAAAAGTCGCCAGGAGGCACTCCAGGTAGCTAGAGACACAGTTCGGAATATTAAAAGAAACTAAACATCATTGTGATTTCAAAATCCAGACTCAAGCTTGAACACATTCAAAAATATGTTCTTATAATAGAAACAAATTTTCAAGTGTCCAATTTCAGAGCCCGAGCTCTGGAATCTGAAGGCCTAGATTTGAATCTTGACTCTGGCTGCTCAGCCATATGACCTCAGGCAAGTTACTGAGTCTTTTAGAGCCTCAGTTTCTCTATTTGTAAAATAGAGACGGCTGGGCGCAGTGGCTCACGCCTGTAATCCCAGCACTTTGGGAGGCCGAGGCGGGCGGATCACCTGAGGTCGGGCATTCCAGACCAGCCTGACCAACATGGAGAAACCCTGACTCTACTAAAAATACAAAAAATTAGCCATGCGTGATGGCATATGCCTGTAATCCCAGATATTCGGGAGGCTGAGGCAGGAGAATCGCTTGAACCCAGGAGGCGGAGGTTGCAGTGAGCCAAGATTGTGCCATTGCACTCCAGCCTGGGCAACAAGAGTGAAACTCCATCTCAAAAAAAAAAAAAAAAAAAAAAAAAAAAAGAGATGAAAATAGCACCTATGTCATACAACTTTTAAGAGAATTAAAAGAGAGAATTATGTAAAGCGTTTGTTTTCTGACACATGGCAATACCCAGAAACTAATAATAATAGTTATCATTATTATTACACAAGAGTAGTGCTCTATGTTTGCATAGCACCTGACGGTTCACTGACCTTGCCTCTGATAATCTTCCCGACAATCCTGTGCTATTTTTTTTTTTTTTTGAGACAGAGTCTCGCTCTGTTACCCAGGCTGGAGAGCAGTGCCGCAATCTTGGCTCACTGCAACCTCTGCCTCCCAGTTCAAATGATTCTCATGCCTCAGCCTCCTGAATAGCTGGAATTACAGGTGCACGCCACCACGCCCAGCTAATTTTTTTTTTTTTTTTTGTATTTTTAGTAGAGACAGGGTTTTGCCATGTTGGCCAGGCTGATCTCAAAGTCCTGGCCTCAAGTGATCCACTCATCTTGGCCTCCCAAAGTGCTGGGGTTACAGCGCCTGACCCCTCCTATGCTATTCTGACAAAGCCCTCTTTATGCCTTGCCAGAGGGAGGTCAAAGCCCCTTTTCCAGGTGTTGCCAGGCTAAGCAGAACAGGCCAATTGCTAGGTACAAAACAAATCAAGAAATCCAACCTCCAAACTCCAACCCTAGTGACCAGGATTGTTCTCGACTATGGGATACAGTTCTGCCATCCTGGAGCTCACAGTTCAGTCTGCGCTCAGACATGGAGGTGAAGGCAAGATAACACAGCAAGGGTGGCTGCCCCAGGCCGAGGAGTCCATGTTTCTCCTGGAGCCTTGCTTCTATTTTTATTAACAAAATGTAAAAGATAGCCTACTTCAAGGGCCTTGGAGTAGTTAGATTTCTCTAGGAAATAAAAATGCTATTTATACTGGCAAAAAATATAATTTTTCACACTTTTGAAAGTGTTTGAAGAAAATTGGATGAAGACCACAAATCTAAATATTTATAGTGCCAAGAAATGTGTGTTAATGTGATTTATTTTTGACTTTAGAAAATAATTCATTAGTATTATTACTATGTTAGTAATACTATTTCCCAAGGAAATCTCCAAATTTTGAACAAAAGCTAATATACAAATTAATTTAGGCAAACAGCCTCCTAGTTACACTTTGTACACTGACCATTATCTTTTCTTTGTTTTTGTTTGTTTTTTTTTTGAGATGGAGTTTAGCTCTTGTTGCCCAGGCTGGAGTGCAATGGTGCAATCTCAGCTCACTGCAACCCCCGCCTCCCGGGTTTAAGTGATTCTCCTGCCTCAGCCTCCTGAGTAGCTGGGACTACAGGCGTGTGCCACCACACCCGGCTAATTTTTTTTTTTTTTAATTTTTAGTAGAGATGGAGTTTCACCATGTTAGCCACGCTGATCTCAAACTCTTGACCTCAAATGATCTGCCCGCCTCGGCCTCTTAAACTGCTAGGATTACAGGCATGAGCCGTCGCACCAGGCCAATCTTTGTATCTAATACGAAGATGCAATGCTCTTCAAAGGCTTTTGCCCAGATAGCTGCATAAGCAACGAGAACAGGTTAACAAGCACTCAGCCTTCAAGGCTGGGCCACCCTAAGCAGACGGACCTTCCCATGAGGCTGTCAACACTCTTCAAGTGTCTCCTTAAGTATGGCCCAAGAACCAACAGCATCGGCTTCACCCAGAAGCCTGTTAGAACTGCAAGATTTCACCCATAACTCTGTGCGCCCTTCCCTCCTGTCCTCTTTCCATCATCTTTCTGCGCCACCACAATGGTGCGCAAGAATGTCCTGGCTGATGTTCTCAAGAGCATCAACACTGCCAAAAAGAGAGGCAAACACCAGGCTCTTATTAGGCTGTGCTCCAAAGTCACCATCTGTTTTCTCACTGTGATGATGAAGCATGGTTACATTGGCGAATTTGAAATCATTGATGATCACAGAGCTGGGAAAATTGTTATGAACCTCACAGGCAGGCTAAACAAGTGTGGAGTGATCAGCCTCAGATTTGATGTGCAACCCAGAGATCTAGAAAAATGGCAGAATAGCCTGCTTCCATCCCGCCAGTTTGGTTTCATTGTACTAATAATCTCAGCTGGGATCATGGATCACAAAGAAGCAAGACAAAACACACAGGAGGGAAAATCCTGGGATTCTTTTCCTAGAGCTGTAATACATATTTACAAATAAAATGCCTCATGGACAAAGGAAAAAAAAAAAAAAGAACTGCAAGATTTCAACATCCTCAGCCACCTATTCACCCAGGCCCACAGAATCCAAATCTTCACTTTACCAGATTCCAGGTGATTTATATATGCACATTAAAGTTTGAGAACTGGTGGTCTACACAGTTTTCACACAGCTGAGTGAAAAGGCAGTGGTCCCCCATGAAAGACTATGTATCTCAGCCTCCCTTGCAGCTAGGTGTGGCCAAGACACTAAGCTCCAGCTGAGAGACTAAGTTCTGGCTAGTGGCAGGTGAGCAGAAGTGACGTGTGCAACTTCCCAGTGTAGTCCTCAAAGAGAAGGAGACCGACACATCCCTTTCCTCTTCCCCTTTCTTGCTGGACAGATTTAGACATCACGGCAGGAGGTGGAGCAGTTGTCTTAGATCAGAAATGGAATCCCCATGCCAAGGATGGCAGAGCAAAGAAGAGGCCTAGATACTTGATGATTCTTTAACTTATCATAGCAGCCTTACCTCCAAATTACTACATGTCTTTATTTCTACATCTTCTATGATAACAACTTCCAGTTGCAATCTGTATATATGTCATTTCTCGTTATAGAAAGTGAGCTTTTTGTGGACAGAGACCATACTTTGTTTTTATCCTCTACATTAACTGGTTCTATCATGCAGTCTTGCCTTTAATACATGTATGCATGACTAGAAGTTAAGTGAATGAGCAAATGAATGAATGATTTATTATCAAGAAATGCTCACTAACCTCCCAGTGGTCAAAGATGAGACACTATGTGCTTTAATGAGGATAATGATTGTAATGGATTAAAATTCATTAACACGTTAAATCTATGGATTCATGATTATATATATATTAATATATAGACATATACGTGTGTGTGTATACCTAATTGGTCACCTTCAGAGAATAAAGAATTCAGTCTCATGAAAACTGGTAAATAAAGGGAAAGGAGCTAACATTTATCCTTCATTTCCTGTGTGAACTTTACAACAGGGTAACAGTAGGCGAGAAGAAGCATTTTCTTATATAATTCTAGCTAACACATGATAGAATTAGAATATCACCATTTTGCAACCCCTCCCCAAGGGAATTAGTGGACCCAGGTATAGAGTATTAGAAGCTGCTAACATCCCCAAAACAGAAACAAGACATTACACGTCTCCTGCAGTCTGCCAAAGGGATCAAACCCGAGTCTGATCAAGCCCCTGGATCCACAGAGCACAGGAGGACTTGTTGAATTGCATCATGCATGTGTGATTAGCAAAAATTCTGCCTGGGGGAAACTCTACTGACTGTCAGACAACTCAGATAAATCATAAGAAAAACAAAGTATGGAGGGGGACGTTATGGGTCAAAGGAAGCAATAAGGGGAATACTATAGTATAGGAAGTCATGGAGGGGATTGCTATAAAATTAGAATAATGGTGGTTAGAATATGCAGTGGTTCATGCCTATAATCCCAGCACTTTGGGAGGCCGAGGCAGGAGGATCATTTGAGGTCAGGAGTTCAAAACCAGCCTGGCCAACATGGTGAAACCCCCTCTCTAACAAAAAATACAAAAATTAGTTAGGTGCGGGGGTGCATCCCTGTGGTCTCAGCTTTTGGGAGGCTGAGGTGGGAAAATCGCTTGAACCCAGGAGGCGGAGCTTGCACTGAGCCAAGATCACGCCATTGCATTCCAGTCTGGGCAAGAGAGCAAGACTCTGTCTCAAAAAAAAAACAAAAACAAAAACAAAAAAAAGAATAGTGGTGACTTTGGGGAGAGGAAGGCATTTGTGACCATGACTGAGTACAGGAAGGCCTTCTGAGGTACCTGGCAAAGTTGTATTGCTTGACCTGCCTGGGGCTTATAGGGGCATTTACCTTATTACAGTTTATTAATCCTTTTTTTTTTTTTTTGGAAGAACATCACTTGCTAAGTGGCTTCCTCATATGTGGGGATCACATTCCTCATGTGTGGGGGCAGGGGGCTCCTTCCAGGTTATAAATAGATTTAAAGATTTTCTGGTTGGCAATTGGTTGAAAGTTATTATCAATAGAATGGATTGTCTGGGTTAGATTAGTGGTTGTGGAGACCAAGGTTTTATCACACAGATGAAGCCTCCACGTAGCAGGCTTCAGAGATAATAGACTGTAAATGCTTCTTATCAGACTGAGAGAGTCTGTTCTATCAGTAATTCCAAGAAGGAGGAAGGTATAATGAAGCATGTCCAGCTCCCCCTGGTCATTATGGCCTGAACTAGTTTTTTCAGGTTAACTTTGGAATGCCCTTGGCCAAGAGAAGGGGTCCATTCAGATGGTTGAGGGGCCTTAGAATTTTATTTTTGGTTTATAAAAGATATGTCTATCTTGAATTTTGAGAGAGATTGTCAAGATACTGTCAAAATGTAGAGGCGCACTGTCACATTGTTTTATGCTCCACGCCACCGGGTATTTAGTGCTTATTTCCCCATGGTATTCCTAACACTGGCTATCACCTGTTTACATTTTTGACAATTCTGCAAGTGAGAAAAGGTATGTCTGTAATGGTATGACTTGCATTTCTTCAACTATGAGTCAAGTTGCTTATCTTTTCATGTGCTTATTGGTAATTTAATTTTTTTCTGTGAATTGATGTTTAAATCCTTTGTACAGTTTTTTTTTTCTATTAGATTTTCATTTCTTCTGGAAGGGATCAGAAACCCAGAAAGCTGACTCAGGTGCCTTCGAGGGTATTGTCCTTTCTCTTTATTATCAAAAAGATTAACTGCACGTGGCATAGCATTATCTTCTAGATTTTGTGATTTGATCACTCTTAAATGCATGCTATTAGAGAGTGTGGTCAGATAACATAAGAGAGAACTAGACATTAGACTTGCTTATCCATTTCCATTATATTTTCTGATCTGATAGCCATGATAACGTTTAACCTAAGTCATAATAAAATTATTTTGCAGATTATTTGGACTTAAAGATTCCTCACTCCCAAATTCAGTGAAAGGTGACCAAAGGAGCATTTCCTACTGCATCGTACGTTCATTTAAAACATACCTTAAGCACACCACACCCTTCCAACACCCAGTTTCCTCATCTGTAAAATAAGCAGGTTGGACTCCATATTCCCTGAATCTGCAGTTCCTTTCAGATGTAACTTCCTGTGAAGCGGCATCTGCCAACCAGGAGCTCAAATATAATTAGTTTTGGCCTAAAAGAAAGCCAGGCTACATAGAAGGAGAATAATGTTTAACATGCAAGTCTGACCACAGGTGACCAAAGATTCTTGCCATTAGTCTTATTGCAGTGGTACATATAGGGACAACTGTAGACCCTCTCTACCCGGGCTTCACAGTTTTCAAAGTCTTCTCTGCAGTCACTGCCAAGACCAACTCCAACTCCTCAAACTCATTCCTTTGCCGAATCCTGAGTGAGGTCCTAGTTCCTGTCCATGTGTGATTGACCCAAATACCAACGGAGAGCCTTAGTAGCTAGAGTAAATCTCCACATAGTAGGTTCTTAAACTGAATTACTTTTTTCCGAAAATATATTATTAGTGACAGTGTTAGTATTGTTATTTTGAGACTGGTGTGTGTGTGTGTGTGTTACAAGATAAAGGAAAAGAATAATTATGTTGGTATCATTGGGAACTGGGATTTTTTTCTTTCTTTCTTTCTTTTTTATGAGATAGAGTTTTGATCTTGTTGCCCAGGCTGGAGTGTGACGGTGCAATCTCTGCTCACTGCAACCTCCACCTCCCAGGTTCAAGCAATTCTCCTGCCTCAGCCTCTCGAGTAGCTGGGTTATAGGCATGTACCTCCACGCCCGCCTAATTTTGTATTTTTAGTAGAGACGGGGTTTCACCATGTTGGTCAGGCTGGTCTCAAACTCCTGACCTCAAGTGATCCACCCGCCTTGGCCTCCCAGTGTGCTGAGATTACAGGCATGAGCCACCGTGCCCAGCCAGGAACTGGGATTTTTCATCGTGGAGAAAAGAGATATAGACATAAATTTGATCTGGTTAAGTAAAATCCCTAGAGTCCTAAAAACTGCAGTGGATTCAAATCCACCAGCTATGTTTAAACTATGTTAAAATACCATATGGTATTTAAAAAGAAACTCACTGGTTACCTTTCAGATGTTCTAGATAACCAACTCCTTATTTTGTACGTTGCTAAATGAAGAGAAAGAATAAGGCTTTTCTATATGAACTACCTTTGGGGTCTCATAGTTGATGAGGGTAAATTATCTCAAGTGTGGATGGAATAAGATTTGAATATTGCCATTTTCAACCTACAATTAAATAAAGGATCCAGGCAGTCACTAATGGCTGCTAATGTCCTAAAAAGAGAAACCATCAGATTATTTTCTGACTCTTGTTGGAAGAGCACATCATCTATGAAGGAATCTTATTTTAAAACTTGAACCCGGATTTAATTAAGCCTTGAGCTCTAAATAGCAATTTACGAAAAGTACAGGGGAAAGAGGAACATGTTAAATGACATGATGGGGCCACAATCAGCAGAACCTGGACTTTTGGAAACTGTACAGAACAAATGACCAGGTTTCTTCAACAAATAACTTGCAAGGAAAAAAAATGATGTATAAGGGATTTAGGGATTAAAACAAACTTAACCATATTAACTGATTATGATGTATGGACCTAACTTGGATTTGATTTTGAACAATTTGTGAAAAAATTTATAAGACAATTGAAATATGAACACTGAATGGCTATTCAATGATATTAAGGAATTACTGGTTATTGCAATAAATAGAGATGTGATGAAGAGTGCTAGTGGTTTTATGGTTAGTTATTTTAACAGCCTGTATCTTATAAAGACACATACTGCAATATTTATTGATAAAATGATATGCCATCAGGGTTTGATTCAAAATTCTTCTGGAGATGGTAGAGGAGTCAGAGTAAGGTAAAACAAATGAAACAGCCCTGAGATGGCATGGTTGAGGTTATGCAGTGGGTATATGGGGGTCATTATATCCATCTCTCTAATTTGTATGTTTAAAATATTTTATTAAGGTAGTTTCCAGCAAGGCACGGTGGCTCACACCTGTAATCCCAGCACATTGGGAGGCCAAAGTGGGCGGATCACGAGGTCAGGAGTTTGAGACCAGCCTGGCCAACATGGTGAAGCCCCATCTCAACTAAAAATACAAAAATTAGCTGGACGCAGTGGCGTGCACCTGTAGTCCCAGCTACTAGGGAGGCTGAAGCAGGAGAATTGCTTGAACCCGGGAGGCAGATGTTGCAGTGAGCCGAGATTGCGCCACTGCACTCCAGCCTGGGTGACAGGGAGAGACTCCATCTCAAAAAAAAAAAAAAAGAAAGAAAGAAAAAAAAAAAAGAAAGTTTCCCTTGGCTGGGTGTGGTGGCTCATCTATCATATCTGTAATCCCAGCACTTTGGAGGATGAGGGAGGATTGCCTGAGGCCAGGAATTTCAAGACCAGCCTGGGCAATATAGAGATACCCAGTCTTTATTTAAAAATTTTTTTAAGTAATTAAAAAATTTTTTCTCTCTCTCTTCTTTTTTAAAGGAGTAACTAGCAGTCCCAAGGCTGCTTGTCTCTACTTTCTGATCTGACACTGATTATCTTGAATGATCTAATTGACATCATTCAGTCATCCCTGTAAATTAATAACATTTGAAACTTAGACACAACTCTTGCATAAGGCTGACATTCCTACAATGTGATGGACTAGCTATTGCCATTTCATCTTATACAAAGACCTCCTAAACGAATACACTCTGATCAAAGATATCCAGAGAAGGATCTCCCTACACACACACACACACACACACACACACACACACACACCCCTCTAGGACAGGTGCACATGTGGGGAGAAGGGTATTACAATGACAATTGTTAAATTCTAACACCCTCCTTTTTACCATCAAACTCTAAACACTCACACTTTCCTCTTTTGGGAGTCCTTATTGCTAGAGAAATTAATGTATATTTCAGAGAATAGTAGCACAGATGACATTTTCAAGAGGCTGAATTCAGTCTTCCACTTGGAGGTGTCACATAAGGTATGACGGCTCACACAGACCCTCAGAGGCCTTCCTTCCACCCTCAGCCCATTAACTTTTTTTCTGACCATTTCTCTAGTCTCTCTTGTTACTGTTAGGTTTCTTGTGGGTTGTTTGGTTAACCCTACTATGTTAGTCCATTTTCATACTGCTATGAAGAAATATCTCAGACTGGGTAATTTATAAATAAAAACAGGTTTAATGAACTCACAGTTCCACATGGTTGGGGAGGCCTCACAATTATGGTGGAAGGCGAAGGAAGAGCAAAGGCATGTCTTACATGGCAGCAGGCAAGAGAGCGTGTGCAGGGGAAATGCCCTTTATAAAACCATCAGATCTTGTGAGACTTATTTACTATCACGAGAACAGCACGGGAAAAACCCACCCCCAGGATTCAATTACCTCCCACCAGGTCCCTCCCATGGCACGTGGGAATTATGGGAGCTACAATTCAAGATGAGATTTGGGTGGGGACACAGCCAAACCATATCACCCACTGAGGGCAGTGATGCAACAGTAATTTTAGCCTACCCACAAGACATTGTACCTGTTACTAAAGTGTTTGTGTCATAACTCCCCTGTTACTGCAGAGGGACACTTTTTTGAGGACTGCTCTTTGTGAAGCTGTACTATTTAAATAGATAGCAACATAGAATCAAATGAACATTCTCATTTACCTTTGGCTATTTTCAATTATTATATTGATTGATAACATAAAGTCATATGTAAGTTCATCTGAGTGAGTGATTGATTAATTAATGGTAGAGATGGGGTCTCACAAGGTTGCCCAGGCTGGTCTTGAACTCCTGGCGTCAGGTGATCCTCCTGCCTTGGCCTCCCAAAGTATTGGGATTACAGGCATAAGTCATCATGCCCAGCTAAATTCATCTTATTTTCAAGGGTAAATAATAATAGATTTATATAGGCTGTTAATAATAAGTTCATTGTGTTCTCCAATTCTCTGTAATCACCAACTTTTTTTTCCACTGAAAAGTGGGAAAGAGTGGGACGGGCTGATTTGCTTAGTTGGTGGTCAAAACTGAATGGGTCCATACTGCCTAAATGCATTCAATGCACAGTCCTAGACTGGAAAAAAAAAGTCGAAAGACATTGTTAGGAAAATTGGTGAAATTTGATGTCTTGTAGATAACAACATTGTGTCGATGTTTAATTTCCCAAAAGGTATGCAGTGGTTCTTTCTACTATTCTTGCAGTTTTTCAAAAAGCTTGACATTATTTAAAAAGTACAAAATTTTAAAAAGCAATGAGGAATCTGAGCCCCAGACACAGTTGACCCTAGAACCCAGCACTTCCGTGGGACAGCCAAGTGCCATCGGCTCCCTGCTGTTGCCAGCTGAATACAATACAGTGCGTGTCACATGCCCCATGAGCAACACGGAGTCTGTGATTCAAGGAGAGGAGAGCATTATACAGCCAAGGAAGAAGTGACTTCTTGAAGGGGCTGGTGAGGGCTGGTGTCAAAAGTTAGAGCCATCAGCTCTCTCTTAGGCCAGATGCCTGGGGACTTTTATTACCAAAACAAAATAACAGCAATCAAGACAAAACAAATATCTGTACAGTTTAATCTTTATTTTTACAGGATTTGGCAGGAGCCAGAAGGTCTGGAACAGTAGGCCTTTCTGGGAACTTTGTATTTATTAAAATGGTCTGGACACTGGTTCTTATTATTCTTTCTCTCCCTTTGAAATGGGAATGGAAAGTCTCCCGATAAATGGGCAGAGGCATGGTCTAGACTCTCGTAACTAACTACTCTCATAATCCTTTTGTGCTCCAATACAAAAAATGCATGTGTGAACTTTACGTTCTTGAGATTCTAGGTTCTCAGCCACCCAACCTTGCTGAACATGCTGGGCAACGTGGAACACGGGGACTCGTGGTCATGCTAATAACAGAACAAGTTTCCATTGGAAAGCTTTGCCTAAAAGAATCCTTAAAATACTATAAATTTACTCCACAGAATCTAATTCATCCTTCTTAGAAAAGAGTTGGAATTTCTGCCTTTAGAATTTATTCTTTATTTTACAAGTTCTACATTTCAAAGTTAACTTATCTTGCCAAATATTGAAATTCATCTTTATAAAACAGTACAACAGACAACCAGGATGCTATGTCATAACGTAAGCTTAATTTACATCTAAAAATAAATTTTTAGGCCGGGCACGGTGGCTCACGCCTGTAATCCCAGCACTTTGGGAGACCAAGGTGGCCAGATCACTTGAGATCAGGAGTTCAAGACCAGCCTGGCCAACATGGAGAAACCCCGTCTCTACTAAAAGTACAAAAAATTAGCCAGGCATGGTGGCATGCGCCTGCAATCCCAGCTACTCGGGAGGCTGAGGTAGGAGAATCGCTTGAACCCAGGAGGCAGAGGTTGCAGTGAGTGGAGATCGTGCCACTGCACTCCAGCCTGGGTGACAGAGCAAGACTCCTTCTCAAAAAATAATAATAATAATAATAAATAAATAAGTAAATTTTTAAGTTGTGATAAAATACACATAACATAAAATTTACCATCTTAACCATATTCAAGTGTACAGTTCAGTAAAGTTAAATATATTCACACTGCCATGCAACCAGTGTCCAGAACTTTTTCATCTTGTAATACTGAAACTCTACAGCCACCAAACAACAGCTCCCCTTTTCCTCCTCCGCCAGTTCCTGGCAACCCCCATTCCACTCTGTTTCTCCATGAACTTTATTGCTCTGGACACCTCATCTAAGTGGTATAATATGGTGTTTGTCTCTTTGTGACTCAGCATAATATCCTCGAGGTTCATCCATGTTGTAGCATGAATCAGAATCTCCCTCCTTTTTATGGCTGAATCATATTCTATTGTGTGTCTGTGCCACATTTTGCTCATCCACGCATTCATCCATGGACACCTGGGCTGTCCCCACTTCCTGATTATTGTGAATAATGCTGCCACAAGCATGGATGTACAAATTATCTCTTCAAGACTCTGTTTTCAATTCTCTGGGGTCTATACTGAGAAGTGGAGTTGTTGTATCCTATAGTACTTCTATTTTTTATTTTTTGAGGAACCGCCATACTGTTTTTTAAGCAGCTGCATTATTTTACATTCCCACCAATCATGCACAAGGATTCCAATTTCTCTGCATCCTTACCAACACTTTGTATTTTCTGTTTTTTTGATAGTAGCCATCCTAATGGGTATAAGGTTTAAAATTTAAGTTTAGAGTTTAGTTTACAGTAAAAGGCTGCTTCAGTCAATGAAATATCTGAAACCAATGAAAAGCAAAATAAAGCATTCTTATATTAGGAAGGAATATCCTTTTCCTATTATTTAGCAAAGCATCAGCTGGACTGGAGAGAAAAGGCTGAAGCTAAAGATATCAGTAAGGAGCCTACTGTAATCACTGAGCTGAGAGCTATTGGGCAGGTGAACTTGAGCAATGTCAAGGAACCTAAGGATAAAGATGCCAGGGACACTTTGGAAATGAAATTGACATTGATTTTCAAGTGATTGAATGTTGGACACAAGAGGAGTTGATGATAGCACGGAAGCTGCAAATGCAGATGACCAGGGGAATCAGTGTCACACACAGAATGGGAGAGAAGAAGCAAGAACTGGCGGGGAGGACCGCATTGTGATGAAGGAGCTCAACAGGTGAGTGGAGCTGGGAGCAGAGGTGAGAAGACTGGGTGGAGAGAACCCCAGGTGGTCCCATGAGTGAAGATGACACTGCTGAAGGAGATAAACAGAAAAATCAGGGGGCCATTGCCAGAATAAAGGAATATTTACTAAGCTATCCCATGCAGGTGTAATGCCAACTGTTTCACCCTGAGCAGAGCCAAAAGCGCTCCCTGACTTTGGCTGAAAGTTTATAGCTAAGACATGTAAAACGACAGGCTGGAATCCTGGGGAGGCTAACGAGTGGTACTTTACTCCCTGGCCATAGCTGGCAGGGGACTCTCAGCTCATCATTTTGCAAGATGAAATTCGTTTGTTGCAGGGGTCTTCAAGCAGAAGCACTTCTTAGAAAATCAATCAAGTCTCCTACTGCTAGCAGGTCAGCAAGCTATCCCTCCTTACTGTGTTAAAAAAAAAAAAAAAAAAAAAACCCATGCACATTCCCTGACTGTAAATCAATGATTATAAGTCATGAAGGTGAAATATAAGAGATTTTGAAGTATATTTTCAAAGTTGAAAATGTATGTCACCTTAGGTGCATGCAACATCTTGCCAACTGAATATGGAACCAGCTGTCCTGCAGAATATAATTTGATGACAAAGTCAATGTTTTTCAGCCATAGCAGAGAGGAAAGAACATGATGTACAAAAATTATTCAAGTCCTAAGCATTCTATCCTTAATAGAGCCATCAGCAAGTTTATATTTCAATTATACTAACTACCTCTGACCTATCACACATAATTCACATTTGCAAAGTTGTGGGTTTAAAAAACATATCTACATGAGCTTGCATGCAGTGCAGACACATTTGGTTTTGATTCTCTTTGACCTCCTCCAAGAGTAGTAAAAGATCACCTTTCCCAGGAGATAACATGTAAGTCTGCTCATATATTTCCAAACACAGCATGTGGCTTCAGTCACATGTCTCTTATTAATGTCAATGGGATCTGTGTAGGTAGGAACTCATGGCCCCAAAACTCCCTGAGGAATTTGGGTGCTGGAAACAACATTAACACAGTGTCTTATTCTCTACCAGGTCCTGGGAGTCCTGATATTGGTGACTTACTAGGTTATCCATTGACCCAATAAGGCCTTGCCTATCAATGATGCATTTAACATATTAGCACGTTGTCTTAGAGCATTTGTGTTGCTGTGACTGGGTAATTTACAGGAACAGAAACTTATTTCTTACAGTTCTGGAGGCTGGAAAGTCCAAAATCAAGGCGCCTTGAACACTGTGTCCTCACATGGCAGAAGGCAGAAGGACAAAAAAAAGGGGGTGGGCACAACCCCCTTCCATCAAGCTATTTCACAATCATCTATTTGTGAGGGTGAGATCCCCACAACCTATACACCTCCCAAAAGACCCCATCTTCCAGCATTGTTGCATTGGGGATGAAGTTTCCAACACATGAATTTTGGGGGACACATTCAGACCACAGCACACATTCCAAGAGTTGGAGTGAAGGCTGGGGAAAGCATCTGGAATAGGCTGTTTGCTGTGCGTGCAGGGATTGCTGTCCTAACGGATTGGAGGGATGGGCCCTGAACAGAGAGGCCTCGTAACTCCACAGTATCAGCCCCACCCAAACAGGTTCAGAGGCCCAGGCAGTAGACAGAAGTCACCTTACACGTAGAGAGGCACAGGTGGGGATTTTCCAGTTTTCATCTTACAAGGCAGGGGAGAGGGGGACCAAAGGCGCAACTTAAAGGAAACAAATATTTGTGTGTGTGTGTTTTTAAATCATTTGAGACATGAATCGATTGCCTTGGCTATCATGTTTCTATACTTCTACAGAAAAAAAAAAGATCTAAAATGGATATCTGTATATATTCTCAAAGAAAAGTGAAGAGTGGCCTTAGCTGAGAATGCCTGTATTATTAGTGCCAGGTATATGTATAATTTAAAAATTTCCCTAGTCTTTTCTTCTTTTTATCTTCCTTTTTCCTCTAGCAAAGACTGTTGAAGCCTCCAGAAAGTATTTGCTGAGCACCTACCACAGCGAGGTGCTGTTTCAGCCCTGGCGACAGAGCAGCAGACAAGACGGGGGGGTCCCTTTTCTCACTGACTGGCGACTAAAGAGACAAGGACAGTGGCCCACAAAGAGCAGGGCCACGCCGAGAATTCAAACAATGTTCTAATTGCTGTGTTGAAAGAGGATGGTCAAGTGGCTCCTTTAGACGGGGCAGACAGAGGCCTCTCTGAGGAGATGCCGGCAGGGCCAGGGAAGGGAGTAGCACCCAGGAAGGATGGATGGCGGGGCCAGGGCAGGACGGGGGTGCCCTGGGCAGGATGGGCAGTTCAGGCCCCATCCAGGGGTTGGGTGTCAAGCTTTTCTTGGGGCTGGGTCTGGAGAGGGTAGGACGCTTGTCCACGCCCCACAGCTCTTTGGTGACAGAGCCAGGATGAGAACTAGGTCTCCTCTTCCCTGCTCTCCACATTGGCTCCAGGTGGCTAGCCCATCCTCTCCTTGTTATGTGTGTGTGTGTGTGCGCGCGTGTGTGTGTGTGTCTGTGTGTGTTCTTTTTACCCCAAGTCAATTCTCTTACCCTTGACTTCGTTCTTAGCTTAACGCCTCACAGCTTCCTTCAAGCCATCCTTTAAATTTTTCCAGATCACCATCCTACCTGTGTCAGCATGTCCTTCTAGCTCTTACAGTCAAATGCAACTCTTGCGGAGGCTCCATGTAAGAACAGACAGATCATAGTCCAAGGGTATGACCACAGTGTAGATGATGGCTGCTGACCGTGGAAGAGGAGGGCTGGGGGGCCCATGCCAGGTGCTCAGGGTGCGATGGGAATGTGGGGCTGCTCTGCCGCATGCCAAATGCTTACGGGTTTTCTGTGTCTCATCCGCAGGAAGCACAACCCTCGCTCTCATCCCCGAGTCTGACATTGGATTATCAGTGGCCTCTGAACTTTATGGCCACGAACCCCATTGGTAAATGGTGAGCCTGAGAGTAGACACGGCTATGCCCTGCCCAGATCCCAGCTGCTGCGAATGTTGGCTGCCAGCAGCTGCCCCTTTTGCTGGAGCGCTGCCCTAGGCTCACCTGGGAGGTTACAAGGCACACCTGAGCACCCCGGCCCCACCATCGTGGGAGCAGCTCACAGCCAGTGTATGATTAGGGCAGTGCAAGAGGCCGGTCCACTTCTTCCTGAGGAGACCTCCACCATTCCTCTGGGGTGCGATGTCTGCTCCCGAGCTCCCTGCAGGGTCGGGCTGAGGCCACAGCCTTGCTTAGGTCCTTCCCCTGCTCTGGTCCTGTTCCCACACTCTTTTCCTGAGAGAATGCCCTCAATACATCGCTTGTCCAAGAATCCAGGTCTGGTTCTGCACCTAGGAAATCTGACCTAAGACAAGCGCAAGCATGCTTCCCGGCCAGTGCGTGTGCGGTTGTTTATTTACATGTTAAATACATGTACAACTCCCACCAGGCGATAAATATCAAAGCTTAGTATACACTTAGGCTGAGGTCAGTTGTTAAGGTGCACTGACTATTTTGTAATCAGTGGGTCTTCTTGCCAGATAAGTTGTCAATTGTTTGAAGAGCCAGGAGCAGAAATGGCCACAGTCATTTTCTTGCCTGCTTGTGCTTGCATCATTAGAATTATTTTTAGTCTCTGTGTGTGCATGTGTGTATACAATTCTGTTTTGTTTTGTTTAGAGACGGAGACTCGCTCTGTCGCCCAGGCTGGAGTGAAGTGGTGCTATCTCGGCTCATTGGAACCTCCACCCTCAGGGTTCAAGCAATTCTCCTGCCTCAGCCTCCTGAGTAGTTGGGACTACAGACGCCCGCCGCTGTGCCCATCTAATTTTTTGTATTTTAGTAGGGACGGGGTTTCAACATGTTGCCCAGGCTGGTCTCGAACTCCTGAGCTCAGGCAATCCGCCCGCCTCAGCCTCCCAAAGTGCTAGGATTATAGGCGTGAGCCACTGCACCCAGCACAACTTTTTTTAAAGCCACTTGTCATGTTGTGAGGGTCTATCTAGTTAAAAGTGTAAATCTACTTAACCTGGGGGTGAGGGAGCCTCGGATGTCTTACACTGCATTGTACACTCGATGGTCTGTTATCCTGCAGCCTGTGGGTGTCAATGCTAATCTTTATAACAAAAATTAGTGAATGTAATTTCTCCTATTTTTCCAGATACAAATTACCATAAGAGAATTTCTAGTAAGTCCTGCTGTGCACCAGTGAGGTGTCTGGGCATCTTTGTTCTGGAGATCACAGGTTTTCAAAAGTGGTGGGGCCACGCATGGTGGTGCATGCCTGTCATCCCAGCTACTTGGGAAGGTGAGGCAGGAGGATCCTTAGTGTCCAGCTATTCAAGTCCAGCCTGGGCAAGACAGCAATATCCTGTCTCTTAAAAAAATAAGTAGGCAACAATGTATACTTCAAAACATCATGTTGTACATGACAAATATGTACAATTTTATCTGTCATTTATAAAAAGAAAAAATTACTTGGATGTATATCAAGAATGTGTTATATCTTTGAATAAAGATTTGTAAAAAGAAAAAAGTGGTAGGCACTTCTAGGTATATATCCTACAGAAATGCAAGCATATATGCTCCAAAAATGTATAAAAGAATGCTTAAAACCTATTTGTTATAGCCAACATTCTGGAAATAACCCAAATGTCCATCACTAGTAGAATGGCTAAATTGTGGCAGTTACACAATGGAATACTAGACAGCAATGAGAATGAATGAAATCCTACATGAGCAAAGGTACAGGGAGTCTTGCAAACAGAATATTGAGTAAAGGGATCCTGACGTGAAAGACAGCCTGCTGTATGTTCCATTTATACAGAGTTCAAAGAGAGGCAGATTCACCATGGGGCTAGAGCCTGAACGGAGACGCCCTTTGTGGAGGGCGGTGAGTGGGATGATGGCCGTGTTCTCTACCTTGGCCTGGAGGTGGGATTGGGTACGTTCGCTTTGTAGAAATTCATTGAGCTCATACACTTGTAAACATAAGTGTGCATTTTTCTGCATGCATGTTATCTATTTTTTAAGTTTACTTTTTAAAAGGTGGGTAAAATCAAAGATTTCCCCAAAATGTTCCTCTCTAGAAACTTAGGAGTAGGAACAAATTTCCAAGGTGGTTGTGGGGGGATGGCGGGGGACTCCAGCACGCTGCCTCCTTCTTAACCAAGCTGGCCACTGTGTTGTTGTCTGATGCCGAGTCCATTTGCCTTTCACCTGGTGTGACTCCACCTTGGCATATGCGGTTATTTCCAGTGTCGTGTCTACACACTCATCGGCCTGTAGAATCCTAGAGAAGTGGGAAGGTGGATGTTCTAGCATCTTCTTTAGGGACTGGGGCGTTGAGGAGCAGGGATTTTTGTTTTTTTGTTTTGTTTTGTTTGAGACAGAGTCTCACTCTATCACCAGGCTGGAGTGCAGTGGTGCGATCTCGGCTCACTTTAACCTCCACCTCTCGGGTTCAATAGATTCTACGCCTCATCCTCCCGAGTAGCTGGGACTACAGGCACGCACCACCACACCCAGCTAATTTTTGTATTTTTAGTTGAGATGGGGTTTCACCATGTTGGCCAGGATGGTCTCGATCTCTTGACCTCGTGATCCACCCGCCTCGGCCTCCCAAAGTGTTGGGATGACAGGTGTGAGCCACCACACCTGACCGGAGTAGGAACTTTCTTAAGGGCACAAAGCCAGTGAATGGCTCAGGACTAAGAGCGGGTAATGCCTGGCCCTGTCCTCATTGCGCGAGGTTGCGAGAACCAAACTGCCTTTTGAGGAGGGGCCTCACTGTTGCAGAAATCCTGGAGCGCAGAGGGGTGCAGTGTCTTGACGGCCACTACCTGGACCCGCTCGAAAGTGAGGTGCTTGTCGGGCCCCTCAGTCACTGGGGCCTTCAGTGTTCTGCTCTTTTATCTTAGCATGTCTCCTGTGAAGATTTTTTTTTTTTTTTTTTTTTTTTTTTTGAGACGGAGTCTCGCTCTGTCGCCCAGGCTGGAGTGCAGTGGCGGGATCTCGGCTCACTGCAAGCTCCGCCTCCCGGGTTCACGCCATTCTCCTGCCTCAGCCTCCCGCGTAGCTGGGACTACAGGCGCCCGCCACTACGCCCGGCTAATTTTTTGTATTTTTAGTAGAGACGGGGTTTCACCGTTTTAGCCGGGATGGTCTCGATCTCCTGACCTCGTGATCCGCCCGCCTCGGCCTCCCAAAGTGCTGGGATTACAGGCGTGAGCCACCGCGCCCGGCCGAAGATTTGTTAAAAAGACATTTCTTTCCTGCGTTTGCATCACGTTCACTTTGTGTTTTTGTACTTACAATCCAGGAGGCAGCATTCCAGAAAGGAAAATGCCGGTGTATGAAGAATCCAGTGACTCCCTCAGCTAAATTCACATCACACGAAGAGGCAGCTTGTTCAGAGGGCTTGGAGGGCCAGCTTGTGAAACCCACATGACCGTGGAAATAGCATGTTAAAAATCCTCTAGGAAAACCAGGGAAATAGGCATTGCAACGAGTGTGTGTGTGTGTGTGTGTGTGTGTGTGTGTGTGTGTGTGTGTATTTTGAGAAAGGTCTCGCTCTGTCACACAGGTTGAGTGCAGTGAGGCAATCACAGCTCACCCTAGCCTCCATCTCCCAAGCTCAAGCAATCCTCCTGCCTCAGCCTCCTGAGTAGCGGGACTACAGGTGCAGGCATTACCACACCCAGCTGATTTTTCAAAAATTGGTTTTATTTGTAGTAGAGACGAGGTCTCGCTGTTAACCCAGGCTGGTCTCGAACTCTTGAGCTCAAGTGATCCTCTTGCCTCAGCCTCCCAAAGTGCTGGGATTACAGGCGTGAGCCACCACACTCGACCAGCAACATGTTTTAAATGCTTTCCTCACTGATTTTTTTTTTTTAACCATGATTTCTTGGTCCGTGCTGGTCTCCATGTAGCCCCTCATCTGACCCCTCAGAGTCCACAGAGCTGTCTTCATGGCACCTGTCCTGAGGCTTGTTCTGGTGGGACCCTCTGCATTTCTGCCAGGCCTCCCCCTCAGACTGGATTCTCCCCATGGGAAAGGCTTAGGATTTGTGGACATTCCACCCTAGACCTCTGGGGAAAGCAGCAGACCAACTTCGCGGGTTGTGAAAAACCATCCGGGCTGGTCGATTGTGTTTCCAGCGGGCTCCACATCTATCCTGAGAGGTGAGTATGTGGCTCCCTCTCCCCTGTGGCAGGGAAATGGTGGAGACTCCTCAGACCATCCATCCTTCCAGCCATGGTAACTTGCCACCAGTATTTAATGTTATGTCTGGGGTTGCCAGACAGAAAGCTGTTTGCAGACAATAGCATGCCAGCCACACAAGCAGACCTTCAGCAAGATGCCCCATTTGGCCAGTTCAGCCGCAGCACCCATGACCTTCTTTCAAGTTCTCTATATTTCAGCCAAATTAAACCTCATGCTGTTCCCAACACATGCCCTGTCTTTTTATCTCTGCGCAGGGCTATATTCCTCTGCCGGGAACACTCTAGGCCTCTTTCTTTCCTAAAATTGACCTGAGGTCAAAGATCAGCTGTCTCAGGAGACCTCTTTGCCTTCAATTAGAGACCAGCCCTTCTTCCTAAGAACATCCATAGGATTAATCTGAACTCTTAGATCCCTTCTCATTCCAGCTCATGGTTTTGAGTCAATCCTCTGAGACTCTGAACTCCTGAAGAGCAAAGAGCATGATGCTCCCACCTCTGAATCCCCAGTAGTGCTGTATGTTCCTGTATTCATGGTTTCATTCCATCAACACACATTTACTGGCACTGCTTCAAAAAGCCCTTTCCTGACCACCTTGTCCAAAATGGGCTTTTGTACCACTGAGCACAATCAAACATCCTTTTTTTATTTATTCTTTTACTTGTAAATTCCCTCTCTCCCTAGAATGCAATTCCAATCTGTCTTGTTCACATCTATATTAGTCTATTCTCACATTGCTATAAAGAACTACCTGAGATTGGATAATTTATAAAGAAAAGAGGTTTAATTGACTCACAGTTCTGCAGTCTTAACAGGAAGCATGGCTGGGAGGCCTCAGGAAACTTACAATCACGGCAGAAGGGAAAGCAAGCGCATCTTACCACAGCGGAGCAGGAGAGAGAGCACTTGAAGGGGGAGGTGCCATACTTTTGAACCATCAGATCTCGTGAGAATTCATTCAGTTTCATAAGAACAGCAAGGGGGAAACTGTCCCCATGATCCAATCACCTCCCACCAGGACCCTCCCCTCACATGTGGGGATTACAATTCAACATGAGATTTGGGTGGGGACACAGAGCCAAACCATACCAACCTCAGCGACAAGTATAATACTTAGCATAGAGTAGGTGCTCAGATAGCTGTGGATGAAGGTATCAGTTAAGGAATGAATGCATGGAGCATATAGGTGTGACTTGGGTTTTGCACAGAGCTTTCAAACAGCAAGCAGGTTGAGAGCCCCAGGCCTCTATGAGAGTGGTTAATCTGTGACCCAAGATGTGTGGGGTTAGTATTAGGTCTGTGTGCCCACAGCATACCCTGGCACCACCCTCCTTGCCTGCCCATTGGAATGGGCATGTTCTGCCATCGGGTGATATGGTAATTCTCTGCAAACGTCATTGTGCACTCATCTCCATATGCAAGTCCCAATTCAAATGAGAGGAACAGCACGACTCATGCATTTGGGCCTGCACTTAAATGCCTTATGAGCTTCAAGGAAAAGCATCAGTCTCATAAAATTTAGGAAGAGTTAACAGAAATTAAGAGTGAGTAAAGCAAAATAGCAGTGATATCTTCCTAATGATGTTCAGCCTCACTTCACCCTCCTGAACATTTTCAAGGATCTGTGGCCATGTGAAACCCTGAAGGGAAGGGAACTTTTATTCCACATGCCACTTGGATGGCATCGAGAGCTCTTTTCTGCACTTGCAGAGATTTATTTGCAAGGCTTTTCCCTCCTTTAGGATCTCAATTAGGGGCAAGTGGACTATTCCCAGGGTGAAGTGTGTTCAGCATGTAGAAAAACGCCTTTGTGTCGGTTAGTAGAATGTCCTACCATTTGCGAAATGAATTTACGAGGAAAAGTCCAAATTAAATAGGGATTACACTGATCCCTTTTAAGAATTTTCAATTCATATTGGCGCATTCTATTTTCTGGTGTGTGAGCACTAAACCAAAAACAGTCCTGCCTCAAGTGCTGGGATCTACATACCCATTAGGCCAGGAATTCATTATGCAAAGCAGCTGTTCTACCAACAGCCAAGTGTCCCAAGACAATTCCCCTCACATGTGCTTCTCCTGCTGGGAGGCACGTCAACCCCCCGCTGTGCACGAGCTCCTTTATTTGCTCCTGTCTCTTGCTGCTCATTTGGCAGCAGGTGACCGCGAAGGTGCCTGCCTAGGCACAGACATCCACGCAAGCACCACCTTCACCTCTGGGAACACTCCCCAAGCACCTATTCCTCTCACTTCCACCTGTCTGTTTCAAGGAAACAAAAGAGCAGGCAGAACAAAGGGTGCATTTCTTAGAGATTATCTTTAGTAGCTGCACATTCAAAAGCAGACAGACTGGTATTTTCCTAGGGTTACAAAGGAAAACTCACTTCTATACCTCACGTTTACCACTCTTCTGCACGAGTGTTTCTGTTGTTCTTAATGCGTTCGGAGCCTGCAAAGCTTGATATGGTCTAGTTAGGACTCGCTCCTTGGGAAAGCTTCCTAGATATTTCCAGGGAGTCCCGAGCAGCTCCAGGAGCAGGCCCTGCCTGAGGTCCCGGTTGCTGGGATTCAGCCTCCACACAACACATGGTGTTTTCTCTAGCAGGTTTCTCCAACGAGTCCGGCCTTTCTTTGGCTCCCTTAACTGAGACCAACACACACCATTCCTATGACCCCAGTTGCGTGGTTGGTTTTCTAGAACCTTATGAAAGAAATGCAATGGTAGGAAATTATATATATATATATATATATATTAGACAGAGTTTCACTCTTGTTGCCCAGGCTGGAGTGCAATGGCGCAATCTCGGCTCACCACAACCTCCACCTCCCAGGTTCAAGTGTTTCTCCTGCCTCAGCCTTCTGAGTAGCTGGGATTACAGGCACCTGCCACCACGCCCAGCTAATTTTGTATTTTTAGTAGAGACAGGGTTTCTCCATGCTGGTCAGGCTGGTCTCGAACTCCCGACCTCAGGTGATCCACCCACCTCAGCCTCCCAAAGTGCTGGGATGACAGATGTGAGCCACCGTGCCCGGCAGGGATCCTGATATTATACACAAGGTGCTAGTTAGGAGGTGACATCTGATAGGGACCCAGAAGGTTAGGTCACACTTAAAGGGGAGGGAGCATGACTGGGGAGGAAACAGACCTGGCGAAGATCAAGAAATAGGAAAGAAAGACCTGAGACAGCAGTGTATAGAAGGAGGATATAGGGGAAAGGTTGGCAGGAAAGTCTGGGCTTGCCAGGTGGGCTAGTTTAGCTTTCAATGGGCAGGCTGAGGAGCTGGCTGAGGTTAGGCCGGGGAGAGACAGATCTGCTGGCTGCTGCATTGGGCAGGTGAGCCTGGTGGCGTCTGCATAACAGGATTGGGATGGCCGCTGGTTGAAAGCCTGCTGCAATAATCCAAATAAAACACAACCAGGGCTGCCCCAGCCCAGTAAGTCTGGAAAGATAGAGAATAACGTGGGAGACTGGGATGCATCAGACACGGGATCCCATAACTAGATCATGCATTGGCAGAAATTCCTGCTTCAATGAAGACCTCCCCTCACAATTGCCTTAGTTAGCTACAGAAGAATTCATTCAAAGGCAACCCAAATCTGGAAAAAAATCAAAGATGTGGGAAATGGGAAATAGAATTCATACATTTATTTGCTATAAATATAATTATGTCAAAATGTTTTCTATCAAAAACATTGGCCCAATGGACCAATGCTAAGAAGTTTAAAAAAAAAAAAAAAAAAGCAAAGCGGCTTCTTCTGCCCCCTGGTGGCTTTTGGGGAAAAGTCACTGAAAGGGCAGAAAGAGCAAAGGGGACCAGTTTCTCTCCACTTTGTACCCAAGGGTCAACTGAGCACGCAACACCCTTAAAAATAAGGGAGAAGTGCAGAGGGCTCGCTCCCCTCCCGCGCCAGCTCTCTCTCGGTCAAGGTTGGGCCACAGCCAGTGTCTCCTCCACTAGATCCGAGCCAGTGGCTCTGCCCAGGTGGACAGCAGAGTCGCCGCTGAGATTCTAACTGCTTCCATCGGGGCTCTCGGAGCAGCTGTTGGAACAGGATGGGGAGCAGAGCAATTCTGACAGTGTCAGGAAAACATCCCCCTGGCTTCCCCGTGCCCAGGCTTGAAGACCCAGGGGCTGGATACACAGCCACGGACACAACAGAATTCACTTTTAACGAGGCTTCAGAAAACAACGTTTAACTATATAAACACCTGTTTTTGGAAAATGCTGCAGATCTATTTCCAAATACTGTCTTCCAGCCCACTCTCGCTCCCACTGAGGCAGCATCCCACGGGACCCAACGTCACCACTTTTCCAGTCCAAAAAATGTGCTTTCGATGTCCTGATTTGAGGCTGCTCTTCCTCTAACCTGTGCGGCTCTGTGAAAAGCCAATTTTAAGATGCGATGCCTCCTCCAGAATTCGCCTGTATGCAGAAGAATGATGCAGAAGGAGGCAGAAAAGCCGGAGCAGTTGGGGGCAAGATGAAAACAGTCTAGTCATTATCAGTTAAACTGTAACTGCGTGCGGCAGCGTGCTGAGCGAGACAATCAGCGGAGCCCGTGAAATGTTGCTGGTTTTCCAGATAGCCCGTTTAGTTTTGTCTCAAACAAAACAAACAAAAATGTGCATAATTGTACCCAGGTCTCAAGCCCGTTTTATTTCTCCATTATACCAAGGAAAACTTGAATGGTGGCCCCACTGGAGTGAGGCTCCCGTGAATATGAATAATTGTTCATGAATATGAATAATGGGTTCCTATGAATAATTGTTTATCCACATTCGATTAGAGAGCAGCAGCCATTAGCATCTTTTTAGCCTTCTGACATTAGGGTCTTCTTTGTGAGCAGGTATTTAAAATGGATTCAATTCCACGGTCTTGAAGGCCTGTTCCGATATCGTGAATTTTGCAGATAACTGTAATTTATCCTGTAAGAGAACCTTTTGATTGCTTTAACTATGAAATATTTCCATTGCATTATACATTTGCTTATAATAGAGTATAGGAAATGTATTTTAACCATTTCCTGGACAATTCAACATTGTCATTACCAAAGTCAACTCTCCGACTGGCCTGAAACTACCCTGTTGTTTAGATAACCTTAGCTAAGTAGAGTTTACTCCACCTTTTTTCTGTAATGTTTGTTAAAACTTGAATCTTGTGACCTTTCTTTTTTGGTTGATACCTGCTTTGATCAAGATATAACGGGCTGAAGAACAGCAGCGAGGCTGCGTGCTGAGCTGTCTACACCTGCAAATCTCATCAACTCCTATCAGCTGGGCAGCAGGTTGCCCAGTTCACCACTCCTGATGAGGAAGCTGAAGTTTGCTGAACTTCCTTCTGGCACTAACGTCACACACTTCATAGCGCTCCTAGGACTTGAACTTAGTCTGGTTTGCCTTCCAAGTCCAGATTCTCCAAAACATTTTTTCTTTTTCTTTTAACTTACTAAGTAGGTGAATAAAAGGATGCGGGTGCTTGCTGGGGGAATGTGGCCAGAAGGTTGCTCCCGGTCTGATGTCAGCGCTCCCTACCCACGGTTGTCCACAGGGCACGGGTGGAATGCTGTCGGCCATGCACAGGGAGAGCTGGTCAGGGTAAAATGTGCAACCTTCCATTAGCACGTTGTTTCCAGTTCACTTTTTCCTTTTACTTTGGTGCCAAAAATTTCTTCAGAGAAACATCTCCACAAAGCCCCATGCTCTTTCTCCTATACCACATAGCCCTAATGGCGCTCCCAGGAATAAGGCAGGAGATTTGGTGCATGAATTCCAGCCCATTCTAGCTGCTAAGCGGTGATTGTGTTTCCTTCCTTTCTGCCTTTTCTATGTTCCAGATGGTGAAGTGGCCAGATAAGCAGCCTACAGATAAGTGAGGTCTACAATTCATCACACACCGATAATGCTGACATATAACAGTTTCCGTATCTTTACAAAGGCAATAAATGGGTAAGAGAAATGAATAACACTCATTAGAATAAGGCCAAACTAGTCTCCAGATTTTCCCTTTAAACTTCGCTCCTTTAGTTCCAAACTTTCCCAACAGAATAATTAGTGACTTTATCAGAAATATTAAATACTTCAAGCATAATCACCAGCTGCTGTAGATGCAGAAGCATTAATTGCATACTGCTGGCCACACACTGATTATTTTCCTGGCTTTGTTAGTAAAATAACAAATAGAATTGCAACGTGGCTCAAGAACAGGCAGAAACCAGGAAGACTGGAAGTAGTCATTCGTACTTTCTGCAGGCGCTGCCCTTCATTCTTGCACAGAACTCCCATGGCCACTGCCCGTCAGCAGGGGCCCCTTCCAATCTCCCACCCCCACAAGCTCTGCCCAAGGGGATCAGCAACCAATTTTTGGTGAAGCAAGTCCAGACCAACCTCCCCATATCTAAATGAAATGCCTCCACTGAAATTCCATATGATCTATGGATTGAGACATTGACACGCAGCTTGGGTTAGAAGTAGGCTGGGAAAAAACCCTAGTAATCAAAATTGCCCTAAAAAATGCAATAAAGGAATAAAACATCTCCAAAAGGCAGAGCCATAAATCTTTCCAATCTTTCTTCTGGGCTGATTTAATCATGTGTACTATCCACCAGCTGTATGTTAACCAGTATAAGGGAGATGTTATGATGAGTATTTATTTTCTCCCACCTTTCTTTTGCAGAGTTAGGTCACTGAAGATTTTTGAGTAGACTTCTTTTGTAAGATGCATGAACATCCTTTGATTGCTATAGATTCAGAGATTGTTATTGATAAAGTTTTTTATTTGGATAAAATAAATATGCAACTAGAAAACTAGAAACCTGGAAGAAAATTTAAGATGCAATATTTGAAAGTGGAAATAAAAGAACAGGAATCCTGTGTAAATATTTCTGAATTAATCTTTCAGTCATTCAAATTGTTCTTTAAGGAAGCAGCATCTCTGTACATAGCTTAACTGTAAATCTAAATGGAACAGTTATCTTAGGAAACTGATATAGTAATGAGATGCTACAAACGCACATAGGCATAGCTGCACTTAAATCAAACGTGGGACTAGATTGCACAATGGGAATTACATATGAGAAACCGCAAAGTGTCAAAGGAAGTTGCCCACAAACAAATGTTCCCCTGTCATAGTACCACAGTGTTTTACCACATAGAAACCTAAGAAAGTACCAAAGCATGACACATTTTATTTTATTTTATTTTTTTGAGACGGAGTCTCACACTGTCGCCCAGGCTGGAGTGCAGTGGCGCGATCTCAGCTCACTGCAACCTCCGCCTCCCTGGTTCAAGAGATTCTCCTGCCTCAGCCTCCCGAATAGCTGGGATTACAGGCGCCCACCACCATGCCCATCTAATTGTTTTTGTATTTTTAGTAGAGACGGGGTTTCTCCATGTTGGCTAGGATGGTCTTGAACTCCTGACCTCGTGATTCGCCCGCCTCAGCCTCCCAAAGTGCTGGGATTACAGGCGTGAGCCATCACACCCGGCCCGAATTTAAATTTTAATTGAATTAGACATATGTGGCTAAAGCTACCTTATTGTACAGGGCAGCCTTAGCAGTTTGTGTCATTCCTACCATAATCATAAATCCAAACCCTTTATCAAGTTGATTCCGTGAATCAAAACTGAGACATCCTACCATTACTAGGGAGATTTCACTGCGTACATGCTCTCTTGCTGTATGTACATATGTGTGTACAGTATTTGCCTTAAAGGTCAGTAAAGTAACTCACATCAGCAACAGTTAACTTCCGAAGTACAGTCTGGCCACCTCTCGATATTTTAAAATATTCTGGACAAATATGTAGAACTGTTGACATACGACTGAGCTAAAAGCCTTAAGCTCTGAATTCACAAACCTAAAATGCTGTTTTTCTTGTTTCACGATCAAAAAGCTCCAATAGTTGAGAGATGCTATTCAGATTCACTGAATACTGAACTAACAAAGTGTGATGAATTGGATTTCATGAAGTATTCATGAGTTTTCATTTAACATTAATTAAAATTTTAAAAACCTTATGTTAAATAATTTTAAGACCCTGGCACAGACTGACAAGCATGGAAAATTAAGGTTCAGAAGAAAATTTCATTCAAAATCACAATTGAATAATATGTTGGGAGTACATTTATATATATAAATACATACACGTGTAAACACACACACACACGCACAATTTTTGAGAGACAAGGACTCGCTCTGTCACCCAAGCTGTATAGCAGTGGTGTGATCATAGCTCACTGAAGCTGTGAACTGAACTCAAGCGATCCTTGTTTCAGCCTCCCAGGTAGCTAGGACTACAGGCACACAACACGCCTGGCTAATTTTGTTTTTGTAGAGATGGGGTCTCACTATGTTGCCCAGGCTTGTCTGGAACTCCCAGCCTCAAGCAATCCTCCTGCCTTGGCCTCCCAAAGGACCTTTTTCTTATAATGACTCTAGCCTGTAACATCAAAATAAATAAATCTTTAAAACCACTTTTTAAACATATTGCATTTAATCAAACTTTAATGATCAAAGAAACAAAAATACTTGTGCTAGTCACTAACAGTCTGCTTTATACATGCCAGACAAGAATGCCCCTAAGATGGCTGAAATGCTCCATTTCGAGTGGTATTACAAATGCCATGTAAGAGCTGCTATACTAACTTTTAAAAACAGCACTTTTAATTTAGAATTGCTTCTTCATATTGCAGATGAAGAGATGTGATGAGGAAACCACGCTCTCTATATGCATGCAAGCTATTTGGAAGCTCTAATAAAAACTTGGGAAACAAAACGTCTACAGCAACTTTAATTCTTAGTCTACACTGAAACGTGAAAGGTAGTCAGGAGTTGTTGCCGATGGGATTAAAATTGTTTTTACTTTTCTTCAGTATTCTTTTCTATATTGTCTAAATGTTTCCTGATGAACACTGTCCATTTCAACTAAGAAAAGGCTAAGTCCATTCTGGAGGAAAAAAATGACAGTGGGAATTGTAACTAATATTTAAATCACTTGGAAATAGGATTCATTTTATCACCAACCTACCAGGACCCTCTTTACTGTAAAGAGATAAAACACTAGTAAATGTATTGCATAAATATACCACAGACTATTATGAACAATTAAAGCACACTTTATATTTTTTAAAATTTCTCTGTAAACGTTCTAAGATAAATTATATTTGAATTTGATAAAGTCCTATTTTGAATCCCTTTGGGTTATAAAAGTCTATTCCCTAATTTATCTTGTGAAAATCCAGACTTCTGGCTTAAAATGGGATTTACTTTACTCTCTGAGAAAGGAATCCACCGTACTTTGATTT
Organism: Homo sapiens; assembly: GCF_000001405.40. Taxonomy (NCBI): domain Eukaryota; kingdom Metazoa; phylum Chordata; class Mammalia; order Primates; family Hominidae; genus Homo; species Homo sapiens. The sequence goes on from NC_000010.11 coordinate 121,740,260, forward strand.
AGATAACCACATGGTCTGGAACTCCATTTAGTGAAAATTAAATTTTATGACTCATATAGCCAATGTTTTACCTCTGTTTTCTACATATTCACAGCAGGTGAAATGTGTTCAGGAATTTAAAGATGAAAACATATGTCTTTTAAGTAATGACCACCAAGAGCCACTGCAGATAGAAACAGCTTTATTTTTTCCATTCAGGCTTTATCAAATAGCTTGTTCAAAAAGCATATACAAGAGCAAAAAATACCACATGCAGTCAAACTTCTTTTGCCTTATAGTCATTGGCTTTCTTTTAGAAAAGAGTGTGCACTTGAATAACTTCTAATTCAAACATTTTCCAACTGTTTCTACTTCATTTTTCAAGTTAGCAACGACAGATACATTTTAGTTAACTGTTTCATATTCCTTATCTTTATTCATACTGAAATAATATAAAGCCTATAAAATCAAAGCATATACTGTTCAGAAATCTGGAAAGGTTCTTTTACATAATAGATTCTGACACGTTAAGAAACTACACACAACAAATATTTGCAAAATGAATGAAAAATAGGATAAAGCTATTTAAAAGTCAACATAGTAATATTTATCTAAATAATTTTAATCAAATGTACAACATATTTATCTGATATCATCTATCTTTTAGAATACAAAAAAGTGCTCAGATTACATTTAAAAAAATAACAAAAATCTCTTAGAATGGAAATAATTTAAATAAGGACGGTAGCAAGGGGAATTGAAATTACATCTTTGCTCCCAAAACAGGAAGGCAGGTGTGATGTATTTGAAAATCAGAAAGGGACACAACACTAAGATTGCAAATGCAAAGCTTCCTGCCTTGGAAAGATATAAACTGTCTTTGAAAAGTCCTTGTGTCTTTCTTTACAGAAAGTTACGAACATAAAATCAGATCTCTCAGCTAGACTGCTGGTCAAGTAACAAGGTGGGTCACTTTTCTTGACTATGCTTTTCTAGTCCACTATCAGTATTCACTCAGCTGGGGCTCAAAAGGACAAATAGGTGTCCTTTTAAGACACTTTGACTACTTGGATCAATACACTAGCTATTCTCAAACCAACATAATGCATGAATACAGCAGCCAAGTAGAAGGATCTCCAATGCTCAAGTCACTCTGAGTCTTTGCTGGTGTCAACCTACAATGCCACCCTCAAGGAAAGCACAGTGGTTCACAGACAGGGATGATTCATCATTTTCCTCTGAAAATGAATTCTGCAGGAAGAAACCAGAGTTGTGGTAAGATGTTGGAGTCAAGTTTTCTCTTCATCTGATATTCAAGGGTTGTGATCTTTATGAATACCATTTTACATGCTAATCACAAAGACAAATGGAGGGAAGATACAGTGATAACACCAAGTTGGACATTCAAATGCTAAGCGAGCCAAGTACCAGCCCTACCCTGCTTATTTTTAATAATGCAGAGATTACTTACTACACTTTCTGAAGCCTTATTTTGAAATTTATTTCACATTTCAGACATGTCCATAATTTACTGTTGAGGAAATAAAACAGCATGTAGAACATAATTCTATTTATATTAAAATTACATAGGTATGTGTGTATACATACATGACAGTTCTTTTCTCCTTCTGAGTATGGTAGGGTTGTAGATGATTTTTACTTTTTATTTATACTTCTTAATGTTCTAACTGCTTACAGTGTCACTTTTGTTATAATCATAAAATGAAGCTCTTTTCATTTTAGAGGAAAAAGAGAAAAAAGGCTCTATAGATTCTGAAGGCAGTTCCAAGTAAGTCTCTCAAATGCTCTTACGAGACTACTTTGCAGGTCAAAATCCCAGAAAAATGTAAAATCTTGTGATCAGAGAAAATGGCTTTGCTCACTACTCTAGCTCGGTTAGCAGAGTACGCAGCACCTTGGCAGGTGTGACACACACACTCTGAATGAAGAAATGCGGCTGACTTGGATGTTGAGTTTCTAGAGATTTCAGTTTTAAAATCATTGTTTTATGATCCTTTTTATTCTAGTTAGCTGAGGATATTTTCAAATTTTTGTCAAAATTCAGTACATTTTAGAGGAAAGTTTAAAATTAGCAACAGGATTCAAACTACCATGTTTTATAACATGGCTTTTAAGAAACGATGAACCAAAACAGAAAAATGGGCAAAGTGGGGACTAAAAACGGCTTGCTGGCCAAATAGCTGGTAGCAGAAGAGGGGATCAGCTGACAAAGAGGGCACAAGAAAATAACCCTCCTGTTTTTCATCCTGTTTCCCAGACAGCTCGACTATAGCTAAGAAGGGACATGTCTGACTGTCCTCCTGTACCCAGCACAGTGCCTGCCACCTTGACAGGTGGGCAAAGGACTCAGCAAAAGAAAGTGAGGGAAGGAGGGGGCTGGCCTCTGCTCTGAGTTACTAAGGGTGGCAGAAGCCACCCTGACTGTGACTCTCAAATCAAAGGACAAGAAATGGATTGTTCTAGCTCTTGTCCTGGAACAGAGGTCGGAATGATTCCTTCTTCAATGTGATTTGTGGCATAACTATGAAAGTAATCACATACTAATTTCCATTAATAACCAAAGACAAATGTCCTGAGTTGTAAGATAAAAAACTAGTGACTATTTATTTCCTTTGGATGAGACTTAGATCAAGGCAGGAACCAACATTTTTCTTTAAAAAAATTCAATTTCTTACATTTTTAGAAGTAAAGCAAATAATATAACTAGAGTAATTATGTATTTTATTGTCCAAACTGGGATATTTTTTAGAGTAAAAGGGAGTACTATATTCTAGGGGAAAAAACTATGCCAAGACAACAGACATGAACAGGACTGTCCTGAACAAATGGATACCTGATGCTAACACAAGCTCCATTTTAATGTTTTATTTTTTCAAGTTCTCTATTAAACTACATAACATTTGGCAGCAATTTCACATTGAACACTGAGTTGTAACAGCACAGTTTTGTTCTTGAGAAGACATATTTTCTAAGTGATGAAATGAACTTTCTACCTTCCCCATACTTAAGGTTTCCTAGCATAAGTTCAGTTTAAAATGGGCCTGAGGAAACAGTCTGTTTTAATTTCTCTAACAGAACCAAAAAAAATGCACAACTGTGATTAAGTTACTTAGATTCACTTCTTCATTTTACAAAATACAAACAGGAGAATTTGAGCGTATCTTGCTCTAGAAAGAATCCTCCAAAATGATAAATCCCAATTATGGGGGCTAGGTCATAATGCAGTTTTAAAATCTTTATATTAACTATGAGATTCTCACAGATACATTGCCACAAAATATTTTTTAAAAGCCATAGATAGTCAAAATAAAAAATGTCTAATTTGTGGGTGGTGACAGTTATTTCCCCACAGGTACTGAATATGTATCCTGGCACAAATCATCAGCACAACACAGGAACTTCCCGGCAGAGGTGAACAGGTCAGTTTCTGAACAGCAGCATCCGCTCGGAGCACTTCTGCCCCACCAGGCTGGCGTACTGCAGAACAGCAGCCTCCTCACTTGGGTCTTTCTGCTGTTTCTTATAAACACCGTAAGGCATGATGGCTCTCTTGTGAAACACCTGCAATCGGTCAGGTTCCGTACTGCGATCCTCATCCACTGCAACGACAAAAAATACTGATTTGTAAAATGTCACATATCAAAACTTTTTGTTTCCTTTTTTTTTTTTTTTTTTTTTTTGAGACAAGAGTCTTGCTCTGTCGCCCAGGCTGGAGTGCAGTGGCGCTGTCTCACCTCACTGCAACATCCACCTCTCAAGTTAATGCGAGTCTCCTGCCTCAGCCTCCCAAGTAGCTGGGATTACAGGTGTGTGCCACCACACCAGGCTAATTTTTGTATTTTTAGTAGAGATGGGATTTCACCATGTTGGCCAGGCTGTCTCGAACTCCTAACCTCAAGTAATCCTCCCGCCTCAGCCTCCCAAAGTTCTGGGATTACAGGTTTGAGTCACTGTACCCAGCCTTCATTTCTTAATTTAAAAAATTTTTAACTTAAAATATAAAAATTATGTATTAAGATATCTTTGATGAGTATGTTCAAGTGAGGGTGGGCAGCATTAATATTAACACAAACTTGAGTATGTTAGCAATTAAGTAACAACTGCCATGCTGAAGGTGATAAAGACCCTCCAGGATGACAGCTGAAACACCAAGCAGAGACAAAATGTGTCTAATTAGAACACTGGCCTCCTGCACCTTTATTATTTTCTGGCACATGATAAAGTTTACAACTCTCCGGCATCATTCCTGCATCTGATTTAAGTCTGTTTTGCCTCTCCCTGTACCAACATATTATCTGAAGTTTTAATCTCTGCACTGAAGCTTTTGGCTGACTCTGCAGTTGTGAATTACTAGGTATGGACAATGCACCCTCATGGTCTTAGGTAGGAGGGCAGGTTCCTACAGCTTTCATGGAAGACGTGGAAGAGACCGTTGGTGGCTGCCACTATCTGTCCTTCTCTTCTTTCATATAAAACCAGCCCCGGTTTTCTTCAGGGTACACAGGTCACCCAGACAAAAGCCTGTTTCCCAGCCTTCCTGTGGCTGGGTGTGGGCTCATGACCAAGTTCTGGCCAATGGGATACAAGTGGAAGTGTTTTGTGGAAGTTTCCAAGCATCTTTTCCAAAGGATAGCTGACCTGTACCTTTTGCTGATTTTCAACCTTTCCTTCATTCTGCTGCCTGGAACGTTGGACTTCATGGCAGGATCCCTACCCTCCACCTTGGAGTTTTGGGCTAAGAGCTTACTTTCAGTTCAGCCAAAACAAAAGCTAGAAGGGACCTGGGCAACTGAGGACTTCATGGAACAAAACTGCCATACCAGCTCCAGGTTGCCTATGTCTAGATATTTACATTACAAATAAACTATCTTGTTTAACCCAATATTACCTTAGGTTTCTATTACTGGCAGTCACTCCTAATCCTAAAGAATATAGAGAATAATGTTACAGTATCTACTAAAATGTACAATGTTTTCACTGACTCAATAAGTCTACTTCTAAGAACAATCCTACAGCAGTGGTTCTCAAGCCTGACTACATATTGTAACCACCTGAGATTTTGAAAAATACCAAAGCCTGGATCCCCTCCCCGGAGATCCTAATACAAAAACTACTCTGAATGGGACCTGAGCTTCAGTATTTCCTCAAGCCCTTTAAAGTGGGTTAAGAACCACAGGCGGGGTGCAGTGGCTCACGCCTGTAATCCCAGCACTTTGGGAGGCCAAGGTGGGCAAATCACGAGGTCAGGAGATCGACACCATTCTGGCTAACACGGTGAAACCCCGTCTCTACTAAAAAAAAACCAAAAAACAAAAAAATTAGCCAGGCGTGGTGGCGGGCGCCTGTAGTCCCAGCTACTCAGGAGGCTGAGGCAGGAGAATGGTGTGAACCCGGGAGGCGGAGTTTGCAGTGAGCCGAGATGGCATCACTGCACTCCAGCCTGGGCGACAGAGCAAGACTCTGTCTCAAAACAAACAAAAAAAAGAACCACTGTCCTAGAGAAACACCCATACAAGTGTTTCCATGCATGTATGAGGCTGTTTATGGCAACACTCTCTCTTAGAAACTGGAAACAGCCTGAATGTCCATCGATGGAGAACTGGGTAAAGAGTTAAGGTATATCCACAGAATGAAATGTTATACACAACTATTAAAAAGACAAAGGAAGATAGACTGTTAAGTGAAAGGCAAAAGTAGGCACAGTATAAACAATAGTTATTTTATTTAAAAGTCCAATATAAAAAATCTGGAGACATATATGTCAGCCTGTTAATAGAACGTATTGCTAACCCTTCCCTTTGCGCAGAATTACCCGCTTCCCCAGAGTACCTGACAGCTCACCCTCTTACTCCCCTGATCACTGTCAGAGGGCTTCCCTGGACCCACATAAAATAGAAAATCCACTCTAGTTCTCCTCCATCTTTCTTCATAGCACTTACCGCCACCTGACACATATATTTACTGCCTATTTCCCTTTCCATTAGGAATAAAGTGCTGTGAGAAGAAATATTTCAACTGTTTCGTCTGCTAATACTTCCCCAGTGCCTAGAACACTACCTAGCACACAGTAGAGGCTCCATAAATATTTGCTGCATCAATTCCTGGGAGTAGAATTAATTACAGACTTTCACGCTGGGACACACACACAAACTCATCTTTTTTTATATTCTACAAGACTTTTGTAATCTAAAAAATAGTTGTTTTTAAGGTTAATTTAAGCATTTTATTTTTCTAAATTTGAATTTCCTGAAAATAAAAATAGAAATGCCAGCCTCCTTTTCTATAAATCAACGGGACTGTTTTAGGAGATTTCTTAGTCTTCCAGCTATAAACTCCTATATCTAGTTCTCAAAGCCCAAAGCCCAAAGCCAATGATCAACTTTTCACAGTACATTCACTACAAATTTAATCAAACATTTTACTGGATGTCCACTTCATACAAGGCTCTATGCTCTGAATACTTAAGTTAGATTACATCCCTTATTTTGTAATTGTAGCAAAAAAAAAAAAAAGTTTATTCTTCCTCAACAGTCGTTGCTTTCTCTAAAGGGACATAAATTAATCAGGAGAAATCATCCAAGCTCAATTTCAAAAGTGACAGGCATAACACTCTTCTTCCGACATCTAAATGAGAGTGTTCCTACTATATGAATTTATTTCAGAGGCTTAGCTGATCTCAGTCATCTTAGAGAATGTCAGTTAGGGCATTCCCCCAAATGACTACATTCTATGCCTGTTCAGAGGTTTGTAGCAGGAGATACAAGCTAATTATGTGCTGTTAGCCAAAAAGAAGTTCTACACTGGCAGAGAAGACCACAGTCTTTCACTGACAAACAGCTTGGGATGGCATGGAGGGATGAGGAGAAAGGAACATCAACGATGCCAGCCAGAGGGCCTTCACATCCACAGAACTGAGTGCCATTGTCGTTTTCTATTGTTAATTTGTCCAGGGACATATTCAAAGGAGATCAAGATGAAGATGGACATAAACTGTCAAGAGAAGGAACTTCTCAATATTGCTGTTTCATCTGCGCCTGCTTGCCCTCAGCTCCATTCCTCGCCCTCCACCTGTTCTGCTCTGTATTGCAGGAGGCTGGCTCCTGCAGGCTCAGCTGGTCTCCAACTGGGTTCAGCCAGTAACAAGAGACTGGAGCTGGGGGGATAAAGAAGCAAGGGCATTTTCCCCCCAAACCTCTCCTCTCTCTTCCATGGCTCTGCTTTTTGGAAGCTGCTCTAGCTGCTCTTGAAGTTGTCAGGGTTCTGGGTAGCCCTGACCCCTGGGCCCCCTTTCCTCTTCAGCACAGGGTAGCAGTGTCTTCCTACTACTGCTAATCTCTGGGTCACCTTTCTGTGCCTTGCTTGGCTCTCAGCAACACCACTGCCTGTTATCACCAATTCCCTGCATTAAATTTTCTCTGTTGTAAATACTTGAAGTGGTTTTGGTGTTCCTGCTTAGATCCTGATACACATATGAATTTAAAACTATGTTTCTTACAAATTACTTTATCCAACCAAAGGGGAAAGTCCACATACTTTGAAACAATTATATGTTTAACATGTCCTAGGTTATCACATCCCTTACCAGGGTAAATGACAAACAAAGGAAGAGGCAATACTTTGATTCCTGCTGTCCATTTTGGATATTTTAATGTGTGCACATTGCAACATGAATAACAATCTCCACCATCTAAATGTGTCTAGCAGGAAAAAGGCAGATTCAAGTATGTTTAGAGTCTCATACAAATAAAAAAGTGAAGATCGGTGAGATCAGCAAGTGAAAAAGCAGCAAGAACAATGGCAAAACAAAATTTTCTAAATCTAAAACCTTGAATTTTTTAAATTGGAATTTTAAAGTATGTCTATATTTATACAGAATGATGCTTAACAGTTTAAACCTTTATCCTAAAATATTTGGGGACAGATATACTTTAAGACCCCAATAAATGAAACACCCTAGCAAATAAGAATGTGAGATCTGATATGTCATTTTATCTAAAATAAAATGTCATCCTTTAATTTTTACTCTTTTCCAGTATGATATATACAAATAAAAATACAAGATTATGAAAAACCCTACCATTATGTATAATTTACATCAATTATTTTAAAGTGTATTCCCTGTGGAGAGCAGAAATTTTGTTTCATTTGTCAAAATATAGACTTCCATTCTATTTATTGAGATCACATGAAAAAGCTATAAAATTACACACTGTCATATTTTTGGGAAACACTACAATATCTATGTTTCAACCACTGAATTCCAAATTGGCTTATGATGTCACTGATATCTGTTAACAAACACATACAATTAAGTCTCCTAAACTTCTAAATTAATTGACAGCATTTTTATAGAGTTATGGCACAGAAATTAATCAAGTTCAATAGTTTTTTTGTTTTTTTTTTTAACCCAAAACACTTTTGAGGCCTAGAATTGTTCTGGATCAAAGCTGTCAAATCCATAATAAAGTATCTTATAAAGCAGATATTGAGAAGCTATTCACTTTTTAATGTCATACATAATTATAAAAAAGTGATACTAATGAATTTTAAAATCCTCTCATTCTCTTCAATGTTAATGCATCCAAGTCACTTGGAATCACTTGGAAATCCAACTATATTTAGTCTTAGTGTTCAAATCCTTCAGAAGCTTGTAGGATTGTTGTTTAATACTGCAAGTAATGTGGTGCTAATTCTATCACCAACACACAGACTATGCTGAAACTTGATGGAAACTTTTTAATTAATTTACTAAAATACGACTTAATTTTGTCAACTGTCCCAAATTCTTTAGTTTTCCCATGAACACACTTTGACTATAAAAATGGCACAGAAACATCTAATAATATGTGTTGCCAGCATCTGTCAAGCTCCTGCCCATACCTTCCTTCAAACCTAACTGCTTCCCTGGGTTAATGTTCATAATGCCCAATACACCAGGTTCTAACATTTCACAAAATCCTCAGTACTCAGGTAAGATTTTATCTAATTCTGTAGTTACATTAATTCAAACTTAATTTGCACATTCTGTCAGGAACAATTTATTCAACCAAGAAGGTATACTCAGATATTAACATACAAGCAAATAAAAACATTTAGTTTCCCTTTAAAAATTAATACTAAGCCTATCTTTTCTCACGTGAAAAACCCTTTAATTGTAACTCAAATTTAGAATTCTGCCTACCCAAAGAAATCAAGCTACAACTGCAGTACTTTAGAAAAAGGAAACACAGATCAACAAGACATACAGTGATAGAAACAAAGGAAAGATACACTATCCATTTTTAAAAACTATCAAACTGAATGAACTCAACAAACTGTCTTGGAATTAGTTATCAATTAATTAATGAATATTCAATAACGACATTAATTTTTAATTTTACATCATTTTTAGTCATCAAAGTAATGCCTGTTGTAAAATTCAAGTAACATAGAAATAAACAAAGCAGAGACTGACGTCAGCCCCCCATGCAGAACCCTCACTTCTACAGTTTCCTCCTACCCTCACCAAACACCCATCCAAGTTACCAGTGTTTTAACAATTTCATAAAATGCATTTAAATATTAAAATACAGAGTTTTGGATCACATTCTAGCAATACCTTAATTTAAGGAAGAAACATCAAATTACCCCTTCAGTGGGTATAATATATTAACTTGAAAAACTACTGATTATCATTATAGGCAAAACATACTTCTGTCTTCTGGGCTTAATGTTCTGTGGTCTTACACTCACTTAGTTACGTTCCTAAGAAAGGCAGATTCTAATTCTTAGCATATTCTACATAATTAACATGAAAACCTAAGCAAAAATACTTAAGCCATTAACAATAAATTATGATTTATATACTAAAGGAAAAAAGGTACTCCAAATCCTTACAAAACCCCTTTATAATCATCTTTTCTTGCTTGCCTAATAAATGTCATCAGTGTAGACAAAAATCTCTAGAGCTGAACCCACACAGCACAACAGGCATTTTCTTAGGTGATCTTGAAGATAACAGAAAAATAAGCCATTTGGAGATTAAGGACCATGTGCCATTTCATCTAAGAAAAACTCTCGGCTTACTGAGATGTCTTAAAAATATGTTCCAACTAGAACTTCTTCCACTTTTCCTGTCTCTGATGTATCACAATCTAATTTCATACAATAACAACCAAAGGCAATCCTGCAAACTCTCTTCTGAGATGAGCATTTGATCACTAGCGATACAAATATATTGTCAACTCCATGAAATTTTAATCTTCAAGGAAAACTGGTGGGCAACAACTACTTGATTTTTTCCCCCAACTTTTTATTCACAGGAGATGAAATGCACAATACAGGTGCTTTCAAAGGACAAGAATCTAGAGATCAAAGCTTTACTTCTCCTTCTTATGGGGATTTAACTCATTTGTTATTCTTAAAGAGACTTTATAACTTCTAGGCTTTCCAAAAATTAATGAAAGTCTATTCTCTTAACTTCATTATTTACTGCTACATACAGCATTACTACATAAATAAAACAAGTTACATACTCCAAGGAAGATACTTATATAAATGGCAGATGGCTGGAGATAGCTGGACAAAACTGATTTAATAATTTAAAATTTTCCACAAATGAATGACAGCGGAAGAAATACTCTACAAAAACGCAACTCTGGAAGTTCAAAGTCAAGTATGATTTAGAATATTTTAAAGTGACAGGAGATATTAACAAATTTTTTAATCTTTACGAGGGAGGGGACAGGAAAGGTGAGAAGAAAGGAAGCTTTTCAGCATAAAATAGCAAAAGAACAGGCCGAGAAATGCAGAGCAGTTGTGACAGAAATAACAAGGCTCCCAGCCCATTCTTTAAGCCCATTTGGTGGGAGGCTCAGAAATTAATTTGGGACTCCAGCTGAGAGAATTACGCATGTTCATATTCTATAAAGTAATACTGTTGTAATTTCACTCGGAATATTTTTGGTCAAAATGAAAACTAAGAAATATCTAAGCTTGTAAAATGTCATTTAATAACAGCTTTATTGTGATATAATTTACATACCATGTAATTCACCCATTTAAATTATACAAACCAAGGACTTACAGTGTATTCACAGAGTTGTGCAACCATAACATCTATTAGCAGTCAACATACTGAAGAACTGCCAGACTGTTTTCCCAAGTGGCCGCCTCATTTGACATTCCCACCAGCAGTATACAAAGGTTCCAATTTCTCCACATCCTCATGAGCACTGCTATTAGCTGCTTTCTAGGTTGCAGCCTTCTTAGTCGGTGCATAGCAGTATCTTTTTGTGATTTTGATTTGCATTTCTCCAATAGCTAATGATGCTGAGCATCTTTTCATGTGCTTATTGCCCATTCATATGTCTTCTTAGAAATGTCTGTTTAAATCATTTGCCCATTGTTAATTGGGTTGTCTTTTTATTGAGTTGTCAGAATTCTTTACATATTCTGGTTACTAGATCCTTATTGAATGCATTATTTGGAAATACACTCTCTCATTCTGTGAATTATCTTCACACCTTCTTGACTGGGTCTCTGAAAGGACAAAAGTTTTAAATTTTGGTAAAGTCCAATTTATCAATTTTTTTTCTTTTGTTGCCTGTGCTTTTTGTATCATATCTAAGAAAACACTGCCCAGTGCAAGGTGATGAAGATTTACTCCAATGTGGCCGGGCGTGGTGGCTCCCACCTGTAATCCCAGCACTTTGGGAGGCTGAGGCGCATGGATCGTGAGGTCAGGAAATCGAGACCATCCTGGCTAACAGGGTGAAACCCCGTCTCTACTAAAAAAAATACAAAAAAATTAGCCAGGCACGGTGGCGGCCGCCTGTAGTCCCAGCTACTAGGGAGGCTGAGGCAGGAGAATGGCATGAACCCAGCAGGCAGAGCTTGCAGTGAGCCGAGGTTGCGCCACTGCACTCCAGCCTGGGCGACAGAGTGAGACTCTGTCTCAAAAAAAAAAAGATTTACTCCAATTTATATTTCTAAGGTTTTTTTTTTTTTTGAGACGCAGTCTCCCTCTGTCGCCCAGGCTGGAGTGCAGTGGCGCAACCTCTGCTCACTGCAAGCTCCGCCTTCCGGGTTCATGCCATTCTCCTGCCTCAGCCTCCCGAGTAGCTGGGACTACAGGCACCCGCCACCACGCCTGGCTAATTTTTGTATTTTTAGTAGACACAGGGTTTCACCATGTTAGCCATGATGGTCTCGATCTCCTGACCTCGTGATCTGCCTGCCCTAGCCTCCCAAAGTGCTGGGATTACAGGCGTGAGCCACCGCACCTGGCATTTCTACGAATTTTATAGTTTTAGCTCTTACATTTAGGTCCAACCCATTTTAATTTTTGTATATGGTGTGAAGTAGGGGGCCAATTTCATTTTTTTGAAAGATGCAGGACCATTTGTTGAAAGGCTGTATCCTTTTCCCTGAATTGTCTTGGCATCCTTTTTGAAAACTAACTGACCATAAACATGAGGGTTTATTTCTGGACTCTCAACTCTAGTCCACAGATCTGTATGTCTACCTGCATGCCAGGACCACATAGTGTTAACTTTATTATTCTTTTTAAAGATTGTTTTGGCTATCCTGGGTTCCTTTCATTTCCATGTGAATTTTATGATTGTCAGTTTCTGCAGGGAAGCCAGCTGGGATTTTAATAGATCACTGCTCTGAATCTGTAAATGAATTTGAGGAGTACTACCATCTTAACAATATTAAGTCTCCTGATCCATGGACATGGGATGTTTTCTTCACTTATTTAGGTCTTCTGTAATTTCTTTGAACAATGTTTTGTATTTTCCAGAATATAATTTTTGCATTGCTCTGTTAAATTTATTCCTAACAATTCTATTTTAATGCTGTTGTAAACGCAACTGTTGATAATTTCATTTTTAAATTGCTCACTGTTTAAGTGTGTAGGATAAAATTGATTTCTGTGTATGCTGAACTCATTTTATTTGATAGTTCTTTACATTCTTTAGGATTTTCTATGTACAAGGTCATGTCATCTGAGAATAGAGACAGTGTTTCTTCTTCCTTTCCAATCTGAATGCCTTTTATTTCATTTTCTTGCTGAACTGGCATGGCTAAAATATAATATTTCAAAGGAAAAAAATCTATGCAATTTAGTTAAACTCATGATATGTTGATTAAAAACAACATTGGCTCCCAAAAGTCACATAACAAAATATAAATTATATAATTTATCAAGATGATTCTAGCCAGAAAGAACTCCAGGTTAATTTTGATATTATGGTCATTTGGTATCAAAGTCCAGTAAAAGGTCACCAGAGAAAAGCAGAAAGAATGCAAAAATCAGGCAATTGCATACAAAAAAATCACATCAACTTTATCACCTCAGCACATATACTGCTGGTAGGATCTGTAAATACTGGCCAAGTAAAATGCTAATAAAATCTCTTATGATGATGAATAAGGACTCTCAAATTTCTATTCTATGTTTTGACCCCTAAATACTCATCTTAGACACTTCCTATTTCACCGTTTATCTTTATCCTAATAAAGGCGAGGCTTAAAAACTCATAGAATATAATGAAAGAAACGTAAATTAAAACATGCTATTACAGGATTTCTCAAAGATGAGAGGGAAGTTGGTTTATGTGCTGGGGCTGGGCCAAAGAGACATTTGTGAGTTCAGGCTGGCAGGACTGGGCCAATTCTGCCCCATGTGGTCAAGAAATTAGTTACATACAAGGGAACTGAGCATATAAATAAATATACTGAGAAAATGGGGAGGCCAGATTTCTCAGTCAGAGAATGGAGCTACAAGTATGGAAAAGGAGAAGACTAGAACAAACTGTTGTGCTGGATTAAAATTCCAGATACTGGTGAAAACCCATGACTTTTATACCCTGATATAGACATACAGATACACAGGTAGATATAAACGTATGTGTATAAACTCACATATATTGCCTAGATCTGTCTGCTGAGAGGGCTTAGAAGCAATGAAACCCCGGTAGCAATGAGCATACTTATTACTCACATCTTGTATTCTGAATATTACTCTTCACAAAAAATAACTAGGGCTCCTTGGAGACGTGACTAATTATAGAACTGAGTCAGAGAAAGTATAAGATGAGTCTGAAATATTTTGTGCCAGAAAGGAAGTGCTCAAAAAATGATGGGGACTTGTCAAAAGAAAACATGAGTCACCCTGAAAAGGCTCCTACTGGCCAAATCTGAGACAATTTGAGCATTCAAAATAAATAATGAAAGTAACAATTTTATAACACATTGATTAGAATGAGATTCCGTGAGTCAATATAAACAACAAACAGGGAAAGAGGACTGCTTTTCCTTATTGTAGAATGCCAACTAATAAAAGTAGAAGTAGTGATAGAATTAGAAAATCATCATTTGGCAGCCATCTCAGTAATAAGTGATTGAGGCAAGAATCGTCAATGGATGTAAAAACCAGTAGATATAAGTCTGACACAATAGGATATTTACACCATCTCAGGACAGCTTTCTACAAAATATTTACCAATTACTTATTAACATGTACAAAATACTTATCAACTTTACAGTGGAGAAACCTGGTACATTCCACTTCCCCAAGTGATAAAAATTCAAGTCACAGTACAGAGATGAATTAACACTGTATACCTCCTGATATGATGCAATACAAACCCAGCATCACTTCTAGGGTGTTCTTGCCAAAGCTATGTGACCTGAATCTAATTACAAAGAAATACTTGATGAACACAAATGAAAAACTACAAAGTGACTGGACTCTTCAAAAATATCGAGGTAACAAAAGACAAGGATATACTATGGTATTGTTCTAGACAAAAGGGGCCTAAAAAGACACAACAATAAATGTAACACAGGATCCTCACTTGAACCTTAGGTCTAAAAAAACAGAGAGAAAAGTAACATAGGCTTGTGTATGTGTGTATGCATTTTTGTGCTATAAAGGACATTACAGGGAAAATCTGTAACACTTGTACAGGGTGTGTGGATTAGATGGTAACATCTCAATGTTACTTTCCTGGTTTTGATGGCCATGTCTAGTAATGTAAAAAAAAGTGTCCTTGTTTTCAGCTAATACACACTGGGATACTGAAGGACAGTGGTGCAATATATCAGAAACTTATTCTCAAATGGTTTAGAAAAAAATACAGAGTAAAACAGAAAAAGTGATAAGGCAAATGTGGTAACACGTTAATAACTGGGGAGTCTGAGTGAAGGGTATGCATATGTTCTTTGTATTATTCTTGTCATTTTCCTGTAAATTTGAAATTTAAAAATAAAAAATGTTGTGTATTAGTCCGTTTTTACACTGCTGATAAAGACATACCAAAGACTGGGCAATTTACAAAAGAAAGAGGCTTAATTGGGCTCACAGTTCCATGTGGCTGGGGAAGTCTCACAATCATGTCAGAAGGCAAGGAGGAGCAAAGTCATGTCTTACATGGATGGTGGCAGGCAGAGAGCTTGTGCAGGGCAACTCCCATTTTTAAAACCACCAGACCTCATGAGACCCATTCACTATCATAAGACCAGCATGGGAAAGACCCACCCCCATAACTCACCACTGGGTCCCTCCCAAAACACATGGGAATTATGGGAGCTACAAGATGAGATTTGGGTGGGGACACAGAGCCAAACCATATCATTCCGCCTCTGGCTTCTCCCAAATCTCGTATCTTCACATTTTCAAACCAATTATGCCTTCCCAACAGTCCCCCAACATCTCAACTCATTTCAGAATTAACCCCAAAGTCCAAGTCCAAAGTCTCGTCTGAGACAAGGCAAGTCCCTTCTGCCTATGAGCCTGTAGAATCAAAACTAAGTTACTTCCTAGATACAATGGGGGTACAGGCATTAGGTAAATATAGCCGTTCCAAATGGGAGAAATTGGCCAAAACAAAAGGGCTACAGGTCCCATGCAAGTCCAAAATCCAGCAGGGCAGTCAAATCCTAAAGTTCCAAAATGATCTCCTTTGACTCCATGCCTCGCATCCGGGTCACTCTGATACAAGAGGTGGGTTCCCATGGTCTTGGGCAGCTCCGCCCCTGTGGCTTTTCAGGGTATAGCCTCCCTCCTTGCTGCTTTCACAGGCTAGCGTTGAGTGTCTGCAGCTTTTCCAGGTGCACAGTGCAGGCTGTTGGTAGATCTGCCATTCTAGGGTCTGGAGGACAGTGACCCTCTCTTCTCACAGCCCCACCCAGCGGTGTCCCAGTAAGGACTCTGTGGGAGGGCTCCAATGCCACCTTTCCCTTCTGCACTGCCCTAGCAGAGGTTCTCCATGAGGGCCCCACTCCTGCAGCAAACTTTTGCCTGGGCATCCAGGCATTTCCACACATCTTCTGAAATCTAGGCAGAGGTTCCCAAACCCCAATTCTTGACTTCTGTGCACCCACAGGCTCAACACCATGTGGAAGCTGCCAAGGCTTGGGGCTTCTACCCACTGAAGCAACAGCCTGAGCTCTACCTTGGCCACTTTTAGTCACAGCTGGAGTGGCTGAGATGCAGGACACCAAGTCCCTAGGCTGTACACAGCACAGGGACCCCTGGGCCCAGCCCATAAAACCACTTTTTCCTCCTAGGTCTCCAGGCCTGTGATGGGAGGGGCTGCCATGAAGACCTCTGGCATAACCTGGAGATATTTTCCCCCACCGTCTTGGAGATTAACATTCCACTCCTTGTTACTTACGCAAATTTCTGCAAGCAGCTTGAATTCTCCTCAGAAAATGGGATTTTCTTTTCTATTGTATTGTCAGGCTGCAAATTTTCCAAACTTTTATGCTCTGCTTCCGTTATAAAACTGAATGCCTTTAACAGCACCCAAGTCACCTCTTCAATGCTTGGATGCTTAGAAATTTCTTCTGCCAGATACCCTAAATCACCTCTCTCAAGTTCAAAGTTCCACAAATCTCTAGGGCAGGGAGAAAATTCCGCCAGTCTCCTTGCTAAAACATAACAAGAGTCACCTTTGCTCCAGTTCCCAACGAGTTCCTCATCTCCATTTGAGACCACCTCAGCCTGGTCCTTATTGTCCATATGGCTTTCGGGCCTTTGGTCAAAGCCATCCAACAAATCTCTAGGAAGTTCCAAACTTTCCCACATTTTCCTGTCTTCTTCTGAGCCCTACAAACTGTTCCAACCTCTGCCTGTTGCCCAGTTCCAAAGTTGCTTCCACATTTTAGGGTAGCTTTTCAGCAGTACCCCACTCCTGGTACCAATTTACTGTATTAGTCCATTTTCAGGCTGCTGATAAAGACATACCTGAGACTGGGCAATTTACAAAAAAAGAGGTTTAATTGGACTTACAGTTCCACATGACTGGGGAAGCCTCACAATCATGGTGGAAGGCAAGGAGGAGCAAGTCACATCTTACATGGATGATGGCAGCAAAGAGAGCTTGTGCAGGGCAACTCCCATTTTTAAAACCATCAGATTTTGTGAGACCCATTCACTATCACAAAAACAGTACAGGAAAGACTTGCCTCCATAATTCAATCATTCACTCCCACTGGGTCCCTCCCACAACATGTGAGAATTATGGGAGCTACAAGATGACATTTGGGTGGGGACACAGAGCCAAACCATACAAAAATGCTAGTGCTAAACTGTGTTCTTCACCTTCCCATCATATTCCCTCATATTTGTGTGTATTCTGGAACCCAAGCATGGCATTTGTACTTTTCTCATTGTTAAATTTTGTTCTGACATATTCCCATCACTCCAGCCTACTGAAGTATTTTCATATTGTTTCTTTTCTTCTGACATGTTAAGAGATCCTTACCAGTTGCACAGTAACGGAAATGTGGCTATCAAAATAAAAATAAAAATGTTAAATAGGATAGAGTCCTGAGACAAGAACAAAGAAGGTACTATACTTAATATAAGTATGTATATGTGTAGCTAATAATTTTTTTAAAATTATCAAATACATTGAATCAGTTCATCTTAGGATCTATTATGTTCAGTTTGCCTATAAGTTTTTTGTTTTAAATCAATAGCTTTAAATTCTACCATATTTCACAGGTCACAAAAGCTATTAAGCTATTACCATGATGGTAAATGGACAGGCGACCTCTTTAGGTCACAAAGCCAAATTCCCATTTACAATGAAAGGGAGTCATAAGACTAATTTCCAAAGAATGAATTTGGCATTGGGTTGATCTTTGATTCTTTCCAAAAGAATTAAGCTAGAGACTTCTAAAAATACCTTTAAGTAGCAATACCTCTGAAAATTTCCTGGAGCATAAAATTAAATTAGAAATTATAGTATTAATCTTAGGGGCAAATACAAATTCACTTTCCTTACAATAGTATTGGCTTTCTGTGGAGACAGCCTCTACCGGAGGAAATATAACCATACGTTATTTTGCTGGACTTTAGTGTGCTTCTCAGATATTGAGGGTTTGTTTGTTTGTTTGTTTGTTTTTACAAATTAAAGATTTGTGGCAACCCTGCATTGAGAATAGGTGCCATTTTTCCAAGAGTATGTGTTTACTTGGTTTATCATGTCACATTTTGGCAATTTTCCCAATATTTCAAATTTTCTCATTATTATTATATCTGTTATGGTGATCTATGATCAGTAATCAGTGATGTTAACTACTGTAATTGGTTTGGGGTATCACAAACTGTGCCCATGTAAGATGGCAAACTTAATTGATAAATGCTGTGTGTATTCTGACTGCCCCACAGACCTGCCCTTCTGCTGTCTTTCTCCCTCTCCTTGGGCCTCCCTATTTCCTGAAACACAACAATATTGAAATTAGGCCAATTAAAAACCCTAAAAGGCCTCTAAGTGTTGCAAGTCTCTCACTTTAAATTAAAGGCTAGAAATGATTAAACATGGTGATGAAGGCACACTGAAAGCTGAGACAGACTGATGGCTCTTGTGCCAAACGGCCAAGCTGCAAATACAAAAGAAAAGTTCTTCACAGAAATAAAAAGTGCTATTCCAGTGAACACACAAATCATAAGTAAAACAGCCTTATTGCTGATATGGAGAAAGTCTTAGTGATCTGGATAGAAGATCAAACCAGCCACAACATTCTCTTAACTCAATGCCTAATTCAGAGCAAGACCCTAACTCTCTTCAATTCTCTAAAGGCTGAGAGGTAAGGACATTGCAGAAGAAAAGGCGGAAGCTAGGAGAGATTGATTCATGAGGTTTAAGGAAAGAAGCCATCTCCATAAAAGTACAAGGTGAAGCCGGCCGGGCATGGTGGCTGACGCCTGTAATCCCAGCACTTTGCGGGGCTGAGGCAGGTGGATCACAAGGTCAGGAGATTGAGACCATCCCGGCTAACACGGTGAAACCCTGTCTCTACTAAAAATACAAAAAAATTAGCCAGGTGTGGTGGCGGGCACCTGTAGTCCCAGCTACTTGGGAGGCTGAGGCAGGAGACTGGCGTGAACCCAGGAGGCAGAGCTTGCAGTGGGCCGAGACTGCGCCACTGCACTCCAGCCTGGGCAACAGAGTGGGACTCCGTCTCAAAAAAAAAAAAAAAAAAAGTATAAGGTGAAGCAGCAAGTGCTAATATAGAAGCTACAGCAAGTTACCCTGAAGATCTAGCCAAGATCATCAAGAAGGTGGCTACACTAAACCAGAGATTTTCAATGCAGATGAAACAGTCTTCTACTGGAAGAAGCTGCCATCTAGGATTTTCACAGCAGGTGACTTTAAGCTGAAGCCAATGCTCATTAATCATACTGAAAACACAAGGGTCCTTAAGAATTATGGTAAATTTTGTGCTTTATAAATGGAACAACAAAGCCTAGATGACAGCACATCTGTTTACAGAACAGTTCTCTTTGCAGCGTATTTTACTGAATATTTTAAGCCCACTGTTGAGACCTACTGCTCAGTTTTTCTGATTCCTTACCAAATACTGCTCACTGGCAATGTGCCTGGTTACCCAAGAGTTCCGATGAAGTTATACAAGATCAGTGTTGTTTTCATGCCTGCTAACACAATAACCATTCTGAAGCCCATGGATCAAGGAATATTTTCCATTTTCAAGTCTTACTAGTTAAGAAATACATTTCATAAGGCTATAGCTACCATAAAAGTGATTCCTCTGATAGATCTGGGCAAAGTAAATAGAAAACCTTCTGGAAAGGATCCACCATTCTAAATGCCATTCAGAACATTTATTATTCATGGGAGGAAGTCAAACTATCAACATTAACAGACATTTGGACGAAGTTGATTCCAAACCTCATGGATGATTTGGAGGGGTTTGAGAATTCAGTGGAGGAAGTTACTGAAGCTGCAGTCAAAACAGTACAATTAGAAATAGAAGTGGAGTCTGAAGATGTCACAAAATGCTGCAATCTCATGATAAAACTTGCATGGAGGAGGAGTTGTTTCTTATGGAAGAGCAAAGAAAGTGATTGCTTGAGACAAAATCTACCTCTGGTGAAGATGCTGCAAATATGGTTGAAATGACAACAAAAAACTTAAAGAACATTAGACAAACTTAGTTGATAAATCAGCAGCATGATCTGAGAAGACTGACTCCAATTCTGAAAGAAGTTCTACTGCTATCAAACAGCACTGCATGCTACAGAGAACTCTTTTGTGAATGGAAGAGTTAACTGATGCAGTACAGTTCTTTGTTGTCTTATTTTAAGAAATTGCCACAGCCACCCTGCTATAATTCATATGTTTGTCCTCCCAAACATCATGTTGAAATTTGATGTCCAATGTTGGAGGTGGAGCCCAGTGGGAGGTGTTTGGGTCATGGGGGTGGATCCCTCATTAACAGATTAATGACCTGGAGCAGGGGAGGCGAGTTCTCATTCTATTAGTTCCCACAAGAGCTGGTTGGTAAGAAGAGCCTGCCACCTTCCTCTCCTCTCTCTTGCTTCCTCTCTTGCCATGTGATCCCTGCACATGCCATGGCTCTGCTCTGATTTCCACCATGGGTGGGAGCAGCTTGAGGCCCTCATCAGAAGCTGAGCAGGTGCCAGTGCCAAGCTTCATGCACACCCTGCAGAACCCTGAGCCAAATAAACCTCCTCTTTATAAACTACCCAGCCTCAGATACTCCTTTACAGCAACACCAAAGACATATATCAACCTTCAGCAAGCACTACCCTGTGATTAGTCAGCAGCTGTCAACATCAAGGCAAAACTCTTTATCAGCAAAAACATTATGATTTGCTGAAGGCTCAGATGATCACTAGCATTTTTTAGCAATAAAGCACTTTTAAATTAAGCTATGTATGATAGTTTTTTTTTCCCAACATAATGCTATTGTGCACTTAATAGACTACAGCATAATGTAAACATGACTTTTATATGCACTGGGAAATCAAATAATTTGTGTGACTTGCTTTATAGCAGTGATCTAGAGCAGAACACATAATATCTCTAAGGCATGTCTGTGGTATAACCCCAATTTTCTGGGAAATTTAGGGTGCTCTAATCTCTGAAGAGGATCCCCTTTCCGACCTCCCTAGCCCTGCCTCCCAAACTCCTTTTTTTACATTGCCACAAGTCCCAATCTAGAAATCCATCCTCTTCCCCATTCCTGGTCTCAGCCCAATCTGTATATAATCTCTGTAAATTATAGTATCTTGTATAATCGATTTTTTCTCTATATTAGTTCCTTTTCACTAACTTTTACAAAAGCTTAAGACTGCCATCTGGGACAAACAAACTCTCTGTGATCCCCTACTCATCCTCCAGTTATCTTAATTCTATTTTTCTTTCCTTCTCTAAAGAGCATTTACTTAATGGCCATTCCCTCATCTCCCACTCACTCTACAATCTATTTTAAAGTGTATCTTGGCCCAGTCACCTTCACTCTGTTCACTGAAGTCAAAGTTGTCCCCTTGTTCTCAAATAAAATGGATACGTTTCTGTCTTCGTCACCTTCAGCAAAGCGTATCAGAAAACCAGGTCATCCTCCTTGAAACCCACTCTGCCTTCAGCTTTCCTGACACTATTTATCCTGGGTTTTCTCTTGCCCCAGGGCAATCCTTTTTCATTGACTGACTTCTCCCTTCTTTACCTATTAAATGTTGGAAGCTACGTAGTGTCCTTTTCTAGGTCCTCCTCTCATTGCTCTACACTTTCTCCCTAGAAAATTGCACCTATGCTGTGGATTCAACTACCATGTGTAGATTCAATGACCATGTTTAAGTCTGGCCTCCAAATCCTCAGGAGACTTGATAATACTACAGCAGGTTCTCAAACAAAGTTGTTACACTGGCCGCTTCACTGTAACATTGATGAAAAAAAATGCATCTCCTGCCAGGGCCACTGTGTGGCATCTGCCCACCCCCACCCCTGTGTCTGTGTGGATTTTCTCAAGGTACTCCAGTTTCCTGCCACATCCCAAAGATGTGCATATTTGGTGAACTGGTGGGTCTAAATGGTCCCAGTGTGAGTGAGCTTGGTGAGTGTGCGTGTGCCCTGCGAGGGGATGGCGTCCTGTTGAGGACTGGTTCCACTTTGTGCCCTGAGCTACGGGGATAGGCTCCGGTCCCTTGATACTTGGAACTGGAATCACAGGTAAATAATTATCTTACTAGCTTTTACGAATCTTAAATGTACATATAGCTCACATTTATTTCAATGTTTAATATTAGAAGCGTTTCAGTTTTTAGAAATTTGGTCATACTTTTGTGACCAGAAATATTCTGTAGGAACTTAACTCTTGTTTATATCAATTAAACCTATGATAAAATTGATTTCATTATACATTAGTTCGCTTAAAGTCACCTTTTCCAAGAACCTATTGATGATGTTAACTGAAGACTTACTGCATATGACGTGAGGGCAGGATACTACAGTGTACAATTTGCCTTTTAGAGGCAAATTCACATTGTTTTTATCAGAGCAAACCCACTTTTAGGAATCTGTCCTATGAAAACATTAGTATATATGCAAAAGGATGTATACTTAAGGGTATGGTTTATGATAGCAAAATTGAAAACCTAAAAGTACGCCAAAGTGGAGACTTATTATCAGTAATGTAGTATGCAATAACCATATGATCTAGTAATTGCGCTTCTTGGTATTGATCCAGATGAATTGAAAACTTATGTCTATACAAAAATACACAAAAAATGTTTACAGCAGCTTTAGTCATAATTGCCAACAAGTGGAAACAACAAACATGTCCTTCAATAGGTAAACAGATCAACTCTGGTACTATACCTGACAGAATATTACGCAGCAATAAAAAGAAATGAATTATCAAGCCACATAAAGATATGGGGGAACTTTAAATGCATTTAATGAAGAAAGCCAATCTGAAGAGGCTATATTACTGTTGGTTTCCAATTTTATGACATTCTGGAAAAGGTAAAACTATGTAGACAGTAAAAGAATCAGGGGTTGCCAGAGGATGGAGATGCGGGAGGGAGGGATGAACAGATGCAGCACAGGAGACTTCTAGGCCCATGAAACTCCTCTGTAGGATACACGTCATACATGTCATTAGACACTTGTCAAAACCCAGAGAACGGACAACACAAAGAACATACCCAGCCGGGCGCAGTGGCTCACACTTGTAATCCCAGCACTTTGGGAGGCTGAGGTGGGCAGATCACTTGAGGCCAGGAGTTTGAGACCAGCCTGGCCAACATGGAGAAACCTCCACTCTACTAAAAATACAAAAATTAGCCGAGCACTGTGGTGCACACCTGTAGTCCCAGCTACTTGGGAGGCTGAGGCACAAGAATTGCTTGAACCCAGGAGGCAGAGGTTGCATTGAGCTGTGACTGTGCCACTGCACTCCAGAGCGACACAGCAAGACCCTGTCTTAAAAAAATAAAATAAAAAGAACATATCCTAATGCAAACAATGGACCTTAGTTAACAATAATGGATCAATATTGGCTCATCAACTGTAATAAATGTAGCACACCAATGTGAGATGTTAATGATGGGGGGCTCAGGGAAGGGCGACGGAGGGCAATTGAGCTTTCTGCTCAATTCTTCTGTGAACCTAAAGCTGTTAAAAAAAAAAAAAGTCAACTAATTAAAAAAAATGTAAGCCATTTAACAACAGGGGAAGCTGGGTGTGGGATAATGAGAATGTTCTACACTACACCTTTGCCGTTTTTCTATAAATCTACAACTATGATAAGATATGATTTATTTTTACAAAGGCTGGGCACAGTGGCTCACACATGTAATCCCAACCCTTTGGGACGCCAAGACAAGAGAATTGCTTGAAGCCAGGAATTTGAGACCAGCCCAGGCAACATAGCAAGACCTTGTCTGTACCGGTTCCTGCAAAAAAAAAAAAAAAAAAAGATTGAGGAAGTTCTTTAGGTAACAATGGGGAATGATTTTCAAGCTATCCTAATTTTAATGTAAAAAACAAACCACAGAATATTTTTGGTATGACTTAATTATAACTACATAAATTGTATGTCTAAATAGCTAACATAATTAAAAAATTTAAAATCGGTTACACAGAAAAAGAGCCCAAAGCCTCCCTACTGAACCTCAAGGTTTTCTGAGTTTATGCTTTGCTGAAGGCGACTCTGCTTACCTGTGCAGAGTGAGGAGCAGAGATGTGTATGCTACCTGCACATTTACTGGAATGTGCTGTAGAACTGTGACTTTCCACATCAAATCATCACTAATAACAAGCATATAATCACTCATGTGTTGCTGCTTCTAGTAAAACTGTTGTCTAGAGAGTTAAAGTGCTGGAGAATAAATATGAAGTGTCTGGCATAAGGTGGGTGCTAAAGAAGGATAGCAGGGCTATCATTACTGTCGATCTCCAAGTAGTGCCACTTTTTTAGAACCACCAAGAACTCAACACTTCTGTCCATTCAGACTTCATTGAAAGAGAGTGCTTACTGCTGCTTTTACCATTTGCCACTGTGGGCCAAAGCTGGGTAGACAGAACAGGGAGGTCGCTGGCAGGACACTGCTTACTGTGTTCTCTCTGGCTCACTTCCTGCTGGAAACAGAGGAAGGAGCTTCTGAAGATGCAGAGTCCCCCAGGTAGTGCTGGCCACAGGCCAGGACCTACCCCTCCATGAGAAGTCACCTCTGAGGGTTCATCCACCCTTCAGTACAAATGTATGGTCAAGGAGGCAGAAGAAAAAAAGCTCTGCCAGACTCTCAGACTCTCAAAGAAAATACGTAAGAAACACAGTAAGCTCAATTCCACTGCAGTGATTCCCAGCCCTGGCTACATATTCAAATCGTGGGGAGGTTTAAACTATGCTAACATTCAGAATATACTGCAGAACAATTAGACTGTGCGAGTGGGGCCTACAGATAAATAATGATGTGGAAAAAATCCGCATCATATATTCAGACATATACAAAGCCTTAAAAAATATCAGTGCACAAATCTAAGGGTGTATTAACAATTTATTGCCACTTGGCTTTAAAAATAATGCTCCAGGACAGAAAATTACTAACAAACCAAGAATGTAGCAAGAAAACTCCCAAACTGCCACATTCATGTGGGGATTTTTCATTTCTGCTCCCACTAAGGCTTCAAATTAGACAGAATGACACTCAGGTGCAATAAGAATATACAAAATAACCTCGGTTGTCACTTTATATCTTAGTGCAATATTCTGATTCACTATTTTGGTATTAGACGTTAGCAGACTTCCATTTAATTTTATTGGCAATTTGATAAAGTGAATCTGTGGGGGCTAAAAAAACCAATAGATTAACAATAGGTTAAAAAGGGAGAAGGAGGAAGACAGATATTGATGGTCCCTTAAATATCAATTTCAGAAGATCAGGAGTAGGAGACTGCCATGGTGATATCATATATTATAATTGTCTCTATTATTCTGACAGCTTTACTCTTGTAAAACTTGGTTTTCTTCTTTGAATTTTTAAACCTAAAACTGCCTGCCATAATGTCTCTGGAAGTTATTATAGTAAGCAGTATTAGAAGGATACAAATAAGCCTTTTGTAAAACTTGGATCAGATTTTATAAGGTTCAAGTTTTACCAGGCAGTAAATTAATTTTAGATTTTCTCAATTAGCTCTCAAAGATTAACTATCTGCGACATGCTTAATATTCTTCATGGTGGAGTCAGACGTGCACAGCTAAAATAAGGGTGATCGTTTATGCATTCCTAACTAGCAGGCAACCATAAGACAGGGGGCCTTCCACTCCAGGAAGATGAGGGAGACCTACTTTTCCCTATCCTCCCTACTAAGTACAACTGGAAACTCAGGACATTATATATCAAACAACCCTACAAAGACTCTGAAAAGTGAGAGAAGACGGTAATCCAACTGAGGATTCTGAGACTTGAGGAGTGACACAGTGATAAACTCCCTGGGTTTTCTTTTTGCCTCATCTATTCCCGGCAAAACACTGAAAAAGTTGGCAACTCTGAAAAGCCAACACACACAGACTAAAAAATCCCCGAAATTTGGGGATTTTTGGCTCCCTCTAGCCAAAGTACCAGGAAAGGGGCGGCCTACACAAAAAGCAAAACAAAAACAAAAAACCTCCTAGACAATAATCTCAAAAAACACAAACTGCCATAATTCAGCCAATATGAAATGGACAAGTGCCCTATAAAGACTGAAGAAATTAAATTTATAATTAAAAATCTGAAAACCTCCATTCCCAGATGGCATAGAGACAATGAGGCTTCCACCACTCGTTCATGCTCCAGAAGGGCCTGGAAAATTCGAACAAACATTTAAAGAAATAAAACCCATTCCACACAATCCCTTTCGGAGAATAAAAGAGGAGGAAATCCAAACTAGACAAAGACAGTACAAAAAGACAGAACCAAAAACCAGTATCCCCTTATGAACACAGATGTAGAAGTCCTTAACAAAATACTAGAAAACAGAACTCAGTAACATACAGAAGAATTACACACCATGACCAGCAGGGCTTATTTCAAGAATTCAAGGCTGGTTCAGTATTAAAGACCAAATCAATGCTATCCACCATATTAACAGTTTAAAGAAGAAAAATCACCTGACACAATTCAGCAACCACTCACGATAAAAACTCTCAGAAAACGAGGAGTGGAGGGGAACGTCTTCAACTTGATAAAAAAACATCTACAAAAGCCCTATAGCTAATATCTTAAAGGTGAGAGACTGAATGCTTTCCCCCTAAGATCAGAAAAAAAGTAAGGTGTCTCCTTTCATCATTTTTATTCAAAATAGTACTAGAAGTTTTGGCCAGTGCAATAAGGCAAGAAAAAAACTAAAAGGCAGACAGACTGTAAAGGAAGAAATAAAACCATTTCTATTTGCAGATGAC
The DNA here is from genome assembly GCF_000001405.40 of Homo sapiens. NCBI lineage: Eukaryota > Metazoa > Chordata > Mammalia > Primates > Hominidae > Homo > Homo sapiens. The sequence continues at coordinate 121,767,470 of NC_000010.11, forward strand.
ATGATATTCTATGTAGAAAATCTCAACAACCCTCCAAAGAACTACACAAGTTCAGTGAAGCAAAAGTATACAAGATCACCACATAGAAACTAGCTGCATTGCAATCACATCTGATAAAATTAATATCCATAATATTTAGAGAACTAAGTTTCTTCGCCAAAGAAGACATACAAATGGCCAATAAGCACATGAAAAGGTGATCAACAACATTAATCATTTAGGGAAATGTACATCAAACCCACAACTCTTACTCATTAGGATGGCTACTGTAAGTGTTGGTGAGGATATGGAGAAACGGGAAATCTTGTGCACTACTGGTGGGAATGTAAAATGGGGCAGTTGCTATGTTCTTTGGGAAATCAAAAATGGCATTACCATATGACCCACCAATCTCATTTCTAGGAGTATATACAAAAGAAATCAAAGCAAGAACATGAACAGTTATTTGTACACCCATGGTCATAGCAGCATCATTCACAATAGCCAAAAGGTGAAGCAACCCAATGGATGAACTGATAAACAATTTGTGATATATACATACAACCTTTAAAAGAGGTAAAATTCTAACATATGCTACAACATGGATGAATCTTATAGAAATTATGCTAAGTGAAATAAACCAGTCACAAAAAATACTGTATGACACCACTAATTTTTGGTACTTAGAGAAGTCAAATTTATAGAGACAGAAAGTAGAATGGTGGTTGCCAGGAGCTGGAGATGGGAATAATGGAGATTTATTGTCTAATCAGTCACAGAGTTTGTTTTGCAAGATGGTAAAATTTTGTAGATGCAAAACAGTGTGAATGCACTTAAAAGGTCAATAGTATTCCAATACACTAACAATAAACACATAGGAACTGAAATGAAAATATACAATTTATAGTTGTTTAAAAAAAACTTAGGTGTAAATCTAAAAGAATATGTATAGGACTCTGAAAGTTGATTACACAAATTGGGTCATTCTTGTCATACCTAAGTAGGTCAGAGAGGAGGGGCTGGGCAGGGGAGGGGGGAATCACTCAGGGCACATAGCACCCGCTCCAATAATTGAATTTTCCACAAGCCCAGATGCTGAAATGGCCTGCTGTAGCCCTAAGACCAGTTTCACTGAGGAGCTGCTGAAACGACCTGCTGTGACTCTAAGACCAGTTTTACCTGCCACTGTCATTCACCAATCAGAGATTGCCAGCTTCCAAAAGCTTTTCTAGTGTCAATGTTTCTTCAAAACATTACATAACATTTCTCTTTCTAATAAAATGCCCAACCTTCTGTTTGTTCCTGGGACATACAGAAGACCACCATGGTCTGTATGTATGCCCTAAATTGCAATTCTGTGATTCCTAAATAAATGTTAATTTAGAGATTTATTTTATTTTGAGTTTGTCAACTTACATGCTGAAAACTACAAACTGCTGATGAAAAAAAATCAAAGCTCTAAATAAATGGAGAAACAATCCATGTTCATGGGCCCAAAGGCTCCTAGTAAAGATGTCAATTCTCCCCAAATTTATATATAGATTTAACATAATTCCTATCAAGTCTCTGTAAGAATTTTTACAAAGAGAAGCAAGAGTATTCTAAAATTTATATGGAAAGGCAAAAGAGCTACAATAACGAAAATAATTCTGACAAAGACTAATGGGAGAATAACTTTTCCCTAATTTCAAGACTTTTAAAAATATAGATACAGAAATCAAGACTGTGTAGTATTGGTGGAGGACTGACATATAAATACATGGAAGAGAATAAACAAACCATAATAGCCCCACACAAGTATGGCCAACTAATTTTTGACAAAGTTGCAAAAGTAATTCATGAAGGAAGAGGAGCTTTTCCAACAACTAGTGTTGGAGCAACTGGGTATCAACCAGTAAAAAAGTAAACTTATAGCTAAACTTCCCATTTTACACAAAACTTAAACCCAAATGGATGGATCATAGATTTAAATGTAAAATGTGAAATGATGAGACTTTTTAGAAGAAAATACAGGAGAAAAATATTTGAGAACTAGGGCTTAGTGAAGAGTTCTTAGACATAACACCAAATGCATGATGCATAAAAAAATTTTTAAATTGATACCTAGACTTCATTAAAATTGGAAATTTGCTCTGCGAAAAACCCTGATAAAATGATGAAAAGACAAGCTACCAAAGGACACATATCTGGAATATATAACAATTCGCAAAACTCAGCAATATAAAAACAAATCCATTTAGAAAATGCACAAAGAACATGAGGAGACATTTCACTGATGGGGATTAATGGACGGCAAACAAGCAGATGTAAAGACGTTCAACATCAGTAGCCATTTGGGAGGCCCAAGTTAAGACTATCGTGAGGTATCACTATATACATTAGAACAGCTAAAATAAAAGGAGTAACAAAAACCAAATGTGGGTAAACATGAAAGAAGTGTTATCTTTCATCCATTGTTGTTGGGAATGTAAAATGGCAGCCATGCCGGAAAATAGTTTGGCAGTTTCTTAAAATATTAAACATATACTTGCCACACAACCCAGTAACTGTACTGCTGGGCATTTATCAGAACTCAAGTTTATGTAAAAACCTGTAGACAAATGTTTGTAGTAGTTATTTTGGTAACAGTCCTAAACTGAAAAACAACTGAGATGTCCTTCAACAGGTGAATGGTTAAATGGCTAAACGAAGTATAACATATCTAACATCCATGCCATGGAATACTACTTAGCAATAAGAAGGCATGAACTACTGATACACTAAGAATAAGAAAGACAAGAGAGAAACACACACACACACACACACACACACACACACACACACACAGACATACACCCTGTATACACACTGAGAGACGCACAGAAAAAGAGAGAACTCACAAAGGAAATACAGAAAAATATCTAGGATATTTTTACTAGGCTATATCTTTGCAGTTTAGTTATTTTAACATAAAAGTCCCTAATAATCTGAGATTAGCAAAGGTAGTATTTCAGGATACTGCTGATTTTTATAAACAAAAGCAAAACTATAGCGTTTTATGTACAAATTTAAAATATTTTCAGGTTTCATTATGTCTCATGTTCTTTAAAACTATTTGCTTTTGAGCCTAAAGACGAATTACTTCTTTGTGGTTTAAAATTCAAACAATGCTATAAACCTAATTCTTTGATCAATAAAGCCAAACTTTAATAAGTCTGACCTGACTTAATAAAACAATAACTCACTGTGGTTGATTCTTACTTATTGTTCAAGATAAGTGGGGGATTTATAAGATATTTCCTTAACTAAAAAAAAAAAAAAAAACTCTTATTAGAACCTTTCATTGTTCACAATTTCAAAATAATACTTTACACATTCATTCTTTAAAAGAATCTTAAATGAATGAATGAATGCCTAAAACATCTTGCATATAAAACACTGAAGCCTTAAAGCAAGAACAGCACTTAACCAGTAAAAGCTTGCAAAAAAAAATTCTAAATAAAGAAACATTTCACATGAGCGAACGAAACCAAGGCTTGGAGGGTGGCGGGGGGAGAAACAAACAAACCACCAAATTAGATCCCTCAAAAAATGCCACAAAAAGCTGAGGTAACTGAAGTTACACACAACCATCTCTCTCTACTTTATTTATTTATTTTTTTGAGACAGAGTCCCACTTTGTCACCCAGGCTGGAGTGCAGTGGCGCAATCTCCGCTCACTGCAAACTCCACCTCCCGGCTTCAAGCAATTCTCTATCTCAGCCTCCCAAGTAGCTGGGATTATAGGCGCCTGCCACCATGCCTGGCTAATTTTTGTATTTTTAGTAGAGACGGGGTTTCACCATCTTGGCCAGGCTGGTCTTGAACTCCTGACCTCGTGATCCACCCGCCTTGGCCTCCCAAAGTGCTGGGATTACAGGTGTGAGCCACCGTGCCCGGCCTCTCTCTACTTTAAATAGTGATTTTCTGAATGCCAAAATAATGACAATCAGTTTGTTTAGATTATAGAACCATTCCTAATATGAACATAGGGAGTACTTATCTAGGAAGAAAGGCTACAAGGAAATTCATCTTCTAACCCCAGAATCACCAGCCATTATTCAGTTTATCTTAAGGTCCTAAAGCTTGTTCACACTCCAGACATGAAACACACTTTAGTTTTATTTTTAATCCCAAACAATGGTCGGAGAGCAAAGGCCAATAAACAGAGCTAATGGTTATGGTAAATGTTTTCAAGTTATTTTATGCAAACAAATTAGAGGAAATGTAACTCTTAGGTCCTTTTTAAAAAATGCAAAGACTTTACATTTCCATTCATTTCTATCTGCTCTCAAAATGTGGAGACTAAAATGGAATGAGCAAAACAGCTCAATACTTGAAAAAAATTAGCAGCAAAGAAAATGCACGTGACATTCATTTTACGCTTTGGTCAACACACTTAGAAAAATGCAGTTTCACATCTCAGCAACTTTATTTCTGTAAACCATTACTGTGATTTTAGTTTCTTCTTTACTGTAACCATTTAAAAGTGGTGCTTTTAAATTCAGAAAATCCCTGTCATTTGTAAGAACAATATTCTCGTTGTTCTTTATCATTTTATAAGTGGACAGCCTTCCCAACATGACAGTAAACTCCTTGAGGGCTGGAACAGAATTTTATACTTTGTATACCCCCACTGCCCAGACACCACATTCCCCAGACATCAGGGATACAAAGACAAGGATATAGCGCCAAACTGGCATCCAATAAATGTCTGTGGTTTGTGGCGATGATCTTCATTTCATGTTCTTCAGAGACAAGCTACAGAAGACATCTGCAGGGCCAACTACCCGCTTTTATCAACTTTCTTGTTAATTAGTACCACATGTTTATTACTCAACGTCTGAATTCTCAAATTAAATCATTCTTGGATTATTTTTCTTCATTTCTGAATGTGTTATAAATGTTGAAATTAATCAGGTCATGATCACTTTAAAATGTGCTGTCTTGATCCATTTTTAGAACAAGAATGGTATTATGTGAAATCTTCGTAAAACTCTTGTTAATTAACCACAAAAAAACTTAAGAAAGCAATGCTAATGCAAGGGGCCCATCAAAAACACCCCAGACTTATTCGGAATGAAAGGCCCTGTCTCACGCCTCACAGCCTGAAGTAGTCTGTGTTTGCTTCTCCAGAGAGGCGAGGAATCCAGAAACAAAGTCACGTCATGCTCCATACCCAAGCTCCATATCTTTCAGTAACTGCTAAAGCTCAACTGATGATTTGTATGGTGAGAAGAATTTGGGCCCAAACCAGATAGTAAATCATAGCCAAAGTCAACCGCTTAAGCAGAATTTACAGATACTTTTGAGATAGCCATGAACTACAAATTGCTTTGCCGCTATTTAAAAAACTTGTTGGTTAATAGTCCAAATTCAATGTGCATAATCAACTAAGATTTCTGATTCCATTCTCTTTGACTACTAGGTTGGAACATGCAATCCACTTCTACAAAGCAAACTTCTCTCTCTGAGGTGTTACACAAAAAGTTCTAAAGAGAATAAGCTTTGCTATGTTCTGCTCAGAGGAAGGAATGTTTTCTTTAAACCTCTTATAGCTACTCAGGTTTTGGTGTTTTGCTTTTATCTTTATTGGACCCTCCCACTCCCTTCTTTGTGCTACCAGTCCAAAGGAATGTACCATTACTTCAGAGCTTCTGCCCTGCTTTCGTTAGTTTACATTTACTTATAATGGAATCCATTTGTTATCTGCTGATTTAAATCTCCCCAAATGACCTAATGCTCTTGGTTTTCGTTTTTATTTCATTACACTACACTTTTCATGTGTACTTTGAAGCAATGTTTAAACAATGAAAAGGTGTAGGAGACCCTATCATAAAAATATTAAAACGCTCTTCTTGTCATTCAATAAGCAAGGTAACCAGCAACCAAGTCGATAGGGCAAAATTTTATCATCAATACATTGAAACTCTGGACAGTAACAGCAGTAAAACAATTGTTTTGTTCCAGGCCCATCTTGGGACTCTCTCCTGTGTCTCCTATCAGTTCTAACAGAGTTTGACACAGAAACTGAGTCCCTGTCTTCACAATGCTCAGCTTACATGATTTATTCACAAGTCCCTAAAGGTTGAGACTTTAAGTAAATTCCAGCTTTTGGGCATTTAAAACAAACCTTTACGAACTCTTCTTACATCCAGGGACTTTTTTTTTAAAGTCTTGAACCTATTATATAACAGTAACAGAAAACTACAGAATCAGAAGGTCCTATATACAGCAGTATTGCACAGTCCTTTTAATTCAAACATTTCTGTGAAATATTTTTTTAAAATACCAATTATTCCTTGAGTGTATTTTGAAAAACAAAGTATTGTGACTAGAAACAAAACAGTACTATAAAGCACAGCTTTTTCCACTCTGCATACTCCCTTCTTCTTGAAAAATCACAATTTTAAAGCATTATTTGTTTTCAAAAATATTTTCAAGTACATAGTTATGAAATGGCTGTAGTTTCTACAAAGTCAAGACTATGCTCCAAAAGCAAACTCTAGTAACACCAGCAAATTCAAAACGTGAAAATGAACTAAATGGTACTTCCACTTTTTCTTGTCATCTTGAATGCAGTTTAAATGTTTTAAGAAAACATATTCCAAAACCCTAATTTTAAAAATGACAATATAACACAGTGGTTGATCAGCTTCGTTGCAAGAGAGCCTTTGGTTTATCAATGGATACGCAATAATGGATTCTTGAACAGGATGTTTTTTAAAAAGAGACATTAAAATACAGTTCAATTTACAATCACTGGACTGCATGAACTTTTAAAAACACGCATTATTTTAAATGATTATGCAAATTTGGTAAGCGAGTTGAAATATACTTATTTACATTCAGTTAGTATATCATGGTATCTAATCCCCCCTCCTCCCCAATACTCTCTAACTTCAAAGTTTGCACAGGTCAAGGTCAGAAAATTAAGCAATGTCATTAACCTAGAAAAAAATTTTTTGGTTTAATTTGAGGGTTTGAGAAATTATATGTCATTACTTTAAAATGAAGATCAAAGCTCTCATACAAGCAATCATTTGCTCTGGATTTATAAGGTCAGTACAGATGGCAGGTGAGAAAAATGCCAATGAAGAAGTTCAAACAGCTCTAGTATTATTACAGAGCTTTACAGAGCACGTTCATTACATTCTTTCTTAAGCAATCATCACACTTCACAACTTACTCTGGAAGAGACAGAAACTGTGTTCTTTACTAAGGGAACTTCGATCTAAATGTAAAATTAGAACTCAAAGTTCCTGACATCAAGGCTCAGATTCCTGTATTTAAACTTCTCTGCTGTTCGCTCAACAAAGAAATTATCTGTGCTGATGAAATTATCTGTGCAACTTACAATTAAATGACCCCCCCCAAAAAAATGAAGATTAAAAAAAGAAATGAATTAATTTGAAATTTCCCTGACACACTCAAATGCATCTTTGACTATATTACAAAATGAATAAGCACGGTATTTCAGTCTAGAGTATGTCCAAATACAAGCCTGTAAGGTCACACCTTTCTCAAAAGGCAGACACATGTGGAGAAACCAGACACTTGGCAGACAGACAGTTACATTGCAAAGAAAACAAAAGCAAAGAGTTATTTTAAACATACGGTACACAGTTGTGCAGTTTGCTAAAACAGATAAACAATATTGTATAATACTACAGAATAGAATTTTGTTTAGTTTTGGATAGTTTTCAGTTAACTATCTAGTTGAGGACATAATCTTTGGATGTAGTTGACCAATAAAACTACAAAATTTGACCCCAGTAAAATATACAAAATATTAAAATCTTAATTACTACTGATAGTAAACCCTTTATGAGAACATAAAGCCTGTCAGAGAGTGGGGGGCAAGGGGAGGGAGAGCATTAGGGCAAATACCTAATGCATGTGGGGCTTAAAACCTAGTTGAAGGGTCGATAGGTGCAGCAAACCACGGTGGCACATGTATAACTATGTAACCAATGTGCACATCTGCACATCCCGGAACTTAAAGTTAAAAAACAACAACAAAAAAAGAACACAAAGATCTGTGCTACAGTTCTAAGTTTAAATCTACTATAGAAGAGGAGAGGAGGAAAAGAGCCAATCTGTCATCTCACCTATTTACAAGTGATGTTTCTTACCCACAACTAATATGTGTGTATACATAATAAGAATAAAACACAAATTGCAAGCCATGTACAAAGTTGGCATTTTATTTATTAGTACCGCCAGCATTAAGAAAGTGGGTCCCTCCACTGACGGTATCTAGGGTAGTAACTGGTCACTCAAATATGGCCACACAGGACAGTAACTTGGCTGGGTCAGCACCTTCTGTAGTTTGACCTCACCTTTCAGGTCCACAGCCTGGATGCATCTATCTGTCATTCAGCAAAGAACTGTCTCTAGCCAATGCTATGAGATGTCTAGTTAGTAATTTACATAGGTCCTTCCAGTGACAAGAATACTCTAATACACCTTCCCCATCCCAAATCCCTTCTAGTTCATTTTTTCTCATTTAAAAATTAAAAAGTTGCTTGTGCACACATAATAGCTGTAATGTGCATATATTAGTTGCAGATGCATCACAATAGTTGTACATACCCATAAAGGGGGATATGTCATATTTTGATACACACATACAATGTGTAATGAATGATAAAGTCAGGGTAATCGGGACACCAGCACCTCAAACACTTATTTCTCTGTGTTAGGAACATTCCAATTCCACTCTTCCAGTTAATTTGAAATGTACAATAAATTACTGTTAACTATAGTTGCCCTATTGTGCTACCAAATACTAGATCTTATTCCTTTTATCTAACTGTATTTTTATTTCCATCCCTCTTCATCTTCCCTCCCCACCATCCTGCCCAAATCCCTCCTATCTCTAATCAGTCATTGGCCTCATGAATATTTATTTACAGAGAAGAGCAAGAGGGTCATCATGAAGATGAAATAAGATGATACATGATAACCCTTTAGCAAAATGCTCTGACCAATACATATTAATCACAGCAATCACTGCTACCACTGCCGTATCACTAAAATAGAATTCATGGCAGAACTGGAGTGACAATCCTCCCCACCAAGTTCTCCCAGGCTAGTGTTTGTCAAATTGTGAGTGGTCTTGGGCATGAAATTCATGTAATGGGTTGTGACCAGCATTTCTTTAAAAAATTAAAAACCAGAACAGATTCAAAACTACCAGAGTGTACCACACGAGTGAGGGTGAGTACTATTTAGCACATTTTTGTTTCAGCTGTGTAAGTGTGCACGCATGCACGCGTGTGCACAGATACATGAAAGTGAGTATTATATGTCAACATAAAATGCATGTCTTACAGGGGACTACAGTTGAGAGTTTGGAAAACACTATTCTACGCATGACCTCACCTAAAACTGCAACTTCTGTCTTCTGATCACAACAGTGAGGAAGAGAGAAGGTGCATGAAAGGGCAGTGTGGTGAAATTGAGCACAGTTATGGAAAACAGGTGGGTACACACTAACTTGGGTGTTCTGGAATCATACATCATACATTTGTGTAATGTAATGCATTCTAGCTTTTAAGTAGTTTGATTCTCACAAAGGAATCTTAAAGATTCAGAGGTCATAAAACATATTAGGATCTTAACTTATGTAGTCTGAATTTCCCACTTCACATACAGTGAAACTGAGGCTGAGAAGTTGTGTTCTGCCTAGTCACAAAGCTAATGACTGGCGGGACTAGAAAACTTGCCTTTAGATTTCTAGTTTAAACACTAAAATATTCAGCGTTCATGCTCCAGTTACCTGGTATTATACAGCAATGGTCAAGTATTAGGTATAAATAATGTTAATGTGAATAGAACAATTTTGGAAGCTGTAAATGAATAATCAGAAAACGTCATGAGCAATATCTAAAATTCAACTGGCTATTAACTCCAATATCCCTAAGATTTGAGCGATTCTAAGAACATGACAGAATGCAGGATTCCATCAAGTTCGAATCTCTTTAGAGTTAAAAAGGAATCAAGGACAGACCGTAAGAGCTAAGGAGATACACATGCAGTCAAGATAGAAACCTCTTGGCTTCAAGAGATGCCAACTTCATGGAGCAGACCAAATAGTGATGCAGGGGGACACCTGGTCATGTACAAATACAAGTGATTTTTTGTATATTAACTTTCATATCCTGCAACCTTGCTAAAATTCACTTATTAGTTCCAGTAGTTGGATAGTGCACTCTTGAAGATTTTCTATGTAAACAATAATCTGTGATTCCACAGGAAATACTATGTAAATAACTGATTTAGACTTGTGATTTCAAACTAAGTAGAAATTTACGTTTATTGTGTCTATAAATGTAATTCATTATGTTTATAAGAATACTTTGTCAGATAATTAAGAGGGAAACTGAATACATTAAGTTTGTAAAATAAGCTTAAAATGTTTAAAGAAATTTAATCAGGATTTCATAAACGCAAACATTATTCAAAATCTCCTTAAAAATAATTGCTAAAATTTGCAAGACTTATACATTGAAAATAAGATCTGTAATTTGCATTTAAACCTTTAAAGAAGAAACAGATGTTACTTTAATAGATTGTTACTTTAATGAGCTGAATGCTAATTTCTAAAATTAAAGGAAACCTTGGAATCATCTTTCCTGCAAAGGAAAATCATGCTCATGGGCACTGAAAACCTCACGTTTAACAGCTAATAACTGCACACCCACAAATTGGGAAACCTAACACACAGCTTTAAAAGTTGAGACAACCAGTGTCTTTCCATTGTAGGCTGTGATCTTTTAGTGGGGTATGAAATCATCTTACTGGGTCAAGACAGTCATTTTCTTTGAAACAGAATAACAAAAAAACAATGGAGTGCATCGTATTTAATGCCCTAAGGATCACATGAATCTGAAAGTATCTTTCTCTAAAGAACTGTATTCTATTTATTCTCCATAATGTATTGATACAAACGAGGCACTTCATGCTCCTTTATGTTCATTGGGGGTTGGCAGCATTAGAACCATTTGGTAAATGAAAAGGATCGTCATTCAGGACATTACCGTTCTTACACCTAAATGGCGCCAAGAAACAAAAACCTCCAGATGTGGCCAGCTTTTTTTTTTTTTTTTTTTTTTTTTTTTTTGAGACATTGTCCTGCTCTGTCGCCCAGGCTGGAGTTGATCTCACTCTCTGGGCTTCCTCTGCAGTGGCGTGACATCGGCTCACTGCAGCCTCCAGCTCCTGGGTTCAAGCGACTCTCCTGCCTCAGCCTCCTAAGCAGATGGGATTACAGACGCACACCACCACGCCCGGCTAATTTTTGTATTTTTTAGTAGAGACGGGGTTTCATCACGTTGGGCAGGCTGGTCTTGAACTCCTGACCTCAAGTGATCCGCCTGCCTCTGCCTCCCAAAGTTCTGGGATTACAGGTTCACGTGAGCCACTGCACCCAGCCATGGCCAGCTTTTGCTAAAAAACGTGGATGTTGTCTTGGCTGCCTCAGTCTTCTTCAATGACTTTCACTTTAATCCTACATTAGCTTCCCAATACCATGGCCACATCTTGTCATACCTCTGAAATAGTAAAATCAGACACTCGCTCTCAACACCATTTCCTATCCTTCCAGCTTGTTCACATACCCCACTACTCTAGTTCTCATAGAGACCTCCAATTCTTTGACCTTTCTATGTCATCTTGGTACATTTATCCTCTCTTCAGTTCCTTCCTAACTGAATTCAGAACAATTTCTTTGTCATAAGTCTTCAATTCTTGCTCTTTCCCTGCAATGGCCTGGTAAGTTCCCAACCCTGGAAAAGCCGGGCTGCTGAAGAAGCATCACATCTACATAGATTTCATCACCACTAGTCTTAACCAGGCCTGGCCATCAGCTCCATCTCTCATTCTTCTCAGCAGCTACTTAACACACCTGCTCAAATCTCTTACCTCTCTCCTCACCAGCACCTGCTTCAATGGAAAGAGAAAAGGCATCAAGTGAGAAAGTGCTCAACCTACTGTTGCCACACCCGTTTTATCTTCACTCCCACTGAGCATTTCCTCATCCTCTCCTAAGACAGGAAGGGTCTTTCTCTCTAAAACTAATCTTCCTATCTGTGTTCTTGATCTTTCTCATGCTACATTCCTTCTCACAGACCCTGATGTGTTTTCATCTTTCTTGTAGAAGAAAGAAGAAAGATCTTTACTCTTTCCTTTCCCTGACCTCCCTCAGCTTCTGAAAATGCTCAAACCTCTCATCCCCTTCCTCCATCAGACTTACCACTCTAGCCAGTGTCTTCAAAATCAAGTTTCATTATGGTGGCTTTCTTAACTTTCACTCTATTTTTAAGCCACGATTCTAGTCCCACTAAAACTAAAACAAGGTCTTCACCAAGATTGTTAAATGATGTTTCTCAGGTCCTCTCAGCAGAATCTGACACTGTCACTGCTTCCTGCTTCTGGAAAATGCTTCCTGTGGCTTTCTTGATCCCACACTCTGGGCTTCCTCTTCCCTCTCTGGCCTCCAATGGAATTCTTCATCTGCTCAGTCATTATATGCTGGGCCCTTGGGGCTGTCCTCTGCTCTTCACTCCAGAAGGCAATCTCACTCACTCTTAGGGCTGCCACTCATGGACCATGTCTCCCAAATTAGTGGCTCCTTCCAAGATTTCATCAGAGTTTCAGACCTACATGTCCAATTGCCTCCTTGACATCTCTACCAGATGTCTCACAAACACCTTTACTTCCACATGTCCAGAACTGAACTCATCATTCTTCTCTGCAAAACCTGCTCCACCTCCTGTTTCTCATTTCAGAAAAGAAGTCAGCATTAACTCAGTTTCTGTCAGAACCTACATAACTCTCTTCACAAACTCTTTCCCTCCCCACCACCAAACACAATTAATCACCCAATTCTGTGGGTTCTATCTCTTGACTGTCTTTTGCATCCATCCATTTCCTCTCCATTGCCCACTGCCATCACCCTAGTCTGTCAGACCATCATCATCTTTTGCTCAGATTACTGCATGCAAACCCTTCTTAACTCTGCTCTTAACCAATTCCCACTCTTTCTCCACAACGTGGAGTCAAAGAACACATCTGCCAAAGCGCACTAGTGCTTAAGATCTCTTATGGCCTTCCATTACCTTCAGGATAAAAATCTCAACTCCTTATCATGATTTACAAACCCTTTACTAGCCAGCTGCATCTGGCCTGCTCTAAAGTCCAGCTGCACTCTTTGCCAACCAGGCCTTCTGAATATGTTGTTCTCTACCTGGAGCACTTAGTGCTTCTGTTCCATCCCCTGTTGAAATCTTCACTTAGGCCACTTCATCCAAGCAGATTTCCCTGACCTTCTACACCCCGTCAAATTCTGGAATGAGGACCCTCCTATGGGGACTCACTGCCTCTTCCTTCTCCCACATGCTACTTGTCACACTTATCTGAGTGTGCTTGATAACTGTCTGTCATCACTAGGTTCCCTGAGGACTGGCACCTCCCATTAGCATAATACCTGGCTCAGTAAATACATGCTGAGTGAATGCATTTATGAATTCTTTAAATTTATGTTTCTATTTTTGGTTGGCTCCTCTATTTCAAATTAAGCTAGCTTTTTGTTTGTTTGTTTTTAGAGTCCAATACCTTCCCATGTTTTGGGTCCTTACTCTTCTTGGCCCCATGCAACTGACATGATCAAATGACATGAGGCAACATGCTACCTCAGTCTGTACTTTTTTTTTTCTGTATTAGATACCTCTTGGGCACTGCCTTTCATCCCCTTAGCCTCACTTCTGACTCATGCCGCAACTATGGTGCCGTCCTGTAAAGGAAGGTAGGCAGGCAGGCAAGGTCTGTCTCTCTTGCTTCCTACCTTTCTGATGCAGCAGCCTGGTACACATGTAGGAGCCTGCTCTGTATTTGTCACGTACACACTCAAGGGCAGAGGCATTAACACTCAGTGCGATACCATCAACCAGTGGAAAATGGAAGCCAGCAGATAAGTCCTTCTTCCTTTGGCCCCTCAGATGTACACCAGGTGTCTCAAAAGGACTGAGCTCCAGTCCTTAGAGTGATGGATCACACAATAACACATCCTTCTACTGACTTTTCCTCCTTCCCTGGTTTATTCTCCCTAGACCCTACTCCTGTTCCAAGGGACCATTTCCCAAATAAATAACCTGAATGGAAGGCCGTGTTGCAAGATCTGCTTTTGGAGAGAAACTAAGCTAAGACAGTCTCCTTAACATGAGAAGTGCTCAGAACTTTACTATGGTTTTCCTTTTCTGACAGGGGTTAGTAAAGCAGAAACTTTAATTCTTTCCCTATTGTCAACATGCCCTTCTTATTTTCAGACAGATTTTATATTATCAGTGAAAGATGCACAGAAGCATGAACAAGCCATTTCTTTGAATGATATCTATTTCAAACGAATGCCAGCTAGGAAAATACGTTTCTTACAAGAAGAAGAATCTTATCCCAGGTTCCATATTTATATTAAAAACATTTTGCTAGCATGACATAAAAGAACACTATAAAATAAACAGAACTTCACATACCTTCAGGTTATAGCTTATTTTTCTGCAAAGAGACCAAGTATTAACATCCACAAAAAAGAATCTAAATAGTTTAAAAATACCTTGCAGGAAAAAAAAATGCAGAGACTCCATTCTTCTATGAAGTTGGGTGTGAATGATTTAAATCTTGGACTATTATGTCTGTCTGCGAGTCAGCTGTTCCAATTACTAGTAGACATTGTATTGAATATCAAATTATGTGGTTTCCAAAATACAGCATCAAGTATCCTTTAAGAATTTTTCTCAGTTAAGCTAATGATTCAACGTTGTGTTTCTATAAAGCCACAGTTAAACAAAAAATATTTACAGATAATTCACAAGGCACGAAAATGTTCAATCAAATGTGGAAATTTTAAAGCTGATGAACAGCTTGATGATATCCTAGGATACCCATCTTTTGCCCCCTTCTATATGTATTTAATGTATAATCATTCATTAACTGTCAGAGATGACTGAATTTATTGGCTAAGCAAAGTTTTTAATTTTCTACATTTATTGCTGCCTTCTAACATCACACAAATTTTTTAAATTTCAAATTTGCTTATAAACAGGATGCAGGAAGACCATTAATGTTTACAGAATTTTAATGCTTTTTCAGTAGTTGTGATGGTTAATACTGAGTGTCAACTTGATTGGATTGAAGGATGCAAAGTACCGATCCTCGGTGTGTCTGTGAGGGTGCTGCCAAAAGAGATGAACATTTGAGTCAGTGGGCCAGGAAAGGCAGACCCACTTCAACTGGGTCGGCACAATCTAATCAGCTGCCAGTGCAGCTAGAATATAAGCAGGCAGAAAATGTGACAAGAGAGACTGGCCTAGCCTCCCATTCTACATCTTCCTCCCGTACTGGATGCTTCCTGCCCTCGAACATCGGACTCTCAGTTCTTCAGTTTCGGAATTTGGACTGGCTCTCCTTGCTCCTCAGCCTGCAGACGGCCTACTGTGGGACCCTGTGATAGTGTGAGTTAATACTTAATAAACTCCCCGTTATATAATCTATTCCATTAGTTTTGTCCCTCTAGGGAACCCTAATACAGTAGTAAAAAGTTTTTTACAATTTCTTTCTTTCTTTTTACACTCCTCTCAGCTCATACCTATGTTTTTTACTTTCATCAAAATAAAATATCCTTGTGAGGTAGTTACATGCTTTCTTGAAATTTTAAAAGTACAGTATCTGTTCCTAAGATCAGCATATTATAAGAACTCTATTATCACTAGTCAATAGTGGTAATCTTATTTTTTAGATAAAATATCTAAACTCAATACCCTCAAACTCTGAAACATAAAAGCACACTCCATCTATATTATGTTTAATGCTTAGAATTAAGATGTCATAAAGCTCCTTAAAATAGAAACAACAAGTCACCTAAACACTCCATAGCTTTGCTAGGTATTATAGTGTACAGGCTGAACCATGGTTCTGCTATATTAAGATTCTCACTTTTATACACTTCGACAGCTCAAAAACCCACATGCATCTTCCAACCGATGGAGTCATAGTCTAACTGGCAGCACTTTTTTTTTTTAATGGTACGTAAAATAAAAAACTGAAAATTGATGATATCTTATTTTCAATAAAACTCTGTAGTTCAACCAGCACTTAAATAGCTGGTATGGGCTTTATTTTTATTTTTTAATTGGCATTTTGGACAACTCCCTTAAAATATTTTTTAAAATGTCACTTTTCCATACAAACAAATGAAGCAGCACTCTAAGATGCCACAAAGCAAGTGTAACTAACATTTATAGACATGCTCTAAAGCATCACGATATTTTTGAGCTTACTAAAATGATTTCTATAATTTACTACAGAATTAAATGAAATAAATGAGCAACTATAAAAGGAACTGCTTGTTTGGGGGAAAATTTTTTTTTTTTCGGTTTTGAGACAGGGTCTTGCTCTCTTTCCCAGGCTGAGGTGCAGTGGCGCGATCACAGCTCACTGTAAACTCCAACTCCTGGGCTCAAGCAATTCTCCCACCCTGGCCTCCGGCCTCCCAAAGTGCTGGGATCACAGGTGTGAGCCACCTTGCCTGGCACTTGCTTTGAAATTTTAAAACCTATTCTACAAGAAAAAAGAAAGGGATTAGAGAAATATTACTTAGTTGCTAAATGGAAATCTTAAGTCTGCTTTTCAAACCTGTCTGGCCAGCGCTCTAACAAGTTTCAGCCATTAGCTCACTGCTCATGCATGGCTTATTGAGCAAAGACTGGCTGGTAAAAATTTATAAAATAGTATGTTTTAAAATTTCTCTGCAAGACTGGCTTTAAAGCAATCTTTTAAAATGAGAACAACTGTTGAATTTTATCTTAAGACATCTTAGTTTTCACATTTTCAAGAAGAAAATGCAAACAAGTAAAACATTATACTTCAGTCATACACACCAAATATTGTAGCAAAAACCTGTATTATTGTTTCTTAGTGTTTTCACTAAAAGATCACGCAAACTAGGGAAGTCTAGTATCTTTTTAAACCAAGAGTCATGTTAGCACCATACTAAATTGTACATAATATATCTTTGAGAATAAGTGGCTAAAAAAAAATAGTAATAATACAGGCCGGGTGCAGTGGCTCACGCCTGTGATCCCAGCACTTTGGGAGGCAGAGGCGGGTGGATCGCCTGAGGTCAGGAGTTCGAGAACCAGCCTGGCCAACATGGTGAAACCCCATCTCTACTAAAAATACAAAAATTAGCTGGGTGTGATGGCTTGCACCTACAATCCCAGCTACCCAGGAGGCTGAGGCAGGAGTATTGCTGGAATCCGGGAGGTAGAGGCTACAGTGAGCTGGTATCACGCCACTGCACTCCACCCTGGGTGACAGAGCAAGACTCCATCACAAAAAAAGAAAAAAAATCGTAATAATACAATAGAGTGATATTTTTAAGAGGAGAGAAAGTAAACTGAAAAATTAGAAGACTGTCCATATTTTCCATATTAAAATACATTCTCCAGATTCACCAAACTTGGGAGCCAAATTTCCAAGACATTTTCTTGTTTCAATGGTTTCCTTTATAGCACATAATAGTGTACAAGTGATTCTACTTCCAGCTGGCTACATCCAAGCACCACCATCTTTATTGGCAACAAAGAATATATGTTTATTAAGTATTCAGCAAGCAACATCATTCATTTTGCAACTTGAAGTGGGTAGTTTGACCTCAAATGCAGATATGAAAACGATTTTACCTTCAGAAGTATTAAAAAAAAGCTGAATTCTGCATCTAAAATAATTAGGAAAGATACTATTATTAGTCATGAGTTATTACTGCAGCACCTTTTTAAGGGGCCCTAGGAAGTTGCTTTCTCACTAGGCATTGTTTCCCAGTGATGAAAATGACATTTTGGCTTAGGTATACCCTTTTGAGGGTCCATCAACACAGCACTCGGGAAGTGGTGCCAGGCTTGGAGAAACAGGTGAATGAACGCAGGACAGCATGCTTCCTGAACTGGTTCTTCCACAAACAATCAAGGTCAGAGTGGGACTTACTTTTTCTGTGGGCATATGCTAGAGAAACTATGAAAGTATAAAAAAAATGCCAGGGTACCATGCCAGCAAGAATGATGGGCAGAGTAGAGAGAGAAGAAAAGAAAGAGGCCTTTAAACAGCAAAAACACAATATAGATTAGAACCTCAGAGTTTCTGGGGCTCACACTAGGTACGAGCTTCTTTACATTAGTTTAGATTTTTAGCAACTGCTGGGAAGAATTAAGGTGTGTTAGAAATTCACTATCCTGGGTAAACTGATAAAGCACTAAATCACGTTGAGGGACTAGTCTCTTTATAGCAAATTTAAATTTGATATCCTTACTAATAATGAATGATTTAGCTAAATTAAAAATAAATTGTAAGATTTTTTGCGAACATTTCAATGTATAGAACAGAATGAAATGTAAACTACTCTGGTAAAATATATATCTTACTATAATTACAAATAGAAATAAAAAGTATTCTTAGTAGCCCCCTTGAAATGAACACTAAAAATAAGTATTATAACAAGTATAGAGCAGTATTTGAATTTAAATTATTTTTTATCCTGATTAAAACAAATGTTACCTGTTATTTTTGTGACAAAAAATATTTGAGGGGTCAATATGAAATGTTCAATTATGTTTTCAGGATAAACTGAGTAACAGGGGGAATCATAGGATAGTGCTTGGGAAACAGCACATGCTCAAGAAAGTTTTTTTTTTTTTTTTTTTTTTTTTTTTTTGTAAATCTGGAACCAAGGATTTTAATACCAATGATAATATAATGTTTGCCCAACATTAAGAGTCAAATCAAATCATAGTTTATCTATTACGGCTCTAAACCAATTACAAAATATTACAAAAAATAATAACGCTTTTCTGTAAAATATCTGTATTGGCTGGGCATGGTGGTTCACGCCTATAATCCTGGCACTTTCAGAGGCCAAGGTGAGTGAATCGCTTGAGTCCAGGAGTTCAAGACAAGCCTACGCAACGTAGCAAAACTCCACCTCTACAAAAAATACCAAAATTAGCCAGGCATGGTGATGTGCACCTGTAGTCCCAGCTACTTAAGAGACTGAGGCGGGAGGATCGTTTGAGCCCTGGAGGCAGAGGCTGCAGTGAGCCAAGATCATACCAGCCTGGCCTCAAAAAAAAAAAAAATCTTTATTAGACACTGGGCATCACAGGGTAGCAGCATTTGTTTTCTTATGACCAAATTAATGGTCAAATTGTTTTTTACCAAAAGCAAGTTTCTACCTTATCAAAAGTAAGAAGTAACACAAAGTATTAAGTAAAAATGACAACGTAAGGATGCAGAATATTCTCGTTTAGGTTTTAAAAAAATACACACAGATATGTGTATATATATATGTGTATAGAACTTTTGAAATCTATACATATTCAGTTACTAATTTAAAAAATCTAACAGACTTTTACTTAAAAATCATTTGAGAAACTTTTGAACCCCTTTCTTTGAAGTAGGCAGAAGTCCTGCATTGAAAAACAAAGTACTTATTTAAGAACAAAAGGATTTCTTTAGAATTTTCCAAGTTATTGCAGCTTGTCAATCCCTCCCCCCACAGTACCGCAAAGTAGTATATACAAAAGGATAGGGGGAAAACGTGATTTTCCTTAACACTGGCCAGTGACACACCTTGAAGCCACAGTTGGTTTAACTGAAGCCTATAGTGATCAACTGTGCCTTTGCAGAGTAATTTAACTACTCAACAACTGGAAAGAGAAACAAGATTTAGTGAAAAAAGCACCATGCTGACGAACAACAATTATTGCCCATATTAAGCTCTATTTTCTGAGTCAAAGTTTGGGTCATGTAAAAGTAAAACTGGCCCCAGAGAAGAGAACCGTTTCTCACAGATTGCCATTTAAACCTCAAATGACCATGTTTCACAGCAGGCTGAATACATTCCAGCATGTAACTGCATTTTAATTTCCTAAAACCACAGGATATAAGTCTGATTTCAAATAGTGTCTGGACTGTGATATTCAATACTGATAAAACTGTGTGGTATTCTCTTGAAAGTTCCACAGATTCAGCATATGAAAAAAAGATCTTCAATTTCTTCAAAGCACTTATTCTCAAAGAAATTTACTTCTTTCTAAATGAATTCTAAACAATGTTAAGAGCTAAAGCTACTGCCATAAGAAATGTAACCTACTAGTTACAGGAAAAGAACATACAATATATTCATCGCTCACCAGGATACAGTATGTTCTTGACAAAAATGGTCATTATGAGACTTTAAATCTTTTTTGCCATGTTTGTTAGTATTTATTCTGGAAAATAATTTTAAAATCTATTAACATGAATGTTTACTTGAATGTCTATTCAATGGATGGAAATTATTCAGTCACCTTCTCAACTTTATAAAAGGAGAATTTGTTTAGTCTCTAAGTATTATGTAAGAAGAAATGCAACCTTTAAAACTGACCAATAAGGAAAAAAAGAAGGTGAAGCTATCGTAAGTTGGGGGATAAGAAATTTAGGATCATAATATAATTGGAATGCAACTTATACAGAAACAGTTTTATATGTGAATATGAAATCTTTTAGTAAGATGTTCAGCAGTTTTCATCATAGGGACTAGACTGACTGACCCTAAAAAAGCTAGAGGGGAAATTTCTTTTGAGGGAAGAGAGGAGAGTAGATAAGTATATGCTTTCTCTTATAATACTATTGCCTTTGGCTCTGAGCCTGACTCCAAAATTGATTGACAAATTTAATGTTTGTTTTTAAGCAACATATCTGATCAATGAGGTGTAACTTTACTCAGAATGAAACGATCAGACGCTGGCTAATAATTTCAGGTGTGGGAACTATAAAACTCTGGTTATTCTAGGAAACCTAAACATCTAGAAAAACAGGGGCTAATGCCAGGGTACCTGGCATATGAGTCAGCTGGGTCCCTATGGTCACTCGTCATCAGGTTCTAAGGTATCATCATGTGTAAGAAAGAGTCACTCTTGATTTCATAACAGCTTTTCAAGGAGGTAACAAAATACATTACATGGGCCAATTTTTTTACACAAAAAACCTGATTTGTGAAACAAATGCACATCTTAGAACTGAAGAAGTTACTGCGTCCCTTTCCCCACCCCCTTATCTTTCATTTGGTTTTGCTCCATCTACTCCTCTCTTCTCCTCCAGACTTTCCATTGATCTTTCCTTCTTTTTTCCCAAACTTAGACAACGGGTGGTAGCTAGAAAAATGTTTATACTCTTAAGAAATATGGATCAGGCATCTCCTCTGTGGTGGGGTTCTGTGAGACCTCAAAGTTCAATTAAGCACAACTGAGAATATCAAGGAACTTTAAGGGGAAGACAAGCATGTCAACTTAATGCAACCCATCCTGAGAGCATCAGCACCTGTGCCTGTCTTACAAAGCCACGGCTAAATGCCGTGAGGACTACAAGGGCTGTGTGGAGGAGGGCTACTTTGAACTGTGAGTGGTACTTAGACTACAGGGAGGTAAACAAAACTGCACGATTTTGCAGAGAGGGATCACAGTAAATAAAAGTAAATGCAGACAAAAGCCTGTGGCATATATAGGATGCAGCATTCTAATTTGGCTAGTGACCACCAAAAAACAGTAATAGGGGGCTGTTCTTAGCATGTTTATCTCATTTTAATCCTCATTACAGCTAGTAGGTCCTATTATTACCTCCATTTTAAAAGTGAGAAATCTGAGACAAGGGAGATTATTAAATTGCCTAAGGGCATACAGTTTACCAGCTGATCATGAAGCCAGGATCTGAATCCAGGAAGCCTAACTCCAGGGCTATGCTTTTTTTTTTTTTTTTTTTTGAGACAGAGTCTTACACTGTCGCCCAGGCTGAAGTGCAATGGCGTAATCTCAGCTCACTGAAACCTCCACCTCCCAGGTTCAAGCGATTCTCCTGCCTCAGCCTCCTGACTAGCTGAGATAACAGGCACCCATCATCATGCCCAGCCAGTTTTTGTATTTTTAGTAGAGAGGAGGTTTCACCATGTTGGCCAGGCTGGTCTCGAACTCCTGACCTCACGTGATCTGCCTGCCTCAGCCTCCCAAAGTGCTGGGATTATAGGTGTGAGCCACGGCACCCAGCCAGGGATATACTTTCAATGTCTGTATATACTCTTAGTACACAGAACATCCAAAGGGGAACAATGGGGAACAAAATATGGCTGGGACTATACTGGAAGGGTACGCCAGAGATACAAGTAGAAAGTAAAAAAAGTATTGTCACAAAATCCATTACAGTCTGTTTGCCTCCATGAAACCATCCTACAACTTTATTCGGTCCAGTTGGTCAATATTTCCATCTTCTCTACATTGACTAAATAATCCATCTAGCAGACAATTTTTAGGCACCGTGATAGTTGGAAAAGATATG
Source organism: Homo sapiens (assembly GCF_000001405.40). Lineage (NCBI taxonomy): Eukaryota > Metazoa > Chordata > Mammalia > Primates > Hominidae > Homo > Homo sapiens. The sequence goes on from NC_000010.11 coordinate 121,789,886, forward strand.
GATATTGATATCAGCCCCTCAAAGCATATAAAAACTAATCTAATGGGAGAAGCTAGGTCAGTAAGTGCACGAGCACGTGAGGTTTCTTAATTTTGTGCCAAACTGCGTGAGTTTGTGTGCATGTGCAAAGTCTTCCTCTATCTTACACACACACACACACTCATGCACAGCATACTCTATAATATACAAAGCTACCTGGACCCTGTTAAGAGCCACAGCCACACACACATGGATCATAAAAACAAAGCCAATGATTTCCAGCTGAGCTCAGCTCCAAACATACCTGCTTCTGGGTCCTGGTTGAAACGGCAGTACTTGGAGTTTTCAAGTGAAGGCAGGCATTGCTCAATGGGTACCCAAACATATGTCTCAGGGCACAGCAAATCAGAAGGTCTATACTGACCCTGAAGAAAAGTGAAGGAAAAAGGCACAGGCATTATTAACACAGCAATGCCAGAGATAAAGGGATGAGGGCTCTAGGAAAGGTTTAAAGCAAAAACTTAAAAGTCAACCAGAAACTGTTTTACTGTAAATACTAAGCAACCCTGTAGCTGATAGTTTTCCCATCTCATGAAAGCACGTTTGACTCAAGGCTCTCTGAAAGTTAAACACCACGACTTAGGATGCCTGTGTTGATTTGGAAAATTCGAGTTTTTACTCCCTTTTGGAAGAAATATTCAATGTGATTCTTGCTGAGCTGACTTGAGAATAACCAGTTTCAAAATTGTCTTTCAAATACTAGTTAATTAACAAAGAGAAGTTTCTTTTCATGTATTAGAGCACTGTATAAAGTGAACTTATTTTTCAACATGGAATTTCACTATCCTTAATGACAAATTTTTTAATTTGTGATTTGTAGACTCAGTTGATAATATTCATTCTTCTCTAATGTAGTAGAAAGTACTGTTTTATCAATATACTTCTATAAGCAATCTAAACTGATAAACGTATAATAAAGAGAAGTTTAAGAAACAAGTTTCAGGGAAACATCTGATAATCCACTGAACTTTCTTCAAAAATCCCACTTAAAATTCCATTTAAAAATTTTATGTGTACATATATATGTGTATATATATATGTGTGTGTACATATATGTGTGTATACATACATATATGTGTATATATGTATACATGTGTGTATATATGTATATATGTGTATATATATGTATACGTGTGTGTGTGTGTGTGTGTGTGTGTGTGTGTGTATATATATTTTTTTTTTTTTTTGAGATAGATTCTTGCTCTGTCACCCAGGCTGGAGTGCAGTGGTGCAATCTTGGCTCACTGCAACATCTGCTTCCTGTTTTCAAGTGATTCTCCTGTCTCAGCCTCCCAAGTAGCTGGGGTTACTGGTGTATGCCACCACGCCATGCTAATGTTTGTATTTTTGGTAGAGAGGGGGTTTCACCATGCTGGCCAGGCTGGTCTCAAACTCCTGACCTCAGGTGATCCGCCCACCTCAGCCTCCCAAAGTGCTGGGATTACAGGCATGAGCCACCGTGCCTGGCCAATTTATATTTTTATAATCCAATTATACACCTCAAATCTAACACAAAGACTATACAATAGATGCTAAAGAAAAAAAATCATTCACTTAATGGGGATAATGAAGATGGTACAAATTATTTGAAAACATTTTGTGAAAATTTTCATAACTATCAAGGTTTTGTATTCTTTGAGCTTATTTAAAATTCCAAGTGTCTCGCTTCTAAATTTTAAAACTTATTATAGAGGTTAAAATCTAGTATAGTGTTTTTCAATTGTTTTTTACTACAACCCATAGTACAAAATACATTCTATATCACAGCCTAGTAAACATATTTGCAAACATAAAACCAGAAACAAACCTTTTAGTATACAATGCTTACCGATGTTATGTTCTAGTCTATTTTATTTCATTTTTCAAAAAATGCTGCTCATGAACCACCAAAACTGCTTTTACAAGCAACAAATGAGTTACACCATAGAGTTTGAAAAACACCAGTGCAAAACTCATTACAAAGAATACAGCCTAAGAGCTCGGCAGTGATTCTGTTCGACGGAAAGGCTCTATACCAGGTGCTGTGTGAGTCACCATATGAAGCATAGATACAAAATGAACACCACGTCCTATTAGCTCGCAAAGCATTCAGAAGTCTGGAAGCCAAAAAGAGAGGCTATACATCCACAAAATGTGAGGAAACATTCTTTCCTGTTTGAGTGGCTGGGAGAGGGTTCAAGGAGGATATGGGGTTTTATTGAGGACTTAAGACTGACTGAATTAAGCCTAGGGTAGGATGAAAAGAAATGAGAACAATCTAGATAAAGGGAACGGCATAAACAAAGACACAGAGTTGGGCCAAGTAGAAAACTCCAAGGAACAGGAAATGGCAGGGCACCACAGCGATGGAACAGTGGGATGGATCAGATTCTGGGGGACATTCTGGGCAGCAGTCAGATGTTTGGAATTTTCTTCTAGATGAAATGGGAAGGCTTGTTGGATAAGAGGGAGAGTTTTGTTCTATTCCAATAGGAGCAGATAACAGGGTGAAGACCAGAAGTCAGGTCTCTGACTCAGCTTTCCTGGAGTGCTCACTGCACTGTTGCTGGTTCACTGCACTGTTGCTGCCTCACTGCCCTACAGCAGTAGAAGGCCATCTACCACGGGCAGCTCCAGGTGGTCTACAGACGCATCTAATAATATTCAAACACAGAATTAGGAATGAATTGAGGATTTACTTAGGAAGTGTAATAAAGCCAGATATTTCACTGCTATCTATCTTATCAAAAACAATGGCATTATCTCCATTAACTCAGAAACTGTTTTACTGGGGGAAAGGACATGAATCAGAAAACTAGACAGCATCCTAAAGCTGTGCTTCTAAGTCTGTTTTTTCCTTCTTGGTGATAGATCACTTTGCAAATCTGACGGAAAAAAGGCTAAATATAAAAGCTAAAGATATAAAACTTCTGGGGAAAAAAAAGGACTAAATTTTCTTGACCTGGGAGTATAGAAGTTTTCTTTTGTAAACAAAATGAACCAACCATAGAGGAAGAAAACTGATGAACTATACTTCCTCAAAATTATCTTCAAAAAAACTACTAGGAAAATAAATAGGAAAGCCAAAAACTGGGAGAAAATTTTGACAAAACATATATTTAAAAACAGACTTGTATCCGGAATATATAAAGAATTATAACAACTCAATAATAAGAACACAATGCATTTTTTTAAAAAAGGCAAATCACTTAAGCACTTCACCAAAGATATATGAATGCCTAATAAGCATGTGAAGAGATGTTCAACGTTGTCAGTTACCAGAAATGCAAATTAAAACCATAACAAATTATCATTATCACTGCATGTCCACTAGAATGGCTAAATTTTAAAAAGACGGAAGAAACAAGTTTTGGTAAGGATTTGGACTAATTAGAACTTACATATTGTTGGTTTAAAATGGTGAAACACTTGATAAAATATAAATATTCTTGTACATATCATTTGTGAATATGCCTAGGATAAATTCCTTCAACTGGGAATGTTGGGTAAAAGGGTTTTAACTTTTATAGTGTCAAATGACTTTCCACAGAAGTTGTGCCATTTTACATTCTCATCAGCAACATTATGCTCCCAAGTTGATTTCCCTCACATCCTTACCAAGATAGTATACTACCAAAACTTTCCATCTTTGCTGTTCTAAAAAATGACATTTCATGTGGTTTTAATTAGCATTATGTATCTTCATATATTTAGAGGAATTTGCATTTTTCTTTTTCATAAAGTTGGCCCATTTTATTGTTAAATTGCTGGCCTTTCCTTATTAAACAATTCTTTATATATTAAGAACTCTTTATATATTAAGCCCTTGGTTTGTAAAATATGTCACAAATCTTTTCCAAGTTTATATATCTTCTGACTTTCTATGCCATACTCTTACGCCATATGAAAATCTGATGTGTGGTCAAATCGATAATTTTTAAAAATGGGCTCTGGGTTTACACAATAATTAAGACGGCCACCCTCACTTTCAAGGTTATGAAAGCATACTTTCATATTTTTTCTAGTACTTTCATGGTTTCATAATATTACATTTACATTTATGCTCCATCTGGAATTTATTGTGATATAAGGTATACAAAAAGAATCCAACTTAATTTCTTTCAAATGTTTATTCAGTGACCTCAGCATCATTTTTAAAACAATCTTCATTTCCCCTGCTAATTTGGTAACTTACTGAATTCCCATATATAGGGAAATCTCTTTCAAGACTTTCTACGTATCCTGTTATACTGACCTGTCTTATCAAGTACCAGTACCACATAGTTTTAACTATTAAAGCTTTATATTATATTTTAACATCTTGGAGATTTAATTCCCCCTCATCACTCTTCATTTGTAGAATTTTCTGGCTCATTTTACTTAATTGTTCTAGGATTCTGAATTTGGTACAAAAATATTACCAACATGAATAAGGAAACACTAATAAAAATGGAATAGCATATCTTGATCTTTGTGACAGCAGAACATAAAAGAAGAGAATACCCAGGCTGGGCAACACAGTGAGACCCCATCTCTACAAAAAAATTTTTTAATTAGCTGGGCATGGTGGTGCACACCTATAGTCCCAGCTATTTGGGAGGCTGAGGTGGGAATATCTCTTGAGCCCAGGAGGGTAGAGGGTAGAGGCAATAGTCAGCAGTGATTGTGTCACTGCACTCCAGATCAGGTGACAAAGACCCTGTCTCCAAAAAAAAAAAAAAAAAAAAAAAGGAGAAGAGAATACCAAGAATGTCTGGTAAAAAAAAAAAAAAAAAAAAGAACATATGTATCATCTCAAAAAACAACATAAGACCTTAAACATACGAATGGCCCCATTTTCTAATATAAGGTGGAACTGAATGCTCACTGGCAAAAAAAGCACAGGACAAATATCGAGGGTGGAGATGGGGGTGATCGGACATCAACTTTTGAGTCCTTAAGGTTAAAACAGAGCCTGTTTTCCTTCATAACATAAACCTTGCGGATACGCAGATTCATCAACAGCCACCTGAATCCAGTGCCTAGATTTAACAACGATGCTGACCATCAAGAACATTTAGTCGGCTGGGGGCGGTAGTTCATGCCTGTAATCCCAGTACCGTGGGAGGCCGAGGCAGGCAGATCACTTGAGGCCAAGAGTTTGAGACCAGCCTGGCCAACATGGCGAAACCCCATCTCTACTAAAAATATAAAAGTTAGCCGGGCATGGTGATACGTGCCTATAATCCCAGCTCCTCTGGAGGCTGAGGCACAACAATCGCTTGAGCCCCGGAAGCAGAGGTTACAGTGAGCCAAGATCGCACCTCTGCACTCCAGCCTGGGCAATGGAGTGAGTCTCTGTCTCAAAAAAAATAAAAATAAAAATTTTTTAAAAAAAGAATATTTAGTCAATGAACATTACATAAATCCTCACTATGTAACAGGCACTAAAGGCTGGAACAAAAAGATGAACAAATGCATGCCTCTCGATAATTCACAACCTACTGGGAGTGATAAAGCTGGATAAAGATGAAGTATGCATAAAACATAAAAAATATGACAGTGTACAACTGTCCCAAGTTTCTAAATTTTCACAGTGCTCTAAGAAGGTAACACCTGCTCATACAATGATATTTCACTTTTTAACTCTTTAAATACTCAGTTTATCTCACTCGAAGACCATAAATGCATACATTTTAACTTCTGCTCATCATCTGAAATCACGTTTTTAGACTAGGTTAAAACATTATTTTTCTTCTAAGTACAGGCTCATTTCAGTGTTTCAGATATTCTCACAAGCCGTCAAAGAATTGAGATTTATGAAATAAACCACTTTGAAATGTTATGCTTTCTAAACTAAGCTGGTCGAGAGTTAAATGACCAAAGTGCTTAAAGCTCAATTCAAAGTCACCATCACACAAACGAAAACACAGGGGGTTGAAAGCTACCCTGCCTCTTCAGCTAGTATAAGAAAATGAGAAATGTTTGTATGAAGAATGTAATTACTTAAGGATTTGGACATAGTTTCCCATGGTCAGAAGAAAAAATATTTAATCAACCTCTAAGTACATTCATTCAGATTGGAACAAAGAGGTAAAAGCAGATTAATTCTTTCCTAGGGTGCTGACTTTTTGTAAATAAGAAGAAATGAGTTACCACAGATTTTCTAAGTACTCAAAATTTTGAAAATGTAATTGGTCTGACAGGGCTTCTCTCACAGTTTTTTGGAGAGTTCTTTCAATCCACAATTTTAGAAGATGACTGCTAGACATCCTTTGCAAGTCCTCAGAAATTCAGCCGTCCAACAAGAACAAAAGGAAATCTTACCAAGCAAGGGCACCTATTTCAAGAGGGAAGGCTACCACAGAGGATAACATAGTTCAAGATAAGATGCCTGAAAAAGTTAAAAAATAACGTTTAAAAATACTAAACATAGAGAAAGGATGCTTACTTTTTATTATTAATTAAACATTTTTTTGGTGAGGGATCATCACTCAGTTCAAAGCCGTCAAAGGGAAAAGTTCAGCAAATCCTATGATTCCTGACTTCACCAAACGATTTTAACTTCTGCAACTATTTACAAACTGTTTTAGAACTGGAAAACAAAACTCAAAAACAAAATGAAACAAACTACCTATGCACGTCTATATTTTCAGTTACCACAGAAGAGTTAATGTTTTACACAAAGTAGAGCTGTAATATTCAATGGTCTTTTTCTTTGATGAAAACCACTTAGACTACTTGTAAGACTCAATTAAAAAAATTAAAATATGGCCTCATAATATTTCAATTAATTTTACTAGGTTGTCATAGAATGAAAATCTAGGAAATGCCAAAGTTAAATCTAAAACATTGAAAGGAGAAGAAAAACACCCTAGCTAAATGCACTTCCTGCTCTATTTCTATTAAAAAAGACTGTGTCTTCTGGAAGAGGAGATCATATACTTTTGGTTTTTGGTTAATGGAATGAACAAAGGCATTCTTCTCACTTGCATGCTTTAGCCTATAATTTGAAGAGCATTATCATATTGATCCAATTTCTTACCCTATAAAAGAATCGCAAAATAAATACATGGAAAATATCTTAGTTTAACAAAATGTAACAGAATTCAGCCTAAAAATTAAAATCATTTTGATAGCCAGAGGTTAAAAGTTATCTCACTATCATATCTTACTGGATAACAATGAACACAAGTATAAAAGGACATATGTACGTGGAAAAATTGGATTTCACAATTAGTAATAATTTCAGCAGAGATACTTTAAAGTCGACGAACGTCTTTTACTTCTAATTAAAACACAGCAAACAACACTAAGAGACTTTCCCTCAGTTAAACTGTAACTAGTTAGAAATCTGAATTTTCAAAGGCGAAAGTTATAAACTGATACAGAGGAGGAGCAAAAAATGTTTCCAGCAAGCCCTAGTGATCCATTTTTTTGCAATGTTTTCATTGATGTAATTCATATACCATTAAATTCACCCTTTTAAATTGTACAATTCAGCACTTTTTGTTTTCATAAGGTTGTACAAGCATCACCACTATCAGATTCCAAAACATTTTCATCATCCCCAAAGAAACCCAGTACCCATTAGCAGTCACTCCACATCCCCTTGCCCCCTAGCCCCTAGCAACCATTATTGTGCTGACTATCCATTTAAAAATAGAATATTTCCTCACATACCACACTTCCTATTTGAGTGGGAGTAAAAAAAAAAAAAAAATACGAAGACATGGCACAGCCTATAAGGCCCTGAGTGGCACGGCCCATGTTACCCTTCAGACTGGTCGTCTACCGCTTTATCCTCCTCCATCATGTCACCTTCGCCACACTGGCTTCCTTGCGGTCCCTTGCACATGCTAGGCCTGCTCCCACCTCAGAGATTCTCACTGACTGTTCTCTCTTCTGGTCACAGCTACTTTAAGTTTTTGCTCAACGTCACATTCTCAATGAAGCCCACCTATCCTCCCTACCGTTTTACTTCCATGGGGCTTATCACTGTCTAACCGTCTTGTTAATTTCCTTATTTATTTATATCTATAGAAAACTACTTGTTAGAATGTAGAGTCAGGGATTTTAGTCTAACTTGATCACTAATGTGTTCCAAAACCTGCCCAGTAAATAACTACTGGGTGAATGAACAACGACCATAGTACACTCCACCTATACCATTTCTACTTCCACTTTCTAAACAGTGGACATTACTTTAACACCTTCTGCCTTGCTCATTAACATGGCATGCATGAAGCAGTATTTGCTGAATTTGTATTTATGATGTGGCTCCCACATGTTCTTATTATATAAGAATAGTTCTCAACCTTTGGGAATTCAGTGAATTATCACCAAATGCTAGAATTACAAGGACATAATCAAGACAGGGGCTATAAGAGTTACTGAAATTAAAAAGGGGGTTTTCATACTCAAGAAGGTTAGAAACTACTGGCTCATGTCAATTTAAAGTTTTTTTGAATTGAAAGTATATGCCAATGAAATAAATTTATCTCAAAAGAGATGTACAGCTTTTCATATTAATTTTCACTTTAAAAAAGAGAAGGAAAGGCAACTTCTGAAAGGGCCTCTTCATCTGTTAGGAGAGTTGAACAATGCCACTTTGGTGGGTAACAACAAAGACAATAATTACTTCTCTCTGTATTTGTTAAGAACATAGTCCTCATAATAATTCTGCACATTGTCTGAGTTAAATCTCACAATAACTTTAAAAAGTAATGAAGACAGGCCGGGTGCAGTGGCTCACGCCTGTAATCCCAGCACTTTGGGAGGCAGAAATGGGTGGATTACTTGAGGTCAGGAATTCGAGATCAGCCTGACCAACATGGTGAAACCCCTTCTCTACTAAAAATACAAAAATTGTTGGGCGTGGTGACACACGCCTGTGGTCCCAGCTACTCAGGAGGCTAAGGCAGGAGGATCACCTGAACCCAGAAGGTGGAGTTTGTAGTGAGCCAAGATCGTGCCACTGCATTCCAGCCTGGGTGACAGAGTAAGACTCTGTCTCAAGAAAAAAAAAAAAAAAGGTAATGAAGACAGACATTACTTCTACTGTATAGATAAAACAATAAGATGATAAAATAGTAGTGATGAACTGAGAGCTAGACTCTATTCCTATTCTCATTTCCTGCCTAAACCTTAAAAAAACAAAAGCACAATTTTTAAATGTATTTTCAAAATAACTTCCGAAAACCTTAAAAATCACAACTCAGTTCAATATACACAGGGACTCCGCTTGACATCAAGGAGGAAAAGACGAAAAAAGCCTTGTGAGGTGCTCATTCTCTGCTGGGGAAGAGGAGGCAGTTGGCCCCAATAACGTTCACAGCCATGATCAAGAACGGGTGGTGGGCACAGGCTGCTACAGAAGCACGAAGGAGCTGGAGCAGCCAGCAATACTGAGGACAGCAACAAGAGCTGTCAACAAGCTGTGGTAGAATGCACAGGTGAAAGAATCAGCTTTCTCTGAAGCAGCAGCTGGAGCTTCCTCAGAACAGGTCCCTCCTGCAATATGTCTTACAGGCCAAGTAGCACCATGTTTAGGAAAACAAAAAAAAAAACAGGCACTCACCAATAGCAAATACAGATCCAAGACCCATACAGCTGTCTCCCTCCTGAGCTCTCAAATACCTGTCCATCAAAATTTCACCAAACAGGAGATGAAATGAGAAACAACTGTTTCATCTTTGCAGCTAGCATGTGGTCCTGTGTCTACAGTTTCAGGAAGCTTCAAACTTAAATTTATATCCAAAATGTTAACGTTAGATTAGTTATAAAGAGTAACTCCATCTTCTCTCTGAACAAATGCCAATTTCCATAAATTCAAATTTATTGCCAGTAAGTGTCTTGGTATTAGCTGGAGAAATATTATAAAACTCATGGTTTTTAAATTACATTATGGTTTCTTTTATCTGATTACATCTTCCTATCTTCCTAGATTTCCACAGAAGTACTTCTTACAATTGAATATACAATTCATCAGAAATAAAAGAAAAACCTATTATTTACATTATAATGGAAAATTCCCTATAACAATACTGAAAAATGCACTGAAGTTACTAACAACCCCTTTTTAAACAAATCCTGTGTTAAAAGGTCCACTCTTTGATTACGATAGTAAATCCAGAAATATGTGATTTTAATTTTAAAGGGCTTTAACATCTTTTTAAAAATCTTTCTTTTTCCTTTGGCCTTTATAAGAAGACGGATGTGAAGCCCTATGTATTCAGAACTACACAGGTTTACTAATGTGACATGTAAGAATTCTCTTTAAATATTATACTATTTTTTAAGTTTAAACATGCAAATGAGAAATTATTTCTTTAATTAGAGTTAAAGCATTTGAGACTTTGTTATTTTTCTCAGACAAAAAAAATCAGAAAAGAAATACTTTCATATGATATTCAACCAAGTTAGCATTCTTGGCTTTTAATTGGAAACATCTGGGGATGGGCTTGGCCGATTGCAATAAAATTGAAGTTACCAATTCACGCCCTGCCATTTTGATGGCACTTTGTTTTTACAGTTTTCAAATCAAAACCAAACGAACTTTCCTTTGAACTCTGGTCCTGCACCAAAGATCTTTATGAGATTTCACTCTCAAGAATACTTTATAAATATTTTGAAGAATAGGAAGGATTTTATATTTGAAAAGAGGCTAAACCAGCAGTCTATTTTGAAAGTTCAAGTTAAATTAAAATGTAAGTACACCAAAAAGACAATATTATTTAAATACACACACACACAGCCACTGAACATTAGTAGCACTGAACAACAACAAAAAAATTAACTAGATAAAGTTTAAGTCTTTTATCATGTAAAGTTGACACTAGTATCCCAATTTTCTACAATAAATCTATTGATTGTACTAAAACCGACTGCTTAAAGAGATGCTCTAACAGTACATAAACAAAAGTAGTTCAAAATAATTCATTAGAGTGGGCTGTACCCCCAGAGAAAATGAGTAAGAATAAAGGCTTATTAAACCCAGTCTTTCCCCTGAAAGACAACACCAGTGGAATCCCATCCACAAAGTACTACAGCAGACCCCTTGCTCCCTGATTTCATTACATAAACAGAGATTGACTTTATCAGTCCCCAAGAGAGTGCTTTAGAAGTAACTCTAGCTGCTCTGTTTTCAAAAACTGTGTTTGGATTGTGCCATGCTCAGTTGGCGAGGTGAGCTGAGACCAGTAAAGACAAAGGACCTAAACATCTGAATCCATTTGTGTTCCCCAAATTCTGAAAGCCAACAGATGTACTCCATGTGCTGCTAGGCTAAGCTTTGAAAATTTAAAAATACATATTTTTTCCACTGACAAACAGAAAGTGACGGTATTCTGTATTTCTTTAATTAAAATCCAAGCGTTCTCAAAGGCTCCGGGACTTACTTTAAAGCTTCTTTAAGACTGAGCTATTTATTTTACTATTAGCAAATAACAGAGAATCAAGATTCTAATTCAGTTTTAATCACAATCTTTGCTTTTATTTTGGAAACCCTGAGTTAATCTTTTTTCTTCTAAAAAAGACAAAGAAACCTTGTGAAGCAAAGATTCAAGGAGTCAACTTACGGCCCAAATTTAATTTCAAACTGAAGGGTCGTAAGTTGAAAAGGATTTTTAAAATAAGACATAGAATGAAAGATGAAGACAAAGAAGATAATATAAAGAGAGAAAGAAAAACTCTAAGCCTCTTTAGTTTCTGTTAAAGATTAAATATGCATATGAATATTCATATATGTGTCTATATATAAATTTGGCATTCACCATGTTTGTAAGAAGAACCAATTTAGGTGTTTATTTGCTTTTTTAAGGCTCTTTCTTGGAAAACAGCACTTAGAATCACTGGTTCTGCCATTACCCTAGCTGAGGCCACCCTCACCTAGACAAGAGTGAGGGGGCTGACTCCAAGTTTTCTCCTTTGAATTCATCCATCCTCCTACTCCTGCTAGAGAGAACTGATCATGTAAGTTCCCTACTTAAAACCTCTTACTGGCTCTCCAATATCTATAAGGAAAGTAGGAAGATCCCTTTTTAAAGTTAAAAAAAAAAAAAAACATGGGCCTTTTGTAATTTTAGTTACAGTTGATGAGAAATTACAATGAGATAAATCACTAAAAATTCATGAATGCTCTTAAATGAGTCTGGATATTACAAATCCCAATAGAATCTGTGTTTGTAAAATAATAATAGTACTATACTCACAAGTGTGTGCCCTTAGTCTATATCCACTGCGTGCAAATGGATTCACAGCCCTTTTGCCAAAGCTCTCCAGTCGAGAGATAACCTGTACCATGTATCTGAGTCCATGGCACAAGATTTGCTTTCAGTCTACTTTCTTACCTTTAACTCACTCACCCCGGGGTACTCACAGGCTATCTTCTGCCTGGCAAGGCTACCCATTTGGTCTCAATGTCTACTCCACTTTTTTTTTTTTTTAAGAGAATCTTGCACTGTTGCCCAGGTTGGAGTGCAGTGGCACCATCTTGGCCCACTGCAACCTCCGCCTCCTAGGTTCAAGTGATTCTCCTGCCTCAGCCTCCCGAGTTGCTGGGATTACAGGCGCCCACCACCACGTCTGGCTAATTTTTATATTTTTAGTAGAGACAGGGTTTCACCATGTTGACCAGGCTACTCTCGAACTCAAGACCTGAGGTGATCTGCTGGCCTCAGTCTCCCAAAGTGCTGGGATTACAGGCGTGAGCCACCGCACCTGGCCCCTACTCCGTTTTTGAGACCCAACCTAAAAACTGCCTACTCTTACTTTACCAAGCTTTCCTTCGACTCTGCTTCACCTCACCACCCACTGCTCCCATCCCCAGGCTGAACCATCCCCTGTGCTGCCAGTCCTGCATTCAATGACTCATTATTAAATGCCTACCGTCTTCCACGTTCCATACTAAGGACTTAAGCATGGTCCTTAGCAAGGTCCTGGGCATGCCATGGTGAACAACAGCACTGCCAGGTTCAGTTCTCAGGGACTTTCTAGTCCAAAAGGGGAGACAAACTTTAAGGAAATAATCATACAGAAATGTTATTACAAAGTATGATAAATGCTATGAAGAAAAAGCATACCAATACAATGGGGAAATCTAATTTAGATTGGAAGGGTCAGCGTTGACGTCTTTAGGAGATATCTAGATTTCCACAGAGGCCTATTCTAGAACTTAATACAATCTATTGGAGTTGTCTGCTTATATGCTGTGTTTCTCTTATTTTTACATCACCCCTCCCCTTCCACCCCCTGACCTAAAATTCAAACTTGGAGTTTCCTAAGAGCTGGGAGTACATCAATTTCTTTACGTTCCCTATGCATATGAAGAATTCCTTGTATGGACCGAATTCTCAATAAATACTTATTCAGTTAAGCTGATTTCTGTCCAATCGTATTTCTTAAAAAGAGAGAACCACAGAATCTTAAAATTGGACCTCAGACTTCCCTAGTTGCATTTAAATATGTTTTAAAAGGAGGAGGGAGGGATATAGAAAAGTTAAGTGACTTGATCAAGGCTAATTACTGGCAAAACCAAGATTAGAACCACAATCTTAATATTCTTTTTCTGTTAAAATTCCCAACCTAAAATCAGAAATAAGTATGAACACCTAAATTGTGTCAGCAATGTCCTATGTTCCTGTTTATAAAGATCTGCCTAATTAGAATCATTTAGGATCTGTCCCCTCAGAAACAAATTGGTTTTATTTTTCAACATTCTTTTTAAAATGTATATGCCCTGAATCAAACAATGCTAAAAAACAGTTTCCTACAAATACACGGCTTTAATAAAGTCAGTAAGCTGTCTCTAACTAATCATATCTCTATCTGGAGCCATGATTTTTTCCAGAATATGAAAACAGAAAACATTTTTCAGTGCCTGAAAGCCTTAATCATAAAGGTCTGTTTAATTACACCCCTGAGGGGAATAAGAAGTTAGCTTTAACCTCATATTTATCCCAGGGGTGTAATCTTTGGTAATCATTCCTTTTTTTCGGCCTGATGGAAAATTCATCACAAATGACTTAAATGCTTCAAGTTTAAGGATAACCTTTCCTCCCTCCACTGTGCAGCAGTAGGGGTTCTGGTAGAATTTACATCCTGTCCCCTTGGATGCCATCAGTATTCTGTGTGTTTCTGCAAGGAAGGACTTGGTAGAAAGTTAATGTAACAGCTTTTGTGTAGTGCCTACACTTTAGTAGCAAGTTCAAGATTATTTCCTCCCTTTCTAAAAATGATCAGTCATGTAACCATGATAAACATGACCATTTTTAACTTAAACATAGTTATTTACAGGTGAGAAAGTCAAGTCAATTTCACAGAATTTTAAATTATTGTGGAGAAAGTATTATGTTACAAACACCAGGGAATTTTGAATGATAACTTGAGAACCCTTAGTTCTTCATTCAATGACTATACCATTAAAATAAAGTTCTTCTACAATGGCACCTATCTTGGACTTTACACCAAAAATGTATGTCCTTAAAATTTTAAGGAGCCAATCATCACCAAACAATAACAATTTAGAGATACCGAAATAGCATAATTATCAGTTTACCACATCAGAACTCTCTGAAAATAGTTTAATAAAATTGAAGCTGAAATCTACAACTTCCAGATGTGGGAAAAGTATAATTTTGACAAGTTACTATTACGGAGAGCCTGAAATTATGGTATTAGTCATAGAGATGATTATACTTTTGGGCGTAAATGTTTGGAGCATTGAGTATGTTTGGAAGCTGTTGAGCACAGGCTGGTGATCCATCAGCTGTTGAGCTATCAGCTTCTGGTGATGAGTGTCTGAGTAATACAATGTGGTACGCAGCACACATTCTAGCAACTTTTTTTTTTTTTTTTTGCACTATAAGCTCGTAAGTCTGAAGATATATAATGTGTTTGAATCTACTACTGTTATCCTTTTGAAGCTCAAACTGTCCACATTTTGGCCAGTGGGAGCTCAATTGTCTCCTGAGAGCTTCCAACACAACCATAGCAGTTTATGATAGCCTCCATGCTTACTAACTTCTTTTTATCTTCACAGAGACTATTTATTAAGGGAGTTTTAACTCTCTGCAGACTCCACTGTGTGTTTGTGAGCAACAGATATGAAAATCTATCGCTAAATAAATATGTAAAGCCTGTACCAGTTAACTTTAGTCTTTGGGAAGTGTATGATTTACAAGCATCTGAGTCTTCTCTTTCCGCAATAACAGCAGGAAGCACTTACACTATGACTGCAAAGAATCACACAAGACAATTAAAAGTAACCCTTCCAAAGTACTTTTAGCAAAAATATCTAGCTGTAATTGTAGGGCATATAAAAATCTAGAATAAACCAAATGTACTATGAGCATGAAATTTGAATAAAATAATAAACAAACGTTTAATTTTTTCTTTCTACAACTTGAAGTTACTAACTTTTAGTAAAGATTATACTAATATATAATTAAGTCAATTTTGGTATTAATTGAAGCAACAATAAGCTAGTATTTATTGAGTAGTTACTATAAGCTGAGCACTATCCTAACTGCTTTACATGAGCTACCTCATTAATCTCCACAATTATCCCATAAGGAGTGGTGGTGATTATCCCTATTTTACAGATAAAGAGATTGAGTCTTATAATGGCTGTACATACATACAATAAAGCATAAAATCAAGATTTGAACGCAGCTCTCGTGTCTGAGAACGAGATCTTAACTCTGCTAAAATGGTACTAATACTTTAAAATGTTTAAATTGTATAAAGAAATGTATTTACAGTTCAACTGTCAGCAGCTTTTCATTAAAAGAATGCATACATATTTATATTTTAAATATTTACAAACAATTGGAATCACAGAATGTTTTTAAAATCCTTAACGTTTGCAAGAAACTGTCAAAAACAAAAAGAACCTACCACTGGCAAAAGATTGTGGGCAACAAGATATTCAGTCTCCAAGTCTAGCCCCGCAGACCACTATATGACTATTTATATTATACATTTAGTAAGTCAAAGGAAAAAAGCAGCTTTACAGTGGAGAGTCTGGTAGATGTCACCTTAACCAAGTGAGCAAACTTACTATCACCAATACTTGGACAAAATGACAGTAAGGGACTCCTAATGTGATGTCCTGAGACTGACACAGCATCACATGGGTAGTATTCCCGCAAAAGTGAGTAAACTTAATAAAATTATAAAGAAACAACCAGACAAATTCAAATTACAGGAGACTAAACTCTTCAAAACTGTTGATGTCATGAAACCATAAAAAGGAAACTCAAATGATACTTTAAAAAACCATAGCAGGTTGGACGCAGTGGCTTATGCCTGTAAATCCTAGTATCTTGGGAGGCCAGGGTGGGTGGATGGCTTAAGCTCAGGAGTTCGAGACCAATCTGGCCAACATGGTGAAACCCTGTCTCCACCAAAAAATATAAAAATTAGCCAGATGTGATGGAGCATGCCTGCACTCCCAGCTACTTGAGGGGCTGAAGTGGGAAGATCACTTGAGCCTGGGAAGTTGACCCTGCAGTTAGCTGTATTCACACCACTGTACTTTAGTCTGGGTGACCGAGTGAGACCCTGACTCCCCCACCCCCAAAAAACCCATAACAAATGAAATACATAATCCTTGATTAAACCCAGGATTGAGGGGGGGAAAGAATAAAATACACTATCAGGACAACTGGAAAATTTCAACATGAACTATCTATTTGATGATATTACTGTAAGAATATTAGAATCTCTTGAGAATGACAATGATGTTGCAGTTAGGTGTGAGAATATCCTTGTTCTCAGATCCAAGCTGATGTACTTGGGGGTGAAATGTCTTGATGTTTGAAACCTACTTTAAATGGTTTAGCAGAGAAAATACACACCTACATACACTTATTAAGTATGCAACACATACAAAGATAAAGCAATGTGCCAGATGTTGTTAACTGGTGACTTCAGGTGAACGTACACGGGTGTTCATTATGCTGTTCTTTCAAGTTTTCTGCAGGTTTGACATTTTTAAAATTTAGGAGAAAAAGTCAGATTCAATGAATACATACTCCTCTCTTCCCTCCTACCAGCATGCATTTGTGCTCCCACAGAATTTTGTTCCTTTTTTCTAGAACTTACCAGTTTGACCGTGCAAGATATTTTTCTAATGTTGATCCTCTCCAAGAGCTCCCTGAAGACAGGGCCTATGTCTAAGTCATCAGTACCAAAAGAGTGACTTAAGGCAGGTCCTCCAAGTACCTCACACAGAGCAGGCCTCAGTAAAAGCTAGCTGAATTAAATATTTGCTTTCCCAAGATATCACGCAGGTGACAATAAAGACTTTTAGCAATACTTCAAAGCACTCACAACAGAGTTATTTCCTGACTGAAAAACTACACTATATAATCCTTTAAATTTAGAATGATTGAACATTGGCTAAGAATCTGAGAAGTTAAATTCAAAAAGAAAGGAAGAGTAACCAAAGGTAATCAAACAATCGCCATTACATTTAGTTTGTAAATCACATGGAAGAACTCACGGTTTATTACTTCATAGAGTATAAGTTTCATTTATGTAAGTAGGAGTCCATTTTAACATTTGTATCCCAGTTTGGTAATACATGTTCTAGAGACACCAGGGCAACTTTATTATTGAACTTCACATAGCAAACTGTACTTATATTATAGCTGATCTTTGTGATTGGAGGAGAATGGCTATAATGCACTAGATGATGCACGTGATGACACTGACTTAGACTATTTATTAATTTAGATATTCAATAAATTAATTTAGATGTTAACTTATTGTATAGGCTGAACTAGCAGCAGAGTAAGCAAAAGAGTGGGTGAGTGGCATACTGTAAAGTGGGGGTCAGCAAGCTATGGCCCATGGGCCAAATTTGGTCTGCTGCTTGTTTATTATGGCCCACAAACTAAAAATGGGTTTTACATTTTTCAATGGTTGAAAACATATCAAAAGAACACTTTGTGATGTGAAAATTACATGACATTAAAATTTCAATGTCCATAGAGAAAGTTTCACTGGAACACAGCTATGCCCATTTGTTCACACACTGCCTGTGGCTGCAGAGCCTGAAGTATTTACTATCTGGCCCCCTACAGAAAAAGTTTGCCGACTCTTACTGTAAAAAAATGTAATTGCCAGAGGGAGAGAGAGAAATGCCGATTTCCAGGAGACAATTGGGGGCTCAAGGGTCTGTTTATCTTGTGGTATTTGTGGGGATCTACACATCTGTAAACCTTTCTACACGTATAGTATATTTCAATAAGGATTTATTTAAAACTCCTCTATTACTGTGAATTTGTAGATGTACGAATGTTTCTCAAATTAAATATATAAAACAGCCATGTTTTTAAACCCACTGTCAAAATCAGGGTTTGATCTGTGACAAAGAATCCGGACTTTGGATGACCAGATATGGAAAGTACACATATCAAGCTGGGCAAGATTTAGAGAGGGTTCCAGGAAACAATGAAAAGCAGTCCATGAAGTAGACAGCAACAGCAGGTTACAGCTCAAGCAACAGGAACACTAACAGAAGATGGGGTTCGACAGCAAGATCCCAGGATCGAGGAGGACTGGAAGAGTGAGGCAAATTAATATAGCTCGTGATTTAACTCTTCAGTGGCAACCGTGGAAGCATCTGAGCACACATTCTCAAACTCCACTCATATGCAAAGATTAAAGGTTGTAAACTATCCGGCAATATCCACTTGTTAGACCTATTAATCACAACTTGCTTGATATCTTCAACTATAAATATTATAGAATAATTTATAGCAAAAGCCACCTTATTTTAAGTGAACAGGGCTAACAGTGGTGAATTAATAAAAAATGCCCATTACACTATGTGTGTGGGAAAATTCATACAAATATATGATACGGTTGGGAAAGGAAGCAGTACTTAGCAGCCTTTTCATGTAACTGTGAGTAATCTTTGATACTACACCAAAATCGCACTAGCAGTTTCCACAAGTAATTTCTTAAAGGTTATTCCCAATGTGAAATCCAAAGTCGTATCTCTGAACTTTTTCTACTCTATAGAATACTAAACTCTTTTGATGTATCTTGCACTTTGATTTTTCACCCATTTATGATCTGTAACATAATACATCAGTTATTTTGAAAGTACTGATTCACTGAGTTAGGCAGATCTCCCAAATGTTGACATGTTTCAATGGCCAATTATCAATCATGTTTTCTAGCATCACCACTGATCTCATCAGAGAATTCTTTAAGTACTAGAAACGATTAGGTCCATAGTGATGAACACAAGTTTTCCAAAACTGTCATTTTTACTTGACAGCTTGAATTTTATCACTGGCAACAAACAGTGTCAGCTGTTTTCCTTGAAGTGACAAGTTTGCTACATTCGTTTTGAGAAAATGTCTCTCAAATAGCCAGGTCTGAATAACCAAGTCAGTTGTTTTTTCAAGTAAAAAAAAAAAAGCACCCAATGACAAGAGCAGCTGGTTTACAGTTTAGCATACAACTCAGCTACACGAGTGTTTTTCCTGAGACAGCTTTTGTACTTTGGGATGCAGCACAAGCACTTTACATATACTACCCATTTCATCACACTGAATATGGGGGAAAAAACACATGTACTTATAATTAAATAATCTTTATTGTTTCATCAAGAACATTCTTAAGTAAAACTGGCATTATTTTTACTGCGAGTGCACCGCAGCTACTGGTATGTTTCCATGCCTTGATTCGTGCTAAGACGCTAGCAGTTTTCCATCACAGTTGCTTTTGTATAATTAATGCAAATGTCAACAGGGAAAAGGGCAAATAACACAGTATTATTAAAAAGATAGTTTTGATGTCCTGGACATCCAAAAGGCACTTAGGGACTTACACATCAAGAAAAAAAGTTATGCAATGAGGTGGAAGAGACTGGGACATTCAACATTCAAGGGGCAAACAGAAGAAGGGCTGGTGAAGATGAAAAAGTGCAGTCAGAGAATCGTGAGGGAAACCAGGAGTGTGTGCAATTTGGAAAGCCACAAAAAACAAAACAAAACAAAACAAAAAAAAAAACAATGCACCCAGAGGTTAGTGGTCAACAGTGAAATGCCAAGAAAGATCAACACTGAACATCTCCACTCTGCCCAGGTGAGGAAGGTTTACTGAAGGCTGAACCAGTGATGTCCAATTAACCAGTAAGAACCACAAAAGAGCTCTGGACATTCTGAAAAGAACAACTCTGCTACGAATGTATGGCCCGTATTTTGGATAAAACAAGGTTTACTGCAGAACAATTTTTATACTTTCTTTAAATATCTATTCCTTTGCTTAATAAGCATGTGTAAATTATTTGGTTTTCTGTCATGTGATATAAAAATCCTATTCAAAGTTCTTCAGCCTTTCGGGGTAACTGCTAAATATGTTTTTTGTTTGTTTGTTTGTTTTTTTGAGATGGAGTCTCACTCTGTCACCCAGGCTGGAGTGCAGTGGCACAATCTTGGCTCACTGCAAGCTCTGCCTCCCAGGTTCACGCCATTCTTCTGCCTCAGCCTCTCAAGTAGCTGGGACTACAGGTGACTGCCACCATGCCTGGCTAATTTTTTGTATTTTTAGTAGAGACGGGGTTTCACCGTGTTAGCCAGGATGGTCTCGATACCCTGACCTTGTGATCTGCCCGCCTCAGCCTCCCAAAGTGACAGGATTACAGGCGTGAGACACCGCGCCCGGCCACTAAATATGTATTTTTAAGAGTAAAGTTCTTCTGGAATATTACATATGACTAGTATGACTGAAACATCAATACCTTCCTCCTATCAAAATCAAAATCTCTCCATTTAGTATATAACTCTAACTTAAAACAAATTTTTTTTTGTTTTTGTTGAGACAGAGTCTCACTGTGTCGCCCAGGCTGGAGTGCAGTGGTGCAATCTCTGCCCACTGCAATCTCCACCTCCAGGATTCAAGCAATTCTCCTGTCTCGGCCTCCTGAGCAGCTGGGACTACAAGTGCATGCCAACATGCCCAGCTAATTTTTGTATTTTTAATAGAGACGGGGTTTCACCATATTGGCCAGGCTGGTCTCGAACTCCTGACCTCGAGATCCACAAACCTCAGCCTCCCAAAGTGGTGGAATTACACGTGTGAGCCATCACGCCCAGCCAAAACAAATTTTTTAAAATAAAGTTTGCCATTTGATGTTATAAAGGACATTATGGGTCGAATGACAAAACTGGAATACAAACAGTATATAAAGTATTGTATTGCTGTTAAATTTACTGAAATTGATAACTGTAATGTGATTTATAAGATAATTTCTCCATTCTTGGCAAATACAAATTAAAGTATTCTGGAGTAAAGGACCACTGGTTCAAAAAATAATATGCATGCATATGTGTAAGTATATAAACATACATTCACATATCTGTATATAAACAGGGAGAGAGAGGGGGAGAAAAGAGGGAGAAAAAAATGACAACAGATATAGCAAATGGGGTAAAATACTACCAATAGGTAAATCTGACAAAAGAGTACACTGTACCGGTATTCTTTGTACTATTTTTATCCTTCCAACTTCTCTGAAAGTCTGAAAATATTTACAAATAAATAGTTCAACAAAAAGGAAGGCTTTTTGAATATTTGGCTATTAATTGTAACACAATATGAAACTAAGCTGTCTGGTTTTATTATCTTACTTGGAATACTAACTGAAGGCCTTGGGCTATGTCTGGGAATGTGACGTTTCCAAAGCAGACCTGGATTAACAAAACCATACCTTTCCCCATGCTCGGAAAACAAGTAAAACTGCTTACCAGATCCTCATGCAAGACTCACCAATCCTACTAAACTGACCCTAAAAAAGAATTCAGCAAAACTCCTGGGAATGAATTTATCTGATTTAATCTAAATTAAGACAATAAAACTACTTAACTATGTCTCTACATTTTTTTCTAGAATCCTGTATCCAAAAAAATATGAAAAACTATTATCACACTCTCATAGTGTTTTCCTTGAGAGCTAGGGGCAATGTAACTACGTGGTGCTATACTGGAATATAAGACCTTGAATACGGAAAGGGCAGAAATTTCCCTTCTATGAACCTTATTCCAAATTCTTTTTTTTTTTTTTTTTTTTTTTTTGAGACAGGGTCTCCCTCTGTCACCCAGACTGATAGTGGGCACTATCTCAGCCCACTACAACCTTTGCCTCCAGGGCTCAAGTGATCCTCCTGCCTTAGCCTCCCATGTAGCTGGGACTACAGGCATGAGACACCACGCCTGACTAATTTTTGTATTTTTTGTAGAGACTGGGTTTTGCCATGTTGCCCAGGCTAGTCTGGAACTCGTAAGCTCAGGCGATCCACCTGCTTTGGCCTCCCAAAGTGCTGACATTACAGGCATGAGCCACTGCACCTGGCCCAAATTCTTAACTAAAATATGTAGCCACGGTATGTTGACTCTATAACAACAGAGGCACACAAATACCACACAGGAAAAATATCATCTTTCCTGTTTACCCAAAACAGATGGGAAGAAAATTTACAATTTAAAAAATCAATAAATGGCAACAAAGGGAGAAATGGGGGGTGGGGAGAAGAAGGAGGAGGAGGATGTCCTTATTCTCCCAAGACCCCCTTTAAGTCCTTCCAATTCCTGGCCTATCAAGGTAGTCAGGCAGCACTTAAAAACTCTTCCTCCCTCGAAATTCACAGAAGTGCAGCTGGTTAGTTTAAGTAAGTTCTACATTTCTGATGTTATGTTTTGCTTATTATTATGGTCCCTAAAAAATTAATAAAAATGTTATTGAAGAATTTGCAAAAAAAGAACATAGACATTTTCTGATTTTTTATAACAATGGCCTTTCCCTTCTCTTCCCTCCTTCACTATAATTTCATTTGTAAATCAAGTTCAAAACTCCGTGTAGCTAAACATGCAAGCAGCAAGTCCCTAGAAAAATTATGGCTCAAATTAAGTTAAACTGGGATAGCTCCAGGTCACAAAAGTAATGATTAGCTATCTAACAAAAAAACTATCAACTCATTATCATCACCTTGATCTCAGTTTTCATTGATATAGGCCAAAACAGCTGAGACATCCTCTGTTTCTTAGATAGGACAGTCGTATACCTCTTTCACTACAACTAACATTCTGTTTGTCACTGATACTTGTTTGTTAAAATTCTCAGGGAAGAAAACCTAGACCTTATTAATCTGTTTCACTATTTTAAAATTTGAAATAATAGAATATTCTCTACCATCTGCTCACGTCAGTTTTAAGTCAATGTTTTTATGTAGCCATTTATCTCACTAAATATGAAATCAAGCCCAACACAAACATGGTCCATCAAACACTCTTCTGAATTCTGCATCACAACCCTAAGGACACCACCTTAGAAACAGAGGATGAAATGTTTTACTCTCTGTGAAAGATCAAAATCTATTCTGATCTCATCAATTCCTGTTTCTACACAATATTTTGCCAGCTCTTTATCCCTCCTCATTCTCCATCTCAACCTTGGGTAAGAGGTTCATTTATTTGCGGTCAAGTACTGACCACAAAACTGAGCACCCAGGGAAAGGGACACAGAGCCATGTGGCACAGCTGTTACCCTCCCTAGTGGATAGAGAAAAAGTTGTTACTATGGCTCTTTGGGTGAAGAAACAAAGAAATTCACTCATGTGCTTCCAGTAAGCAGCACATACTCATGTTAGAGGGAAACATAACATTACAGGGAGGCCCATAAGGAAATGAGGACAGAAATATTAGTCATGTAGGGTCAGGCCTCCAGAGAATTCCAGGCTATCTAGGAAGAGGAGGAAACCCAGGCTAGATGAAGACCTCATGGATAAGAGATCATAATTCAAGAACTGGCAAGCAGGTGGAACAGGAGGTTATTTATGTCCCCTCAGCAGCAGGAGGCCCCAGCCTGTATTTTCATCTGCTATTCACTGGCTCTGCTTTTGCTCCCCTTCCCAGCTCCCTGCTCTCTCATCTGGATACCTTTTGATTCACAGACTCCTTTGAAAACCAGAAGAAAGTAACCCAGGGACTCTATCTTTGACATAAACGTGGCTGTGTACAAAAGTCTGCCTACAATTCAAAACTTCTCAGATCCATGTTTATGAAGCCCTAATCTCTTCAGCAGAGTCTATGGGAATAGCAGTGTCCCTCAGAAAAGGGGTGTGGGCATGGCGGACATCTGAGTGAAACGGACTTCCCTGTATAAGACAAACACAACAGAAAAAAATGGGAGGATTACTGCAAATCACTACAGGGCTGACAGATCAATCGTAAATCATACATACACTATATACACAAATGCACACCTCTCAATTGACTAAATAATGTCTGAAGGAATGTCAAAGAAAGAGGAGAAATGAACTGGTGAAAAGAATGAAAGGAAGATGCCTGTATTGGGCAATGGTGTGTCTAAAGGCAGACAGGAAGGGATCAGGAAGAAAAGGGAACCCTCAAAGATCAAGCAAAGGAATCTGGATTTAAGAGAGCTATATGAAACACCACAGATTTTCTAGCAAAATGATTCGCACACAATGTAAATCATCCTTGAGCAGTACTATGGCTGAGGCTGGACACAGGACTGGATGGCAGGATGGAGGAAGCTGGTGACGATGACTTCTCAGCACTGTCATTTCCAACTTACTGCTGCATATCCAAGATACACATGACTGTGTTACTCAAGGTCACTTCCCATTAGCTACTGCCACAAACTTGGACAATATGGCATCTGAAAGTGTGAAGTATGAAAAAATTCTACAGTTATCCTATTTTATAGAATGAAGATAAAGACGTAAGAACAAATAGAACAGATAGAGATATAAGAAGGAAAGAAGACCTAAGCTGTGATGGAGCATCCTGGCGGGATGAGGAAGGGTGGAAAAACTGGCTTTCATTCTAACATCACCAGCAAAGTAGGATACTAGGCAACAATTTCTAAACACATATATATGCACGTAAACTTGGGTAAATCAGCTTGGTTCTAAGAGATTGAAGCACATGAGCACAGGACATACCAAACATCTCTGCCCCACTAAAATGGAAAATTATAATACTAGAACCTCCAATCCTCAAATATATGTGCCAACAGGGTGCTCTTCGTACTAAAAAAGATAAAGTGTATTTAGCTGCTAGAGTGAAAGTAATTCAATTCATTTGGTTATTATGATGCTGTCAAATCTTTTTATTTCTACAATGGCCAGAAAAACAATGATTTACATATACTAAAAATAAGACCCTACCATACACACCAGAACTGGAAAAAGCAAGCATCACATCTTGGGAATTTTTTTGTTTTTGTTTTTGAGACGGAGTCTCGCTGTCGCCCAGGCTGGACTGCAGTGGCGCAATCTCGGCTCACTGCGAGCTCCGCCTCCCGGGTTCACGCCATTCTCCTGCCTCAGCCTCCCGAGTAGCTGGGACTACAGGCGCCCGCCACCACGCCCGGCTAATTTTTTTGTATTTTTAGTAGAGATGGGGTTTCACCGTGTTAGCCAGGATGGTGTCATCTCCTGACCTTGTGATCCGCCTGTCTCGGCCTCCCAAAGTGCTGGGATTACAGGCGTGAGCCACCGCGCCCGGCCGGGAATGTTTACCTTCTTTGTTCTTGCTACCACTGCTTCTGAAGGACCTCAATATTTGCTAGACATATCTCATTGTAGAGAAACATTAATTATCTTTAAATTGACATAAAGGTCACACAGAAGCACCCTCAAAGAAAATTTAAGGTGGTCCTGGGGTAATGAGTGAGTTCGTGGCTGCACAGGGTCATGAATTAGACGGAAACTTCTCTCTGGTGTGTCATACAGGACAGTTTATTTCAAGCTTGTTATGGTGAACTCAAAGTTAATCTTTCTGTAGGTTCTTATTTGAAAGCAAGAGTCAGACTACCCACAGAAGCGCTGCAACCGTAATGCCCTACAGACTTCGACAAGTCACTAACCGTTTAAACAGGGTTTCTCAACCTCAGCATTAGTGACATTCTGGGCTAGATAATTCCCCCTTGCTGTTGGGGTATGTCCTATTGCAGGATGTTTGGCAGCATCCTGACCTCTTCCCACCAGATGCCCGTAGCACACATACCCATCCCCCACCATCCCAGTTACAACAACCAAAATGTCTCCAGATACTGGGAAAAGAGGGATACAAAATTGATCCTATAGAGAATAGCTATTTTAGGGCAAACAGAAATAGGAACTCAGAATGGGCGCCTATTCATTTCACTTCATTGCCCTACTATAGCTAATATGTTAGAGAACGGAACAAATTGATGGTATTTTGTTAAAATAGTGTTTAGACTGTAAGTTTATATTATACAATTATACAAAATTTATTATCATACTCCCTAGAAAAATTATTTTATACTATTTTAAAAGAAAAACTATTAGAAAAACTATTTTATACTATATTCTATTAGTTGTTTCAAGGGTGCTACATATAATAGATTTTATTTAATCAGATACTGCTATGGTTTGAATTGTCTTCTCCAATATTCATGTTGAAACTTAATCCTCACTGTAGTGGTATTAAGAGGTGTGGCCTTTTGGAAAGTGATTATGTCATGAGGGCTCCACCCTCATCAATGGACTAGTGCCTTAGGAAAGGGCTGGAGTGAACTAGCTTAGGCCCCTTTCACTCTTCCACCAGGTAAGGGCACTGTGTTTGTTCCCTTTTTGTCCTTCTGCCCCGTGAGGACACTATTTGTCCCCTTTTTGTTTTCCTGTCCCTTCCACCACATGAGGACACAGCATTCAAGGCGCCATCTTGAAAGCAGAGACAGCAGCCCTCACCAGACTCAGAAACCACTGGCACCTTGATCTTAAACTTCCCAGTCTTCAGACTGTGAGAAATAAAAATCTGTTGTTTATAAATTACCCAGTCTCAGGTATTTTGTTACAGCAGCACAAATGGACTGATAAAAATATTTGTAAATCAAACTATTTGTCTATAGCCATATGACCCTGAACGTGACTGATTTCATCTAAAAAGAAGCCTTTCATCCAAACATAAACCAAATATAAGCCATTTATAATATTATACAGGACTATCTTTTCAGAACTACAAATGTTCTAAATTATTTGCAATACCTGAAAAGAATCTGAAGAAAGTGCCAATGCAAGGGTATTTCTACTGTTCATTTATCTGACAATTCAAACACAACAGTTTTGTCATTACTTTAAAAAGAAACACTCTTTTTAATAAACTTATCTTTCATTAATATTGCCAAAATTATAAAAAGACCTATCCTGTAGAAGTGTCAAACAATGCCACTTTATTTGATGTAGATATGCATTTTCCCCCAACCAGTAAGCAAATGATTCATTATCCTCATATCTATATCCATGCATCCAAAGACTTATTGAACATTTACCATAAATCAGAGATTGCTGCTTAAAAACATGAGTTCAGGCCGGGCACAGCGGCTCACGCCTGTAATCCCAGTACTTTGGGAGGCCAAGGCGGGCGGATCACAAGGTCAGGAGATCGAGACCACGGTGAAACCCCGTCTCTACTAAAAATACACAGACACACAAAAAAATTAGCCGGGCGCAGTGGCGGGCGCCTGTAGTCCCAGCTACTCGGGAGGCTGAGGCAGGAGAACGGTGTGAACCCGGTAGGCGGAGCTTGCAGTGAGCCAAGATCACGCCACTGCACTCCAGCCTGGGCGACAGAGCGAGACTCTGTCTCAAAAAAAAAAAAGAAGAGCTCAAATCCCCTCTCTACAAAAGCTTACAATCTAATGAGACAGGCAGATGTGAAAAGAAGTAGCTATAATACAATCCCATAAACGTTGATATCAGCATCTAAGCTGCAATGGAAACAGTATCTTTGTATCAAGGAGAGTCAGGCAACCTGAGATGAATCTTGTAAGATGAAAAGGAGTAAAGGAAAGATAAGAAGAGTCAAGCCATCAGTTAAGGGGTGAGAACATGTTATACAAAAGCAGAAGAGAAGAGGTCACAGTCAAAGCCTATAGGGAGATTCTATCATCAACAAGGATGGTTCCAACCCTAGGGCACTAACGCAAAGTAAAGAAGGGATTAAAAATAAGATTATCCCACATAAAACCCTAGATCTTTAAATTTTACAACTAAAATTTGAATTTCCCTTTAAAAATAATTTGATTCTTGATGAAAGTTAACAATAAGGATAGTTAAGGCTGGGCACAGTGGCTTATGCCTATAATCCCAGCACCTGAGCTCAGGAATTCAAGACCAGCCTGGGCAACAAAGTGAGACCCCGTCTCTAGAAAAAATACAAAAATTAGCCGGGAATGATGGTGTGTGCTTGTGGTCCCAGCTACTCAGGAGGCTGAGGATGACTTGAGCCTGAAAGGCAGAGCTTACAGTGAACTGAGATTGCACCACTGCACTCAAGCCTGGGCAACAGAGCCAGACTCCATCTCAAAAAAAAAAAAAAAAAAAAAAAAAGATGGTTAATTGCTAAATTTAATTACTGAGTTATTAGCTATTCAATTATCACACCATTAAGAGAAAAGTGAGTTAGTCAAAGATGTAAAGTTCTGGCAAAAACATCAGCACGTGAACATAAAAGCTATGTTTCTATGATTTCAGTAATATTTTATAGCAATTTTTAAAACACTCTCCAAAAAAAGCAATTTAGAGCAACGAGTTGCTATGGCAGAGGCAGGCACTCAAACACACAAAACTGTGGCATCAAGAGCAGGCCGCATATGCTTTACCAAACTCAGAGCAAGTCCATGGTTATTTGTAAAGAAAAAAATCCTTTATTTTTAAATGAACATATATATTTTACCCAAAGGTCTATTCTATTCTAAATACACCCCACTGGATTATCATCTTGGGAGGAAGACACTGCTAGTAAATGTGAGGCAGGGAGCTTTAAGATCTACTTACAGAATTTGTTTAAAAACTTGTTTAACAAGAGAAGACTCCTGAATATAAACAGGCTAGTTCATTTTCCTTCACTTGAACCACATTATATATACACGACAGACACAACCACAAAACTTGCCTCAAATCACAAAGGTTAAATCATTTTAAATGACAGTGAATAAGAACTAGATAAGTTGGAGGTAAGTGGAATTGTATTTTAAAGTGATACTGATACCATTTTTTTAAATCAAGAAACCGAACTTGACCTAGCAATCACAATAATACCAACCACAATGTCGCTGTAATTACTCAAACCAGCATTAAAATTAATGTTTCTATGATAAACTTCAATTTCCAGTCTAAACAATGGGGTAAATGTGCTGATAAAAGAAGATAATTCACTATTGCATTATCAATTCATTTTCATTAACTTGAAAATCACACAATCACTTAAAAGTTGAATGAAGTATTTAAGGATAAGAATGTGATCATAAATCAACGAATATCATTCTCTTGGAATGGAATGTACTCCTTGTGGGTTTCTGATCCTTTTACTCTAAATGAAAACAGCTTTAAGAAATAGCTATAAAGATAACGCATACTCATCTGAAAGCAGTACTGTTAACATTTCCATGCATATGCTTCCATGCATACTCACAATACATGCTGTTTTATATACATGGGCTCATAAAAACAAACTGTGAGTGAGGGATAAAAGACTACACATTGGCTCACACCTGTAATCCCAGCACTTTGGGAGGCCGAGGCGGCCGGATCATGAGGTCAGGAGATCGAGACCATCCTGGCTAACATGGTGAAACCCCGTCTCTACTAAAAATACAAAATAAAATTAGCCAGGCGTGGTGGCAGGTGCCTGTAGTCCCAGCTACTCGGGAGGCTGAGGCAGGAGAATGGCGTGAACCTGGGAGACAGAGCTTGCAGTGAGCCTGGGTGACAGAGCAAGACTGTCTCAAAAAAAAAAAAAAAAAAAAAAGACTACACACATTGGGTACAGTGTACGCTGCTTGGGTGATGGGTACACCAAAATCTCAGAAATCACCACTAAAGGATTTATTCATGTAACCAAATACCAGCTGTTCCCCGCCCCCCAACAAAAACCTATTAAAATTTAAAAATAAACCAAAAAAGTAAAACAGGCCGGGCGTGGTGGCTCATGCCTGTAATCCCAGCACTTTGGGAGGCCAAGGTGGGCAGATCACTTGAGGTCAGGAGTTCGAGACCAGCCTGGCCAACATGGTGAAACGCTGCCGCTACTAAAAATAGAAAAATTAGCCAGGCATGGTGGAATGCGCCTGTAATTCCAGCTACCAGGGAGGCTGAGGCAGAATCACTTGAACTGGGAGGCGGAGGCTGCAATGAGCCAAGATCATCCCACTGTACTCCAGCCTGGGTGACAGAGTAAGACTCTGTCTCAAAAAATAAACAAAAATAAATAAATAAATAAATAAACACCACACACAATTCACAAGGGGAAAAAAACTGCAACAGCATATTATGTCACCTAACAATATGATGAAAATTTCCTAATCAATGAATTTAGATATCATCATTTTAACATGTGGGGTAGAGAACGTCTTTTTGAAGCATGCTAGAAACCATAAAGGAAAAGCATTAATAGATTGTATTATAGAAAAATTGTAAATTTCTGCATAATTAAACAAACATATATGCCATTAACAATAATAAAACGCAACTGACAAAAATGGGACGTGACTGGCAAATACGTTTGATAGCACAATTATTAAGAACTCTTCATTGTGTTTTAATCATTCTCTTAACTGAATTTCCACAAACATATAATCCTGTTTTAATTAAAGAGGTCCTCATGGTTTGCTTTGGTTATTTGGAAGAAATCTACAAGAGCAAAAATGACTTATTTGCACAGTGCTTCAACCATGCATTTGCTGTAGAAAACTGGCTAATATAATTCTACAGGAAGAGAGCAACAGTTAAACTAGTATTTTGCCCATTTAATGGAATCAATGCTAGTCTGACAAAGGGAAAGCTGAGACATTTCATCATAATACAAATAATTTAACTAAGTTATTAAACTGATATATGCATGGCAGTGTCCTTAAGAAGCTACATAAAATTATCCATCTAGCAAAATTAATCAGTCCTGCACCCTGTCTCACACCATATACTAAAATCGTTTCTTTTATTGTACTAAATTGTAAAAGGTAAAACTATAAAATTCCTAAAATATATAGGAAAACATTTCCCTTTTTTTTGAGATGGAGTCTCGTTCTGTCGCCCAGGCTGGAGCGCAGTGGCGCAATCTCGGCTCACTGCAACCTCCACCTCCCAGGTTCACGCCATTCTCCCGCCTCGGCCTCCCGAGTAGCTGGGACTACAGGCGCCCACCACCACGCCTGGCTAATTTCTTTTTGTATCGTTAGTAGAGACGGGGTTTCACCATGTTAGCCAGGATGGTCTCGATCTCCTGACCTCGTGATCCACCTGCCTCAGCCTCCCAAAGTGCTGAGATTCCTGATGTGAGCCACCGCGCCTGGCCAGGAAAACATTTCCATGGCCATAGGGTAGGCAAATATTTGTTGATAAAGACACAAAAGCATTACCATAAAGAAAACAAATTGATAAGGTGGACACATTAAAATTAGAAATTTCTGCTCATCAAAAGATACCATGAAGGGAATAAAAAGGCAAGCAATGAGTGGAAGAAGGTATCTGGTAAAACACTTATCCAACAAAGGATTCTTATCTAGAAAGAACTACAGACAACTAAGACAGACAACCTAATAGATAAATGGGCAAAAGACTTGAAAGACACTTTATAAATGGTCGATACACATGAAAAGGTGCTCAACATTGACAATCAACTACAAAATGCAAATTAAAACCACAACTCAGGCCAGGCCCGGTGGCTCACGCCTGTAATCCCAGCACTTTAGGAGGCTGAGGCAGATGGATCACTTGAGGTCAGGAGTTCAAGGGCAGCCTGGCCAATATGGGGGAACCCCATCTCTACTAAAAATACAAAAATTAGCTGGGCGTGGTGGTGCATGCCTGTAATCCCAGCTACTCAGGAGGCTGAGACAGGAGAATCACTTGAACCTGGGAGGCAGAGGATGCAGTGAGCTGAGACTGCGCCACTGCACTCCAGCCTGGGCAACAAACAAACAAAAAACACAATGTACCACCACTCCCTACACACCCATCAGGAAGTGAAACAAATGGAGCTTTCATATGCTGCCAGTGGGATCGCAAATTAGTACAACCACTTTTTTAAAAATTATGGGCAATAGTTACTAAACCTAAACACACGCATACCCTATGATCTGGCGACTCACACCCACATCTCTATTCATCAGGAATGCATATATATGTTCACCAAAGAACACGTAACATAATGTTCACAGCTGCACTTATATTAGCCAAAACCTAGAAACAATCCATCTACAGTAGAATGGGTGTAAAAAATGTGGTATATTCATTAAATAGTATACCATACCCAGCAATAATAAACGATCTGTTGCTACATACAACCACATGGATAAATCTCACAAAGATAATGTTGAGTGAAACCTATCAAAAAACAAAGTACATTGAATGCTTCTATTTATGCAAAGTACAGAAACAGGCAAAACTAGTCTGTAGTGTTAAAAGTGAGAACAGTGGTTACCTTGGGGGATGGGACCATAACCAAGGATGGTAGTGATGGGCTTGTGGGGTGCTGGGCACCTTCTGTTTCTTGTTTTGGGTGGTTGCACAGGTGTGCTCACTTTGTGAAAATTCATCAAGCTGTATATGTAAGATTGGCACAGTTTTCTGTATTTATATCACACCTCAATAAGTTTACTTAAAAAGAAACTACAGGTAGGTAAGAGACACGAATTCACAGAAAACATAAGCTGTACTACTGAAAGGGAACTTCTAAAATTTTTCCTAACTCCACAGTTTTGATTCGTACCACATCTTCCGTGCACAGTACTCATAACTTTCCTTCATTTTTTCATTTTTATCCATGCAGAGTCACCTTTCACATGCAATGCAGGCTCCCCAAAAAAAATTTTTTTTAATTCCACTGAGTACCTTATTTGCCAATTAATTTGCTGGGCACTGGTGACAGTGACAGGTAAGACACAGTTTGCTCACAAATGGACAAGCAGTGATCATGTCTAATGTTCCTTTTGTCTGGGCATCTCTCACGATGTTTTATAGGAGAGGCCCTCCATAAACACTGACTCATCATATACACCTAAAAACAACCAGAGTCCAAGGAGAACTACAGATAAAGCACTTAAAAATGAGAAGAGGTCGGCCAGGCATGGTGGCTCATGCTTGTAATCCCAGCACTTTGGGAGGCCAAGGTGGGTGGATCACAAGGTCAGGAGATCGAGACCATCCTGGCTAACACAGTGCAACCCCATCTCTACTAAAAATACAAAAAATTAGCCAGGCACGGTGGCGGGCGCCTTTAGTCCCAGCTACTCAGTAGGCTGAGGCAGGAGAATGACATGAACCCGGGAGGCAGAGCTTGCAGTGAGCTGAGATCGCACCACTGCATTACAGCCTGGGCGACAGAACAAGACTTCCTCTCAAAAAAAAACAAAAACAAAACAAAACAAAACAAATAATGAGAAGAGGTCATGGAAGTGAAGAGATTACCTCCAGCTTTAGAATGTAGGGAGTAGAGAAGGTGAAGGTGAAGTGGGGAAAACACAGAGAATGACTTCCTGGGAAAACCTGTGCATGAACTTGGTCTGGAAAAGCAGTTCGTACTTCTACACGCAGGGGCAAGTGAAAAACATCTCAGTGCAAGACAACACACAGAGCTTGGAGGCAGAAAAGTTTCCGTGCACACAGATAGTGCCCAGCAGCCAGAGCATGGGCTATGCAAGAGAAGGAAGCACATTTCCTTCTTCAGTAGGCCAGGGTAGAGCTCAGACATTAGCATTTTCTAGAAAGCTCCACAGATACTGATTCTTTTCCAAGGTTGGGAATCAGGCACTACATCAAGCTTTCTAGTTCATTGTAAAGAGAGAGATTAGACAAAGGATCAGAAAAATATACACGATTAAATGTACTTGAATTCCCCTTAAAACTTACCTTTAATTAACATGGCAAGTGCTTTAGGATACTCCAAAATTGAAAGTTTTATACACCTTATCATATATCTGATAAGCAATGCCATTTACATGAATTTCAATTCTTAAGTTCAAACTCTTCTCGTGGGTAAAATTAAAATGTGAGTTAAGGCAAACTCTGGGCAAGCTAACCATCTTGAGCTTCAATTTTCTCATCTGTAATGAGAAGCTTAGAACAGTAAAGAACTGCTTTGACTCTGGTGTGGCAAAATTCCCCACATGTGACAGTGTTCTAAATAAGAATTTGTGATGACCATGAGAATTCTTTTACCTCCCACTACCTCTAGGGGGCATCAAAAATCCCTTACTAAATTCTCCTGTGGTAATTTTTCTCACTGACTACGTCTAATTCACAGGACATCTGACATCAAGAAAACATGCTGAATCAAAAGAATCCAGTATTTTGTCCTGTGCTGTGGGTTAACTGATGAGATCATTTGTATTCCTTTCAGTCCAGTAGTAGCAAAGTCACCTACCACGTGTGTCCACATGCATCACCCCGGCCTGCAAGGCTATAGTGAAATAACATTTACCAACGTGTTTGGTCAGGAAACTTTGAAAAGCTTGGAAACTTGGGGGTTTCAGTAGTGCATGATTTTGCAGACGCAGCTCTGTTAATTCCATTTTTTTGTAGGTGCTTACTATCATAATAGTAAGGCCAAGCACCTACTTTTGGGCAAAGCCCTGCAGAATTCCAATTCTCACAATCAAGCTGAGACATTCACATAAGCATAATTAATCACAGACGGATTTAGCCTTTTGTTTCTTTTCTGACATTTCAGAACTCTTTCTGATGTTTCAATGATCTGATGTCTGGCCACATCATGATACCAAACAGACCGCCTGAAATCACTTTGTCTACTTTGGACAGCATACATGTCTGTATAAAAAATTCAGTCAAAATACCTTCTTCAGATCATAGAATGGCCTTACACAGCACTCTGAGAGATAATATGGGGGAAAAAATTTAATTATGCCTAACAACATTTCTATATACTCTAATTTTCATTTTCAAATGTAATCATTTTGAAATGAGAAGGGGTTAAAAAGAGAGAACTAAGCTTTGCATGCAAATAATAAATATTTGAAAAGCATGGGAAACCCTATGTTTACAGTAAAAAAAAAAAGTGAATAGCTATTTTCAAGCATACGCCAAAAAGGAGACAAAGTAAAGAAAAAAAGGAAAAAAGCCTATATATAAAATTTTGAGATGTGAAATTAATACAGTAATTTTAAGAATGGATTAATTTTAAAAGAAATTATAATTTCCACCAACCACCTTCCACTTTAATTTAAATATTAAGTTATATAATAATTTATTAAATAATATAGTTTCCACTAATTCCCAAGATGGAATTATGGGAAATAAAGTAAGGTTAATATGATGAGTATCATTAGGCACACAATTAAAATCTGAATGAAGGTTGAAAGGACTCATTTCTATTGAAGTTTTCTTTCCAACAATACAGGTTACAAATATGACACACAGACAGAAATGTTTAAACCAACAGCTCAGTTAAAAATATATTTCATATCTCAGTTTAAAGAAAATATTGGCTTAGGCAGAAATTTTAAAAATTTTTCAGATGTTCACACTCTGCAGGACCCTGTGCTCAAGGAAGCAGTTTCTCCCATTACCAACCATGCTTGCCTTAAGTCTAACTCCTTACCAGTGATTAGCTCACATACAAATAAGAGGCACAACTCTGACAAACGAAACATGTGAAGTCTGCTAGAAGGCTTCTCAGTGAGGGTTTCCTCAATCTTAGGAAGAGACACAAACCACCTCACACCCATTACAATAGCTAGTATTAAAAGGAAAAACAAACGGCAGCCCAGAAAATAACAAGTGCTGGTGAGGATGTGGAGAAACTGGAACACTTGTGCATTGCTGGCAGGATGTGAAATGGTATGGCCTTATGGAACACAGGGTGGCAGTTCCTCAAAAAATTAAAAATAGAATTACCTTTGATTCAGCAATTCCACTTACGGGTATACACAAAGAAGGGAAAGTGAGTCTCAAAGAGATATTTGTACCCTGTGTCCATAGCAGCATTATTCATTAACAGCCCAGGGATTGGGGCAGCCCAGATGCCAATGGATAAATGAATAAACAAAATGTGGTATATACAGTGAAATGTTATTCAGCCTTAAAGAGGAAAGAAATTGACATATGTGACAACATGAATGAATCTTGAGGGTATTATGCTGAGTAAATTAAGTCAGTTACAGAAAGACAAATGCTATGATTCCACTTTTTTGAGGTACCTAGAATAGTCAAATTCTTAGGGGTGGGGAAGGGGGAGCTATCGTCTATTGGGTACAGAGTACTGATTGTGTAAGATGAAGAAATGACATGGAAGGTGGTGATGGTGCACAGCAATGTGAATGTACTTAATATCACCAAACTGAGCACTTAAAAGTGTTTAAGAGGGTAAACATTATGTGTATTTTACCACAACCAACAAGAATGTTTTTTTTTCTTTTTGAGATGGAGTCTCGCTCTGTTGCCAGGCTGGAGTGCAGTGGCGCAATCTCGGCTTACTGCAACCTCCACCTCGTGGGTTCAAGCAATTCTCCTGCCTCAGCCTCCCAAGTAGCTGGAACTAGAGGCATGCGTCACCACATCCACTAAACGTTTTTGCATTTTTAGTAGAGACAGGGTTTCACCATGTTGGCCAGGATGGTCTCAACTCTTGACCTTGTGATCCACCCTCCTCGGCCTCCCAAAGTGCTGGGATTACAGGCATGAGCCACCGCACCTAGCAACAATAATTTTTTTCCAACTTTTATTTTAGAATCAGAGGGTACATGTGCAGGTTTGTTACAAAGGTGTATCGTGTGATGTTGAGGTTTGGCGTACAAATGAATCTGTCACCTAGGTAGTGCGCACAGCACCCAACAGGTAGTTTTTCAGCCCTTGCCACCTTCCCTCTCTCCCCACTCTAGTAGTCCCCAATGTCTACTGTTCCTCTCTTTTTAGTTCATGTGTATCTAATGTCTAGCTCCCACTTATAAGTGAGAACATGTGGTATCTGGTTTTCTATGTTAGCTCACTTAGGAGAATGGCCTCCAGCTGCATCCTTGTTGCTGCAAAGTACATAATTTCATTCTTTTTGATGACTGTGTAGTATTCCATAGTATATCTGTATCACATTTTCTTTACTGTTGATGGGCAATAATTTTTTTTTTTTTTGAGATGGAGTCTCTCTCTGTCGCCAGGCTGGAGTGCAGTGGCGCAATCCCAGCTCACTGAAACCTCCGCCTTCTGGGTTCAAGCAATTCTCCTGCCTCGGCCTCCTGAGTAGCTGGAACTACAGGTGTGCGCCACCATGGCCATCTAAATTTTGTACTTTTAGTAGAGACGGGGTTTCACCATGTTGGCCAGGATGGTCTCAATCTCTTGACCTCGTGATCCACCTGCCTCAGCCTCCCAAAGTGCTGGAATTACAGGCATGAGCCACTGTGCCCAGCAAATTTTTTTTAAAAAGAGGAGACAGAGGAGAGAAAATTCTTTTCTGATTCTAGTCACTGCTGATGGCCCGCAATTCCTGAATGGGCAGCCACCACCTTGGAACTGTAAGAGAAGCTGACCAAGAGGACCAGCACCACTGCGGACAGCAGCCAGAAAACCACACTACCCCTCCCGCTTCAGCAGGATGAGCTCCTCCCAGGAGAAACTCTTCTCAGTTGAAAATACAATTTCCACTAATTTCAACCAGTGCCTGAGTCCCCGAACTGATACTGAGCTACACTAAAACAGTACCAAGTCTCATTACAATGGCCACAATTATTACAATAGCTCATGTGAGCAATGACAGCACAACATTTGAAGACAATTTCCTTTCATCAATGACTGTATTTATCACCTGTCATTAAATTATTTTGTGACTATCTTGTGCCTTACATGTAAGACTATGGTCATGGACAAAAAATATCTATGTAATGTAATGTAATGACTACAGAATATATGCAATGTAAATCAGTCTTTATTGAAAACCCATAAACAATGAACAATAAAACCAAAAAATTCAACAAAAGCATTTTAGAGAATATGATGCACAAGAATATAACTGCTACTTATTAGCAAAATTCCTTAGGGAGGAGAATTTACTGTAATGCATCCTGTCTATATACTATGACGATGACCACATACTGGTTTTCCTCTTGTAGTGCTCACCATTAGCAAGGCAAGCAAAATAAAAATTTGTCAGCATGTTAAGATACCTCGTAAGCTCATGTCAGGATATTAAATGAAATGTCTTATAAAGACTAATTCTCATAAGCCCAATGAGCACATCTCTAGGCATGACTGCATGTGGAAATTAAGTGACTTTGCCAAAACTCTTACATTACACCATCAGAAACGTCTCAAATCCACTCAGTTCAATTCAAGACATGAGTGTGCACAGCAAAACAGAGAATGAAGGTGTCACTTTCATACCTACACCATGTGTTTCAGTCATCCATTGCTGAGTAACAAACCACCCAAAAACGTAGTGGCCTTAAACAATAACTTATTATTCCTCATGATTCTGTGGGTTGGCTAGAACTCAGCTAGGTGGGTTTTCTTCTGGTCTGTCTCGAGCTCAGTCACGCAGGTGCATTCAGCTTGAGTGGAGCTGAAACATCCAAGATGGCTTCAGGCCTCATACAGTGGCCTCTCTCTTCAGCAGGGTACTATGATGGCTAGCTCCAAAGACAGAGAAAGTGAATGCTGCCAGACAAGGCCTGAGCCCAGAAGTCCCAGGCAGTTCCTTCCAGGCTACCCATCAGTCAGTGTAAGTCACCAGGTCAGTCCAATCTAGGATTAG
Source organism: Homo sapiens (assembly GCF_000001405.40). Lineage (NCBI taxonomy): Eukaryota > Metazoa > Chordata > Mammalia > Primates > Hominidae > Homo > Homo sapiens. The sequence goes on from NC_000010.11 coordinate 121,828,651, forward strand.
GAAAACAGCCTAGACTGCTGATGGGTGGAGCAGCATGCACAGACAGGGATGAGAAGCCCTGACGGTGGACAGCTTTGAAAACCATCTACCAAAACATGGGGCTCACTACACATAAAGACAGACACATCATTTCAGCATGCCATTGTGATAGCTCATTACTCAATACAAAAGATCAGGTAAATGAGCTCTTTTGTGTTATTTCAGACCTGCTGTTCAATACTTCAATTTGCTTTACATCATACAATAAATATATGGTGAAGAAACTTACATGTACAAATCTATGTAAGAAAATCCAAATGAAACATTAATCTAGTTTCAATTGTCACATTACCACTTTATGCACTATATTGTAATTACCTATGTCCTCCTAAGTTGTAACCTTCACTAGGGCAGAACCCTCATCTACACTGCTTACAAATGTATTCCCAGTGTCTAGCACGTACCAGGTACCTAACAGGCTGCTCCTTCTTGGTTGTTAAAAATATTGCTCCTGGCCAGGCATGGTGGCTCACACCTGTAATCCCAGCACTTTGGGAGGCCGAGGCGGGCAGAGCACAAGGTCAAGAGATCGAGACCATCCTGGCCAACATAGTAAAACCCCATCTTTATTAAAAATACAAAAATTAGCTGGGCATGGTGGCGTGCGCCTGTAGTCCCAGCTACTCAGGAAGCTGAGGCAGGAGAACTGCTTGAACCCAGGAGGCAAGAGGTTGCAGTGAGCAGAGATCGTGCCACTGCACTCCAGCCTGGCAACAGAGCAAGACTTTGTCACAAAAAGAAAACAAAAAAAAAGGAAAGAAAAAAAAAATCGCTCCTGGCAAGGCCGAGGCAGGTGGATCACGAGGTCAGGAGTTCAAGACCAGCCTGGCCAAGATGGTGAAACCCCATCTCTACTAAAAATACAAAAAATTAGCCGGGCGTGGTGGTACGCACCTGTAATCCCAGCTACTCCAGAGGCTGAGGCAGAGAATTGCTTAAACCTAGAGGGGCGGAGGTTGCAGTGAGCCAAGATCATGCCACTGCACTCCAGCCTGGGCGACAGAGCGAGACTCTGTCTCAAAAAAAAAGAAAAAAAAAAGAAAGAAAAAAATCGCTCCTATTGAAGAAATAAATTCCTTTTATTCTTTAATACCAGATAGAAAACATGTTCGTAGATTTTTCCATGTATACTTTACAATGTGGCAAAAATATGCCATTACTAGTGCTTTACATACTTTCATGCTAAGAAAAAATATAATTTTAACTATTTTTGTAGCCGTAGGCTAAATTTACCCCCACTCAATCTCAAAAATGAGAGATTTTACAATAGTGTGCAATTCATTTTCTGTGAGTTATTTCTTGCTGGTCTCTAGTTCTAGACCTTCAATTTGCAATGAGGAACATTCATGCTTGGACCAACACCTATCTTACAATTTTGAACAGCACATTTTCTGACTGAAAAGATCTACTTTAATAAGCAGATGTGCTATTCCTTTGTAACTGAGGGTTCTCATGTGCAAGTATAACATGGTATCTGCTATGGTTTGACCTGGTTTGCCCCTGACAAAGCTCATGTTGGAATCTGATTCCTGGTGTGGTAGTGTTGGGAGATGGGGCCTAGTGGGAAGTGTTTGGATCATGGGAGAACTGCCCTCGGGAATAGATTAAAGCTGTCTAGTGGGAGTGAGTAGGTTCTCACTCTCATGGGAATGGATGTGTTCCTGAGAGCAGGTTACTATAAATAAACCCAGGCTCTCCTGCAGGTCTCTGCTCCAGTCTCCCTTCTGTTTCTCCACCCCACTGTGACACAGCATAGGACCCTCACCAGAAGCTGGGCAGATGCAAGTGCCATGCCCTTGGACTTTCCCGTCACCAAAATCATAAGCTAAATAAAACTCTTTTCTTTATAAATTCTCAAACCTCAGGTATCCTGTTATATAAATACAGAAAGAACAAAGACAATATCCTTAACTGAAATGAAAATAACTTTAATCCCTCAGTTACCTAAAATTACTCATTTTCAATCATAAGGCAATGGAAACTATTTTCTTAAAATATAAAGTATTAAAATCAATATGTTGTTGAAGACCCAAAAGTATTCCCAAAATATGATGCCAGGAAAATGCTGACTGTATGAAGTTAATTTAATATTCAAAATTCTATCATTATCTCACAAATACTTACAAAATCACTAGGTTTACTTCAGATTTTCGGAATTCCCCCTCCCAAGAAGAAATAATGGGAACGTAATATATTGGAAAAAATTTAAAGTTTTATTTAAATGGGAACATTGAGTCCCAGATTGTCTTTCTCTACTTTGGACTGTAGCTCAGTTTCCTAAGTTGTGATCATGTTTCCAAATTCTAAACATATTAATTTTGGGGACTTGGGAATGAAACACTATAATTCCTGAAATCACAAGTTATTCTTAATACTTCCAATATTCTTCAGACTCCTTACTCATTATAATGGATATCTTAAAAATTACTTAATAAGAAATACTAAGGTTAGTAGTATTACAAATATCTTTAGCCTATAGTGAATACTAAAACATTGGAAAACTCCAGTGAACATTGTTAGATACTGTTTCGAATAACCTAACATTTGGATTTCTTGGCAAATAAGCAGCACTACACACATACGTTTATTTATAAACTTATTTTGCTTCCAAAATTTGTTATTTCTTGGAACACTAACTCATATTTTGCATATAAACTTATTAATATTTATATTTACACTGTTATTTACATCATTATCAGCAGACAGACAACACACACACACATTCCATAACACAGCTACAAGCAAGACTGACTGATTAGACGACGACTGCTCCCTCCTCTGCACTCGTGTCCTGCTTCCTGCGAATGTCAACCTTAACTGTCAGCTCCGCAAGTCAGGCTTTCCTCCTGTCCTTTCTTTTGACTTGACATCCATTGGATTCCTTCAACCTAGTAACATTTCATGCTGACTGCTTAGTTTTAATTCTTGAAGGACAATTCTAATACTTTCTCTCAATTTCCTGATTTGTCAATTGATTTTTGTCAAGACTCATGATTTGAAAAAACATAAATTTTCTAAAAAAATGGCAGAAAGAAATTCCCACATGGCAACATTAGTTTTCATGTCAGCTTTACTTTATTTAAAAAAAGACCAATCTGCTTTTGAAGTAATTTCTACCAACCCAAACCAGCCACTAATTCCAGTAAATGTATATAATCAGTCATCTTTTATAATGATACTTGTTGCTCTAAAGATCTACAGTCACAGTAACTTGCTATTTTAAAAACAGGAATGAAGTGGCAATAATCTATAGTGACCATAAATTATTCTGAATTGCCCAGCTTTATCCCTAAGTAAACAGAAATTACAGTCTTAGCTTCTGATGCAATATTTGGAAGAGGGACTAAAGGAGTGACATGATCTTCCGCCACACACCCTGACTAGTCCTCCTGAAATTCAATAGCTCAGTTTGTGGGATAAGTAGGAATATTACAATGGTGCTAGCATAGAAAGGATACTCTTTTCTGATCTCTGTGGCCTAGCACTGAGTATTAGATTGCCATTAATTATAACATACAGGTTGGAGTCCTAGCACAAATGTACCAATTTCTCCTCACTCCAATGGAGCAAACTAACCATTTTATTCAGAATAAATACCTGAGCTCAAAGAGACTTTTTTTGTCCTAAACAGATAAAGCTAAAGCTGACAGACATCCCATGGCACAATATAAGATTTGTTACTTAAAGGTTCCCTACGTTGTAGCACTATCCCCTAACAGAGCTCAGCGTCTGATATGGTTAGGCTCTGTGTCCCCACCTAAATCTCATCTTGAATTGTACTCCCATAATTTGCACGTGTTGTGGGAGGGACCTAGTGGGAGATAATCTGAATCAAGGGGGTGGTTCCCCCCATAATGTTATCATGGTAGTGAATGTCTCACGATATCTGATGGTTTTATTAGGGGTTTCCGCTTTTGCATCTTCCTCATTTTCTCTTGCCACCGCCACGTAAGAAGTGTCTTTTACCTCCCCACTATGATTCTGAGGCCTCTCCAGCCATGTGGAGTTGTAAGTCCAATTAAACCTCTTTTTCTTCCCAGTCTCAGTTATATCTTTATCAGCAGCGTGAAAACGGACTAATACTCTGCCATTGGCCTCTAAGTAAAAGACAAGTGTCCGCAATTCTGGGAACTTTCAGAGAGAGGTAGTATTGGTATTCAGTAATATATGCCTTTCCTTTTCCCCAGCATCTAAACTAATCTAAGAAGTCTGGTTAACAACAAGAGCAGGCATTTAGAAATTTGGATGTCATTTATCAGTATACAAACAGAGAGAGCCTTGACAGGTCCCAACAAAAGCTCAGGTAATGATTTTATGAATGCTACCCAACTAGGTAGAGTCTATACTGAAATGCAGATAACAACCTGTCTAATTTCTACATTACTCCCATTTACAGTTGCAAAAACTGAGACCAGATGAAGTCAAGCAACTTCTCCAAACTGTTACACATTCCTGTGTCACCACCTCCCTTTGCTATCAGAGTATTTATCAATACTCAAAGATAATCAGTCACAATACCTATCACATTCTGTTAGAACTGCGTATCTGTTACTAAGTTATAACCTATTTGTAAAGGGGAAGCCATCCCATTCATGCTCAACAAATCTTTGTTAAAAAAAAAAAAAGAAGGCATTTCTCACTATCCTACATACTCGTCAGCTCTCTGCATTAGTATTTTCATTCATTAGTTCAACAAATGTATATTAAGCATTAAATACCTACTATGTAGCAGGCACATTGTTTGCCACCTGGGACACAAGAAGTTAAATGTCAATTAGATTCTCATGGAATGTATGCACAGGAGATAGACTAGTTCTGGGAAGAAATGTAAACTGCTATGGGGTAGGTGGGTGAATGATGAAATCTAGTCTTAAGAGTCCAGTAGAGATTACTGGAGTTGAAAAATGATAAGATGGGGAATTTGCAAGCTTGGGGGAGGGGCAAAGGGAAGGGGAAAAAAAACGACAGTACAGTACAGATAAAGGTCTCAAGTGGGGGTAAAAATGGGAATTCTCTAGTTGGTCAGTGTTCCATGTTCTAGGCCACAGATGACAGGGCAAAGATAGGAGCTTCTTCAATAGGAGTAATTCTGAATTTAATAAACAGAAAACAGCAAACTTTAAAATGGGGAATAATTATCTTTCTAGTTCCTCATGAGGCTCTCAGCTGTGAAAAAATAATCTGGTACAGTGATTCTCTAGTCTGACTTCATATCAGAATCTTCTGAGCATTAAACAAATCTGATGCCCATGGTTGATCCCAGAGTTCAATTACTTAAAATCTCTGAAGATATGGCCTAAGCACAGGTCTTATGAAAATGTTCTCCAGGTCATAAACTCCAGTCAAAACTGACGACTGCAGCAACTAAAGGCTAGGCAGTGCTACACTAGCTGTTTCCTCAGTGTCTTTCTGAAATGACCCTAAAACTTCCCATTGGCTGACTTTGTGACATTCAAATCTTAGCCTAAACATTTGTCCTCAGAGAGGACCCTCTGACTACACAATCTAAAGTAGCCACACTCAGTTAATTAATGTCTACCACACAGCACTCATCCCTATCTGACATCTGTCTTCTTGATTACTGTTAGTGAACCACTAGAATGGAAGTTCCAAGAAATCAGGGATCTTGCCTGTATTGTTCATGGCTGTTATTTCCAGTAGGATCTGAATAAACATTTCCTGGATGAAGGAAGAAAGTAAACCAGAAGGCAAGCAGGCATGGGGGTACCTCTCATATAAATGGAATTAAACAAAAAATAAATATTTTGAAGCTATAATTCTTATGGATTTGGATTGGATATAATTAAGGTAGACTGAAAAGCACATAGGGTATTTTTAAAATCTTTAACTTAAAACTATACACAGGCTGGCTTGAACTTCCAAGCAGGGCTCTACCTAGGAAGGAGACAAAAGAATAAAAAATATTTAGTCTGGACTAGAGTCAACAAAGGTGTCAGCAAAACATCTTCATGAAGAGGAAAAGGATGATGAAACTATATTCAACATTTCCACGAATGGAAAAGAAGAAAAAAGAAAAAAAACAAAGACCCAGGTTAAAATATAGGGCAAATTAGAATTTAGCTTAGGCATAATGAAAAACTTTCAAGAGAAATGCTGTGAGACTGGAACGGCCATCACAGATGAGACATAAAAGTGAAATCTGTGCAAGTCCTTAAGTCTAGTATGAAAATACTTCATTTGAATGGGTCGTGTACTACATAAAGGAAGATTAATATAAGGACAGCCAGAGTTTTCTTTGAGTCTTATAAATACATTAAAGTATCTTGAGTACTAGAGTTTTCTGCTCTGAACTAATTTAGATCTAGTACCAGATGAAAATGAGCCAGAAGGATAAAACACTAGTAAAAACGTAAGCAAATCATTATTTTTAGGCAAAACGGAAATATGCTCATACTTTTCCTTCTGTACAGAACATATGTTAAGGCCCATCAAGTGAATTAGTAATTCAGGCATAAAGGAAGTTTTTGAAGATAACCAAATTCAGGGGTTATCTCCCTACAATGTACACTGAAATATGAGCTCAAAAGAAAATCTCCAAATGCCAGGACACCTTGATCAGCTTACCTGGACTGTCAATGTAAAACCAGCAAGGCACTGCTTTTTCACTGGTCTCTCAAAGCCAGTGTTACTTTCAGAATCCATAATTTCTGAAATCGAACCATCTCCCCAGTCATTCAGTGCTTAACATCAAAGATTTGGAAATATAATCATCCCCAAATGTAATTAATCACCAAGTCCTGTGAATTATTCCTTTGTAAGAAAGAAAAAAGGCTGGGGGAGGGGGGTGGGGATTTATTGATTTAAAGAGATTTAAGAGACACATCGCAAATATAATGTATGAACCTTACTGAGTCCTAAGTCAAACAAATTGACTGTAAAAAAGATTATGAGACAATAAAGGAAACAGGAAATAGGAACACTGATCAGATGATATTTGGAAACGCTGCTAATACTTTCTAGGTATATGATGAAATTGTGATTACATTTTCAAAATGCCCTTATCTTTTAGAAATACACACTACAATATTGGCAGATTAAGTGATACTTTTGATTTGCTCCAAAATAATTCAAGAGAGGGTGGAGGTGGCAATGAAGGAATAGATGAAATAAATGCATGAAAATTACTAAAGCTGGGTAATGGGTACACAGGGGTTCAATTACACTTTTTTCTTTAATGTGGCATGTCTGAAAACCCCCGTTAAGTCATATTTCTATGTGTGGACATATGTATATTTTCTGATTTACTCTGCTCTGCTCTACAACTGTTGATGACTCCCAGGTGCCTAATTTAGGTACCTTAGCCTGGCCTTCAGGGTCCTGCACAGTCCTTCAGTTACCCTTTCCTCTACAAATACATCATCAGCACTTGCCCTTCCAAATCCTTTCTTTTACTGCTTCTTCTCCTAGAAACGTCCTTCTCCATCCTACCTACTTTCTTCTTGAGCTACTCCTTCCTTTCCTCTTCCACATCTTCTATAGTAAAAAACCCATGTCCTCCTAGGCCACTGACCAGACCACTGTATACCCTGGTTTGATGTAAAATGCCCCTAATCTTCCCCTAGCTCACAAGTTTTAAGTAGAAGATCCATGCAACTTCAGAGCTGAAAGCCTCACTCTAAGTAAAGCAGACGTGTTTGTTATTGCTATCGCGGTGGGTGGAAGGCGGTGGGTCTGCTCCTCTGCATTGGTCTTCACTCTGCAGTTTTTATAGTGGGCTACGCATACTCAGGAAACATCAAAGAGTTTCATTAACGAGAGTCATAAAACTTTTTTTTAAAGGGAAATTCTGAAATATACTTAAATCTCACAATAATGCAATGGATTACAAGAGCAGAAGAGGCTGTGGTTCTCATTACAGAGAGCTTAATTTCTGAGGCAGCAAAGAGATTTCCTATTAACCCATTCGTCCTTCCTTCAAAGCTTCAAACCCAGTGCCCTGAGATAAAAATTTTATGAGAGATTCATTTTTCTATAATAAAAATACACATATGTGAAAATCAACTTTACCTTATATTTCATCTTGGGACATGAATGAATGTAGAAACCCATATAATAATAGCTGAGTTGAGAAGTTTTCTCATGAAGCTGCCTAGTAAAAGCAATTTCTCTGCGAAAAGAAAAAGAAGAAAGCTGAAGGCAGTTAATTCTGGTTCTAATGTACAAATATCTGTGTAATTTGATGGTAAACATTTGATAAAATCTGGTATTAAGCTATCAAAAAATTACAAATATTGAAAGAAAAACTACTTTTAAAACACTATACAATTTTTACTAAAGAAATAATAAAACCCTCTACATAATTTTAAGCAAATGCATCTAAGTTCAGGTTTTACACTTTATTGGACAAAGTAGCTGATCTAAACTTCAAGCAGCATAAAATTAAAGAGATCTACAGTGTCCTGTTATTATTCATCATGCCCTATGGTTCTCAAAGAATCTGGGCTTAACAGGTTAAAAACAGTACAGCACATTTTAGAAAACTCAAAAGCCAATAAATTACAGGACGAATAACTATTATTATGACCATTTACATGCAAAGACTTTCAGCTGCATATGACATCTAATTCATTCCTTTATCTAGGCACAACTTTAATATTTATTTCCCCTAAAACTAGACAGCAGGAAATACCATGTTATCTCACCACATTTTCTGTATTTGTTGGAATAAGCCAGGTAACTCAAACGTAAGAAGTTGTCAGTCTCTCCACTATAACGCCTATGCATGAATTTTTTTTCATTTGCATCCTGATAAATCTTGGCACAGAATTTCATTCTACTTGCCCAGCTAAATGACTAGTTTGAAAGTGCTTAGTAAAACTTCAGTATATTTCTAAAGTATGAGGAAAGTAGTTTTGTTTTTATGTTTGTTTCTTGAAGGTATTCTTTTCTTTATTAGTAGCAATTGATGCTTGAAATTCTAAAGAAATGTATTTGTAATGCAATATTCTGTGCATTTTTCTACTTCAAATTTAAATCCTTAAAGAATTATTACCGTAAGAATTCATTTTTAAATTAAAATTATTTCTAAATCCAACCAGACTAAACAATATTAGCCTATAACAGAATAAATCCTATTTCCAGAATTAATCCACTCTCAAAGTTCAAACTGAGGAAAGAATGCACTGACACAAGCAAGCGTAAGACCACCAATTCCGAGAAGGCCCACCCAGCCAGGGTACCAATCCACTTGGTCCTGCCCACGTCAGTTCATTTCATCACCTCTCTCCGGATTTGTTCTGGCCCCAAACCTTGGAGTCACCCTTAATTCTTTTCTTCTCATCCCAATGTCCAATCCATCAGCAGGTCTTTTGGGCTTTCTCTCTAAAATATGTCTTGAATCTGACCACTTCTTACCACCTCCACCTCAGATATTCTGGGTCAAGCAGCATTATGGTGCCCTTGGATGACTGCAGCAGCTTCCCAGCAGCCTCCTGTTTCCACTCTTACCCCTCCATAATCTCCACAGAACAGGCCAAGTAATCTTTTACAATATTAATCAGATCTCCCAATCCCCCACCCCAGCAGTGGGTTGGCACCACATATAAATAAAACCCAACCTCCCCACCCTCCTACAAGTGCTATTCCACCTGCGTCCTTCTCACCAACTCCACCTGCCTCCTTCTCACCAGCTCACTCCACCTGCCTCCTTCTCACCAACTCCACCTGCCTCTGTGCCCCTTGCATAAGGCTCTCTACGTCCTTCCCTACACCCGAGCCCAAAAGGCATTTTTGTTTTTCCTGGCCACCTCGAGGCACTTAGATTTGCTAACCTTCACTTGAACTTCTTCCTACCCTCAGATTTTTACATGACTGATTCCTTTTCTTCTTCCTTTGCCCCTGAAATGTCACCTGTTCTCTACGAGGAAAGACCAATCTATATAAAACAGGCTTCATGCCCACCACCTCTAATTTTATTTGTGTCACAGTGCTAGGGAGTATCTGAAATTAAGTTGTCTGTTTTATTATTTATGGTCTGCTTGGACAAACCAGAAACCTGTCTTATTCATGTCTATGAGTGTAATTACCTTTTTAAAATGTATCTTTCTAAAAATATGCAAACAAATGCCATGCTCATGATCCCCAATTCAAACAATTCTTATATCTACAGGCTATGGATAAGCAGAGGCTGATTACAAAAATGAATTAAAAAAATAAAAAAATAAAAATCTACAGGCTACATTATATAAATCTAAAAACATAAAACTATATTGATTGTTGGATTGCTTAAGAAACTTAAGAAATTGAGGGTAAAATATTTCACCAAAATACATTAAAATCAATAACAGAATTAGCAACTGGTAACCTACTTTCTCCAATTTTGCTTCAAGAGGTCAATCCCCTGGCTGCCTTTCCTTTTCTATAAACTCCGCAACTCATCTTCTCAAGAGCACCAAAAGGAAGTGACAAGACCGCAGAGCAGCCGCAACCATCCCACCCTCAACTGGCAAACCTTTCATGACCTCAGGCTCCTCTCCTGCTCCCTCCCGGCTCTCCAGCTCTAGTATTTGCAGGGATATACAAGGTGATCAATAGAACTCTTGCTAATTTTGCTGGGAATTAATTATTTACCATATCAATATCTAAACTATCACTCAGTTTATTGAGCCATGAAATATTTCAGACACAGGCCAGAGCTTATTATGTAGAAATAAATTTCACCCTTAAAAATCCATCTGAGAAGCCTAGAAAAATCTATAACACATTGTGAAGTGATAATACAAAAATAAAACCAAACAAAACAAAAAACCAGCAATTATTTGAAAGTATTGACTGATTTAGGTACAAAGAAAATATATCTTTTCTGAAATAAAACTTCTGAAGTTATGTAATAATGGCAAAATCTAAAGTTATAAAACATGAATACTTTAAATTATCAATTTCAATTTCAGTGAGAGCACCAACAGCCATAAATATTTTTAAACTACTTTATACAAAAATGTGATTAAATACATAAGAATAAAAAGACTGTTATGGAGATCTATTGTAAATATTACCTAATTGTGGATTTGTTAAAAATTGGCATTAAGAAAAAAGTCAAGTTGAAAATGCTAAGACAAAGAACTTTATATTGTGGGCCACTGAAACACACACAAAAAAATCACTTATGGACCAGATTGTTAAAAACATTAAATTGCTGATTTAATGAAAAATTTCAACTCTTTTATAATTCATAAAAAAGCACATACACAAAAATAATCTGGCAGTACATTTTACTGTGACGTGAAAACGTGACCATCAGACATGAAGACTGAGAGATGAAAAGAGAAAAGTATGACACAATAGTAAACAGTGAGAAAAAGAGAGACTCAAGCTCCCAGATAAACAAAAGAAAAATAGTTCCCAACCCTCCTTCCCCTCCTCCACCACATATACACATAGACAAACAGAAATAAATAGAGAAAACTGGAGGAAGACTCCAATCTTCTCACCATTAAAAATGTTTTGTGCTGCATACATATGTTTGCAGCCATGGACACAAAAGGGAAATTATCTTTTGATGAGGGTCATAAATTCAACCAGTCGGCCAGGAATTCCCCAGGTCTGTTCTGTATACATGTATATTTCTTCCAGTAGCCTCATATTACTTTGATTCATTTACACCGCATTAACTTAACGTTTAATTAATAGTAAAAAATATAAAGCTGAATGCAGTAGTACAAGCCTGTAATTACAGGTACCTGAAAGGCTGAGGAAGGAGGATCACTTGAGCCCAGGAGTTCGAGACCAACCTGGGCAACACAGCAAGACCCCATCTCATTTGAAAAGGAAAAAAGAAAGTAGAAGATAATGATGACAAGAATATAAGTCATATAACGTTTAAGGAATATAAGTAGTTCTGAAGGGGGCCTTAAATAAATGTATAAACAACAAAAGCTACCCACAAATACAATGACTTCTTAACTAGATGGATACCTTAAAAAGCTAGAGAATTACCATCAGACACTGGCATCAGTTCTAAAGATAGTACCTTATAAATACAATATAAAAGTACTAGAGATTATAGATTATAGATACTAGTTATACATAATATTTACTTATATATTACATAACTATATACTTATATAATATGTATATTTCCTATAAACTAGTTAAATGATGTTTATTTTAAAATTCAATGTGACTTTAAATATATTCTTAAATGAAAATTACAAATTATATATAAGTATATATTATATAGGAGTATTTAACTCATATAGAATACCTATTACCTATTATATAGTAGTATGTATTCTATGTAAGAGACTAGCAACAAATCATTATAATACACTGTCAATTAGGACTTCTACTGTTACATAATTAAATATAATCAAATGAGTAATTATTTGAAGTTCTATATAACCCACTACAATAACGGCAAAAAGCAATCTTACCGTAGTGCAGAGTAGACGCCCAAAGACAAAAACGAATAATCAGGATCGTAGTACAAATACACAGATGATACACAGTTTGGGAGGATGTCAATCACCCCCACAGCAATGATCTTTCCGTCAAGCCAGTACTGCTGGTGAAAGGAGCCATAGCCACAATCTGGCCCATTAGGGGGAGTCTCTGCCTAAGAAAAAGCAGAGGCACAAACAGCCATTTTTTTAATATTAAAATAATCTTATAATTAATATATACTTTCATTTTCCTCAGGTTAATAAGTCCTTAACTTTCCTCTTTGTTTCCATCATCATCCCTAGTCACACCCTATATTAAGCTGCAAAACTTTTTCATCATAGAAATACTGACTAAATACAAAATTCAAAAAGAGAAATCAATTTATGTTTTCTTCAATTTACTTGTTTTAATACTTGACAGTAGGAAATACAGCATTTTACAGGATAAGAAAATCACTATTAAACTATGTCCTTCCATTTCTATACTACTCAGGCATAAAAAGGAACAAAATAATGGCATTCGCAGCAACCTGGATAGAGTTGAGGACCATTATTCTAAGTGAAGTCACCCAGGAATGGAACACCAAACACTGTATCTTCTCACTTATAAGAGGGAGCTAAGCTATGAGGACACAAAAACATAAGAATGACACAATGGACTTTGGGGACTTAGACGGAAGGGCAAGAGTGGGTAAGGGATAAAAGACTACACATTGGGTACAGTGTACACTGCTTGGGTGACGGCTGCACCAAAATCTCAGAAATCACCACTAAAGGACTTACCCAAACACCACCTGTTCCCCAGAAACCTACTGAAATAAAATAAATAAAATAAAAAAATAAAAACTATGTTCTTCTATTTCACACAAAGGTTAGGAAAGAAATGCATGAGAAAAATATGAGGAACATAAAAGAAAAGGGTGAGGTGAGATACTGCCAGTTAAGCCTGTTCTGTGAGTGCCTCAGCTCTGAGAAGGTACACAATCCCATTGTATCTTCTAGGTGAGAGTTCTTGTGTAAGTACAAAGGACTATGATACTTCTCCTTATTAGTCAAAGGAAAACAAAGTTATTCTTCATTATTATCTTAATTTAACTATAACTTCACAGGAAAAATCTAGAGATTTCAGAATATAACCATCTTCCTGTAAATATAGCTAGTTAAATGACATTTCTCATTTTAAAATTCAACATTTTAAATATAACTGATCTTAAATGAAAACCATATAAAGAACAGTATCAAGGAGCATAAAACAGCCTTTCCTGGAGACTGAGTGAATGTTAGAGATTACTAATTCAAGTGAACAAATATAATACTACTTGTACATCATTTTCACACAGCTAAAATCAGAGAATTATATGAATAAAAGCTAGAAGAGAATAAAAAAAAATGAGAACAGGTTGAATAACACCAAAACCAAGCAAAAAAATCAAGAAAATAAATCTACAAATCAATCTCCCATGAACACAGATGCAAAAATCCTCAACAAAATATTAGCAAATCAAATCCAACAATATATAAAAAGAATTATACCATGAACAAAAGAGAAATTTATTCCAGGTGTGCAAGGCTGACTTCACATTAGAAAAGCAGCTTTTTAAAAGGCAATTAATGAACAATCAATGTAATTCACCACATCAATAGGTCAAAAGAAGAAGTATCATATGATCATATCAATTGATGCAGGAAACATTACTGGCAAGACCCAACACCTATTCATGACTAATCACTCTTAACAAACTGGGAACAGAGGAAAGTTTTCTCAATTAGCTAAATAATATATATGCAAAAACCCACAGCTCACAGCATACTCACTAGTAAGAAAGAACAAGGTAAGGATATCCTCTCTCATCACTCCTAGTCAACATCATATTAGAAAGCTTAGCTTGTGCAATAAGAAAAGGAAATAAAAGGTGTATAGACTGGAAAGGAGGAAAAGCCTGTCTTTCTTTATAGATAACATGACTGAGGTAGGTTAAAACAAACAAACAAAAATCAGTAACAACAAAAAATTGAAATAAGCAATTACAGCAAGGTCCCAGAATACAAGGGTAATATACAAAAGTCAGGTGCTTTTCTATATACCAACAATGACTGGAATTTGGAATACCATTTGCAATACAACAAAAAATGAAATGTTTAGTTATAAATCAAACAAAATATACACAGAAAACTACAAAACTCCGACAAAAGGAATCAAAGATCTAAAAAACCAGAAAAATATTATGTGTGCATGGATTAGAAGACAATATTGTCATGATCTCAGTTTTTCCTAAGTTGATATATACATTTAATGTAATCACAATCAAAATCTCAGCAAGCTATTTTGCAGCTATCAAAAAACTGATTCTAAAGTTTATGTAGAGACAAAAGTCTCAGACTAGCGAACCCAATACTGTGGAAGAAAAAAGTTGGAAAAAACTGTTGACACTCCCAATGTCAACACTTGCTATAAACCTGTAATAATCAAGATGGAGTGATATTGGTGAAAGAACAGACATAGGTCAAGGTCAATGAGATAAAACAGACACACACAAATATAGTCAAATGACCTTTGACAAAGCAGCAAAGGCAATGCAATAGAGAAAGAATACTCTTTACAATAAATGGTGCTGTAACAACCAGATATCCATACGCAAAAAAAAAAAGGAATCCAGACACACACCTCACACCTTTCACAAAAATTAACTCAAAATGGATCATAAACCTAAATATAAAATGAGAAATTAGAAAACTTCCAGATGATAATATAAAAGAAAATCTAGGTGAACTTAGGTTTGTCAATGAGTTTTTAGATAAAACACCAAAAGCACAATTCATGAAACAAAAAAACTGCTAAGTTGTACTTTATTAAAACTAAAAACTTCTGCTCTGTGAAAAACATTGTTAAAATAAAAACTCAAGTCACAGACTGGGAGAAAATCTTGTAAAAGACATATCTGATAAAGAATTGGTATCCAAAATATACAAAGACTTTCAAAATTCAACAACAAGAACACAAACTACCCAATTAAAAAGTAGGCAAAATATTGGGTGTCATGGCTTATGCCTCTAACCCCAGTGCTTTGGGAGGCCGACGTGGGAGGATCCTCTGAGCCCAGGAGTTCAAGGCTGCAGTGAGCTAAGATCGTGCCACTGCACTTCAGCCTATGCAAGACCCTGTCTTTATTTTTAAAAATAAGGGAGAAGGGGCAAATGATGTGAACAGACACCTCACCCCAAGATGTACAAATGGCAAACAAACATATGAAAAGATGCTCAATATCACTTACCATTAGGGAACTGCAAATTAAAACAATGAGATAATACCACAAAACTACTAGAATGGCTGAAATCCAAAAACTGAATAAATACCAAATGCTGGTAAGGATGCAGAGTAATAGGAACTCTCATTCAGATGGTGGGAATGTAAAATGGTATAGATGATTTAGGAGCTGCTCATAAAATTAAAGATCTCAACATAAAAAAGAGCAATCACATTCCTAGGGATTCATCCAATTGATTTGAAAACTTATGTCACACAAAAACCTAAAACCCTATAAGTGAATGTTTATAACAGTTTTATTGATAACCACACAAAACTGGAAGCAACCAAGATGTCCTTCAATAGGCAAATGGATAAACTATGGTACATCCATACAATGAAAGATTACTCAGCAATAAATAGAATAACTATCAAGACACACACACGAGAAACTTTACATATTGCTAAGTGAAAGATGCCGATCTGAAAAGGCTATATCCTGCACGATTCCAATTATAGGCATGTCTCATTTAATTGCACTTTGTTTTATTTTGCTTCACAGATAATGAGTTTAAAAAAAAAAAAAGAAGGTTTGTGGCAACCCCACTAGAAAGTCTATTGGGGCAATTTTTCTAAGCATGTGCTCACGTCATTAGCATTTTTTAGCAATAAAGCATTTTTTATTTAAGGTATGTAAGTTGTTTTTTCAGATATAATGTTACTGCACACTTAAGAGACTACAGTGTAAACACAACCTTTATATGCTCTGGGAAACCAAAAATTTTGTGCAAGTGACTTTATCATGATATTTACTTTATTGCAATGGTCTGGAACCAAATCTACACTATCTCCAAGGTATGCCTGAAGACTCTGTAAAAGGCAAAACTACAGTGACAGTAAAAAGATTAGTGTTGGCAGGAGTTTGTGGGCTATTAGGGGAATGATGAATAGATGAAGCACAGGGACTTTTAGGTGGTGAAACTATTCTATATGATATTGCAGCAATAACAGATCAGTAAAAACCCACAGAACATTACAACACAAAAGAATGAACTGTAATGCATACAAATTTTTAAAAAATCATTTAGGAGTTTGCAGCATCCCAGGAAGAAACACAAGCTGTGACAAGTGAATCTAACTATATTACAAATGTATGAAACTACCTTACTGAAACTGCTGAGGGAGGGGAAAGCTGCTGACCTAAGCAACTCTGGAAATGAAAGCGGTTTCTAAGAATGAAGGTAACAGGAACTCTGCACCTAAGCACCGTATCCTACTTGATAAAGTTGTTTCCCACAGAGTTACTGGTTAACAATTCTGATACTTCTACACACGAATACTGGAGGTGACCAATTCAGTAAATGGATGGCAGACAGTAAGAATCAGGTTTCTTACAGTTACAGTGGGAATTTACAGATAAGCAAGGGAAAAAAGGTAGAAAGATTCATGTGCTAATGGATTAGAGTTGGAAACACTAATAAGAACTCATGTTTAGCTTAGTATAGATGCACAGTTACACAAAGAAATATTTATAAATGTGCATAGATTATAGATATGTGCATATATATGCATTAGCATACACACATATTTCTTTGTTCTGTCAGCTGAGAGGGTCTAGAAGAAACACCACCCCAGGAGCAATGAGCATTCCTAGCACCCAGATCTTGGTGTCTAACACTATTCTGCAATAAAAGAAACCAGGGCCCCCAAGGAGAAATAGCTGATTCCAGAACTCAGGCAGGAAATATACAAGATCAGCCTGAAGTACCAGAAAGTAAAGTAGCACTATTCAAAAAAAAAAAAAAACCCAAAACCAAAATACCCAACATTGAGGGGGTATACCAATGGAGCACAGAAGTCTATTGAAAGAGCAACCAATGCACAAAGCCAGAACAATCTGAGCAACAAAATAAAACAGTACTGACTTTATAATCCCAAGTATGAGATAAATATTCATTAGTCCACACTGATATATATGATTGAATAAATTAATAAATGAGGCAGAAGACACAAATCTCCCATGCAGAAGAATTCCAGACAGTTTATGTAGCTATTCTGCCCTAAAGGTAGGGGAGCATAACTCCCTACTACTTAAGTGCAGGCTGCACACAACTCCCTTCCAAAGAGTATTGTATGAAAGGAGGAAAATGGATTAATTGTGGAGATTATCAAGGTTAACAACCACCACAAGAGAGGATTTACTAAGGTGCTAGCAGTATCAGCAATTTCTCAAACTTCCATTGGTGGTGTTAAAATGCTGTTTGGGGCTGGTCTGAGGGCAGTGGTGTTTACGACTAACTGATAACAACCAGTACAGATTTCTTTGTTCCTTCTCCATTCCCGCTGCTTCATTTGACTAGCCTGCCTAAATAAATAAATAAATAAATAAATAAATAAATAAATAAATAAAATGTTATCTGGGCAATAAATACATCTTTAAAGTATTTCCATGAATGATAAGTTATGTCAAAAACCAGTTTTAGTATTCACTGTCATATACAGCATGGCTCTTTAAAAAAAGTCTTTATTTCCATAGAAACAGATACAATACAAAGAGTAAAGCAGGTGAGCAAAAAGAAGCACTAACCAAAAGAAAACTGGAAGAAATGTTAACCTCTTATAACTACAACAGTGAATGGACACCAATATTCTGTCTAACATGCTATTGAACTGGAAGCCTAACCACCTACCTCAGAAATCAGAAGGCTCAACTATGTAACAAGAAATAAACAAGTTTCTACATATTAGTGAATTTTATGAAAACCATCTTTTAAAAATGTAAGCCTCAAGGCTGATAGGAATGAGACTACCTGTCTTTAAAAATAATCATGCGGCTGGGCACGGTGTCTCACGCATGTAATCCCAGCACTTTGAGAGGCCGAGGTGGGTGGATCACAAGGTCAGGAGTTCAAGACCAGCCTGGCCAACATAGTGAAACCCTGTCGCTACTAAAAATATAAAAAATTAGCTGGGCATGGTGGTGGGTACCTGTAATCCCAGTTACTCAGGAGGCTGATGCAGGAGAATCGCTTGAACCCGGGAGGCGGAGGTTGCAGTGAGCTGAGATCGCGCCACTGCACTCCAGCCTGGGTAACAGAGCGAGACTCTGTCTCAAAAATAGTAATAATAATAATAATAGTGAAAGGCCAGGCGCGGTAGCTCATGCCTGTAATTGCAGCACTTTGGAGGCCAAGGTGGGCAGATCACGAGCTCAGGAGATCAAGATCATCCTGGTCAACACAGTGAAACCCTGTCTGTACTAAAAATACAAAAATTAGCCTAGCGTGGTGGCATGTGCCTGTAATCCCAGCTACTCAGGAGGCTGAGGGAGGACAGTTGCTTGAACCAGGGAGTCAGAGGTTGCAGTAAGCTGAGATCACGCCACTGCACTCCAGCCTGGGGACAGAGCGAGACTCTGTCTCAAAAAAAAAAAAAAAAAAAAAAAATCGTGAACAGGCCAGGCGTGGTGGCTCACACCTGTAATCCCAGCACTTTGGGAGGACGAGGCGGGCAGATCATGAGCTCAGGAGATCGAGACCATCCTGGCTAACACGGTGAAACCCCGTCTCTACTAAAACTACAAAAAATTAGCCAGGTGTGGTGGCACGTGCCTGTAATCCCAGCTACTCGGGAGGCTGAGGCAAAAGAATCGCTTGAACCTGGGAGGCGGAGGTTGCAGTGAGCTGAGATCACATCACTGAACCCTGGCCTGGGCGACAGAGCAAGACTCCATCTAAAAAATAATAATAATAATCGTGAATGAAAGCAGCCACTGCGGTGACATGGAAACTGAGAAAAGCTGTCAGTTTGTGATATTTAAGGTGGAAAGCCTGTCAAATGTCAGAAAACCTACAAGTCAAAAGCTAATTAGGCAGCTCTGAAATAAGTCTAAATTCTTCCATAACTTCAATGTAGTACATCATTCTAGGACTCATTAAATCTAATGTGCGTTCATTCATTCATTCATTCATTCATTCATTCATTAAAAAACTTATTTATCGGCTGGGTGTGGTGGCTCATGCGTGTAATCCCAGTACTTTGGGAGGCAGAGGCAGGCCGATCATTTGAGGCAAGGAGTTCGAGACCAGCCTAGCCAACATGGCAAAACCCCGTCTCTACTAAAAATACAAAAAAATAGCCAGGTGTGGTGGTGGGGGCCTGTAATCCCAGCTATTCAGGAGGCTGATGCAGGAAAATCGCTTGAACCCGGAATGCAGAGGCTGCAGTGGGCCAAGATCACACCATTGCACTCCAGCCTGGGCAACAAGAGTGAAACTCAAAAAAAAAAAAAAAGGGCCAGGTGCGGTGGCTCATGCCTGTAATCCCAGCACTTTGGGAGTCCAAGGCGGGCGGATCACCTGAGGTCAGGAGTTCGAGACCAGCCTGGCCAACTTGGTGAAACCCTGTCTCTACTAAAAATGAAAAAATTAGCTGGGCATGGTGATGGGCGCCTGTAATCCCAGCTACTTGGGAGGCTGAGGTAGAAGAACTGCTTAAACCCAGGAGACGGTGGTCGCAGTGAACCAGGATCACGCCACTGCACTCCAGCCTGGGTGACAGAGCAAGACTCCCTCTAAAAAAAAAAGTATTTATTAAGAACGTAAGTATGCTCATGCCTGTAATCCCAGCACTTTGGGAGGCCGAAGCGGGCAGATCACCTGAGGTCAGGAGTTGAAGACCAGCCTGGCCAACGTGGTGAAACTCCATCTCTACTAAAAATACAAAAATTAGCCAGGCATGGTGGCACACACCTGTAATCCCAGCTACTCAGGAGGCTGAGGCACGAGAATTGCTTGATCCCAGGAGGTGGAGATTACAGTGAGCCACGATCACCCCATTGCACTCCAGCCTGGGTGACAGGATCAAAACTCCATCTCAAAAAAAAAAAAAAGAATATAAGTATAATCTCAATAAGCACATTATTAAATAAACAATGCATTCTGTTAACCCTAAATATAAATCAGTCTTACTTGTTGTACCAGCTTGAAATACTTGTTCAAACTACAATTACCTTCTCAGTTTCTGATTTTCATCATGTTTCTCATCCCTGGACCTCCCATCTGAAAACCTGCTTCAGTTACTTCATAGGTTTGTTCTCCTCTGAGTCCAGTCATAACCAGTTTGTCCTACCATAGACATTACTCCCATCTCTCAATTCCTGTGGAAGCTGGGGTCTTCCCCAAATGCAGAGCACTTCCTGTAAGATATGGGCTGCCTCATAATTACTTAGGAAACAATAAGCTATATACCTATCTACTCTGCCTCCCATCACTTCACAGATGATCCAAGAAAAGCAGGTCAGAGGCCATTTTCCTAAAAGATAACTGGTCGACTCAGCACTCTTGGTTAATAATGATCTGCTCTTCTCAATTTGGCTAGTAAGTCAATCAGTACAATTTTTTTCAACAGGTACGTGGCAGCTGTGGAGAATGAGTTGGAGGTGAGCCTGAGATATTGATTCTCTTTGTGTTCCTTGCAGCTGGAGCAGCCAGAACCCCCAGATCACTCACGCCTAGCTAAGAAATTCAGGAAAAAAAAAAAAATTCAGTGCCTGCCCTCCAATACCATAAACTGATTTAACAAACATGTCTGATGTTTGTTTATGAACACATCTGGTCATCCTGCAGCTAGGAGTTTGCCTTTACTGAAGAATCAATACAAAGATTTATCTATAAGAGTGGTTTGCCCTTACTGAAGAATCAATACAAAGATTTATCTATAAGAGTGGTCACGTAGTATTGTTGTTATAGAGAAAAACTAGAAACTAACTCACTATCAAATAATGAAGTGGTTAATTACCTCAACCTATCCACACAGTTGCATTGAGTATTCCATGCAGCAATTAACAACATAAGCATTTCGTTATATGTCCTAACACAGAGAAGCTCGAAAACACCAAGAATGAACCTGTTTTTTAAAAAGAATCAACACTAAACAATACATACATACAAATTATTTAGCCCACTGGAGGGGTATCCTCCAACTCTCTATACTCTCCTCTACCACCCCACCCCAACTAGGTCCAAAAGAGCTATGTCTTACAACAGTCCCTTAACTTAGCTTTCCAGGAGGCTCAGTCATCCATTCCTAGAGAAGCCTCCTTAACTCACTTACCATTCTCTATTTACTGCCTTGAGAATTCTACTTCAATATGTGGAATTGTATTTCCTTAAACCTTAGTCAAAAAGGTAATCATGTCTTGGTATCATGAAATAATTTTGAACTTGAGGACCCTCTGAAAGGGCCTCAGGGACCCCTGGCATTACCAGACCACACTCTTGAGAATCACTGATATCCATTTATTTTGGAAGTACAGGTAGAAGAGGAGCCTGCCAACTGTAAGCGGCAAATAGAAACTGAGCAGGTTATAGGATTCAAAGTCAAAAGATGTGGATTTGAGCCCTAACTCCACTGTACACTTTTCTGGCTATTTGAACTAAGTAAGACAGTAATTTAACCTCTTTCAAGAGTTTCAGGCCGGGTGCAGTGGCTCACGCCTGTAATCCCAGCACTTTGGGAGGCCAAGGTGGGTGGATCACGAGGTCAGGAGATCGACACCATCCTGGCTAACACAGTGAAACCCCGTTTCTACTAAAAATACAAAAAATTAGCCAGGCATGGTGGCGGGAGGCTGGAGTCCCAGTTACTTGGGAGGCTGAGGCAGGAGAATGGCGTGAACCTGGGACGTGGAGCTTGCAGTGAGCCAAGGTCGCACCACTGCACTCCAGCCTGGGCCACAAAGCGAGACTCCATCTCAAAAAAAAAAAAAAAAAAAAAAAAAAAAAAAAAGAATTTCAGTGTCCAGGCAGGGTGTGGTG
This sequence comes from Homo sapiens, assembly GCF_000001405.40. Classification (NCBI taxonomy): domain Eukaryota; kingdom Metazoa; phylum Chordata; class Mammalia; order Primates; family Hominidae; genus Homo; species Homo sapiens. Next base: position 121,851,153 of record NC_000010.11, read on the forward strand.
GCTCACAGCTGTAATCTCTGCACTTTGGAGGCTGCGGCGGGCAGATCGCTTGAGTCCAGGAGTTTGAGACCAGCCTGGCAACATGACAAAACCCTGTCTCTACTAAAAATACAAAATAGTAGCCAGGTGTGGTGGCACATGCCTGTACTCCCAGCTACTCTGGATGCTGAGGTGGGAGGATCACTTGAGCCTGGGAGGCAGAGGTTGCGGTGAAGCGAGATCGTGCCACTGCACTCCAGCTTGGGCAACAGAGCAAGACCCTGTTTCAAAAAATAAAAACATAAAAAATAAAAGTTTCAATGTCTGCATTTTTCAAACAAGAATCATACTACCGGTCAGTCTCAACTGTCATTAGTTGTGAGAAACAACAATATACAAATAAAAGCACTTTGCAGACTATAAAAAGTCTAGGTCAGTTTTTGTTTTTGTTTTGTTTTGTTTTTTGAGATGGAGTCTACAAAATTACATGAGTAGCTAACTTAACAGCAAAGTTACTTAAACAGCAGTTATCTTTCATTTCCTCATACATAAATCTGTCATGTGACTAGCAAAATTTAGTAATTTATCTTTACCAGTCTGCAGTTTTGCATATTTTGGATATCTGAAAGAATTAATTAACTAATTCCTCAATTTCAAGGATTTAGCTGATAACAAGAAAAAATAATAATAAATTTCACCTCTACCTATACAGAAGAAAAACCACCTTAAATGTTGGGGAGGAAAGGAATGACTTCTGTGATTAATGACCTATGTGGTATAATACCAAAGGCACTGTGTAGAAATGTCATCAATATTAATAGGCTAGTTCTGGCTTCCAGCCAAACTGCTCCCAAAATGGGTGCATATTTACTGTGATAAAGTAGACCTGTCTCTTTACCCACCTGCTTCTATGTACCTTAGCTATGCCCAGAACACAGTGAAGGCTCAAAAGAACAGGAGACTGGAGAGTCATATGCCAGGCATCAGGCCAGTATTTGAGGGGATTTACTACGAAGTTCAAAGATAGGAAGACTGAAAGTCTTCAGGGGCTTTAAGAGAGCAGAACCTGAGTTCTCTTCTCTTCCAAAGCAGCTGAAAATACCTCTCCCACATTGTACCTGTACAATACAAAAATCTATGATGAGACAATTAATGTCCCGAATTTTTAGTAAATAACAGTTAATGGAGGCACCCAAAGGTAATCCTTTTAGGCACCTGATACAAAGTCTGCATTGTGTTAAAATAACTCACTCCTGCAACTGTTTTGCTTTTTTATTTTTTTTTAACAGTTTCATGAAACACTTCACCGAAGTTTGAAAAATAGAAACACACACTTTGGGAGGCAGAGGCAGGCAGCTCACTTGAGGTCAGGAGTTTGAGACCAGCCTGGCCAACATGGCGAAACCCCTTCTCTACTAAAAATACAAAAATTAGCCGGACATGGTGGCAGGTGTCTGTAATCCCAGCTACTTGGGAGGCTGAGGCAGGAAAATCACTTGAACCCGGGAGGCAGAGGTTGCAGTGAGCTGAGATCGCACCACTGCACTCCAGCCTGAGCAACACAGCAAGACTCTGTCTCAAAAAAATAAATAAATAATAGAAACACAAAGATGTGCTAAGCCACTGTGGCTTCATTTCTCTAAAACATCAAAAACTAAATTTAAAATTTTGAAATAATAGTCTACAGTTAAGAAATGAAAAAGTAATAAATTTGGAAAATGCAACTAGTAATGCTCACTGTTAAAATGGCACATAGTTTTAGATAAGTTACTTAAAAATCAAGTGCAACAGATTCCTAATTTTCTGGCTGACAATTAGACACTAAAGACAGGGGAAAATAAATTTAGTATTATCAATGGAGCGATTATGAGTAATTTTTAAATTCTTTTCCTCTATTTTCTGTATTTTTCAATAAACATGCATTAATGTTATAATCTAAAGAGTTTTAAAAAACTAAATTGAAGAGGCTGGGTGCGGTGGCCCAGCACTTTGGGAGGCCGAGGTGGGCCGATCACGAGGTCAGGAGGTCGAGACCATCCTGGCTAACACGGTGAAACCCCGTCTCTACTAAAAATACAAAAAATTAGCCGGGCATGGTGGCGGGCGCCTGTAGTCCCACCTACTCGGGAGGCTGAGGCAGGAGAATGGCGTGAACCCAGAAGGTGGAGCTTGCAGTGAGCAGAGATCATGCCACTGATCCAGCCTGGGGAACAAAGTTAGACTCTGTCTCAAAAAAAAAAAAAAAAAAAACTAAATTGAAGAATTACTAGTTCAGGTCAGGCATCCCAAAAATGCTCCATAATCAGAAACTTTTTGAGCACTGAGAAATAATGTTCAAAGGAAATGCATATTGGAGCATTTCAGATTTTAGATTTTCAGGCTTGGGATGCTCAACCAGTAAGTATAATGAAAATATTTCAAAATCTGAAAAAAATCCAAAATCCGAAATACTTTGCTTCCAGGCATTTCAGATATGGCATACTTAATGTGTAATTATTAAATAGAACAGATAAGGAATCCTCAACTTAAATCATTGTTAAAAAAAAATAGGTGGTAGAAAGATTATCTGAAAAGAGTAATTATTGGGTGTCTTAGTCTATCCAGGCTGCTATAACAATATACCTTAGACTGGGCATTTTATAAAGAATAGAAACTTACTATGCACAGTTCTCGAGGCTGAGAAGTACAAATTCAAGGCACCAACAGATTTGGTGTCTGGTGAGGGTTTGTTACTCATAAATGGTGGCTTCTGTCTCCTCACATGATGGTAGGGGAAGGTAGCTCCCTTCAACCACTTTTATAATGGCACGTAATCCCATTATTCAGGGCAGAGCATGTATAACATAATCACTTTCCAAAAGGCCTCACCTCTTAGAATACTATGACACTGAGTATTAGGTTCTAACATATAAATTTTGGGGGACTACCAACATTCAGACTACAGCACTGGGTATTCTTTCAGTGAAGCTCTAGGCTTGATTTTCTATTGACTGGGTTATTTTACAACTCTGCAGGTGCAGAGGTTAACTTGTAGATTTCTGTTGGGGGTGGGGAACAAATAATCCCTTACATGGTTTACCACCATATAAGACAATAACCAGTTGTTTTTATCTAATCTAGCAATCTCATCTCATTCACATGCATATATCTTAATATCTGCACATATTCTTAAATGTTCTTTGTACCAGTTTTAATGCCTTACTGGTTTTGCACTAACTGAGTCAATATTTGGCATGTGTTTGTCCTCTATTTGCATGAAGGTCACAATTTTATCTTTTTAAAAATTATAGTCAGCAGTTCTGGAGGTCATCCACTGAGAAGCTCAAGTAGACTAGATGGAGCTAAGTAAATGAGAAACACACCTCACAGTCTGTTAAGCCTAACACAACTTTTCTTGGCTCCCAAAGAGATGCTCATGCAGCCATAAAGCTCTAACTTTGCTCACTGTTTCTCTATGTATTTTTCTGCTTCTCCACTAAGTTTGTGCCTTTGTGTTTCTGATTCACTCGTGACCCATATATTATCCCCAGGGATGGTAGTAATGAGAAAGGAAAAAAAACGGTCAGGCAGACAGTTAGGATGGGTCTTTGGTAAAACTCCTTCAAACACAGAAACACCCTAAAAAATCAAGCTGCAGGCACAAATAGAGCAGCCTGGCGAAAACTCGGGCTGCAGCTGCACAGGTAAGAAAGCAAGGCCCAATACAGAAGCCTTTGTTCTTGGTGTAACCCATGGGCTCCCAGGAAAAAGTTTCCTCCCCTTTTCAGGCATGTACACGGTGGGTTCCACGGGAACTTGCACAGGGAAGGGTGGACCTTACCCAAAACAAACCCACAGTTGCACAACCAAGAGAAGCTGTACTTTGTGCTTGCCTAAAGACATGCCCGCAGCTGCACAGATAAGGGGAGTTACACAGACAGCTTCACACGTAAGGGAAGTTACACAAACAGCTACAGAGATGAGGGGGCATTCTTATAAAAGCTTTTGTATTCAACTGTAAAAATGGCAACCCTCTCCCAGGCCCCCTCTCTGCTGTGGACAGCTTTTTTCTTTCACTTATTAAACTTTTGCTCCAATCTCACTCTGTGTCCACACTCCTTAATTTTCTTGGTCATGAGACAAATAATTCCATGTACTACCTCAGATGACAAGACTGAAACATGGTGCACTGGCAAGATTGCAACAGTAATAGGTAGATTTCATTTATGGTCTCTGTTGGATGGATGACAGAAACCTATTCTCTGTTGGATGACAGATGACAGAGAATCTGGTTTGTTAGTCCTTTTGTTTGTCTAATTGTATATTTGTGAGTTAATCAATTAAGGAAAACAGCTCCTGTGAGATCTGAAACGATGAGTTTCTGTGTTTACTTGTGATCTATAGCTAAAGTTGTAGAACTGAAGCGAAAAGCCTTCTACATGTTTCTGCATCTATAATTCGAAAAAGCCGTTATTTCTCATTGTATGTGAAATATTTTCCTACCTCCAGAGGGTATTAATAAATTACATGTTACAGCTCTTAAACAGAAGAGCTCTGTAAAATTGATTTACAGAGATAAGAAAGCAGGTATATAAATTAAAATATTCTCCAAATTCACAGAAACTAAAGAAACTCTTAACAGAAACTGCTAGCTCAGAAACATTTTTAAGAATCCAAGTATAGGCCAGGTGTGGTGGCTCACACCTGTAATCCCAGCACTTTGAGAGGCTGAGGTAGGAGGATCACCTAAGGTCAGGAGTTCAAGACCAGCCTGGCCAACATGGTGAAACCCTGGTCTCTACTAAAAATACAAAAATTAGCCAGGTGTGGTGGTGGGCACCTGTAATACCAGCTACTCGGGAGGCTGAGGCAGGAGAATCACTTGAACCCAGGAGGCGGAGACTGCAGTGAGCTGAGATCACACCATTGCACTCCAACCTGGGCAACATGAGCAAAACTATATCTCAAAAAAAAAAAAAAAAAGAATCCAGGTATATATAACCAAGGTAAATCTTTGGATAAATAAGGCTAGTTTAAAATGTTTGGTCTGAGGGGAAAAAAGTTATCGCTTTTCTCAGAATTATTAGTATTAAGTATAATACATGAGTGGATTTTTAAAAATAATACAGGCATACCTGGCCGGGCGCAGTGGCTTACACCTGTAATCCCAGCACTTTGGGAGGCCAAGGTGAGCAGATCACTTGAGGGCAGGAGTTGGAGACCAGCCTGGCCAAAAAGAAGAAATCCCGTCTCTACTAAAAATACAAAAATTAGCTGGGTGTGGTGGTGGGCACCTGTAATACCAGCTACTCAGGAGGCTGAGGCAGGAGAATCGCTTGAACCCAGGAGGAGGAGGCTGCAGTGAGCCGAGATCATGCTACGGCACTCCAGCCTGGGTGAAAGAGCCAGAATCTGTCTCAAAAAGATAATAGTAATAATATAGACATCTTGCAGGTACTATGGGTTTTGTTCCAGACCACTGCAATAAAGTGAACATCACAATAAGGCAAATCACATAACTGTTTTGGTTTTCCTATTGTTTACACTATGCTGTAGTCTATTAAGTGTGCAACAGCACATCCAAATGCAATATATATACGTTGATTTAAAAATATTTCAGTGCCAAAAAATGGTGCTGGAAAAATGACACCAAAAGACTTGTTCAACATAGGATTGCCACAAACCTTCAATTTGTAAAAAACGGTGTATCTGAGAAGTGCAACGAAGCGTAACAAAATGAAGGATGTCATATAGGGGTTGGTTTCTAAAGAGAATAGTTCAACTGAACTTCCAAAACTGCTCATTGGTTTACTAATCAAAAAAGCTAACATCATACCTCTGTAATGCTGAAGATTTTGAAAAATCTAAGTTTGTGTTCAACTAAATTGAATTATAATTCTGATAAACATTGTTTAAACTTTTTTATTTATAGTAAAACATCCATAAAATTTGTTTGAACCACTTTTTTATTTTTATTGTTTACTTCACTTTGGGTTTTTTAAAAATTTCAACTTTTATTTTAGATTCAGAGAGTAAAGATGCAGGTTTGTTACACGGGTATGTTGTATGATACTAAGGTTTGGGATACAAATGGTCCCAACACCCAGGTAGTTAAGCCTAGTACCCAACAGTTAGTTTTTCAACCCTTGCCCCACTTCCCTTCTTTTTATCATAGCCTCCACTGTCTACTGTTCCCATCTTTATGTCCATGTGTACCCAAGGTTTAGCTCTCACTTAAAAGCAAGAACATGTGGTTTTCTGATTCTGTGTTGGTTTGCTTAGGATAATGGTCTCCAGCTGCATCCATGCTGCTGCAAGAGACATCATTTTGTTCTTTATTATGGCTGCATAGTATTCCATGGTGTATATGTACTACATTTTCTTTATCCACTCCACCTTTGATGGGCTAGTTCAGCCACTGTGGAAAGCAGTGTAGAGATTTCTCAAAGAACTAAAAATAGTATTTGACCCAGCAATCCCATTATTGGGCATATACCTAAAGGAAAATAAATCATTCTGTCAAAAAGACACAGGCACTCATACATTCATCATAGCTCTATTCACAACGGCAAAGAAACAGAATCAACCTACATACCCATTTTAACAATTTGTAAGTGTACAGTTTAGCATCATCAAGTACATTCACATTATCATGTAACTACCCACACAATCCATCCATAATTTTTTTGATCATCCAAGACAGAAACTACGTACCCATTAAATAATTAACTCTCCATTCTCTCCTCTCCGCTGCCCCTGGCAACCATCACTTCACTTTCTAGCTGTAGCCACTTGACTACTGTATGTACCTCATGTAAGTAGATCATATAATATTTGTCCTTTTGTAATTGGCTTATTGCACTTAGCATAATATTGTAAAGGTTCATTCACCATGTGTGATTGAGAATTTCCCTCCTTTTTAAGGCTGAATAATATTCCTTCATATCTATGTACCATTTTGTTTATCCATTCATCCACCGATGAATACTTGGGTTGCTTCTACCTTTGGCTACTGTGAATGATGCTGCTCTGAACACTGCTATATTGTTCAAGTCCCTATTTTCTTTTGTGTATATATGCACAAGTGGAATTGCCAGATGACATGGTAATTCTACTTTTAATGTTTTGAGGAATTGTTATACATTTTTCCACTGCAGCTGTACCATTTCATGTTCCCACCAGCAATGCACAAGAGCTCCAATTTCTCTACAACCATGCCAACAGTTACCGTTTTCCATTTTTTTTTTATAATAACCCACCAAATAGGTATGAAGTGATATCTCATTTTGGTTTTGATTTGTATTTCCCCTCGTGATGCTGAACAAATGACAAACATTTTTATATGTTTTGGTTTGGGTTGGCTTCACCATAACTTTGAAGATCCTTAGGTAATTTTAAAACGTAAATTAATGTAAATCAACAACTTAAATCATCTTTGGATACCCGAATAGTTTCTAACTAGGAACAAACACTAAAACAATGACCATAATTAAAAGTTTACCTACTTTTCCTTATTATATATATATAATATATATATTTTATACATATAATATATATATAATATATATATTTTTATATATTATATTTTTTTAATATATTATATATATACTACAGAATGGCTACATCTTTGGGGTCTGTCAACAAACATGCTCATCTTTGCCACTTTAAAATGTATATAAGAAGGTATAAAAGCGATATGTAAGGGCCGGGCGCGGTGGCTCACGCCTGTAATCCCAGCACTTTGGGATGCCGAGGCGGGCAGATCATCTGAGGTCGGGAGTTCGAGACCAGCCTGACCAACATGGAGAAAGCCTGTCTCTACTAAAAATACAAAATTAGCCAGGCGTGGTGGCACATGCCTGTAATCCCAGCTACTCAGGAGGCTGAGGCTGGAGAATAGCTTGAACCTGGGAGGTGGAGGATGCTGTGAGCTGAGATCGCACCATTGCACTCCAGCCTAGGCAATAAGAGCAAAACTCCGTCTCCAAAAAAAAGAAAGAAAGAAAAAAAGGATATGCAAGAAAATTGTGAAATTTGTGATTTATATACTTTCTCAGTCTGTTATAATGCTCATATAAAACAGTTACTTCTCAATGAGCTATCTCCCATTTCTCCCTATGAAAGAAAAGTTATTATTTTATTTTATTTTATTTTTTTTTTTTTTGAGACGGAGTCTCAGTCTGTCGCCCAGGCTGGAGTGCAGTGGCGGGATCTCGGCTCACTGCAAGCTCCGCCTCCCGGGTTCACGCCATTCTCCTGCCTCAGCCTCCCAAGTAGCTGGGACTACAGGCGCCCACCACTACGCCCGGCTAATTTTTTGTATTTTTAGTAGAGACGGGGTTTCACCGTTTTAGCCGGGATGGTCTCAATCTCCTGACCTCGTGATCGGCCCGCCTCGGCCTCCCAAAGTGCTGGGATTACAGGCGTGAGCCACAAGTTATTATTTTATTAAGAGATGTAATTAATATGATGGTTCAGGCCATATTAAGGGCAAAAGTAAGAGACATACATTTGTGTCAGCAGAGTAATGGTGTAAGACTTGATTTTTAGGCCAGGCATGGTGACTCATGCCTGTAATCCCAACACTATGGGAGGCCAAGGTGGGTGGATCACTTGAGGTCGGGAGTTCAAGACCAACCTGGCCCACATGGTGAAACCCTGTCTCTACTAAAAATACAAAAATTAGCCAGGCATGGTGGCAGGTGCCTGTAATCCCAGCTATTCGGAAGGCTGAGGCAGGAGAATCGCTTGAACCTGGGAGGCGGAGGTTGCAGCGAGCAAGATCGTGCCACTGCACTGCAGACTGGGCGACACAGTGAGGCTCCATCTCACAAAATATAAAATAATTTTTATAAAAAAGACTTGCTTTTTAAGGAAAATGTGAGTAGGATTATTCCAAAGTGGCAGCTTGTTACAGAACATAAAACAGCATAGTGGACACAAAACTTGAGAAAGTATAGTAGGTTGGGGAAGTGAATTTTTATTGGCTTTGGTCATAATATCTAAGAATGAGAAAACGCTATAATACGTGTTGACATGTTGGCTAAGTTCACTTAGTTTTGAGGGACCTCTTTATCTGGAATACTCTTACTCTGTAAGTGAGAAAAGGAAGGGTCAGGGTGACTAAGGGGCTTGCTCAAGGCCACAAAGCCAATTTAGGGGAATGCTAAGAAAGACCAAAGCCTGAAATTCCCAACTCTCAGTTTAGTGTCTGTCTTGCTGGACACTGCTTCTGCAGTCCACCATGCCAACACACAATCACACTGTATCAACGTGCTCTAGTCAACACAAGAGGTAAGAGATTTTAGCCACTTACTACTTACTAAACCAAAGGATGAACAAAGAAATGTATTTGTCAATGACATAATTCTTTGGAATTTAAATGTTTCCATGAAAGCAAAAAGGTTTACCCCAACATTCACAACTTAATACTAGAAGCACTGAAATAAAAATTTTAAAGAAACTTTACCAAGCTTATGTAATTGAGAAAGGAAGTACAGTAAATGTTTTTAATAAGTTGGACAGAAATAAGAAATTTACTTCTGCATTTTTACTGCAGAACAAATAGATAAATATCAGGACGTTGTTATTTAAGTTATTTTCTTTACTTTGACATTTCCTTTTATTTTAAATCCTAATTCTCCAACAAAAAGACTTTTAGTGAGGCACTGTCAAAAAGGCTAAGTAACAGAATCCCGAACTTCTCAATTCTACAGGTCAGTGTTTATTAAGCACTCTAGTAAACACCTTAGAATCCAGAGTAACTATGCTTATGTGAGCCCTTACTTAACGTCGTCAGTTCAATTTGAGATTCCTGCTTTTACAATATTTCTTATGAGGGAAAAATACATCCCACAGTGACAACCCAGACTGAGAACTCAATGACTGCCAACATCAAACAAGACTGATGTCCCCATGGAAACTAATCCACCCCAGGATTTTCTATTCAAACATTTTCTGAAGCATTCATGCACATCTAATGGGCAATGAAAATTGTCAAGGCAGATGACCCTAATTTTCAACACAACTGAAAGGTGCTTGCAGCAACACCACTACTCGCTAAAGGAAGACTGACCCAGCCAAAAGATGTCTTAAATGACTTGGATTTTAAGATGCCTATACTAATCCAAGCCCCAAGCAGGAAAATCTTCAGCCAGGAAACTCCTGGCATTTTTTATTTAATGTTTAGTTTTTTATTCTAAATGTACTTTATTCTCAGAAATCAACTTTGGTATATTTATCATATGGGACTGGTTTCTAGGAAAAGACTTCCAGTTGATATCATGAGATATATGGCTGCAATAAAAAATGATGAGTTCATGTCCTTTGTAGGGACATGGATGAAATCGGAAATCATCATTCTCAGTAAACTATCGCAAGAACAAAAAACCAAACACCGCATATTCTCACTCATAGGTGGGAATTGAACAATGAGAACACATGGACACAGGAAGGGGAACATCACACTCTGGGGACTGTTGTGGGGTGGCGGGAGGGGGGAGGGGGGAGGGATAGCATTGGGAGATATACCTAATGCTAGATGACGAGTTAGTGGGTGCAGCGCACCAGCATGGCACATGTATACATACGTAACTAACCTGCACATTGTGCACATGTACCCTAAAACTTAAAGTATAATAAAAAAAAAAAAAAGAGATATATGGCTGCAACTTACACTGACTCAATTATCAGGTCACATCCAAAAACTAACTGAAGTACCGTAAGCCCTCATGACTAGGGTTAACAACAACAATGTACTCCTATTTTCTGCTTTTGCCCAAATGATCAAGCCACAGCCTAGCTTTCTGCTTCTGATTCAATTCAGTACCAAGAGCAGAGTGCCAATTATTCTCTGAAGATGTCTAGTCCCCCGAGTAGTTACCTCTCTGTTCCCGGGGCCTGGCTCTTTAAACACAGCTGAGCCTCCCAGGCCTTAGAACAGAGAGCAGGTAAAAGCTTCCCCCAATTCACCAGCTCAGCCCTCTTCCTAGCCTTATCTCCACTGCTCTCGAATTTGGGCCAGCTTTCTGGATATTTGATTTTCGGTGTTCTCTTCGTTCAGTAAAATTAACTCCCTTCCTCAGCTTAACGACTCAACCTTCCGACCACCTCATCCCTTTACTGCTGACTCTGCAAGCTCCGTACAGGACCCAGTTTTGAGTAACAGCCATTCCTTCTGAATTCTAGCCATTGGAGAGACCTTGATATCTACAGCTACTCCAAGCAATGATACTTCTTACGTTGACAGACTCAAGAGATGGTTAGGTTCCTATGGTTCTTTCTTTTCTTTCTTTGGAGTGCAGTGTTGTGATCAAGGCTTACTGCAGCCTTGAACTCCTGGGCTCAGGTGATCCTCCTACCTCAGCCTCCAGAATTGCTGGGACTACAGGCACACATTACCACAACTGATTAATTTTTTTAATTTTTTTTTTTTTTTTTTTTTTGTAGAGACGTGGTTTTGCCATGTTGCCCAGGCTGGTCTCAAACTCCTGAGCTCAAGTGATCTACCTGTCTCAACCTCCCAAAGTGCTGAGATTACAAGCATGAGCTAACGCGCCAGGCCTCTTTTCTTCCTAACAGCCAAATGAATACTACTGAGGTAGGAAACCTGTAGGACTTATTTGCCGGTCCCAACAGAATGAAATGAAAAAACCAGCAGGAACCAGCAGATGGCATCAAAAGTGACCTCTAGTTGCCCTTGCTGTTCATTGGCATAAGACACTCCTACCAGTGCCATGACAGTTTACAAAGACCATGGCAACACCCGGAAGTTACTGCCCCCTTTCTAGAGATTTCTGAATAACCCACCCTTTAATTTGCATGCAATTAAAGGGGGGTATACATATAGCTAGCCAACACCCCATGCACTGCTACTCTTGAGCATACTGTGTGGTAGTGTTGTTCATGCTTCCTATTTTACTTCTAATTTCCTGTCTAAATGTTCTATCAATTACTGAGAAAGTTGTCCTGAAGTCCCCAACTACTACATTTCTCCCTTCAGTTCTATTAGTTTTTATTTCATGTTATCTTGAGGCTCTATTAAGTGGATCGCATTTCAAATTACTGCATATTCATTTGATGAACTGACCTTTTTATTGTTATGAAATGTCACTCTTTCTTCCAACTTTGCCCTGAAGTCTACTTTTTTTTTTTTTTTTTTTTTGAGACAGTCTCTTTCTGTCACCCAGGCTGGAGTGCAGTGGCACGATCTTGGCTCACTGCAACCTCCGCCTCCCGGGTTCAAGCGATTCTCCTGCCTCAGCCTCCCGAGTAGCTGGGATTACAGGCGCCCGCCACCACACCGGCTAATTTTTGTATTTTTAGTAGAGACAGGGTTTCACCATATTGGCCAGGCTGGTCTTGAACTCCTGACCTTGTGATCCACCTGCCTCGACCTCCAAAAGTGCTGGGATTACAGGCGTGAGCCACAGCGCCCAGCCGCCCTGAAGTCTACTTTGATAAGAATACAGCCACTCTGACTTAAAATTCTTAAGTTTTTTTTTCATTTTTATTTTTAGAGATGTGGTATTACTCTGTTGCCCAGGCTGAACTGCAGTGGTGCAATCATAGCTCACTGCAGCCTCAAACTTCAAGGCTGAAATGATCTTCCCACCTCAGTCTCTCTCACAGCTGGGACTACAGGCACACGCCACTACGCCCAGATAATTTTTTTATTTTTCTTTTAGAAATGGGGGTTCTCATTATGTTGCCCTGGCTGGTTTCAAACTCCTGGGTTCAACTGATCCTCCTGCCTCAGCCTCCTGAGTTGCTAGGATTACAGGCATAAGCCAACTTTCCTAGGATAAGTATTCGTATAGTAGTGTTTTACTCTAGCCTTTTACTTTTAACCTATCCATGTCTCTGTATTTAAGATGGATGTTGATTTTTTCCTTTTATCTAGCCTGACAATCTCTGACTTTTAATTGGAATGTTCCAATCTGCCCTAATAGTATAGTCACTAGCCACATGTGGCCACTTAGCCTTAAGTTAACTAAAATTTAAAAAATTTAAAATTCAGTTCCCAAAGAGCTCATTAGCTAATGTATGACAGCAGTCCCCAACCTTTTTGGCACCAGGGACTGGTTTCGTGGAAGACAATTTTTCTACAGACAAGGGTCAGAGGGGAGAAGGGGAAGGTATAGGGATGAAACTGTTCCAAGTCAGATCATCAGGCATTAGATTCTCATAAGCAGCTCACAACCCAGCTCCCTCACATGGGCAGTTCACAATGGGGTTCATGCTCCTATGAGAATCTAATACCACAGCACATCTGACAGGAAGTGGAGCTCAGGCAGCAATGCTCGCTCACTCGCTGCTCACCTGCTGAGTGTCCCAGTTCCTAACAGGCCACAGAGCAGTACTGGTCCCAGTCTGGGAACTGGGGACCCCTGATGTATGACCATTGGCTAGTGTTGAACGTGCAGACGTTCAGAAACAGAAATTACCATGAAGCAGAGTTTTCACTTAGACCATTTATATTTAGTACCATCATAATCAGTAGGGTTGAATTTAAGTGGGCCATCTTGCTATTTGTTCTATTTGTCCCACATGTTTTTTGTTCACTTTTTCTCGTCTTTTGTTGGACTGAAACATTTTATCATTAAATTGGCTTATTAACGATACCTCTTTGTATTTTTTTTTAAGGCTTTTTTAGGGATGTGGTTTTCAACAGGAAGCTATTTTGTCCCCCTAGGGACATTTGGCAAAGTCTGGAGACATTTTGTTGCAACTCAGAGGGGTGAGTCCTACTAGCATCTAGTGAGCAGAAGCCAGAGATGCTAAGCTTCCCATAATGTGCAGGACAGCTCCTCACAACAAAGAATTATCCAGCCCACCATGCTGATAGTACCAAGGTTGAGAAACCCTGCTCTGGGGCTTACTAAATACTCCCTAACTAATCACGGTCTTCTTTCAAATACTATCATATCACTTCATGTAATGTTAGAATCTTAACCACATTCTATTTCCTTCCTATCTTGTGATTATTGTCACATACTAGTAGCTGTGATATTGAGCACCTACCTAATCTACCTCTCTGGGTTCAATTTTCTTCATAAGAAAACTGGGAATATCTACCTCATTGACATTCTGTAAGAATTAAAATAAGGGAAGTGGAAAGCACAGTACCTGTACACCAGAGGTGCTAACTTATCAGTAAGTTATTATCCTATTAATACAGAAAATTTTGAAATGAAGGAACAGAAGGACACACCTGAAGAGAAACCTAGGTGACCTACATTCACACCTGGTTTAACTTTTGTTATAAATGCCTCTCCTATAGCTCTCTACCTACAAAAGTGACAATGAGACTGTGCCCTACTGGACTAGCTGGCAAAGTTTGACTCAGATGAGAAATTCAAGAATCTTTCGGGCTCTGATATATAATCCCTTTTATTTACCCACATTTAATTGAAGACATCTGTAAGTGGTGCCACACAAAATGTAATTCAGACTTAGAAATGTCAATAAAAATGTCTGTAAGGCCGGGGTCCGGTGTAAGCCTAGCAGGGGAGTACATATCAGCAGCTACAGAGCCACCCGAAATTAGGGATCTAATGGAAATATGTTGCCTGACTTGACGAGGTGATAAAAGCTCTTTTCCCATAAAGCTTAATGAGCTCTATTAGTCTTCAGCTTACAGGAATGTAAAAGGGTCAGCCCCACAGAGGGAAGTAACTGACTCTCCACACATGGTCCATTCAAATGACAACATATCAAATTACTGATGTAATTACTATAACCTGACAATTTCATTAGATTCATGTGGCAGTTAACTGTTTAGGACTTACAACAAAGGGACATGGTTCACTCATAGTAGTCATTGTGGAGAAAGTGAAGTTTAAAGTCGGCTTTGTTTTCAACTGCAACTCTCATGTATTTTACTGTCTCTGCCAGAATAATTTGACTTTTATTCAAAATTAAAGAAGGTGCTGGGTATAGACCATATTTGTAATTTTCCTTCTCCAGCTAAGTCATAAGCTTAATGGCAAAATTAAACATTCAGAGATTCCCAGCACTCTCCTGCCTTGCCTTTGGTTTGGCTGTCAGGAGCTATGTGGTGGCAAAGGAACAGCAGCCCCTGCTTAGTGCTGCTGGTGGAGACTTAGGGGTAGCTGCCACTAACTTAAGTCCTCAAGTGGCCCCTGTGGAATTGCAAACTAGAAAAATATCAACAGAAAGCCCTCAAAATATTTCCCATCAAGAAAGGAGACTTACATTGGTCATCTTTAATTTTGATTTCTCTTCCTCTCCAATGTCATAAACCCAGTAATAAAAAAGATAATTAACCAAGGTAAATACCACTCCAGATCATTAAATGATGAAAGCAGACAGAAACAGACAGAAATTATCATTAAACTTTGGATACTACTTTTCACCAAAGAGTGAAACTTCCACACATATATTCCCAATACTTAACCAGAGTAGTAATATGTAATTTAAAAGTATATATTTGTGGCCGGGCGCAGTGGCTCACACCTGTAATTCTAGCACTTTGGGAGGACCAGGCGGGTGGATCACTTGAGGTCAGGAGTTCGAGACCAGCCTGGCCAACATGGTGAAACCTGTCTTTACTAAAAATATAAAAATTAGCCAGGCATGGTGGCAGGCACCTGTAATCCCAGCTACTTGGGGGGCTAAGGCAGGAGAATTGCTTCAAATGGAAGGCAGAGGCTGCAGTATGCTGAGATAGTGCTATCTGCACTCCAGCCTGGGTGACAGAGTAAGACTCTGTCTCAAAAAAAAAAAAAAAAAAAATTTGTATATTCTATATACTCTAGCTGCAGCTAGTGTACTCTAGGTACACTCCAAGACCTATCTATAACTGAGAGCATCCGAAGATTACAAAGGACAAAGCTCTCAATCTTAAGTAGGTACAGTCTAACTGGGAAGACAGACTGTTAACTACATTAAAATGTAAATATTGGAACTTGTCTACTTTTAGCTGAGTCCTACCAAATTATGGATGAAAGACTGCTACTCTCAGTCTTAGCCCCACCAAATTCATTCATTCATTTGTTCATTCATTCATTGAACAAATATTTATTGACTCAGTGCCTACTATATTCTACCTATACTAAGAATGGGAAAGCAATAAAACAAGAAAAACAGGGTCCTCTCTCAATGAGCTTACATTTGAGAGACGTCAACTGTTAAGATTTATTAAGAAGCATCTTTGCCATCGGTGAGTAGTAGCCTTAAATTGCTACTTGCCCCAGTAAAGTGGACGTCAAGCTCAAGCCTCCTTATTTGGTCCCTGTACAGGAAAGCCAACCCAGCCTAATTGCCTTCTGCTAAAAACCCTTATTCCTGTTCATTCCTCTAATCTTTTGCTAAAATGAGAGCAAAGCATTATACATTATCAACATTATCTCATCTAAGTTCCTGCCAGCCCCTTTTTCCCAAGGTTAGATGCCGTTTCCACATCAAATCAAAGAGACTCCCGTTGTACACCTGTCAAACACTGATTATAAGAAGCATTACCAAAAAGCTACCAATGCACCTCTACCCACTGTGGGCCCTTTACTGGAAGAGTAAAGGATAAAACAACACTTTGTAGTTGTTAACATTTTGTGCATCTCCTTTCTACTTTTCTGTGCACTTAAATTGTGTTTAAACTGAGATCTGCATGTATAATTTTGCATCGTGCTTTTACCTCTCAATATATCAAATGTATTTTATATGTGTTATTCATCAATATATACTCCGAACACATATTCTCCATTTTAATGGTTGTAGGGTGTTCTATCATATGGCTGTGTCATAATTTATTTGACGTGTTCCTGTTGTACATTTAGATTGTTTACAATTTTTTACCATTCATTTTTATGTAAGTTTTGTCCGCATCTTTGATGAACTCTCTGACAGTGATTATTGAACTACAATTACTCAACCACAGGTATGAATGTATATAAAGCCTTTAGTGTATGTGACCAAACTGCTTCCTAGAAAGGATGAAGTTTATAAACATCCCATCTCATTATATCTTGTCAAGCATTCACTTAAAAAATAAGATATCTTGATAGGTTAAAAAAAAATTATAGATCACTGTCATTTTAAACTGCATTTCTTTTATTACTAATAGGAGTAAACATTTAAAACACATTTATTACCATTTGTATTTTATCTTATCAATTACCTGATAAAAATCCAACCACATTTTATGAAAAAGAAATTCATATTAATTGCTTCTAGAAGATCATTACATTAAGTATAACCCTTTCATCATACTTTATCCAAGTTACCTTTTAGCTATATTTGTTTTCATGTACAAAATTATGGATCTTTACATACTCAAATTAATTTTTTCACTCTTTGTTTTTTGATACTTTCCATTGCTTTTGAAGTTAGAAAGTGCTTCCATAACTATAGAGTGGGCTATAAAACTTATATTGTCTTCAACTTTTTTATGGTTTGGTTTTCACTTCACACCTAACTCTTAATTAAAATTCTATCTGCCAGACGCTGTGCTCAGTGTTTGCCACAGATCATCTCATTTAATTTTAATATCCCTGTAAGTATTATTATCTCCATTTTTAGATCAGGGAAAAGGGCTCAAGAGTCAATGACTTGCCCGTGGGCTACTCAGGCCTCTCTCATTTCAAAGCCTAGACTCTTTCCACTATACCACTCTGCTTCCCCGTTGATCCTGGATACTCAGACAATGTGACCAAACCTGGATGGGACTACCCTCTCTGGTCTGGTCCATTTCTCCTGGTGACCACTCAGGCTGGCTACCACACGTTTTCAATGCGCCAGTGTAGGCCACACCACATTATCAGCAATAATAGTTTCAATAATCAAATAAACAAAATGTTATAAAAGCAGAAATGGTCTCAGGAAGGACACAGTATTGAGGCTCAACCCTGAAGACGAATATGATTTGAAGAAGTTGGGAAAGCATAAAATGAAATAAACAATAGGCACAAAGGGAAGGACAAGTGCAAGGCAAGGAACAGAGTCTCATCACGTGGAGCTGAAGCCTAAGAGGAGAACACAAAATAGTGCCATGATGTGACTAGCACAGTTTATAACTGCTCCCATTTCCATCACTTATTTGAGAGGTAGGAATTATT
This sequence comes from Homo sapiens, assembly GCF_000001405.40. Classification (NCBI taxonomy): domain Eukaryota; kingdom Metazoa; phylum Chordata; class Mammalia; order Primates; family Hominidae; genus Homo; species Homo sapiens. The sequence continues at coordinate 121,869,185 of NC_000010.11, forward strand.
ATTTGCATCTAAAAGATAACAAAAATGAGGCTCAGGGCAGTTGTGATTTACCCAATGTCATATAGCTAGTAAGTGAAGGCAAGGTCTTACCCGGTTTCGGTTCTAAGTCCCACCACTTCTTCACATAACTCTGCTTCCACCCTTTCTCTACTTCCTTTTCCAAGTCTTGATGATCATCTACAAGTTTTTCTGCAAATGCAGCTCATAACGATATCTAGTTCTCTAAACATCTAATAGTTTTTCTTTATCTCACAATTTTATCACTGGATTCTCAGTTCTACATTGAAAACCATGATGAGGATTAAATGAAAAAGTGAATGAAGAACCCAGAATATTGCCTTGCTATAACAGCACCTCAATAACTTTGCTCTTCTCTTGTCAACTCATGGATTTTAAAGTGGTCTCTCTAACTGAAACTTCCTTGAAGACAGCCTTTGCCTCTGATTTTTCCAGCTCTCTTTTAATACCATGGCAATTTACAGAACATAAGGCTGCTGTTAAATAAACAGTTACAGGAGTAATGAAGATACAACAAGCCTCTTTAAAATGAAGGACTGATTTCTCTCTACTTATTCAGAAAGAAAATATACTTAAAAAGAGGCAATAACCTGTCATGAAAGTGAATTGCTATTGATATAACTTCTAGAAACTTTTATCCAAAAAAAAAGCCTGCAGTAACTCACTCCATTACTGTTATTGAAGAATATATGTGTCCCACCAAAATGAGCACTCCTAAATTATCAAATAAATGCCTAATGAAAGATATCAACAATGGTGTTCAATTACCAATTCTAATATTAAGGTCAGTGAGTAACTCTTACCTCCAAGGGTGAACTGCAAAGGAATCTTGTGAACTGCAGTCAAATTTGAACAGAATCCATTTCATCCAGTAAACAGACGGCAAAAAGGAACACAGAGAAAAAGAAAAAATTATTATACAATTTTCCAGTAAATCCACTTAAAGTGAACCCAAAGATTATAGAAAATTAATGTGTCCATAAAATTCATCCAGAGAATAGAAAGGTTCAGCCTAGTCCATAGGAGGCACCTATTTGAATTCCTTTCAATAAATATTCTTAAAAATCTATATAAAAGCACATAAAGCACAACAAATCAGTCCTAAAATATTTTGTTTAAATTTTATCTCACAACTCCTACATAATAAAAACATCTTTTAAGGAGAAAAATCAGCAATCTTCCTGACCTAAATTTGACAGGCAAAGTTCAGTAAATGCCAAGAGAAGAAGATATAAACCAATGAGGAGACCAACAAAAGGGGAGAGGAAAGACCAGGGGAGAGGAAAGACCAAGAGAGAGGTCAGGTGAGTGAGAATGAGAAGAAGGTGAGGTTTTAGCTCCACAATTTGGCATCTCATCTGTGGTCTTTACCATGTTCTGATCTTTCTCTTTTCTCAGTCCCATATCCCTTTCCTTCCTTCCTTCTCTCTCCCTTTCTCCCTTCTCTCTCACCTTTCTCTTTCTTTTTATGACACACATAGAGGAATATAGAATATCACCTGAAACTAAATGCTATATGATCAGCATTTAAATAAACATATTATAGAGGGGGATAGAAACAAATGACAAAGCAAATTGTAGTATACCTCTGAAATGAGGACCGTCACATAACTTCATGCATATACATGACGGTAATTCATAATGTTTTCATTGTTGTTATTTACAGATTCAACATTTCAAATCCTTTGAGATTTACTGTTAATAATACCCAAATAATACACACTCTTGATCTTTCTAAATGCAAATTAACTACAATAAAATACAATGACAGGACTGTTTCCAAGCACTCATGAACTTCCTCCCCACAACAAAGCTAGTACTCGCAGGGAATACAAATAACTTGTATTCTCTTTTAGAGTTACACATTGAAATATTTATCAATGAAATTATATGATGTCTGGGATTCCCTTCATGATCATTGGAGAAGTGGGGAGAAAAGTAATATGGAATAGTATAAAATAAAACAGACTAGCTGGGCGTGGTGGCTCACGCATGTAATCCCAGCACTTTCGGAGGCCGAGGCGGGTGGATCACCTGAGGGAGGACAGGAGTTCGAGTCGAGCCTGGCCAACATGGTGAAACCCCGTCTCTAATAAAAATACAAAAATTAGCTGTGTGTGGTAGTGGGCGCCTGTAATCCCAGCTACTTGGGAGGCTGAGGCAGGAGAATTGCTGGAACCTGGTAGGTGGAGGTTGCAGTGAGCCAAGATTGCGCCACTGCACTCCAGCCTAGGAGACTAGGGCGAGACTCTGTCCCAAAAATAAAAAACAAGTAAGATAAAACAGACTAGACATGACATTAAATGAGTGAGGACAAGAGATTAGGGTTCATTACGTGATTCTATCTACTTTGTAAATGTTTGAGGTTTTCCATAACAAAGTTTTAAAAATCTATCACATACTCCCACCAAAAACACTAAATATATTCTTAGAATATCACTAACACATACCAAAGCCATTCAATTAAATAGTATCATTTAGGCCCTAGTTGACAATATATTAAAATGTAAACACTTCAGTAGGAAGCAAAAAAAAAGGAAAGAAAAGAAAAAAACAAAATGCAAACAGTAAGAATTTTTTCTTAATTTAAATATCAATATGCAGTTCCATTACATTAACTCTTAAGATAACTTTCTGAAAGTGCAAAATATACCAAAATTTTAAGTCTTCTTAATGCTGACATGAAGCAAATAATTTTATTGAAATTTAAAATGCAAGCTTTGTGGTCTTGGATTCTTTCATTGCAGCCCAACCTAAGACAATCTCTACCCTTCCTCCCAAGAATAAGAAGTGCCAGTTCAAAGCCTAGCCAGTTTTAACAGTGGAGAAAAATGAGGCATGGTAAATTTTGATTTTAAAATCAGAAATTTGATTCTGAAGGGTTCTACGCTTTTCCCCAAAAGTGAATGTTAATATTATACAAATACTTTTGAATTTATAAGCAAGTCATGTTCAGTAGTAATTGATGCATTAATTAGCATAGAAGCTACTTTAAATAACAATGAAGACAAGAATATAAATGTTGTCTATAAAAACTAATGTCTCCTTGAAGCTTCAACAATTTATACACATTTTTGGCATGTGTATATGTCCCACATTTGTGTCACAGCTTTTTCAAAATAGACCTAAAAAATTCTCATCCTGTTTGAAGCCACCAAAATGTGAAATACATTAAGTAAAAGTTTTCAATCCTAAAGCAGTAAAAACAGAATAACAAATCACAAGACACACATTGACACTCCTATTCCCACGACATGAAAAAGATTTCAAAAAATGCCTTCTCTCTTTTAGAGCATCAGTAAAACCCATTTTTTTTTATGTTTCACTTCAGTTAATTACTTAGTAAATTCCTTCATAATGAAACTGTACATATTATATTCAGTAGAAATGGTAATACTTTGAAAGAACAATTATAAAAAAATGAGACTGCAAAATACATTTTCTATATACACTGCAATTGAAAGCAGAAATAGATTCCTTAACAAACACTATCATGATGTCTGATTACTATTAAAAAGGACTATGGCTCAATTTTGCTGTGAACCTAAAACTACTAAAAAGTAAAGTCTATTGAAAAAAAAAAGACTACGGCTGCACGCAGATGGTTGCACACATTAATATCACTTGTCTGATATGACTATATTAATAGGACTACTTAATAATAAATAATGGGTAAAGTTAACAGTAGTTAAGAGAAAGATCCTTTTCAAAATATTTGGGCGTAATATTGAAAACATAAAAAATGTAATATGTTTTACAAAATATCTGATTCTGCAGATGGGCATATAATTTTCTCATTCTAATAACAATCGTAGGTTAACATAGCCATATTCTTTATCTTCCTATGTACCCACTTTTAAAGATTACTTCTAGGAGTATCTTGATTTAACATAGTTCAATAAAGGAATAACCTGCATGATATTTGGCTTTTTAAACTTAACAGCTAAGTTACCTGTAACAATATTAATAACACTGTCAATTTGATTCACTTGATAAAATTTATAAAAATTCTAAATGCCAATTATTCTGTCAAGTCTTGAATTTTTTTTAAAAAACTGAAGAATTATGGTCTATATTTAGAATCCAGGCATAAAAGGCATCAGTACCATTTTCAAAATCCTCTAGGCCTCTAAAAAGAAAAAGGATACACACAGACAGTGCTCACGCTCCACAGCTTCTTACTGACCTTGCTTTTCTTAAAGTATTCTCATTTACCAAGCCTGGTACCATTGTTCTATTCATCATCGGTAGCCTGACTCATAACATAATCCTTTCTCATTCCCGCCAAAGAAGCACTTAATGCTTACCAAAATTTTCTAAACCATTTTCCAAGTGCACAAAATTGTAGTTAGACCTCCTATTAGTTACAATCAGTAAGTTCTTTTTCTAAGTATAGGGGTAGGGGGAATAAGGACCAAAGAAAATACACTGCTAATTTTGTCAAAAGATCCTAGCAATTTGGATGTAATGACTTCCTTTTTGGTAAGTTAAAAAAAAAAAAAAGGTACCAGAAAAATGATAATTATTTTCTCTTTGTAATATAAACTATTCAACAGATAATTCAAGCCACTTTGCTCCTGAAATGCCTTATTTGTTTAATAAGTAACCGTGGTTAAATTCCTATCTTTTAAAGAAAAAGGAAACACTCAACACCAAAAGGCATTTTTTACAAAGATAAATAACATTTTTTTTTCCTAACCCAAGGAACATCAGTAAGGTGTCACTATTTGCCAAAGTGAAATTCCAAATCTTATAACTAGTCATATCAAATATCCAAAATTTCCTCACATTAACAAAATATACTTCCAGTTATATTTCCTGGGCTTTTCACTTATTGTACCCTACTTCCACTTACTGTCCTATAATTTGTCAGGGGACAGGTCTGATTATTTTAGATTATAATCTAATAAAACCTTTATTTAAAAATTTTGCAATTATCAATCTAAATTACACCTCATTGTAAAATACTAAATTCTATCAGGAATTTGGAAGCCTTAAGTCAGTTACGACTCTAAATTATGTTAACTTAACATTTTAGACTCCCTTCCCATCCCTGTTCAATTTCTGGCACATATTTACACTATAAATAACTGGTAGTTCTAAGGCAGTGCAAACTAGGTTTTATGTAAAGAATGTCTCTGATAAATCTACAACTCTAAGAAATTAATTTGATTCCACAAAAGAAAAAAGTTTTATTGTTTCATATTTCATTGCAGACAAATAAAACCTTCAAAGCAGCCAAAAGACACAGCTAGCGCCCATTTAAAAAGTCATCAAAAGAATGAGAATTAAATCTGTATTTAACAAGGAGTGGAAGCTAAGGTTTGAGAAGATCTTATTTAACCTATTAGTGGGGAGTAAAAAGGGCAGATTCAAGTAATTCCCTAAATTCATTTTTTTATAGCTATTCTCTATCCCAATTGCAAGCAACGTAGCAGAAAGGATTGTTTGTGCTACCTCTTCTGATTACATTTGGCACCTTAGACATTAAGATTCAAAACATCTTAAAAGATGACAACAAGGCCGGGTGCAGTGGTTCACACCTGTAATCCCAGCACTTTGGGAGGCCAAGGCAGGTGGATCACGAGGTCAAGAGATCAAGACCATCCTGGCTAACACGGTGAAACCCCGTCTCTACTAAAACATACAAAAAATTAGCCAGGCGTGGTGGCTCACGCCTGTAATCCTAGCACTTTGGGAGGCCAAGGCGGGTGGATCACGAGGTCAGGAGATCGAGACCATCCTGGCTAACACAGTGAAACCCCATCTCTACTAAAAGAAAAAAAAAAAAAATACAAAAATTAGCCGGGCACGTAGTCCCAGCTACTCAGGAGGCTGAGGCAGGAGAATGGCGTGAACCCAGGAGACGGAGCTTGCAGTGAGTCGAGACCGCACCACTGCACTCCAGCCTGGGCGACAGACTGAGACTCCGTCTCAAAAAAAAAAAAAAAAAAAAGACAACAAAAATCTTATTTACACTCCAATATAGTTAAACCTTTGTCTTCTGAAGCATTATATCTCCTTTTTTGCCTGAGGATTAGAATCTTCCTAGGTCTACCCACTTAAGTAATTTGGGCCTTGAGGGTTTTTTTTTGGTTTTTTTTTGTTTTTTTTTTTTTGATAGGAAGTCTTGCTCTTGTCCCCCAGGCTGGAGTGCAATGGCACAACCTCGGCTCACTGCAACCTCCGCCTCTCAGGTTCAAGCGATTCTCCCACCTCAGCCTCCCGAGTAGCTAGGATTACAGGCGCCCACCACCACGCCTGGCTAATTCTTGTATTTTTAGTAGAGACGGGGTTTCACCATGTTGGCTAGGCTGGTCACGAACTCCTGACCTCAGGTGATCTGCCCGCCTCGGCCTCCCAAACTGCTGGGATTACAGGCGTGAGCCACCGCGCCCAGCCAGGTCTTGGTTTTTGATGTGTAAAAGGATTTCAGCCAAACCACCTTCCCCAGGTGGTATCCTGTGGCACGGCAGTCTCCTGAGACACTCTCTAAAAAACGATTCCATGGCCACGTAAGTCTGGGAAATGCTCTTACTATATAGCGGCCTCACCTCCCCTTCCTCCTTACCTTAGTGAATTGCAGGCTACACTGATATATTAAAGGCTTTTCACATTCCTGTATTTACAAACAAAAAAACTCTTCTACTTCAACCTCAGTCAAGTGTTTCCCAAAGTTACATGACTAGAGATTTTTGTTTTTAATTTCATATAATATCTATTAACATTCCACAAAATCCATTTTCCACAAAGCTCATTTTAGGCAACACTGGTCCCTACCAGCTCTGATTTGTTTTCCCCAATCTGTGCTTACTAGAATTGCTCACTGAAAATACTCAGTGTGGCACTCTCAAAAATGGCAGAAAATCCAATACTATCAATGAATTATTCGCCCTTTTTTTCCCCCATTTAAGAGTTCTGGTCCCTACCCAATAATATTCCTGGTGATGTTATGGGCAAATGCTCAAAGCAATGCCACAGATGTACTATAATAAAATGCCTCTTGAAAAATTCTAGTATCTGCCCAGAATCACAAAAGCCCATAAAACACTAATATGCAGAGCTAGTTATAAATGTTTTGCTCTAAATGTTGATTTCAAAGTTTGCTAACACATATCCTAATTAATGAGCTACTTCACTAAATATCTTTTTACTATTTTTTGCACCTTTCTCCCTAATTTCTAACAGCAACAGGGATTTGGATTGTAAGTTAGGTTATTCACTAATATCTACCTCCTACGTTCACTATAATAATCATCATATATTTTATAAATAGAAATGGTGGCTCTATACTTAACACCAATGATATACATATGAACTTGTTAAAATATCATTTATTTACTACCTTCAAGCCTAGTTTGTTTCTAAAATTAAACTTTTAAGTTTGCAATATGAATCTATAAAATCCAGATAACAGTATAACAATTCTATATCTTAAAGAGCTACACTCAAAAAGAATGGAATCTTAAAAAATTGTGTTGCTGCCGGGCGCGGTGGCTCACGCCTGTAATCCCAGCACTTTGGGAGGCCGAGGCGGGCGGATCACGATGTCAGCAGATCGAGACCATCCTGGGTAACACAGTGAAACCCCGTCTCTACTAAAAATACAAAAAATTAGCCGGGCGTGGTGGCGGGCGCCTGTAGTCCCAGCTACTCGGGAGGCTGAGGCAGGAGAATGGCGGGAACCCGGGAGGCGGAGCTTGCAGTGAGCCGAGATAGCGCCACTGCACTCCAGCCTGGGCCACAGAGCGACACTCCAGTCTCAAAAAAAAAAAAAAAAATTGTGTTGCTTTCCAACATTATCAGCAGCAAACAAAATCATCATAAACAGAGTTCATATAAAATCACAAAGAAAAACATGTTCTTGGCAAAATCATCAAACAGAACACCCACCAAAGAAAGACTCTGGTTCTGGTGGCATTCTGTACTGATTTCAGAATCCTTTGCTCCTCTAACAGGAAGATCATTTGCCATAGGACGCTAATGACCTAAGGCCTATATGTTAATTGCATTAAATAAATACCAGCACAAAATACTAAAACATCTCATAAGAAGTATGGAAATAATTTTACAAGTATGTTTAAGAGAAAAAAACACCTTCTGGTTTTTTAAAGTAAACACTAAGGCCGAAATTTTATACAAGAGAAATCTTTACATCTGTTGCTGACATTCTTGATCTGCAAGCTAAGTGTTTAGAAATGTACCAAAACTCAAAGGCTTTCAAAATTAGATTCTTCCAAAATAATATTTTCCTAGGTATGGAGTATAGTTATTTCCAGGTTGGAAAAAGATATTTAGAATATATATATATATCAAAAGACTCATATCAGAGAATATAGAGAACTCTCACAGTCAATAAGGAAAAAACACAAGAATCCAACTTTAAAAAGGTAGGGGGGCAAACTCTTAAAGACTTAACAAAACGGAGCATATTCAAATGGCCAATAAATACGTAAAAAGCTCCCTATTTAGTCATCAGCAAATAGCAAATTAAAACCCCAATACAATACTACTATCCACTCACCAGAAAGGCTAAAACTAAAGCATCAGAAAACACCATATGTTAATGAGGATGTGGCACAACGAGCATGTTTATATGGTACAAGCACTCTGGAAAACTGGCCACATTTCTATAAATGCTGAAGATGTTTACTCCATGGCTGAGCAGTGTAACTCCCAGGTATATATCTAAGAGAAATTAGTGTTATGTCCATCAAAAGATACGTACAAGAATGTTCATAGCAACTTTATTCGTAACAGGCAAAAGCTGTCAACACATATGCCCAGCAATAGTAGAACAGATTAATAAATTATGCTGTATCCACACAATGGAATACTACATAGCATTGAAAGAAAACTGCTACTATATGTCACATGGATTTCACACAGAATGTTAAGTAAAAGAAGACTGGAGAGTGTATGCTGTATGATAAATTTATATGAAGCTAAAGGACAGGCAGAATTAATCTACAGTGATAGAAGGGTAGTTAACCTCTGGGTAGGAAAATACTGACTGGGAAGGGCCACGAGGGAGCCTTCTAGCATGCTGAAAATGTTCTCTCTTAATCCGAGCAGTGACTATAAGAGCATATACATAAGTAAAAATTTGGCCAGGCGTGTTGTTTCATACCTGTAATCCCAGCACTTTGGGAGGCTGAGGCGGGTAGACTGCTTGAGGCCAGGAGTTCGAGACCAGCCTGGTCAACATGGCAAAATCCTGTCTCTACTAAAAATACAAAAATTAGCCGGCCATGGTGGTGCACACCTATAATCCCAGCTTCTTGGGAGGCTGAAGTACGAGAATTGCCTGAACTCAGGAGGCAGAGGTTGCAGTGAACCGAGATCACACGACTGCGCTCCAGCCTGGGCGACAGAGGGAGACTGTGTCTCAAAAAAAAAAGAAAAGAAAAGAAAAAAAAATCAACAAGCTATACACCTAAGATTTATGCACTTTACTACACTATAAACTTAAAAATTAATTTTAAAAAAGGAAATAAAAAGAAGAAAAAACTATAGTTCCACCTGGGGATTTTTCCTAAAATCAGTGAAAGCACACAATTTGACAGCTAAGATATATCTTAGCAATTATCTAGTTCACCTCTTTTACATACTGAGATCCAAAAATGTTACATTATTTTACAGACAGCAAAATTACCATCAGAACCTCAAAACCTTTTCCAATCTATGGTTTCCCTTCATTATACCAAGGACTTAACAATACCATTAACCAGAACTCAACAAGAAAGCAATAAAATCCAGAGATACCAACAAGAAGAGTCTCAGCTTAACTAAAATAACACTAAAATAAGGTGACAAATAGGTGTTTAGGTAACAAGAAAATAAGTCTACAACAAAATACACAATTTTATGATACTGAAAAATTCAGCTAACAAATGGCAAAAAGTATAGGTGGGGATTTTTTTAAAAAAACTTTCACAAGCAACAGAAATCATCAAGACAGATGCCACCATGATTTGTGTTCCGGCCTCATCAGTGTCCCGGATGTTTTTTGAAAACATCAGGTACTCTCCCAACTACCTGAAATGTACTTCCCCCAGCTATGCACAAAGTGCATGCTCTTTATAGAGGTGTCTGTCAACGAGCTTCCTTTATCTGAGCCTCTTCCTGATATCCTTATCTATTCTTACCTTCCACCACGCTGTCCCTCACTCTATCCCTCCATGTATCTTGCTAGCACACATTACTCTGGCACTATATTGCATACTTATTATTTATCTTCCTCTCTAACACATAGTCTCCCTGAGGGCAAGAACTTTATCTTGTTCCCTATGCTACATCCTCAGTCCAAAATAATGCCTGGCACATAGTAGGGACTCAAATATTTGCTACTTAAATGTCTACATGCATTCAACTACTCGTGAATTCAACGAATAAATGCATCCATTCATTTGTGAATGGGAGTAATTCATCAATGAGTAAATGAATATTCATAATCGTTTCTTTCTCCCATGTTTCTTCACAGCCCCTGGCTACTCTATAGAATTAAGTCATCAGGTCACGGTGAGATTCCATAAACAGAGAGAAGCAGTCACCAGTAAGGAAGACCCAGTAATGCTGAAGTAAAAACCTGTCCCCTTCTTGTTAGACCTTCTTGGGAACATCCATGTCCTCCAAGCACTAGCTTCCTGCAGAAAAACTTCCAGCACATACCATTTGTGAGGAGCAAGGAATACATACCAAGAAATATGGAGGACAAAACTAGGTATCACTGAAATTACACTAGGCTAGGCAAAATCTTTCAAATTAACCTTAAAAAATTGGGTGTCTTCCAAAAATCCAAATAACATAAATTAGGGATAAATAGAAAATACCACAAAACCAAGAAATCAAAATTAGCAGGAAACCACAATAAAGACAAATTTGTTTTTAATGCCATCTGGTCAAAGTAATAAAAATGGAATATGTTATTAGCTATTTGATTATTATTAAGAATAAATGACTATATTAACATAAACATATTGATAATGGTTACAGGTACTGCTTGCATAATTTACCAGACCAACTAATGTAAAGCAAGTTTGAATACGCCCACATCTTGTCAGGTACATGTATTACTAATGATCTTTAACATTTTAACATCAATGCAATGCTATGAAATGACACTTATATTTTAAATTTTATTTGTGGGCTAAAACATACAAGAACCAAACATGTCTTATTCATCTATGCATCCCTAGTATCTACCACAGTGAGTGGAACATGCCCCGAATTAAATGATTATATGACTGCTTGAATAGAAGAATCACATTCTTCCACAGTCCAGGAAAAAGTAATATGAAAGCCATTACAAAATTTTGAGCTATTTCTGGAATAAATGTCACATAAAAGCCCACAAATATATATATACATATATATGTATATATATATAAATATTTAGAGACCTATACAAATATATTCCCTATTTTTACATATTCTTAAGGGCAGAATTATACTCTGGATAAATAACCATATGTAATATATGTTTTACTTTTATAATTAACTACTACTGACTAGATGAAAATCAACTGCTTTTTAATCATACAGGCAGTTACTTAAAATTATTTGGCATATATAATGAATGACCATAGTGAAAATACAAACTTTCCTTGTTTAGACTAGCCATCAAAAGGTACTATTGTTCACTTGTCAAGTGATTACCAGGAGGTCATAAAACTTGATGCTCTTCAGTTTTAATGTGAAAAACAGACCTAAAATACAAAAGCTAAAGACAAATGGCACTCACAGCAAAGTTGTTTCTATCACATGAGCTTTGCACTCACTAAAATGTGCTTAACTCATTGTATGTAAATTGCTCAACACTCTCACTCAGGAAATTAAGAGCAGCTTTTACTTATTATAGTAGAACAACTGTCAAAAGCTTATGACATCATTTGAATTTTCCTTTTTGCTTCATGTCACAAGTTTCAAGAACACTATTTTCTTCCCAAGTAGCTTTCAATTTGGCAACAACTGAATTCTCTCTCCAGCTGTTTTTTTAAAAGTAGTCAACTCAGCTGCTCATTCATTCAAAACATGTTCACTGGGCTTCTACTCCATTCCAGACACTCTGCTGGGCATTGTGTATTTCTTCAGACTCTTGCATACAGTATTTTTATAAGTTAGTGTAACGAGCACAAAGTATGCTATGGATTACAGTACCCCAATATAGCTAACTTATCAAAACGAGAGATCTGCTCCTGTATGAACAAGAAGCTCTACCACCAGAATAAAAAAACAGGACACCTATAGCTCCTTTGTCTCCAGTTCTAGGTAAAGCAATTAAGAAATACACGTATTTTAATAGAAACTAGGCACTAGAGCGTGACTGTAGTCCCAGCTACTTGGGAAGCTGAGGCAGGAGAATCGCTTGAGCCCAGGGATTCAAGGATATAGTGCACAGTGATCATAATACTTACAAATAACCAACTGCACTTCAGCCTGGTCAACATAATGAGATCCTGTCTCTTAAAAAAAAAAAAAAAAAAAGGAAAGAAAATCACAAATAAATCTTTTCCCAAATGATATCTTTTACAGGTTTTATGTGGTATAATAGATGAATCAACATATTAAAAATTCTTTACAAGTTTTTTGTTTTGCTTTGTTTTGTTTTTTAAAGAGTCTTGCTCTGTCACCTAGGCTGGAGTGCAGCGGCACGACCTCGGCTCACTGCAAACTCCGCCTCCTGGGTTCAAGCAATTCTCCTGCCTCAGCCTCCTGAGTAGCTGGGACTACAGGTGCACGTCGCCAAACCCGGCTAATTTCTTTTGTATTTTAGTAGAGATGGGGTTTTGCCATGTTGCCCAGGATGGTCTCAAACTCCTCAACTCAGGCAATCCAGCCACCTCGGCCTCCCAAAGAGCTAGGATTACAGGCGTGAGCCACCGTGCCCGGCCTACAGGTTTTCTGTGGCATAAAAGGAAAAATTAAAATATTAAAAATTCTCAAAGACTAAAATTATATGTTGATAAATCAAACTGAGTGGTTTTGAATATTACTTCTTTTTTTATTTGAATAGGCTGATTTTAATATTAAAATGTAAAACATATGTTCTTTTAATTCAGACGAATATTTGAATTAAAAAGAAAAACAAAACAACCAAGAAAAATAAAATTTCATGTGCAAATGCTGACTGGGTAACCAGAAGGATCACTTACTTGCCCTTGACCTCAGGATCTCTGACAGTTCCTAATAACATCATCCAGACCTAGTAACAAAAGTTTAGTCAATGATTATTTGGCCAAGCACCTTTACAAGTATAGCCTTATGTAATTATCACAACAAATTGTGTTGTATACAAATGAGGAACCTGGAGTGAAGAGAGCTGAGCAATTGGGAACTTGCTGAAAGCCACACAGGTAGTAGGTAGAGGAGATGAGAGTTAAGGCAGAAATGATTGATTAGAGTTCACATTTTCACCCTGGATGCTACTCAGCCTTCATGTCAACAATATCCTGACCCAAAATGTATGGAACTGTAAACACAGCAAGCACTGTTTGGCAGTACTGATATCACCTTCACACCATTCAATCCAAAGAGTCTATCACTGGGCACATTTGTTCTCAGGCAGGAGGTTAATCAAGAATCAGCATCCATTTCATGCCAAGCATTCCTTTTGACAGCTAACATCCCATTTCATGGTCTTAATCCTCAACTTTCAGAAAACAATGTATGTTCAAATTAATTGTAATAATTATTGTTATATAAAGCTAAACCTTAAGCAGAGGTCAATTATCAAGCTACTCCAGAACTTCAGACATTGAAATCAAATACAAAACCCCAGAAAAAAACAATAGAAGTGAAAATGAGGACTCAAAAAGGCACCTCCTAATGCTTATATTCCCAACTTACAGAAGAGTCCTGCAAGCTCCTTTTCCCACTTTCCTCTTGACTGTAACTTTACTAACAATAAACTTGGTGATCTAGTTTCCAAGCCAATAATCGATACTTCCAACCCTCCTTTATACCTGCTCTATTTTTCCCACAACACCCCCTGCTAACCTTCTGTATAATTTACTGATGTATTATGCTTATTGTTTAATGACTATCTCTGACCATTCTCCCCCAACCACACCCCCAGAATGCAAGTTCCACAAGAGCAAGAGATCTTTATCTGATTTACTCACTGATTAAACAGTTACCAAATGCCTCGACAGTACTTAGGTGCTCCATATTTTAACGAGCATATTAAGAAATTACAAATTAGAAAGGGAACAAATGCTAATACTAGACAAACTAACACAAGAATTGTCAGCAAGAAAGAGAAAGGATAAAGGGGACAACAGAGTAACTTTAGAGATAAAAGCAGTAGCCCATGGCACACTGAAATACGACAAGAGCAGAAGAATATTCCTAGGAAAATATGAGAGCCATTATCAACAGGCAAGTCCTGCTCGGCATTCTGTTTGAGAAGCTGAGGAAGAACACAAGACATTTTGGGAACATTGTCATTTTAAATTATTAGAGTACATAATATCTCAGCAATAAAAAACGTTTCCAATGCTTGGAAAATTTGCTTACAATGAACACTTCACTCACTGATGTCAATCACTCCATATTTTACTGAGGCCCACTTTAACTTTTACAAATGGCAACATCATGTCTAGTATAAAAAGCACTGCAGACTGGGGTGCGGTGGTTCACGACTGGAATCCCAGCACTTTGGGAGGCCAAGGCGGGTGGATCACTTGAGGTCAGGAGTTGGAGACCATCCTGGCCAACATGGTGAAACCCCATCTCTACCAAAAATACAAAAATTAGCCGGGCGGTAGTGGCGAGCACCTGTAATCCCAGCTACTGGGGAGTCTAAGGCAGAAGAATTGCTTGAGCCTCGGAGGCAGAGGTTGCAGTGAGCCGAGATGGCACCACTGCACTCCAGTCTGAGCGACACAGTGAGACCCAGACTCAAAAAAAAAAAAAAAAAAAAAAAAAAGCACTGCAATTTCAGGACATTGCTCTGCCACTAACTACTCATGTTACCTTAGGCAAATTAATTAATTCTTTAAATATGAGACATTCATCTATATAATCCTAAAATCCTTTCACCTCCAATGTTGTATGATGGTATGATTTTGTGATCTGAGACAAGTTTTAGGAAGTTACTGACCGAAAGGAACTTTGAGTTAAATGTTGGCTTGGCACAGTAGCTCATGCCTGTAATCTCAGCACTTTGGGAGGATCATTTGAGGCCAGGAGTTCAAGACCAGGCTGGGCAACACAGCAAGGTCTCCTCTCAAAAAAAAGGCCAGGTGTGGTGGCGTATGTCTGTAGTGCCAGCTACTCAGGGGACCAAGGCAGGAGAGACTGCTTGAACCCTGGAGTTCAAGGCTGCCGTGAGCTATGATGACGACACTGCACTCCAGCCTGGGTGACACAGCAAGAGCCTATGTCAAACAATGAAAAAGAGGGAGGAAGGGAAAAGAGTGGAAGGGAGAGAAGAAACGGAAGGAAAGAAAGATGAATGTTCCCAGTGCTAGTTTTGACTCCACCCCTTTGGATCTCCCCAAAAAGGAACATGCTTGAGATATAACAGTGTCTCTCTCCAATAGTAAATGACTGAAAAGCTTTGGTCATTTAACTACTATTAGTTATAAATGTCTTTACTACTATTAGTAATAAATGTCTTGTCACGGACCTTGACACAGACTACAATACACAAGTGTTCCCTGACTTAGGAGTTGCTTAAAGAAACTGGCTTCCTTAATTGAATTATACAAATAATTGCCTAAGCTCTCTACTTTATTCAAGTAAGTTAGCCTGGCTTTAAAAAATGTGCTTTAGGCCAGGCACAGTGGCTCATGCCTGTAATCCCAGCACTTTGGGAGGCCAAGGCAGGTGGATCACCTGAGATCCAGAGTTTAAGACCAGCCTGGCCAACATGGTGAAATCCTGTCTCTACTAAAAATACAAAAATCAGCCAGGTGTGGTGGCACGTGCCTGTAATCCCAGTTACTCGGGAGACTGAGGCACAAGAATTGCTTGAACCTGGGAGGTGGAGGTTGCCGTGAGCCAAGATCATGCCATTACATTCCAGCCTGGGCAACAGAGCGAGACTCCGTCTCAAAAAAAAAAAAAAAAAAAAAAAAAGAGGCCGGGCGCGGTGGCTCACACTTGTAATCCCAGCACTTTGGGAGGCCGAGGCAGACAGATCACGAGGTCAGGAGATCGAGACCATCCTGGCTAACACGGTGAAACTCCATCTCTACTAAAAAACACAAAAAATTAGCCAGGCATGGTGGTGGGCGCTTGTAGTCCCAGCTACTCGGGAGGCTGAGACAGGAGAATAGCATAAACCTGGGAGGTGGAGCTTGCAGTGAGCCAAGATCGCGCCATTGCACTCCAGCCTGGGTGACAGCAAGACTCCGTCTCAAAAAAAAAAAAAAAAAAACATGCCTAAAGCATTTCAAAATGTGGCTGGGTGCAGGGGCTCACACCTGGAATCCCAGCATTTTGGAGGGCCAAGGCAGGCAGGCAGGCGGATCACTTGAGTCCAGAGTTCCTGACCAGGTTGGCCAACATGGTGAAACCCTGTCCCTACTAAAAATACAAAAATTAGCCGGGCTTGGAGTCATGCGCCTGTAGTCCTAGCTACTTGGGAGGCTGAAGCACGAGAATCGCTTGAACCTGGGAGGTGGTTGTTGCAGTGAATCGAGATTGTGCCACTGAGCTTTAGCCTTGGCAACAGAGGGAAAGACTGTCTCTAAATAAATAAATAAATATTAAATAAATATTAAAAAGTTTCAAAATGTTCGGATCTTACTATCATTCTGTTAATTATATGCCAGAGTTAAATATTTATAAAATACAGGTTAAGTATCCCTAATCCAAAAATCTGAAATCTGAAAGCTCCAATGGGCATTTCCCTTGATTGTCATGTTGGCACTCAATAAGTTTCTAATCTTGGAGCATTTTTGGATTTCAGATTTTCACATAAGTGATACTCAACCTGTAGCACCAGCAGGTTCTCAGGTGGCACTGCTTTGCTCAACATCATTTTGTTATAACTTCAATGAGTATGAGACCAGCTTGGGCAACATAGCAAGATCCTGCTTCTACAAAAAATAAAAAACAAAAACCAAAAATACATTGATGATTTAAAAAAAAAAAAAACCCACCTCCTGGCCAGGGCTACTGTCTGTGTGGAGCTTGCAATTCCCCCCACATCTGTGTGGGCTTGCTCTGGGTCTTCCAGTTTCCTCCCACATCTCACACGTGTGCACGTTAGGTTCACTGCTGTGTATACATGGTCCCAGTGTGAGTGTGGGTGTGTGCGTGAATATGCCCTGTGGTGGAACAGACTCCTGTCCAGGGTGAGTGTCCAACCTGCGCCCTAAGCTTCCAGAATAGGCTACAGCTCCCCGCCACCTGAACTGAAATCACTGGGTTAATAATATCTTACTTATTTTTATTAATCTTTCTTAAATGTATGTATAGCTCACATTTATTTCAATGTTTAATATTAGAAGTGCTTTGGTTTTTATTTAGAAGTCTGGTGATGTTTTGTGACCAGAAATATGCTGTAGGAACTTAACTCTTGTTTATATCAATTAGCCTAGGGTAAAACTGGTTTCCTTGTATGTCATTTCACCTATGACCACAGTTTCCAAGAACTATTAATGACATTAAGTGAGAACTTACTGTGTGTGCCTATATATGATTGTCTGGTCTTTGCCTAATTGGAGAATGTCAATTCTCTAATACACTGAATAATTTTCTAAATATAAGTTACTACTTTCATATACAAAAATGTAAGCCATTAAGAGGAAAAAAAATAAAGATGAAAACTTCTCGAGATTAAAGTCCAGAAAATATTTAAAACCTTTAACAAGCAAAGAATCACTTGTAATTATCCTTTTAATGCCTCAATGAAAATTACAATAAATGATAGAAAAAGAAGCCTTTATTCATACTTCTTGGGCTGTGAACACACAACTTGCAGAGAGCAAGCTGAGCCAAGATGAAAGAGCAAAGGGTTCTCGATCTACACCACCACCTGGTGGCGGAGTGAGACAGTGGCGCAGCTTCCACCGTCTCCTTTCAAGTCTCCATGGGGTCAGAATGGACTCATCACGACCTTTCCTTTCCACACTCATTGTCTAAACAAGTGAATATACATACACCTGAATATAAGATAACTATCCTCAAAATAAGCATCCCTCAGAAGTAGATATCGCCTCCTATTTCCATCTCTCATAGGAAGTTCCCTGAACTAATTTAAAAAACATTACAGGCTGGGCACAATGGCTCACACCTATAATGCCAGTACTTTAGCAGGTTGAGGCAGGAGGATCAGGTGATGCCAGGTGACCAGCCTGGACAACACAGCAAGACGCCCCCCTACAAAAAAAAATTTAAAAATTAGCTGGATGTAGTGATGTGCACCTGTACTCCTAGCTACTTAGGAGGCTGAGGTGGGAAGACTGCTTGAGTCCAAGAGTTTGAGGTTACAGTGAGCTATGATCACGCCACTTGCACTCCAGCCTGGGCAACAGAGCAGGACTCTGTCTCAAAAAACGATAAGAAGAAAAATAAAAAATAAAACAGATGGCAATGGATTATAGCACTTCATATAAGGCCATGAGCCTACAATGCTATCAGAAGGAAAAAAGATGGTGAGAGGTAGGGAGTTGTGAATACAGAGAGAAATCTCTTCTTTACAGAGAGAAAGAATTTCAGCTAATAAGTGTAGAAACAATAATACAATTAGACAAATCACCATTTTGCTACCTCTCCCACCTCTCCATAATAACTACTTCAGGCAAGGATCATCAAAGATGCTAAAACAAATGGACAACAGGTTATTGGGAAAGAGGTTATTCCTCCTACCTCAGAAATATTATCATAATAAGGGTATAACATGCCTTTAAAATGAGAAGATCTAATTACAAAGAAAAAAATATAAGAATAATAAAGAGGCTGGGCGCAGTGGCTCACGCCTGTAATCCCAGCACTTTGGGAGGCCAAGGTGGGCGGATCCCAAGGTCAGGAGATCGAGACCATCCTGGCTAACACAGTGAAACCCTGTCTCTTCTAAAAATACAAAAAATTAGCCGGGCGTGGTGGCAGGCGCCTGGAGTCCGAGCTACTCGGGAGGCTGAGACAGGAGAATGGCATGAACCTGGGAGGCAGAGCTTGCAGTGAGCCGAAATCACGCGACTGCACTCCAGCCTGGGCGACAGAGCAAGACTCCATCTCAAAAAATAAATGAATAATAATAATAATAAAGAGAGCTGATGGCTGTTATTCAACCAAGTGAGCAAACCAAGTGACAACAGACTTAAATGTCCCCATCACAAATGAAGGACAACCGACATTACATGCTGCTTGATATGATACAGTAAAAGAGTAAGACTGGCACAAGCCCTAGAGGAAACTGACAATATGAAAAAAGCTGAACACCTGCACACCCTACGACACAGCATTTCTATTGGGCACACATCAAATAGAAATGTGTCCGTATGTTTACCAAAAGGTATGTATAAGGATGTACATATGCAGCACTTTTCACGGTAGCCTCATACCAGGAACTACTAAAATTCCCACCAACAGTAGAAAGGGATAAATTCTGGATAGTCATACATAAAACACTATACAGCGATGAGAGTTAACAGTCTACTACAACAGGCAAAATAAAATAGATAACTCACACTACCATAATGTTGGGCAAATGAAACCACACTCAAAAGAGTAGGATTCTACTTACATTAAGTATAAAACAGGCACAACTAATCTGTAGTTTTACAAGTCAAGAAAATACCGGTAGTGATGGAAAAGAACAAGCAGGGGCTTCTGAGGAGTTAGTAGTAATCAACTTATTTATTTATTTATTTTTTTGAGACAGAGTCTCATTCTGCATCCAGTCTGGAGTTCAGTGGCACCATCTCAGCTCACGGCAACCTCTGCGTCCTGGGTTTAAGCGATTTTCCCGCTTTAGCTTCCCGAGTAGCAATTTCTTAATCTAACAGTGAGTTCAATTTGTGAAATTTCATCTATCTGAACACTTATGCATACTTTTCTGTATATACGTTATACTTCAATAAAAAACTTTTTTTAAGTACACATAACCTACACCTAAAAACATTAAACTTTTAAGAACACTTAAGAATCTGATTACTAGATAACAACAAAAACCGAACTGTGATACGGAACATTCTAAAGATAATTGGGTTAAATGTCAAAGTCATTAAATGAAAAAATCAAAAAAGATTACAGAAACAGAACAGTCATAAACATAACATAAACACAATACAGTTCATGTAAAATGTGTGAACCGTGACTGGATCCTATTTTCATTCATCTATAAAAGCTATTTTCTATTTTGGGGCCAGGCACAATAGCTCATGCCTGTAATCCCAACACTTTGAGAGGCCGAGGCAGAAAAATTGCTTGAGGCCAGGAGTTCAAGACCAGCCTGAGCAATATAGCAAGACTCTACCTCTACAAAAGGAAAAAAATTAAAAATTAGCCTGGCATGGTGGTCCACTCCTGTAGTCCTAGCTACTCAGAAGGGAGACTGAGGCAGAAGGATCACTTCAGCCCAGAAGTTTAAGGCTGCAGTGAACTATGACCATGCTACTGTACTCCAGCCTGGGTGACCGACCAAGACCTTGTCTCTTAAAAAAAAAAAAAGTAAAGGTATTTTTGGTACACTTGGAACATCTGAATATGGACTGTGATGTTATAGAATTTCTACAGTTTTTAAAGAGTAAATATTGTGGTTATATAAGAGAATATACTTATTCTTAGGAGACGTATGCTTAGCACATCCAGGCAAAATGTCATAACATGCACAACTTTCAAATGGTTCAAGAGAGAAAGATAAAGTAAACCTAACAAAGTTGTTAACAACTTGTCAACATTGGTGAATGGAGTCTGGGTGTTCATTACATTCTTTCAACTTTTCTGTTCAAAAACTCCAAAAGTTTCAAAGTAGAAAGTTAAGGAAAAGAAGTCAATATTACAGAAAAAAATTAAGAAGCTGCCCTAGAATAAAAGAATCTAAAACGATATCACAAAATGTAATAAACTTTGATTAAACACTATATCTTTTAAAATGGGAAAATGTAAAATAAGCACTAAATAGTAGATGATATTTACAAATTATCATTAAGTTTCTCATGCGTTATAATTATACCACGTCTTGTAGAAGCACATCTCATTGTTTGAACATGTATGCTAAAGAATTTAGTAGTAAAATGTCATGATATATAATGGATGTTAAAATGACTCATACACAAAAAAAAGATAAAGCAAAGAAAAACTAACAACTGTTGAAACTAGGTGAGGGATGTACAGGTCATCAGTATAATCAGTAAACCATTCTTTCAATTTTCCTTTATGTCTGATAATGTTGATAATAAAATTTGGGAAACAATTAGTCAGTGAATGCAGAAGTATGATGAGATTACTGGGTTTATGACTAGGCTGTTTTTGAGACAGTAAAGAAGAGATGAGAGGTCAACTCTATTCTAGGAAACCAACGGCACATATTATTAGACAACAGTATTTTCTAAAGAATAACATCAATAGAATTTCAGCTAAAATCTCATGTTTCTATCACATAGAATTACTGGTATCCTGAAAAATAAAGATTCTTAAAAGTTAGCTTTATACTGTATTATAAACGAGACAGGTCACAAATTACTCCAATTTATATCACATTACTTTCTGAAAATCTGATATCTACCTGAATGACTGAAAACAGTCATGGAAACACACATACTGGATTAATTTACAAAGTCCTATATTATTTCACTATTTGCAATTATGTGCTACTTTTCTAAAGATGTTGAAACGGCTCCACTGTCTGAGGTATATACCCTGGTTCTTTGTCACGGTCAATAAAGAATTCAGGACACAGACACACGAGGAGAGGGTTTAGGAGCAGAAAGTTTAGCAGACAAAGAAAGAGAAAAGGCTTCCTCAAGCTGAGAAAGTGGGTTGCCCAAAAAGGGTCTCCAGTTTGTGGCAGAAGGCAATCGGTTTTGTACAGAGGACTGAAGAGGTGGTAACTGATTTACATGGGGCTCAGGGGATTGGGTTGATCGGGTATGCCATTTATATAGCCCTCGAAAAGACTGACCCTCCCACCCTAGTCTTTTATTATGCAAATGTGGCCTCCACCAGGTGGTGGCCATGATACCTGAACATGTGATTTTACATGGAGGTTACCAGGATGCCGGCACATGGTGGCGACAGGAAAAAGAGGGCAGGAGAGACCATATTGAATATACCTGGCTTGCAGGTACAGCTGCCTGCATTTACATATAAAAGCTTCTAGTTTGCATATCTATGCCTGACTCCTCAGGGTGCTTTCTGTTAGAGAAGAAATGGTTTAGAGCTGCTTTTTATTAAAGGAAAATTCCACGGAGAACTTTTACCCTTTCTAGCTGCCTAAAAATTATTTCTTAATGATGTCTGTATTAAGGTTACTGAAAAGAATTGCTTAGAATAGCCAGGCAATCTATATTTATCTTTGCATCAAATTTCTCAAAAAATAACCTATTTTTCAGAGTATTTAAATGATTATTTTACAGAGTCAGACTGGATTTTATGCACTAATGTGGTTGGTTACCTGAAATCTTCAAATAGGCATATTAACTGTTTTTTACTTTAAATGTTTTCCAACGAAAAAAGCAAAAAATGTATTTTCTTGAACATAATTAGTTTTCCCTCTTATATTAACAAAACTACACCACAGTGTGATACTGTACAGAGTCCCTTAAAGCAAGTCAGTATAATGCAAACTTTTCAAAGAACTTTTTTGGCTTCTCTTTCTGCATTAGAGCAGAAAGAGAAGAAATGAACACTGGCCATTTCCTGACGTAGAAAACTGTAGTCATGTACAGGGGAAAAGTACATTTGAACTCCACACCAAAATTAGCTTCTTTCAATATAAAACACCATGCTTCAAGACTGGGAAGCCAAGTAGCACATCCCAATCAGTTTTTCTCAGCAGTCAGCCCCACAGATAGTGCACTCTCTATCTGTAGGCCAAGGGTTTGCCAAGTGGAGAAAGAATTTCTAGGATGAAAACACGACCGGTGAAGAATCTCATCTGCAGCAGTGACCATCTCCTTAATAGAACTATCACTAGGGCAACTGGCAGGTTAATCCCTGTTAATGAGCCCCAAATTTAATTATCTTACCTGGACCAGAGGTGTCATTCAAAGAGAGCACAAGAGTGGCAGAAAGATTTGGGGGAGAAGGGAGGAGGGGTTAGGGAAAGGGGGTTCCTCAGTGCTCTTTATTTGGAAAAGAGATACGGGGAAGTTTGGGTGGGACACAAACGGTGACAAAACTTTTTTTTTTTTTTTTTTTTGACACAGTCTCCCTCTTGTCGCCCTCGCCAAGGTTGGAGCGCAATGGCACCATCTCGGCTCACTGCAACCTCTGCCTTCCAGGTTGGAGTAATTCTCCTGCCTCAGTCTCCTGAGTAGCTGGATTACAGGTGCCCTCCACCATGCCCAGCTAATTTTTGTATTTTTAGTAGTAGGACCCTCCAGAGGGTTTCACCATGTTGGCCAGGCTGGTCTCGAACTCCTGACCTCAGGTGATCCACCTGCCTTGGCCTCCCAAAGTGATCGGATTACTGGCATGAGCCATGGCGCCCAGCCTCAGTGGTAAACATTTTAAAAAGATCAGGGAGAGACAAAAAGAACACTATTAAGACCACTGACATCCAGGGTGACTGTGCATATGCCCCAGGCTGAGCCCTCTAGGGCGTGACATCAGAGGCTTCTCATAAATAAATACATACTGTCCTTTCTTCTCTTCACTGACTTAAAAAGCAATTGTAGGCCGGGCACGGTGGCTTACGCTTGTAATCCCAGCACTTGGGAGGCCGAGGCAGACAGATCACGAGGTCAGGAGATCGAGACCATCCTGGCTAACATAGTGAAACCCCATCTCTACTAAAAATACAAAAAATTAGCCAGAAGTGGTGGCACACACATGTAGTCCCAGCTACTCGGGAGGCTAAGGCAGGAGAATTGCTTAAATCCGGGAGGCAGAGGTTGCAGTGAGCCAAGATCACGCCACTGCACTCTAGCCTGGGTGACAGAGTGAGACTTAGTCTCAAAAAAAAAAAAAAAAACAAAATTGTAAAAACGTTATGTAGATAATTGTACCATTGGGACAATAACATGGAGAAAATTAATGTATTTGACAGTAATTTCATTAAGTAGAGAGGAGCAAAGCTATACTAGAAGGTAATTTGAATCCATAGAACAAATGAGAACCAGAAATAGTAAATAAACTGGTTAACGTAAGAAATTATAAATAACTAATTGTTCTTATTCCTTTTCTCAACTTTATAAAAGACACAATTATATAAAGGAATAATTATAATTATTGAATTTTTAACATAGATACATGTAATATGTATAACAATAATGGCACAAAAAAGGGAAAGAGGGACTAAAATGATACAGAAGTAACATTTTTTTACATCTCTCTGGAATTAAGTTCATATAAATCTGAAGTCAATTGTGTAAATTAAGATCTCTATCTTAAATACTAGAGCAGCCACTGATATCTTAAAAATATATAGTGAAA
The DNA here is from genome assembly GCF_000001405.40 of Homo sapiens. Taxonomy (NCBI): domain Eukaryota; kingdom Metazoa; phylum Chordata; class Mammalia; order Primates; family Hominidae; genus Homo; species Homo sapiens. Next base: position 121,893,755 of record NC_000010.11, read on the forward strand.
AAAATCATTCAAGGAATTAAAATGTTACACTAGAAAATATTCGTTTAATACACTAGAAAATATTTAATGCAAAAGCAAGCAGTAAAAGAGGAACAGAGGAAGGCTGGGTGCGGTGGCTCATGCCTGTAATCCCAGCACTTTGGGAGGCCGAGGCAGGCGGATCACCTGAGGTCAGGAGTTCGAGACCAGCCTGACCAATATGAAGAAACCCCGTCTTGACTAAAAATACAAAATTAGCCGGGCGTGGTGGCACACGCCTGTAATCCCAGCTACTAGGTAGGCTGAGGCAGGAGAATCACTTGAACCCGGGAGGCGGAGGTTGCAGTGAGCCAAGATTGCGCCATCGCACTCCAGCCTGGGCAACAAGAGCGAAACTCCATCTCAAAAAAAAAAAAAAAAGGAACAGAGGAAAAAAAAAAACATGGACATATCGAGGAAATGGAAATGGAAGTAAAATGGAAGGCATAAATTCAACTAGTTCAATCAAAACATTAAATGTGAACTGATTTAACACTTCAATGAAAAGGGACACTGTTCTCCCTATGGACTTTAAAAAACCAAAAACAAAAACCCAGGTCAATTACATGGTGTCTAAAAGAGGCACACTTTACATTCAAAGACACAAACAGATTGAAGGTAAAAGGAGGAAAAAGATGTGTCATGCAAACAAGAATCACAACATGGAGTGGCTCTACTAAGAGCAGACAAAATAGATTTGCACCAGGAAATGTTCCTAGGGATATAGATAATTCACAAAATGAAAGAGTCTAATCACATACATAAGAGACTTGTACCCAGAATATATATAATAAACTCCTACAACTCAGTAACAAAGACAATCCAATTAAAAAATGAGCAAAGGGTGCCGGGTGTGGGAGCTCACGCCTGTAATCCCAGCACTTTGGGAGGCTGAGGCAGGCAGATCACGAGGTCAGGAGATCAAGACCATCCCTGGCTAACACGGTGAAACCCCGTCTCTACTAAAAATACAAAAAAATTAGCCGGGCGTGGTGGCGGGCACCTGTAGTCCCAGCTACTTGGGAGGCTGAGGCAGGAGAATGGCCCGAACCCGAGAGGCGGAGCTTGCAGTGAGCCGAGATCGCACCGCTGCACTCCAGCCTGGGCGACAGAGTGAGACTCTGTCTCAAAAAATAAATAAATAAAAAATAAAATGAGCAAAGGGTTAGAATACACAATTCTCCAAAGAAGAAACGCAAAAGGCCAAAAAGCACAGGAAGGGAGATGCAAATCAAAACCATAATGAGACACCACTTTACACATGCTACAAGTAATATAAAAATCAATTTTAAGAAAAAAGAGACACAAGTGTTGGTGAGCACATGGAGGGAGAAAGCAGAGCCCTCATACACTTCCGGTGGGAATGGTAAATGATTTCACTCTCTGAAAAACAAGTCTGGCAGATCCTCAAAAGGAAAACACATGAGTTACCACGTGACCCAGTAATTCCACGCGTACGTATACACCCAAGAAAATACACATCCACATAAAAACGTGAACGTGAAATGTTCATAATAGAATTTTCTATAAAAGCCAAACAATAAAAACCACCCAAGGCTGAGCACGGTGGCTCACGTCTGTAGTCCTAGCACCTCGGGAGGCCGAGGCGGGTGGATCACGAGGTCAGGAGTTTGAGACCAGCCTGGCCAACATGGCGAAACCCCATCTCTACTAAAAATACAAAAAAACAAATTAGGCAGGTGTGGTGGTGGGCACCTGTAATCCCAGCTACTCGGGAGGCTGAAGCAGGAGAATCGCTTGAACCTTGGAGGCGGAGGTTGCAGTGAGCAGAGATCACGCCATCGCACTCCAGCCTGGTTGACAAGAGCGAAACTCCGGCTCAAAAAAAAAAATTCCATCAATGGATGAGTGGAAAACAAAATGTAGTATATCAGCCAGGTGCAGTGGCTCACATCTGTAATCCCAGCACTTTAGGATTACAGGAGTTTAAGACCAGCCTGGCCAATGTGGCAAAATCTCATTGCTACTAAAATACAAAAATTAGACGTGGTGGCACATGCCTGTAGTCCCAGATACTCAGGTGGCTAAGGCATAAGAATCACTTGAACCTGGGAGGCAAAGCTGCAGTAAGCCAATATGGCACCATGCACTCCTGCCTGGGCGACAGAGCAAGACTCTGTCTCCCCCCACCAAAAAAAAAAAAATCAAACATGTACTAAGCATTAAATAATATACATTTTGCTGGGTGTAATAATGGTACTGTAGTTATATATTTTTTGATGTCTATATTAATAACTTTTAATCTAAGAATAGAGTTCCCTTTTTAAGTGCTTCTTTATTAATTTATTTAAAGAAACTAGGTAATTTATCTAAGTGCCCAAGTGTCATTTTAACGTATTCCTTTACCCCTCATATTTCCTGTGAACTGGTCAGTAGATCTAGAAGCTTGGATAGATCCAGATTCAATTTCTTTAGCAAGAACATTCCACAGGTGGTGGTTTATACTTCTTACTGGATTACATTAGGAGGCACGTATCTGATCATCCCACATTTTAAGTCAGTTAAGATACATACTGAAGGACTTAATTATAAAATGATATGTCTGAGATTTGGTATAAAATAGTACAGCAAAATAACAACAAAAAAGTATGGAGAGATAGATTAAACAAGAATGGCAGCATGTTGAGGCTAGTTGAAGACTGCTGATAGGTATGTCGCAGTTTAAGTATTTCTAAAATATTATTTTTTTAAAAATCTGGCTCCTACCTAAACCTCCAAAAAGCCTCATCCCTTGGTCGGGCACAGTAGTCCACACCTGTAATCCCAGCACTTTGGGAGGCCAAGGTGGGTGGATCACCTGAAGTCAGGAGTTCAAGACCAGCCTGGCCAACATGGTGAAACCCTGTCTCTACTAAAAATACAAAAATTAGCTGGGCATGGTGGCACACACCTGTAATCCCAGAGACGCAGGGGTCTGAGGCAGAAGAACTGCTTGAACCCGGGAGGCAAAGGCTGCAGTGAGCCCAGGCTCAGTGAGCCAAGATCACGCCACTGCACTCCAGCCTGGGAGACAGAGCAAGACTTTGTCTCAAAAAAAAAAAAAAAAAAAAAAAAAAAGCCTCATCCCCTATTACCTCCTAACAGGTACTCTATGTTCTGGCCATACTAAACTAAGTATTAATAGTAGTTCCTCAAAATGGCATACAATTTTACCCTCCACACCTCTGCATTTTGCTAGTCCTGCTGCCCAGAACACCTTTCTCCCTTTTTGTCCTGGCAAACACCTACTCATCTTTCCAGACTTGGCTCAAATGTCACTTCCCTCAGAAAAACCTCTCTAACCTCCAGTTTCACACTAAGCTGGCTGTCCCTACTAATCCAATGGCTAATTCTAAAGGCACTGGAATTGCATACCTGTCTACCACCCCAATTCAGACTATGAATGCCTTTAGTGCTGCTCTAAGTCTGCATAAAGGGACTTCCCAGAGGCCTGAAGCCTACTAGGAGAAGCTCCTGGGGAAGTCTTGAATAAATACACCGGGCCACAGAAACATTTTGTCCAACTATTCCTACCTGCTAAGCAGGGAGGTAGAAAGGCATCATCTCCAGAGCACTAGGAAGGAGGAAAGTTCAGAAAGCAAAAAGACCCCCTGAGAATATCAAAGGAAGCTTCCTAGGCCTAGCAGAATCCTTACTATCTGCAAATGCTATCACCCACAGTGGCATGGATCAACAGGGAACCTAGGACATAGCCTCTCAAAACTGAAATGTGCATCTGAATCCTTTGGAAACCCAGTTTAAGATGTAGATTCTGGCCGGACCCGGTGGCTCATGCCTGTAATCCCAGCACTCTGGGAGGCCAAGGAGGAAGACCACAAGATCAAGAGATCAAGACCAACCTAGCCAACATGGTGAAACCCTATCTCTACTAAAAATATAAAAATTAGACGGCTGTGGTGGCACGCGCCTGTAGTCCCAGCTACTCAGGAGGCTGAGGCAGGAGAATCGCTTGAACCCGGGAGGTGGAGGTTGCAGTGAGCAGAGATTGCGCCACTGCACTCCAGCCTGGCAACAGAGCAAGACTCCGTCTCAAAAAAAAAAAAAAAAAAGTAGATGTTGAATGAATAGGACTGAGAGTCTGTGTTCCAGGTACTGCTGATGCTGCAGGTCTGCAAATGACACTTTAACCAGAAGACTCTGGGGGATCTGGGAAGTGAGCCCTTTCTCAGGGAACATGCAGCATTAACTCCTGTTGTATTAACCCTCTCTTTTTAGCTTACACATCGTGTCATTAAAAAAACAAAAGCAGTCAAAAAATCAAAACTCTAATTCTTCTGCATCTGTTGGCCTCTTTCTTCCAACATACCATGGTTCTACTGTGACAACGATGCCATCTCATTCATTTCAATATCCCAAGACTGACAAAGACAGACCCTCAATAAACGCCCGTTAAACCATATTATATCTAACAGAAGGTCCCCAACTTATAATGGTTGGACTTATGCTTTTTCAACTTTACAATGATGGAAAACGATTCCGTTTTTCACTTTCAGTACAGTATTCAATAAATTACATGAGATATTCAACATTTTATTATAAAATAGGCTTTGTGTTAGATGATTCTGCTTAACTGCAGATTATAAGTGTTCTGAGAATGTGTAAAGCAGGCGAGGCTAAGCTATGATGTTCGGTAGGTTAGGTGTAGGTATTTCTTTCTAATTCACTTGTTGTTAAGGTATTTTTGCTTATTGGTCTGTCTTTCCCATTTGATTATCAATTTCTTGAAGACAGAGACTCCTTTTGTTCTGTGGTGCACAGTCTGGCACACGATGGGCACTCAGTAAATGACTGTTGACCTAGAGTGGATGACTGACCTTATAAACCACTACTTTCAGGTTCCTAGAGAAAACACTAAGAACGCATCCTGAATTTGCAATCCTTTTTTCTAAGGATTTAAAATGCTCACATGTATGAGTCATGTGAGTGTTCACAGAAGTTCAGTAATACACACTGAAAGGGTCATCAGCTCCACCTGACAAGAAAATGGTATATATTATACTTCTTCCCAGACAACCTTATCAACACAGAAAACAACAGTTAACAATACCTCAGTCTTCCCACATTCATCGGGTGGATCCTGGTGTATGGCCACTTGATACTTGACATACAAAGAAAAGGACTGGCTGAAAGACGACTTGAACTCTGGGTCCTCAAAGGAGACAGGTACTAACCTCACCTTCAGAGCAAGGAAAATACAAGCAAATGCTATTGAAACATCTCTGATGATATGCTTCTGAAGGTGAGGCTACAGTAAGATCTCCACAAATCCACGCCAAAGCTCGAACTCGAATTTGTCATGAAAAGAAACCTTAGACGAGGCAGACGGGTGCAGAGACCGAAGTGCTAACTGTACTAAAACTTATGAAAATCTCAACCTCATAAGAGCCAACAATTTGTTCTTTTTTTTTTCTCTCTCTCCACTAATTGTAGTTTTCTGCATAAACTAGAGTCAATATTGTTGTTAATCATGGTGATGATCGCTACTTTTGCCACCTCTACTTATACTAAGTGTTTTAAGCTTTTTTCCTTTACAGATTTTTCTTGGGTCATTTAACTTACAAAATTATTAGCATATGAGTTCTTCTATTAAAATGTTCTACTATCTTCCTTTTTTAGTCCCACTCAATTGTGCAAGGGTAGCACATTAATAAAGAATAATTTAACTGGGATCAATTATTCCTACATACATCTTTCAAATACAGATAAAGCATTAAAATCATGTTAGGCAAAGTACGTATCTACCATAAAAATATAGTTTCCTGAGTTTTCCTCACAGGTATTTTAATTTAGAGCTCTATTACTATCTTTTAGATAAATGCATCTAAAATAGTGACTTTAAATAATTTTACATGTTACTTTGACTCTGAAATTATACATGGCTGGTACTTAACATGGCACTAGGTAAAATTTGCACTTTCAGAATGTCCATTAATTCAGTCTTAGGTCTTTGCAGATATGCTGCAAATTGAACACAAATAAAATGTAGCACAAATAAACCAAGATTTCATTAAATGATATTAAGTGGAAGGGAAAGCTCTGTTTGCACAGGAAAATTACACTTGGCCTGCTGACCTGGCTTTCGGTTGGCGTATCAGGTGGGTTCTTGTGAATAACCATCTGGTAACGTTTATAGACCTGGTAAGACTCCAGAAGTGTGGCTTTGAACTGCGAACTTGGTGGAGATGATCTCACCACCCTCACCTTCAGAAGCAGTTAAAAAAACAAGTTTACTAATTCATTCATTTATTCATTCTGTGGAATATGCATTAAGAGTAACTCCCATCCAAGAAACCAAGTTTCAACAATTATTAAAGCACCTAAATATTTTAATATTAAAAACCAACCAGTTAGTAAATAAAGAAAAAAGTTATTTTTGTAACTTACAGACTCATTAAGAAGAGGACGATCCCCTCTAAACTATAAGCCTCAGCTTTCATGACTGAATTATGTAAGCCTGCCTCTACTGTAAACTGGCAGAGTATTTCCAGCACTCGTACACACACGACACATACACACACAAATAAATACCCTCTAGTTGTGCACAACTACCAGTAATTCTAAGAAAGACTAAAAATATGAATACATTTTTTGGCCACTCATTCATCATTGCTAACCCTCAACTTAAAACTTGACTGTTTGAGTTAAAAAGACCTCATAAAGTTTTCCTACTTCATAGCATAGTTAACAACCATGACTCTGAAGTCACATTTCCTTTGTTCAAATCTTACAATGTCACCATCTTGGTCAAGTAACCTTGTAAAATAAGGATAAGTTTAAAACAGTAATTGCACGCAGTAATGGCTAACATTTACTTTAACATTATTTACTAGCCACTTAAAATGTATTAGCAAAACAGAACAGTAAAACAGTCAAATGCAATGCAATGAAAACAGCTGGAAACTGGACATGTGTGCCGTGAGACGTAATTCTATGAAGAAAGAGCGACACCCAGTGGTAAAAGATCTCTATACATCCTGAGTATCATTACATTCAAAAAGTACAAGTAACCACTGGAGAACTGTTATGTTAAGCGTGCTTGGCCTCCTGAATACATTACTATTTATGATCAAAGATAAAAGACACCTTGTAAAATATTTTAAGTAGTGTATTCAACTCTGTTTACAATTTTGGAAGGACAAAAAAATCTGTATCCAAATCAGAGTAGCCAAGGAGTTATAAAAGCTAAAATCTGGCCAGGCAAGGTAGCTCACACCTCTAATCCCAGCACTTTGGGAGGCCGAGGCGGGTGATCACCTGAGGTCAGGAGTTCGTGACCAGCCTGGCTGACATGGTGAAACCCTGTCTCTATTAAAAATATCAGAAATTAGCCGGGCGTAGTGGTGGGCACTTGTAATCCCAGCTACTCAGAAGGCTGAGACAGGAGAATCGCTTGAACCCAGGAGGCAGAGGTTGCAGTGAGCCGAGATCGCGCCATTGCACTCCAGCCTAGGCAACAAGAGTGAAACTCCGTCTCAAAAAAAAAAGCTAAATTCTACGTCTGATAATACATATACTGAATTAAGGCTTAGAATGCATGAAAGTTAATTTTTATTATCAGGACTTCAGTGATAAGTGATATTTTTAGATGATAGTAAGCTACAAAATTCAAAGGCTGACCAGTTACTAATCACATATGAGAATAAGATAAAAATCATTATGGCTAATGTTTTTGAATTTTTTTGAGACAGTCTTTTGCTCTGTCACGCAGGCTGGAGTGCAGTGGTGTGATCTCAGCTCGCTACAACCTCCACCTCCTGGGTTCAAGCAATTCTGGTGTCTCAGCCTCTCTAGGAGTTGGGATTACAGGTGCACGCCACCACGCCTGGCCAATTTTTATATTTTAGTAGAGACGGGGTTTCACTGTGTTGGCCAAGCTGATCTCAAACACCAGACCTCAAGAGATCCACCTGCCTCGGCCTACCAAAGTGCTAGGATTACAGGTGTGAGCCACCACATCCAGCCCTTGTTTTTGAATTTTATATATGAGAAACTAATACTGAGAAATCTTGATCTGATCTAGAAACGAAAATAAATTTGGAAAAATGGAGGAATTTGGCTCTAAAAGTATTCATATTATGCCCAAAGTGGTTTTGGCACTAATGAGAGAGGATTTCAGCAGTACAATTTAGCCCTATTTAGATAATTCCTAACTGCTGGCTTATGTATATGACACCATTTGCTGTCTTTACCAAGATCAGAATATTATAATGGATGAAATAGTGATTTGCCTTGTGTAATCTATTGTCTTTCACTATCTAAACCAAAACTGCTAAAAACACAATTTTAAAGAGTATTTCTTTCATTTTAACTATTAAATTTCAATCAAGGTAGCATGCTAAAATTGACACTGTTTTCACAAGTTTGGTGGCCAACTATGTATTCTCAAAAAGTCTTTTAAAAAAAAAGGAGTTTCCCTCAAACAGCAGTTAACTTAGTAAATACAAATGTTACTTCTTCCCAGTTCTCTTTAATTTCTTTTAAATTCTCATTATTTAACTAGCAAACATCAACTAATTAGAACTTCAAATAAAAATAAACGATATGCCCAAACAAAAAAAAATCATAATAAAACAAACAACAAAAGTCCTCCAAAGTACCTCTAACTTGTGTGATGCATTCTCTGGTAAAGACTCAAAAATTAAATCTTCGAGTGATTTTGGCTGGTTGGATTTAGCCTTTGGTGGAAACAAAGATGGTGGGTGACCTTGAGCCTGGAAACCCTCAAGTTCTCCAGCTGGGTTCTGCTGCATTAGTTTTAACCTTTTCCTTTCTTTCCGGATTTCCTTTGCTTTTCGACATGGAGGCTTACTCAAATCAGCCCCTTTGCCTAAAAAGAATTTTAAAATATTAGACCAATCACATTTGGTTCTAGAAAAGTTTTTTCACATGTCTCAAAGATTCTACAGTGTAAGTCCAAAGAGTTTCAATGGTTAGGCTAGCTTTGGGGTAGATGTTTCAGAGGATCCTGATACAGAGCTGTAAGTGGATCTAAAATTCTACCTTAGAAGTGGGAGTTGCTAGAGAAAGTAAATAGCACAGAAACTTTCCAAGGTGGCTCTTACTGCTGAAAATCTTTTTTTTCTTTTTTTTGAGACAGAGTCTCGCTCTGTCACCCAGGCTGGAGTGCAATGGCATGATCTCAGCTCACTGCAACCTCCGCCTCCCAGGTTCAAGCAATTCTCCTGCCTCAACCTCCCGAGTAGCTGGGACTACAGGTGTGTGCCACCGTGCCTGGCTAATTTTTGTATTTTCAGTAGAGATGGAGTTTCACCATGTTGGCCAGACTGGTCTCAAACTCCCTTGGACAGACTGGTCTCAAACTCCTGACCTCGTGATTCACCCACCTTGGCCTCCCTAAGTGCTGGGATTACAGGAATGAGCCACCAGGCCCGGCCCAAATATCTTTTTTTAAAAAAAAACATTCATCCACTTCTCTGCCTTTGTGAGGAAGAACACAATCAAATCAAAGTACCTGCTGCATTAAAAGGACACTGCTATCTCTGCCCAACATTTCTGAGGGACATTTCTCTGAAAGCACTGGTAACATAAATACTTAGGAACCAGGTATAAAGGAATACTGATCCCAGCGCAAACACTGACAGGTTTTTTTAAATTAAAAGAATCCTTGTGCACCTGGAATTCTAGCACTTTGGGGGGCTAAGGCGGGCAGATCACCTGAGGTTGAGAGTTCGAGACCAGCCTGGTCAACATGGTGAAACCCCATTTCTACTAAAAATACAAAAATCAGCCAGGTGTGGTAGCACACACCTGTAATCCCAGCTACTCAGGAGGCTGAGGCATTAGAATCACTTGAACCCAGGAGGCAGAGGTTGTGCTGAGCTGAGATGGCACCACTGCACTCCAGCCTGGGCGACAGAGTGAGACTCTGTCTCAAAAAACAAAAAAGGAATCCTTGCTTAGTTGAAGGTATCTGTGTCTTTCTCCAAATACTGCAGGTATTTGGGTCTCATTAGTTCAGCTGTAGTTAATCAGAGTTTTGTTCTAATTAACAGACCAAATATCAAACTGACATCCCTTTAAAATAAAAAAATTTTTACTATTATAAACTAAATAAAAATACTTAGAAAAAAACCTGGAAAGGAGACACCATGGTAACAGTCATTTTACTTTGTTTCAGAAACAGAGACAGGATTTACCTTTCTTTGTAGTGTTCTCTTTTCTCCAAATTTTCTTTTTTTTTTTTGAGACAGAGTCTCGCTCTGTCACCCAGGCTGGAGTGCAGTGGCGCCATCTGAGCTCACTGCAACCTCTGCCTACCGGACCATTCGAGCAATTCTCCTGCCTCAGCCTCCAGAGTAGCTGGGAATACAGGTGTGTGCCACCATGCCTGGCTAATTTTTTGTATTTTCAGTAGAGACGGAGTTTCACCATGCTGGTCAGGCTGGTCTTGAACTCCTGACCTCGTGATCCACCTGCCTTGGCCTCCCAAAGTGCTAGGATTACGGGCGTGAGCCACCGCACCTGGCCGAATTTTCCAACAATGAACATTATGCTAGTAATTTTTTAGAAGATATTAAAGAAATAAGGTGTTTAAGATCCCAAAACAGCCCGGTGCAGTGGCTCATGCCTGTAATCCCAGCACTTTGGGAGGCCGAGGCAGGCAGATCACGAGGTCAGGAGATTGAGACCAACCTGGCTAACACGGTGAAACCCTGTCTCTACTAAATATTAAAAAAATGAAGCAGGCATGGTGGCGCACGCCTGTAGTCCCAGCTACTTGGGAGGCTGAGGCAGGAGAATTGCTTGAACCCAGTAGGTGGAGGTTGCAGTGAGCTGAGACTGCGCCACTGCACTCCAGCCTGGGTGACAGAGCGAGACTCCGTCTCAAAAAAAAAAAAAAAAAAAAAAATCCCAAAACAGGGTACTCACAAACCATATCAAAGTCAGCAAAAAAAAAAAAGGTTTATAAAACTAGCAAATTCAGTTTTTAAAGAGAAGAAAATCAAAACCTAGAGTGGTTAAAGGGCTTGCCTGAGACCATAAGCTGATCAAATGAAAACCAATCTGATGAGAAAATAGTGAGTTCACAAACAGTTCAGACTGTATCACAACTTCATTAACATGTTTTCTAACTAAAAATAAAGTTTACTTATTAAAAAATGACTTTAAATAAGCCTAAGTTAAGTCTGAACCAGGTAACAAAAGACCATTTCTATAACTATTACTCTACTGACCAACAGAATTACTTTTCTTGGACTACAGACTGTGTCTTTTCTCAAATTTGCTCTGAGCACACACACTCTGTCTGACACAAGCTGCCTGAGGTCATGGACGAGGCTCTGTCACTTGGCTAGCTGACCTTGGGCACGTTTCCCTGTCTGTACAAGAAAAACAAAAACCAGTCCTACCTATAGAGTTCCTGTGAGGATTAAATGAGTTAATACCTGTGCAGCTCATAAAAAATTAACTGCCATTCAATTAGGGTTAACTATTATTATTAGCTATTATTTGTATTACCAACATCTAAAATAATGTTTTACCTATATAAACATTCCATAAATAGTAATTTTCAAAACCTTCCATTTTCTATACTGAAAATTACATTCCTTACAGAAGTTATAAATTTATAAGCAAATTTAAAACTAACATGAACTAAGAAACACACATTTTCAGCATTTTTATGAAGGACTGACTACCTGTATCGTCTTTACACTAATTAAGTCACTGGGCTGGGTAAGTCTTCTCATGATTGTTTTGCTCTACATTTATAAATACTACGTTACTACAGTGGAAAGTAGGATTTCAGGCGGGGCTCAGTGGCTCACGCCTGTAATCCCAGCACTTTGGAAGGCCGAGACGGGCGGATCACCTGAGGTCAGGAGTTTTGAGACCAACCTGGCCAACATGGTGAAACCCTGTCTCTACTAAAAATACAAAAAAATCAGCCGGGAGTGTCGGCGTGCACCTGTAGTCCCAGCTACTTGGGAACCTGAGGCAGGAGAATCGCTCAAACCCAGGAGGTAGACGCTGCAGCAAACCAAGATCACACCACTGCACTCCAGGCCTAAGCAACACAGCGAGACTCTGTCTCCAAGAGAGAGAAAAAAAAGTAGGATTTCAGCATATTAGGGGATACAGATCTCCCAGGTCAATAAATTGCTTCAACAGAATGAAAATAGATCATCAGTGTAAAATCAGTACACTATACCAACCCTGCACCCACAGAGGTTCAAAGCAACTCAAGAATTCCTGATTAGTCCCAGGTGATTTAAATAGAGTTTAGGAGACCTACATAATTTCTAATTAAGTCCAAGGGAATAGATTTGTAATATTTTTTAAATTAAAATGGAAATGCAAGCTAGCCATGATGGCTCATGTCTCTAAATCCCAGCACTTTGGGAGGCCAAGGTGAGAGGACTCCTTAAGCACAGGAGTTCCAGACCAGCCTGGGCAACATAGCAAGACCTCATCTCTACAAATCAACTTTTTTAGGCCAGGTGTGGTGGCTCACGCCCGTAATCCCAACACTTTGGGAGGCTGAGGCAGGCAGATCACTTGAGTCCAGGAGTTCAAGACCAGCCTGTACAACACGGCAAAACCCCCTCTCTACTAAAAATACAAAAAATTAGCCAGGTGTAGTGACGTGTACTGGTAGTCCCAAGTGCTCCAGTGGCTGAGGTGGGAAAATTGCTTGAGCTTAGGAAGTCAAGGCTACAGTGAGTCCTGATCGTGTCACTACACTCCAGCCTGGGAGACAGAGTAAGACCCTGTCTCAAAATAAAATAAAATAAAATAAAAAGGAAATGCAGGTTTGCTTTTGCAGGTTCCAAAAAAAAAAAAATCCAAGGTTTTTTGTTTGTTTGAGATGGAGCCTCACTCTGTCACCCAGGCTGGAGTGCAGTGGCGTGATCTCAGCTCACTGCAACCTCTGCCCCCTGGGTTCAAGCAATACTCCTGCCTCAGCCTCCTGAGGAGCAGGGATTTCCGACACGCACCTCTACCCCCAGCTAATTTTTGTATTTTTAATGGAGATGGGGTTTCACCATGCTGGCCAGGCTGGTCTCAAACTCCTGACCTCAGGTGATCCGCCTGTCTCGGCCTCCCAAAGTGTGGGATTACAGGTGTGAGCCACTGAGCCCGGCCAAAATCCAAGGATTTTTAAATAGTCTCGGATTTTTAGTGAGAGATACCTTAAGTGAAAAAAATAAGAACCCTGCAAAAATAGTTTTTAATGTTTCAGTAACCATACTGCTGGAAGTAAGGTTGTTATTCTAAAACTGTGTAATGTGGGAAAAAGCAAAAGGTTAATGTGTGATATTCTAATCTAATTTTACCATCCTCAGTGTTCTTGAGAACTAGGTTTCTCAGTGCAGAAGAAACTACAAACATCAAAAAAAAAGAAAAAGATAAAAAGGTATGGCTGGGCACGGTGGCTCATGCCTGTAATCCCAGCACTTTGGGAGCCCGGGGCAGGTGGATCACTTGAGGCCAGGAGTTCGAGACCAGCCTGGCCAACATGGCAAAACCCCATTTCTACTAAAAGTACCTAAAAGTACAAAAATTAGCCAGGTGTGGTGGTGCACACCTGTAGTCCCAGCTACTCATGAGGCTGAGGCAGGAGAATCACTTAAACCCGGGAAGCAGAGGTTGCAGTGAGCTGAGATAGCGCCATTGCACTCCAGCCTGGGCAACAGAGCGAGACTGTGTCAAAAAAAAATAAAGAAAAAGATTAAAATGCGGCCAGACACGGTGGTTCACACCTGTAATCCCAGCACTTTGGGAGGCCGAGGCGGATGGATCACGAGATCAGGAGGTCAAGATCATCCTGGCTAACACGGTGAAACCCCATCTCTACTAAAAATACAAAAAATTAGCATGGTGGTGGGCGCCTGTAGTCCCAGCTACTAGGGAGACTGAGTCAGGAGAATGGCGTGAACCCGGGAGGTAGAGCTTGCAGTGAGCCAAGATCGCACTACTGCACTCCAGCCTAGGTGACAGAGCGAGACTCCGTCTCGAAAAAAAAAAAAGATTAAAATGCTGTAGTCCTGAATTTGAATTGGAAATATCAGTATGAACTCATAACCTCATAAGTCTATTTGCCAACGAAGCCTAGAAAACAATGACCAAGCCAGCAGCAATAATGTGCACTCCTAATCTAGTGTGTGATCTCCAAATACCAATTCCCACTAAAAGGAACCACAACTGCTCGAAGAAATGCCTGTACAAGATGCTCCAGGAGCATAATATCATGCCAAATAGTAAGGAAGCTGTCAAAGACTACCAGGATTATGTCGAAAGGCCTCAAAAGCCAACTTAAAGAAGCTTTCAGAGGAGCAACAGATTGCAACAGCAGTATGTTCAGATCCATGAGTTCCCAATGATACCAACAAGAAAACTAACTGGTCACTGTTAGACGTTATTTTGAAAAATGATAAATAAAAAGAAGGAATCAAGAATGTATCCTACCAGCCGGGTGCAGTGGCTCACTCCTGTAATCCCAGTACTTTGGGAGGCCAAGGCAGGTGGATCACCTGAGGTCAGGAGTTCGAGACCAGCCTGGCCAACATGGCTAAACCCCGTCTCTACTAAAAATATAAAAAATTAGCCAGCTGTGGTGGCATGCACCTGTAATCCCAGCTACTCTGAAGGCTGAGACAGGAGAATCACTGGAACCCGGAGGTGGAGTCTGCAGTGAGCCCAGACCGCGCCACAGCACTCCAGCGTAGGCGACAGAGTGAGATTCTTTCAAAAAAAAAGAACATATCCTGCCTTTGCTATGGGTTTTTATGAGAAACAAACAGATGAGCGGAAGGCTGTCTTTATAGAAGCAGTCCAGCCAGCCAGGAAACGAAGAAATGATAGAGTATCTAATACATGAATTTAAGCATGGAACATCCATGACTATTAGCACTAACAAAAAGAGAAGCACCCAGACATTACACATCTCCTGAAAGACCACTCTAACACCCATGAAGTGATCTTGCCCATCCTCAAATAATTCAAACTCAAATCTGATTAAGACTTGCCCCCCTGCCCCACGGCAAAAAAATAGACAAAAGAAAATTTAGCCTAGAATCTGATCAAGGCTCTATATCCAACTATCAATTTATAAGCGGGCAGAGGAACATGTTAAACTGCAAACGTAACCTGTCAGATACAGAAAGTGGAACAAACAACCCAAGACAAACAACCCAGTTGAGGAATGATGGAAGGGGAATATCTAGAACAAAAGAGATTGTTGTTGTTGTTTTGAGACAGGGTCTCATTCTCACCACCCAGGCTAGAATGCAGAGGCACGATCTCAGCTCACTGCAGCCTCGACTTCCCAAGCTCAGGTGATCCTCCCACCTCAGCCTCCCAAGTAGCTGGGACTACAGGCATGCACCATAACACCTGGCTAATATTTTGTATTTCTAGTACAGACAGGTTTCACCATGTTGTTCAGGCTGGTCTCAAACTCCTGGGCTCAAGCAATCCACCTGCCTCGGTCTCCCACAGTGCTGGGATTACAGTTGTAAGCCACCACTCCTGGCCGTAAGAGATTTTTTAAATATATCAACAATCACAATATGTGGACATTATCTGGATCCTAACACAAACAAATGTTTAAAAATTGGAATTTGAACACTATTCAATGGCATTAAGAAATTTTCTTCAAGTATAATAATGGTATTGTGAATATTTTTTTTAAAGTTCTTATCTTTTAGAAACGTATTCTGAAATACAGGATATCACAATGTCTGGAATTTGCCTCAATATAATTTTGGAAGGGGGAACTAGATGAAACAAGAGTGGCTATGACATGAGTCAGTAATTGTTTCAAATGCAGGTAGAGTACATGGAAGTCGATTATACTATTCAATCTATGTTCATCTATGTTTGAATAACGATTTTTTAAATTTGACAAACTATAAGTAATTTTATTAAAAAATAATAAAAGAATTGACCCTACCCCCCAGAGAGAAATAGTTGAAAGAAACTGTCTGAATTATTCAAAATATTTCACTGGGAGCTGGGCACAGTGGCTCATGCCTGTAATCTCAGCACTTTGGGAGGCGAGGGTGGGAGGATAACTAGGTGAGGAGTTGGAGACCAGCCTGGGTAATATAGTGAGACCCTGTCTCTACAAAAAATTTTAAAAGAACTAGGCATGGTGACAAGCTCCTGTATTCCTACCTACTCAGGAACCTAAGGCAAGAGGATCACTTGGCCCCAGGAGCTCAAGGCTGCAGTGAGCTATGATCACGCCACTTCACTCCAGCCTAGGCGGCAGAGCAAGACCCTGTCTCAAATTAAAAAATAAATATTTTCTTGAACTATTAGTATTAATTAGGATGAAATCTCAGACCAAAATCAACTTAACATGAAAACCTTATGTAAAAAACTATTCAATAAAATTGCAAATGGAGAATTTTCTCTACTTTAACATGTGTAACATAGTTTAGACAAGAAAAACTAAAATAGTACTAAAAATCTTTCCCTTGGATCATTTGGCATAAATATAAGAACTAATTCAAAAACTGACACATCTAATAAACTAATAACCATCCAACTTCACATTTCACGAAATAATTTTAAAAGAGTCATATACACACATATTAAATTCATTTAATACTGGATAAACTTATTAAGCCTAATTCTTTTATAAGTAATAACATAAAAAAATCTTACCTGATTAAAGGCAAAGTTAAACATCAAAATCTGGACATTTTAAAACTAAAATACACTAAAATTACATTAAAAAATTTAATGATAAACTGAAGAATTTTATAATGTCTGTATTTTGGACATAATAACTATAATTCATGTTGTCTCACTTAATGTTAAAATAAGAATGTTTATCACTCCTTTTCACTGAGAAAAATTTGATTCTCAACCCTGTAAGGCCCTAAAGTAGTAAGTAGAAATGGAACTCTTTGAAAATATCTGTATTTAGGGATAAGGCTATTGTTACAGGCTTTTTAAGCATAGTAGTTTGTAAAAGGCATGATTTGTCCATCTAATTCTAGGCAATAATAAACAAAGCAGGGTTCTGTTTTACAGACTGCACGACTAAGTCATCCTTTTGGCTGATGGAAAGACCCAGGGTTTAAAATGACTCAGCAAAAAGCAAAGCCGTGAATATGACTTGGTATCAAAAATCTTTACTACCTGGCTTAGGAACTGTGTGAACTTTAACTGAATGTGACGGTTCACCAGAGCCCAACTTCTCTCCTACGAAATCTTGTGACTGAAGTAATTCCTGAGGTTCTTCTTTCTTTGAATTTTTTCCTTCACTCTCTAAACTCTCTTTGATGTCATCACTGAGTGTTTTAAGATCACACTGTATATCCAGTTTATTTATCAATGCAAAGTCACCCGCAACAGCATCATCCATTGTGGAATCCATGGGCTCATCTACAAATCAGAAGAAATTAAAAATCCATCAGCTGGGTTATTTGATACAGTTAGGTAAATACAGAAATACAATGTTCCTATTATCCATTGTGGCAGAATTACTATCTGTCCACCAAATCCATTCTCATCCTCCAAAATAAGAGAGCTGCACTTAAGACTGGCACAGCTGGGCATGGTGGTTCATGCCTGTAATTCCAGCTCTTTGGGAGGCCAACACAGGAGGACTGCTTGAGGCCAGGAGTTTAAGACCTGCCTGGGCAACATAGTGAGACACTATCTCTACAGTAAATTAAAAAAAAAAAAAAAAAACAAAAACTGTGGCGCCCTAGCAGGGCAATGTACTGCCAGTCCCTTTACAAGTGGTGACCAAGCTCCTGCCAACAGAACATAACACAACTGATACATCCAATTATGCCTCACTAGTTTTAAAGGAAACTTGCGACCCTGAACTTCTACCCTTCCCCACAATGGCTGGATTAGTAAAAACCAGAGCAACCTGGGAAATCACATGTTAAAGAAAAGCCCAGAATGGCTGGTGGGGAGAAGAGTTGAACGCCAACCTAGAACACCCACACTGAACTGTTATGTGAGGAAAGAAACAGACTTTTTTTTTTTTGAGGAGTCTCCCTCTGTCGCCCAGGCTGCAGTGCAGGGGCGCGACCTCGGCTCACTGCAAGCTCCGCCTCCCAAGTTCACGCCATTCTCCTGCCTCAGCCTCCCAAGTAGCTGGGACCACAGGCGCCCACCACCATGCCCAGTTAATTTTTTGCATTTTTAATACAGACGGGATTTCACTGTGTTAGCCGGGATGGTCTCGATCTCCTGACCTCGTGATCCACCTGCCTCGGCCTCCCAAAGTGCTGGGATTACAGGCGTGAACCACCATGCCCGGCCAAGCCCGGCTAATTTTTTGTAATTTTAGAGAAGACAGGGTTTCACCGTGTAAGCCAGGATGGTCTTGATCTCCTGACCTCGTGATCCGCCTGTGTTGGCCTCTCAAAGTGCTGGGACTACAGGTGTGAGCCACCACACCCGGCCCCGAAAGAAACAGACTTTTATCTTTCTTTTAGTTATTGCATTTTGGTATCTTTTTGTCATAGCTGTTTATTCCTTTACTCTAATGAGTACATCACTCCTAGTTCCAGGCACAGATAATTCAGAAGCCTGTAACAAGTCAAATAAACAACCAAATATAAACACTACAAAAGAAAGAGAGGCAGCCAGATGTGGTGGCTCACACCTGTAATCCCAGCACTTTGGGAGGCCAAGGCGGGCAGGTCACAAGGTCAAGAGTTTGAGACCAGCCTGGCCAACACAGTGAAACCCCGTTTCTACTAAAAATACAAAAAAATTAGCCAGATGTGGTGGCGGGTGCCTGTGGTCCCAGCTACTCGGGAGGCGGAGACAACAGAATGCCTTGAACCCGGGAGGTGGAGGTTGCAGTGAGCCAAGATTGAGCCACTGCACTCCAGCCCGGGCGACAGAGCAAGACTCCGTCTCCAAAAATAAAAGAAAGGCAACCACCAATTTACAAATGGACAGCATCTTCAATGCTTATCTCCATGTTCATTTTTCTAACTCAGAACCTAATTCCTTTTTTTTTTTTTGGTGGAGACAGAGTCTTGCTCTGTCACCTAGGCTGGAGTGCAGTGGCAGGATCTTGGCTCACTGCAGCCTTGACCTCCCTGATTCTTGTGCCTCAGCCTCCGAGTAGCTGGGACTACGGGCGTGCACCACGAAGCTCGGCCAATTTTTTGTTGCTCTGTCACCCACGCTGGAGTGCAGTGGCACAATGTCGGCTCACTGCAACCTCTGCCTCCCAGGTTCAAGCGATTCTCCTGCCTCAACCTCCCAAGTAGCTGGGACTACAGGCGCCTGCCACCACGCCAGGCTAATTTTTTGTATTTTTAGTAGAGACAGGGTTTCACCATGTTAACCAGAATGGTCTCCATCTCCTGACCTCATGATCCGCCTGCCTCGGCCTCCCAAGGTGCTGGGATTACAGGCGTGAGCCACTGCCCCCGGCCCCAATATGAAAATTTAAAGAAATAAAACCAAAATTAGTAAAAAGACTAAGAAAAAAAGCAAATCATGTGTAACTAAAGTTAAATAAATGCTATTATGTTTTAGCAAAGCCACTCACAATTCAAAACTGATCACACAAATAAGAGGATTTCAAACAGTATAATTTACTGAAGTAAAGCCTTATTCAAACACAGAAAAGCTGATCTTTATTCAGCATTAAAAGGAATAGGGCAATCTTGTCCAAGCTGCATGTAAGCACTTGCTTCTTGAGAGACAATGGCACTTTCTATTTACTTCATAAGGATAGTATTAGGATCAAGAAAGATGAGTTATCAAAGCATTCTGGAAACAGATATTTTGATAAACTCCAAGAAATCACAAATTTAACATGATCCTCAATATTCTTTCCACGCTAAACTCTTCTGATATATATTCCCATGCCTTGACTTGGGGGCCGATGGTAACAGTAATAGCAGTGCTAACAGTAGTCGCTGTCATCATAGTAGTAGCAGTACATGACTGTATTAATGACCCTTCCCCTTCCCAAGATGACTGAAAGTGGGACCGTTGCAAAGACAGATAGTAAATCGTTTTTAGACCCAGCCCATCTTACCCTCACAACTTCCTTTGGGAACCTCCCCTTTAGCTAGAAATTTCAACATTTTTTTCAAAACCTTCTTGTGAGATTTTGAAGGCTGAAATTGTAAAGGTCGGCACCTAGGAAAGCAAAATAAATATTTAAAAAGTGAACTCAAACCTTGAAGAAATGAAATCAGTTCTGGATATCACCTAGTACAATGAGACCATCTCATGCCTGAGATTTCTGGTTAAAGATGGGGCTTAATGTAGCCTCTAATCCCAGCCCACATCACACTAAGATTATAGTTAAGAGATTTTTTTTTTCTTTTGAGATAGAGTCTCACTCTGTCGCCCAGACTGGAGTACACTGGCACCATCTTGGCTCACTGCAACCTCTGCCACTCAGGTTCAAGTGATTCTCCTGCCTCAGCCTCCTGAGTAGCTGGGATTACAGGCATGCACCACCATGCCCTACTAATTTTTATATTTTCAGTAGAGACAGGGTTTCACCATGTTGGTCAGGCTGGTCTCAAACTCCTGAACTCGTGATCCACCTGCCTCGGCCTCCCAAAATGCTGGGATTACGTGCATGAGCCACCATTCCCAGCAAGAGATTTTTTTTTTTTTTAAAGAGAGAAAGACATAAAACACTAGAAAAAAGAGAAGGACAGAAGTGTTAGAAGCTGGAAAACAGATATACAAAGCAATGCTGTTTTAACAGACCAAAGAAAGTTGAATCCTAGGCCAACAGTGGAAAAAAAAAAAGCCAATTTTCTCTATATTACCCTTAAAAGTCTTAGGGATTGGTGACACCTCATAGCTCTGGAAATATGAGTGAAAGTTAGGTCTAAAAATAGAAAGATCCCTTCAAAGTCTTGTTTTCGAAGCAGTTAGGATAGATGTCAGATCCCCTCTCCCATCCGCAGATGACTAGACGACTCCCTACTCAACCCAGCAGAAAACTGCAAACTTGCAGGAAAGAGTAACATAGAGCCTCTTACAGGATGGATGCAAGCCACAGCTGAAAGCAGCGGTACTACTGAAAACGGCTTAAATAAAAGTGTACACAGTACATGTTGAGATCACCAACCCAGGTCCAGAACAACAGCAGGTTATGAAATACTTTCTCTCCAGAATGTGATCAGACCTAAAAATACTAACATCAGGGATTCCCCAACAGAAGAGCCCAGCCAGATCACCCACAGTAAACAAGGCCGAGAAACACCCAAGACCCACAGTAAACCAAACCCATCAGGTACACGGAATTTCCAATGGAACACTGAAAAGTCAGAATCACCAGACACTCGAGAAGAGCCTCCACTGAAAAGATAGGTACCGAACAAACTGGAGAAAGTAACCTGGAGGACATAGACCATGACAGAAAGAAGAGAACCTTTTAAAAAAATCCTTAGGAAGATCTCGTTTATTAAGCCACTACATCCATAAAATAACAAGGTGTTATTAAATAAACAAATAAGAGTCTGAGAACAAAAACAACTTCAAAAGTAAAAATATGACAGGAGAAATGTAAAAATTAAGTAGAAGACCTGAAAACTGAAGTTGAAGAAACCTTCCAGAAGATTCTGCAAAAAAGATGAAAAACTGAAGAGAAAAGGTAAAGTCAGAGACTAGTTTAAAAGGTCCAAAATCTAAATAAAGGCATTAAAAAAGAAAATGGAGGTGAAAAGATAGAATAAAAAATTTAAGAAAATTCCCCTGAACTAAAGGATAAGATGGGACGAGCCCCCAGATAAGAAGGGCCCCTCCAGTTTGTCTGTGATGGATAAAAACAGACACATAGCCAAACTGACTATGAAATGTAGAACAGAGGATAGAAAAGCTTCCTAAGAGAGGCCGGGCGCCGTGGCTCACACCTGTAATCCCAGCACTTTGGGAGGCCGAGGCAGGCGGATCACGAGGTCAGGAGATCGAGACTATCCTGGCTAACATGGTGAAACCCTGTCTCTAATAAAAATACAAAAAAAATTAGCCAGGCGTGGTGGCGGGCACCTGTAGTTCCAGCTACTTGGGAGGCTGAGGCAGGAGAATGGCATGAACCTGGGAGGCAGAGCTTGCAGTGAGCCAAGATCACACCACTGCACTCCAGCCTGGGCAACAGAGTGAGACTCCATCTCAAAAAAAAAACAAAACAAAACAAAACAAAAAAAAACAAGAAAAAGAGAAGAAAAGAAAAGCTTCGGCCAGGCACAGTGGCTCATGCCTGTAATATCAGCACTTTGGGAGGCCGAGGCGGGCAGATCACAAGGTCAGGAGATGGAGACCACCCTGGCTAACAAGGTGAAACCCCGTCTCTACAAAAAATTAGCCGGGCGTGGTGGCAGGCACCTGTAGTCCCAGCTACTCAGGAGGCTGAGGCAGGAGAATGGCATGAACCCAGGAGGCGGAGCTTGCAGTGAGCAGAGATCACACCACTGCACTCCAGCCTGGGAAACAGAGCGAGACTCTGCCTCGAAAAACAAAAAACAACAACAAAAAAAAGGAACACTTCCAAAGAGAAAGAACACGTCTCAGACAAAGGTATGAGGATCAGAATATCACCGCACTTCTCAACAGTAATAATACGATAGTGGAACAAAATTCTAGAAAAATTATTTTCATCCTGCACTTCTGTACCCTCCCAAACTAAAGTTTGAGCAGTGAATCAAAGTTTGCAGACACACAAGGTCTCAAAAATGTAACTCTTATGCACTTTCTCTATTAGAAGATGTGCTTCACTAAAACAAGGGAATAATCCAAGAAAGAAGGGTTTCCAACTCAGGTGCTAAAAAGAATCCCCAGGCCGGGCGCGGTGGCTCACGCTTGCAATCCCAACACTTTGGGAGGCTGAGGCAGGTGGATCACGAGGTCAGGAGATCAACACCATCCTGGCTAACACGGTGAAACCCCGTCTCTACTGAAAATACAAAAAATTAGCCAGGTATGGTGGCACATGCCTGTAGTCCCAGCTACTCGGGAGGCTAAGGCAGGAGAATCACTTGAACCTGGGAGGCAGAGGGAGCAGTGAGCCAAGATCGCGCCACTGCACTCCAGCCTGGGCAACAAAACGAGACTCCGTCTCAAACAAAAAAAAAAAATCCCCAAGATGACAGTAAAAAGAATAGCCCAGGCCACATATGGTGGCTCATGCCTGTAATCCCTGCACTTTGGGAGGCCGAGGTGGGTGGATCATGTGAGGTATGGAGTTCGAGACCAGCCTGGCCAACATGATGAAACCCCATCTCTACTAAAAATACAAAACTTAGCCAGGCATAGTGGTGGGCGCCTGTAATCCCAGCTACTCAGGAGGCTGAGGCAGGAAAATCACTTGAGCCCAAGGGTGGAGGTTGCAGTGAACTGAGATTGTGCCAGTACACTCCAGCCTGGGCAACAACAGCAAAACTCCATCTCAAAAAAAAAAATAGCCCAGGCTGACCGTGATGCTTCAGGTGCAGGGGGTAACCTGTTCAGATCAAGCCGGTCAGAAGGCTCCACAAGGGACTTTTCTCAAGTAGATAAAAGCGATCATAGCACTTGATGCGTTTAAATATACTAAGAAAAAACTTACATAACTGGGATTTATTTTCAAAATAATCTGGTCATAGTTATATACACTATGCAAACAAAAAAGATAATTAGTAACTCCAAGGAAAGCAAAAACTTGTGCAGGAAAAGTAATCACAGTACCCGCCATGGTTCAGTTGTGAAGCATATTTACACAGTCACAATGGATATGAACACATCTGCCCAAAATCACACTTCTGAATGGAAAGCTAGGGATGGGGACAAAAACGAGCTTGAATGTGGCAGGGAAACAGGGATAAGAGAAAACTAAATCCTTATCTTCCACAGAGAGAAGCCCGGAAATAATGGAGAAAACTAACAGAAAAAGAAAAAAAATGCAAGTGTTACAATTATATAAGCATGTTGCTTAAAGACAGGGAGATGAAAAACCAAAAGAATTAGTTAAAATGTTTCAAGATGACTGCCTTAGGGGAACAGGAAATGGGACAGGGGGGTTGGGGGATTGCTTTTTCCAAAACAAACTTTATTGCAACTTGACATTTAATGAGCATGTGGAATTCTGATAAAAATAAAAAACTTAAAAAATCATAGCCAGAAAAGTTCATCCTCATTTATACACACATACTGGAGAGTCCCTACTGACTAACAAGAAGCTAAGCTGTTAGCTATAAGCCCCTTTCCTTTATCTAAGTTCTCATTGCAACTGCTGTTATATACAAGGTAAAAATAACCAGAAGAGTAAATATGGAAAATGACTCCATAAAAAGATGATGTGGCTGGGCCCAGTGGCTCAACGCCTGTAATCCCAGCACTTTGGGAGGCCAAGGCAGGCGGATCATGAGGTCAGGAGTTCCAGACCAACCTGGCCAATATGGTGAAACCCCGTCTCTACTAAAAATACAAAAATTAGCAGGGCATGGTGGCATGCGCCTGTAGTCCCAGCTACTCAGGAGGCTGAGGCAGAAGAATCACTTGAACCTGGGAGGCGGAGGTTTCAGTGAGCAGAGATCGCGCCACTGCACTCCAGCCTGGGAGACTAAACAAGATTCTGTCTCAAAAAAAAAAAAAAAAGATGATGTATAATGAATTACAAAGAGACGCAATTCAGGAAACATTTGATGCCACGTAAAATGCAAAAATCACATAACTACTTTATTTTGCAATGTTAATGAATCCCCTTTTATAAAGGCAATATGCTTAGAATAGTGCTTTCCATGTAACAGGCACCAAATACAATTTAGATTCTTTTTTCTTTAACCAATCGAAATCACCCTTTTCTGATCACAGATTAAGCCAATCAACTTCAAACTTATGAATAGAATCCTGTCCATAATCCAATAAATTGCTAATTGAAGACAAATGACTTCTGCCTTAGAAGATACCTTCTCTTTATAACCACGAAAACTGAAAGAGGACAGCACAGGATACTCTGTCATTCTATTCTTTGTGTAATGACACAGTGTCAGCAAACCAGACCCCATTTTTCTCATCCTCTGCCAATCCAACGGCCAGCTGGACTTCTGGGTCGGGGCGGGGGTGGGGGGGACGTGAAGAACTTTTCTTACAAGAGGATTGTAAAATGCACCAATCAGCTCTCTGTAGCTAGGATTGTAAAACGCCCCAATCGGCGCTCTGTAGCTAGCTAGAGGATTGTAAAACGCACCAATCAGTGCTCTGTGGCTAGAGGTTTGTAAAATGGACCAATCAGCACTCTATAAAATGGACCAATCAGCACTCTATAAAATGGACCAATCAGCACTCTGTAAAATGGACCAATCAGCAGGACATGGGCAGGGACAAATAAGGGAATAAAAGCTGGCCACCCTACCCAGCAGTGGCAACCCACTAGGGTCCCCTTCCACACTGTGGAAGGTTTGTTCTTTCACACTTCACAATAAATCTTGCTGCTGCTCATTCTTTGGGTCTGCGTCACATTTAAGAGCTGTAACACTCACTGCGAAGGTCTGCGGCTTCATTCTTGAAGTGAGCGAGACCAAGAACCCACCAGAAGGAACCAACTCCAGATACACCAGCACTTTGGGGGGCTGAAGCGGGCAGATCACCTGAGGTCAGGAGTTCGAGACCAGCTTGGCCAACATGGTGAAACCCATCTCTACTAAAAATATCAAAAAAATTAGCCAGGTGTGGTGGTGCACGCCTGTAATCCCAGCTAGTCGGGAGGCTGAGGCAGGAGAATCGCTTGAACACGGGAGGCAGAGGTTGCAGTGAGCCGAGATAGCACCACTGCACTCCAGCCTGGGCGACAGCAAGACTCCATCTCAAAAAAAAAGCTCCTAATCAAGTATCAGTGAACCTTTGGGAGTCTGCGATCATTCTAAAATTAACACGCAAAATGTGCTGGGCATGGTGGCTCACGCCTGAAATCCCAGCACTTTGAGGTGGGTAGATCACGAGTTCGAGAGTAGCGCGGCCAACATGGTGAAACCCCGTCTCTACTAAAAACACAAAAATTAACCAGGCCTAGCGGTGGGCATCTGTAGTCCCGGATACTCAGGTGGCTAAGGCAAGAGCACTGCTAGAACCCAGGAGGCGGACACTGCAGTGAGCTGAGATCACACCACTGCACTCCAGCCTGGGTGACACAGCAAGACTCAGTCTCGGTGGGGAGGATATGCAAAATGTTACATATTTTTGTCTACATCCCTTTGGGCAGGAGGCCAGCTCTCATCGACTTCTCAAAATGGTTTGCAACCCAAAAACAAGTTAAGAGCAACCAAGGGAGACAGCTTTGAGGACCAAACAAAAAAACTAATGGACAAAAAACTGTTTAATTTTTTAATTTTTCATTTCTTAAAGTAAAACTGTCTTTTAATTTTATGAGTATATATACACATTGAAATTGGGGGCAAATACATGCTTCAAAATGTTAACGCACTTTTCACATTTTCTATCAAAAAAAAAGGTTCAGGTGCAGTAGTAGCTCACACCTATAATCCCAGCACTTTGGGAGGCTGAGGCAGGAGGCTCCTTTGAGCCTAGAAGTTGGAGATCAGCCTAGGAAACATGGCGAGATCAGCCTAGGAAACATGGTGAGATCTGCCTAGGAAACATGGCAAGACCCCTTTTCTATAAAAAAAAATGTAATTTGCCAGGCCTGGTGGTGTGTACCTACAGTCCCAGCTACTTGGGAGGCTGAGGTGGGAGGATTACTTGAGCCTGGCAGGCAGGCTGCAGTGAGCCATGGTTGTGCTACTGCATTCCAGCCTGAGCAAGACCCTGTCTCAAAAAAAAAAAGAAAAAAGAAGAAAAAGATGATGATGACCTTATAACCAGAATAAGAGAGAAGATTTTTCTATGTTAGGGTGAGGTGAGAAGGTACATGGAAAATCCAAAAGATTATGAAAAAATCCAACGAAGACTTTGTAGGAAAATAGACTTTGGTTTAAGTTTCCCATTTAAGAAAACTGGACTCTGGGCCAGGTGCAGTGGCTCACGCCTGTAATATCAGCACTTTGGGAGGCTGAGGCAGGTGGATCATGAGGTCAGGAGTTCAAGACCAGCCTGGCCAACATAGTGAAACCCCATCTCTACTAAAAATACAAAAAATTAGCCGGGCGTGGTGGCAGGCACCTGTAATCCCAGCTACTCGGGAGGCTGAGGCAGGAGAATCACTTGAACCCAGGAGGCAGAGGTTGCAGTGAGCCGAGATCGCGCCATTGCACTCCAGCCCAGGCGACAGTGCGAGACTCCGTCTCTTTAAAAAAAAAAAAAAAAAACTGGACTCTAAGTGTAAGTGGCAGATTAAATTTAAGCCCTCTTCCTTCCAATTAATTTTTTTTTCAACTTTTATTTTAGATTCAGGGGGTATAGGTACAGGCTGGTGACCTGGATATATTGCATGATGCTGAGGTTTGCAATATGGATGATCCCACCACCCAGGTACTGATCGTCATACCAAGTTGGTTTTTCAACCCTTAGCTCACGCCCTCCCTCCTCCTCTAGTAGTCTCCAGCTTCTACTTTTGCCATCTTTATGTCTGAGTACCCAAGGTTTAGCTCCCACTTATAAGTGAGTGAGGTGGGAAATTAAAGAAAAATAAAATTAAAAAGAAAGATAAATAAGCTTTCCTGTATTAGGCCGACTTGTCCCAGAGGCAGCAACAGGCACGGCCCAGACCCAGGAAAAGCCTTGATAATATTATCTAGTGTGCTCTGGAGATTCTCCCAGCACTCAACATGCAGAGAAGAAAAAATAAATTTTCCTTTGTTTTACGGAATGAGTTCATAGATTCCTGTTCTCTGTAACTAGTGACTTCAAGTATTGTTTTATCTGAGAAGTACAATGAATGTCATGAGAAGCCTGAGTAGGCCTGAACTGCAGCTGCCTGGGCACCATAGTGAAGATTATGGGATAAGCCCAGGCAAACCTAGATAACGGACATCTGGGTTGCTTGGCAACGGTCATGTGCAATCCTGAGTTTGTCCTGCCTCTGTATCCCTGCTTTCACGCCACTGTAAGCTTGCTTCAAGCTAGCCCACCCCCTTCTGTGAACTGTGTATAAAAGTCTTTGTTCCGGGCCCAGTCTTTTAGACGTTGAGTCAGCTGGGCCTAAGTGCACTCAATAAAGTTTCTCCTGTTTTAACCCGAGGTCTCTCTTGTCCTCCTGAATCCCACAACATGAGAACGTGAACCTACCAAGTAATTTATAGGAGCCTGTAGCATTGCTTGAACACAAGCACTGTGTCAAGCAATACACCAGAATGCAGAAAATTCTAAGCTAAGTCCTATAATATTTAATATCCAAAAGTAATGTGAATATTTACCAACATTTTCCCAATATTTCATGGCATTCATTGACAAGATTGCTAAATTAAGAGGGTATTTTTTTCACATATTTATATCTGAACCAATCAAACAATATTACTAAAACCTACTGATCAGCACATAAATACAGCATCAGTATGAAGAAAAGACATAACTCATTTACTTTTCCTTTTAAAGGACATCTACCTAGAGCGGAAATAAACATTAAAAAAGCACAAGAGACTACTAAAATATTATACACAATCTTCATACTATAAATCCTCTTTCTACTAATTAAAATTCTTACCTTATTGTGTACTGAGGACAACATGTTTGATTCATGACAGGTTTGTACACATATTTTCCACTTCTAAAATTATAAAAATAGTTTGTTAATGTCTTATATATTTTTCACTTGCACCAAAACAGCCTAGCACAGGAGCATTAAATTAAGGTTAAAAATCTAATCAACATTGTAGAAATGCATGTAGGTTTAATTACTCTTCATAAGCCAAATAATCTTCAAAGTGCGTGTAGCAAAGTTTAGAACCCTGCCTTTTATTTCCTAAAGCTTTACTTGTGTACCCCACGGCCAATCATCTCAGTTCCCCTCTCACCAGCATCTGCCACCCCTGCTCTGCCTTCACCTGCCACCAATCCCCAATACCACAAGGGCAATGAGAGAAATGCCCACGATGCTGTGGGACTCATGTATGTGATGCCTGTGACAACCACACTTGGGTATTCCACATGCACCAGCACGGAGTACCCCAAAACTAACCCGCTTCTTTCCATGCATTCCAGGTCTATGGTACTAACAGAACTGTTCATTCTGTTCTCAAGTCAGAGACCTGGGAGTCATTTTAAACTCCTCCCTGGAATTCACCTCTATATCCTATTAGCAAGCTTTCCTTCATTTTAAACCCTATCCTAAATTGTCCCCTCTTCTCTATCACCATTGCCACTAAGGTGACAGTCCTCATCATCGCACATCTGGATAGCGCAATAACCTTTGAACTCATCTTCCTGCCTCTATGACCCCCCCTCAAATACCTCTCAGCCATCTGAACAATCTTTTCTAAAACAAATTCCTTCACATTTCTCTCTTACCATAAAATCCTTCCATGACTGCCTTCTAAAAAGTTCTGGCCAGGCATGGTGGTTCATACCTATAATCCCAACACTTTGAAAAGCTAAGCTGGAAGAACACTTGCAACCAGATGTTCGAGACCAGCACGGGCAACATAGCCAAGATCTTACAAAAAACTGAAAAATTAGCCAGGTGTTGTGATGCACACCTGTAGTCCTAGCCACTGCAGAGGCTGAGGCAAGAGGATCACTTGAGTGTGGGAATTTGGGGTTACAGTGAGCTATGATGATGGCACTGTACTCTAGCCTGGGCAAGAGAGCGACTCTAGCCTGGGCAACAGAGCGAGACCATGTCTCTAAAAAAAAAAGTTCCTTATCATGGCATGTGAAGTCCTTTAAAATCTGACCTATGTCTACCTTTTGAATCTCATTAAGTTTAAGGAAAGTTGTGATATTTCAGCTGGTGCTCCCAATCCCACGTCTTTGGCAAGTATTAGCGTACAGTATTTAATATTACTTATATTTACACAAGGAACTTTACCTAAGAGTTACTTAAAAATCATCCACATAAAAATAACTACTCAAAACAGGCCATGTGTGGACTTTAAGGAAATCCTTATCCAAATAAACTGTTAAAGAAGACATTTTTGAGACAATCTGGAAAATCTAATAAAAAGTAGGTAACAGGTAACATCAAAGAATTTTTATTAATTTTGTAAGGTGTGATACAGCATTGTGGATAAGTTAAAAAGAAAAAAAGACCTCTCTCTTAGAGATACATACTTATTGCCTATCTATTGATAGGATAAATGTCATAATAACCTACTGATGTAATTTGCTGTTAAATATTAAAAGGTGGAGCAGGAGAATCAAACATGATTGGCAGAACGTTAATAACTGCTGAAGCTTAGTGATAGGTACTTGAGGTTCATTCTAATGTACTCTCTGCTTTTATAGATATTTGACATTTTCCTAACAAAGTTTTTTAAAAAGGAGACAAAAAATCACTACATAAAAGAATATAATAAAAATTTTTCTTAAACCTCTTTCCAACAGGAAAGCATTTCAAAGGCATGCTGTATTTTTCAAGAACCTGAGTAACAGTAGGAAGTCTCTTTGTATCTGGAAGCTTTACCTTCGCCATCCTCGGTCTATGAGATCCTGATAATCCTGTACTGTCATGGAATGTGCCCACATGCCTGAAAAAATAAGTAGTGTGTTAATTACGGCAGGGTAACCTTTTTTCTTTTTTAAATTCAAAGTGTGAGGTTTAAAAATAGGAGTGTGTGTCCGGGCACGGTGGCTCATGCCTGTAATCCCAGCACTCTGGGAGGCCAAGGCGGGCAAATCACAAGGTCAGGAGTTCAAGACCAGCCTGGCCAACATGGTGAAACCCCATCTCTACTAAAAATACAAAAATTTAGCTGGGCATAGTGGCGGGCGCCTGTAATCCCAGCTACTCAAGAGGCTGCAGCAGGAGAATCACATGAACTCGGGAGGCGGAGGTTGCAGTGAGCCAAGATCACGCCACTGCACTCCAGCCCTGGCGACAGAGTGAGACTCCATCTCAAAAAAAAAAAAAAAAATAGGAGTGTTTAGGTTAAAATTCCAAAACACTCATATTGGATAAATGAAAAGTTTGTACATACTTCACAGCTGTTAGTTGGGCATACACACAGCACAAATAAAGAATGACACTATATATATTTTCATTCAAAAAAACACATCGAAGTTAATTATATTTATTTGAGGATTAGTCAATAGTCTCTATGACAGCATAAATTTAAGTCCTCACTGCAATCAGACTGCATCAGACCTTCAAACTTTAATAAATATCCCCAATGATTTAACATGCTGGTCTCTTCAGAAAACTTAGCAAAATGTTTTGTGCTTATTAGTTCTCCTGATTTATATACAGGTATATATTTACAGTACAGTCTTGAGCATCAAAAATTGGAGAAAAGTATGTAACAATATTCCTTCTAAGTGTAAGAACTGAAAGTAACTCAGCTGGGCACAGTGGCTCACGCCTGTAATCCCAGCACTTTTGGAGGCCAAGATGGGCAGATCATCTGAGGTCAGGAGTTTGAGACCAGCCTGGCCAACATGGTGAAACCCCATCTCTACTAAAAACACAAAATTAGCCGGGAATGGTGGCACATGCCTGTAATCCCAGCTACTTGGGAGGCTGAGGCAGGAGAATCGCTTGAACCCAGGAGGCGGAGGTTGCAGTGACTCGAGATCGAGCCATTGCACTCCACACTCCAGCATGGGCAACAAGAGTGAAGCTCTGTCTCAAAAAAAAAAAAAAAGAAAGAAAGAAAGAAAGTAACTCAAATGCCAAGGAACAGGAAGATGATTACAGGGGCTATGATGTTGTCAACATGATGGAATAATCACGCAACTATGAAAAAAAACGAAGACTATGAGGAAACATTTAAAGGCATATCAGAACTAAAGGCTTCATGAGGTGGTGGCTCAAGCCTATAATCCCAACACTTTGGAAGGCCAACATGGAAGATCACTTGAGGTCAGGAGTTCAAGACCAGCCTGTGCAACATACCAAATCTCTGTTTTCACAAAAAAAAAATAATAATCATAATTAATCAGGTTTTGTGGCCTGTGCCTGTGGTCCCAGCTACTTGGGAGGCTGAGGTGGGAGGAGGCTTGAGACCAGGAATTTGAGATTTGAGGCTGCAGTAAGCTATGAACACACCACTGCATTCCAGCCTGAGCAAAGGAGCAAGACTGCCTCTTAAAAAAAAAAAAAAAATTAAAGTTAAAAAAGAAATGGGCCAGGTGCAGTGGCTCATGCCTATAATCCCAGCACTTTGGGAGGCCGAGGCGGGTAGATCACCTGAGGTCGGGAGTTCAAGACCAAGCCTGGCCAACATGGTGAAACCCCGTCTCTACTAAAAATACAAAAAAATTAGCCGGCCGTGGTGGCGGGCACCTGTAATCACAGCTACTCGGGAGGCTGAGGCAGGAGAATCCCTTTAACCTGGGAGGTGGAGGTTGCAGTGAGCAAAGATTGTGCCACTGAACTCCAGCCTGGGCAACAAAAGTGAAACTGTGTCTCAAAATAAATAAATAAATAAATGGATTTTTCCCTTTTGTAAACAGTAAATCACATCAGAGATATGACAGGCTTGATAGAGCAGAATATAGTGGGAAAAGCATGGCACTGGAGTCCAACAGAAATATCCCGACACCTGGCAGGCACTCACTCACACTAAGGAGTTACCCAATAAGCCTCAATTTCATCATCTGTAAATAAAAAAATAAAACTCACCTACCAAGTAAGTAGATGCCCCATAATAAAGAGTATTAAAATTAAAATCGAGATACTAGAAATTGATGATTATTTTCTCTTGATGGAAAGGTTGCAGGCAGGTTTCTTCGACAAAACGTGAAATACAAGACATTTATGTTAGCCAATTTTCTCTTATCACAATTATTGGAAAAAAATAAGTAATGACCTATTAAAATATTAATTTTAGGCACGTTTAATGTAACTTATTGATTTGATAAATATTATAGCCAAAATACAAAAATTCTGAAAAAGAGAAGGTAGAAATCCACAATACTCTAAGGCCATATTACCACTGTCACGATTTGGTGTACTTCCGGGCCTTCTTCCTTTCAGAACTGTAATCATGTCGCATAAGCCATTTGCATCCTGTTGATTTTCTCCGTTTAAGTCCAAACTGGAAGCATTTTTCCATTTAGTCTTCATAATCCTCACTTCTAACGATTGCATAACTGTCTACTCAAAACCGCTGCCCACAAGTAGCACTTAATAAACACTTTTAATGAAGGAGCAAATGCACACACCGTTATCGACCAAATCATTCCCCACTTACACCTTTTTCATGGAAAATGCCT
Organism: Homo sapiens; assembly: GCF_000001405.40. Classification (NCBI taxonomy): domain Eukaryota; kingdom Metazoa; phylum Chordata; class Mammalia; order Primates; family Hominidae; genus Homo; species Homo sapiens. The sequence goes on from NC_000010.11 coordinate 121,927,016, forward strand.
GTGTGTTTTCATGCGAATCTCGTTTTCCACAAAGCTAGACTGTTCTATTAAAATAATAGAGTCTACATTCTATATTGGCAAATGCATGGCAAGAGAGGAAATAAACACGATGTTTTGTTTACCAGCAACAAATCTCCCCCAAAGAAATCTGAATCACGATGGAAAAACAAAACAAACTTGTGGGCTGGCTTTGCTGTCGTCCGGGTGGGTGGAGGAAAGACACGGCATATAAGCAAATGGTAAAAATTTCAAACAGATCAGGACAAACAGAATCCCTCGCCGGTAGCGACCGCGGTCACCAGTTTCTTGTCCTTTTTTTTTTTAACTTTTTTTTTTTTTAACCCAGAGATGCAAAGGGCTCATCCTTCCTGTACATTCGTCCAGGGAAGTCTGATTCATACATGACCGGCACCTGTGTGCACACCCACAGCTCCCTCTGCACCGCGTTTCGCCCTCGCTCCCGGGACGCTCCCACCGCAGCACCCACCGGTCAGCCCCGGCCATTAACTACGGCTCTGGGGCGTTCCCTGGCACTGCGCGCCGTCCTTCACCTCACACAATCTACCCCAGACGGGCGTCCGTCTCCCGACTCTGGGGAGACCACCACGATTTCGAGAGTACGGGCACCGGTTAGGATTTTCCTGCAGAACAGGCACCGCGAAGCTGCCCCGCTAAGCCGGCGCCGCGGCCCTCCCGAGAGTGCCCCCTCCGTCTCGGCCGTGGCACTGGGGCCAGGGGCTCCGGCCCCCTCGCGTCCTCGCTGGGGGACCCTGGGATCCCGAGACCCGGGCGCCCGGCTTCCCACGCCCGCCGGCCCGGCTCGCTCACCATTGGAGCGGCTGCCCGACTCGTTCTTGCAGTAGCCGCAGCGGTAGAAGTCCTCGCTAGGGAAATAGTCCACGACGCTGGGCGAACCCCCCGCCCAGAAAGCCATGGCCTCGGCCCCGCGAACGCTCAGCCGCCCGGCCCCGCGTCGCTAGCGCGGCCGCCGCCGCCACCCCACAATGCAGCGCGCCGCCCGGGAGCCTCCCGAGGCTCGCGCGAAGCCACTCGGGCGCCCGCAGGCCCGGCCGGCCCGGCGCCTCTTGGAGCTGACGCCGCCCGCGCCATCTTGACCGAGGGCAGCTTTCCACTATTTCCGTTCCTTCTCCATAAGGGGCCGCCGTCGTCAGTGAGGGTGAGGCGGAGAGACAGAGCGGGAAGGGAAACAGGATGGGGAGAGTCAAGAGGGGAAGGGAAGCGGGAGTCGGGGTGCGAGCCTGCCCTTTCCCCCGCCGAGGGCCTGTGCGGGGCGCGGCGGCCGCGCCAACTCCGGCGTCGGGAACACTCACCGCAGGACGCTTTGCCCTCCTTGGAATCGCAGTAGCCGCAGTGGTAGCCGGCCCTGAGGCCCTTGTATTCCACCACCGACGCCATGGCCGCCGCGAGGGTCCGCTCGGGCCGACCACGCCTCTTGGCGCCCGGGGCCGACCTCGGCGAAGCGCTGGGGCCCGCGGCGGGAGGGGTGGAGAGCGAAGCCTGGCGCGGGGACCCGTGGGCGGGGATGGTGGTCGTGTCCCCAAGCCCTGCGTTTGGGCCGGTGCTTCCCACAGCTGTGCGTTATCAGCCCCATTTCACAGGTAAGGAAACTGAGGACCGGAGGTTGTGATTATCCCAAAGTCATTCCCGGCGGGTCTCGGATTGAAAGTCAGGCCGCCCCTGGCCACCGTGTAAGTGACTTGCTGGAGCTGCTTCCAGACCAGCTGGCACGCACTCCAGTGCCCTGAATACAAGAACACAAGCAGGTATTCCGTGAATGGCGAGGGTTCGCAAATTAAAGAACTCTTAACGGCTTTTAAAGGAAACAACTGTCAGCTAGAGACAGTTGCTGTCTTGTACCACTATAAGTCCGGTGCCTCATACGATTTTTAATGAGATGCTGGAAATACAGGGTTTGTTTGTTTTTTTTAACTCTACAGTCCAAACAAAACAGTTTTACAGGCTGAATCCAGCCCATGGGCCTCCATTTTGCAACCACTATTTTAAGGAAGATTTAAGGAATAAGAGTCTAGGGCAAAATATAAAATTGAGGCTCATGCCTGTAATCCCAGCACTTTGGGAGGCCGAGGCGGGCGTATCATGAGGTCAGGAGATTGAGACCATCCTGGCTAACACGTGAAACCCCGTCTCTACTAAAAATACAAAAAATCAGCCTGGCGTGGTGGTGGGCGCCTGTAGTCCCAGCTAGTCGGGAGGCTGAGGCAGGAGAATGGTGTGAACCCGGGAGGCGGAGCTTGCAGTGAGCCGAGATCACGCCGCTGCACTCCAGCCTGTGTGACAGAGCAAGACTCCATCTCAAAAAAATTTTTTAAAAAATGAGTTCCAGGGGCGGGCGCGGTGGCTCACGCCTGTAATCCCAGCACTTTGGGAGGCCGAGGCGGGTGGATCACGAGGTCAGGAGATAAGAGACCATCCTGGCTAACATGGTGAAACCCCTTCTCTACTAAAAAATACAAAAAATTAGCGGGACGTGGTGGCACGCGCCTGTAGTCCCAGCTACTCGGGAGGCTGAGGCAGGAGAATGGCGTGAACCCGGGAGGCAGAGCTTGCAGTGAGCAGAGATCGCGTCACTGCACTCCAGCCTGGGCGAAAGAGCGAGACTCCATCTCAAAAAAAAAAAAAAAGAGTTCCAACAAGGTAATATGCCTTATCTTTCCCTCTGCGTGCACAGATAATTTAAGCCTGTCTGTCCTCATAGTTTTCCCAGTCAACAATAAAGCTGATGATACAATATTGTTTTAAGTGTGTTTAAAAAAGTGAAATGAAACTCAGAGAAATAGAAATAAATTTTTGAGGTGAGTTTTGACATTCTTGACCCCAAGGGCCTGTGTTAGATATGTACCTAGCTGAAGGAGGTTTCTTGGTGGCCTGGTGACTTGTTGAAGGGGGCCAGCCCCTCCACACCTGTGGGTGTTTCTCGTCAGGTGGGACGAGAGACTGAGAAAAAAAGTAAGACACAGAGACAAAGTGTAGAGAACAGTGGGCCCAGAGGACCAGGGCTCAGCATACGGAGGACCCGCGCCAGCACTGGTCTCTGAGTTCCCTCAGTATTTATTGATCACTATCTCTACCATCTCGGTGAGGGGGATGTGGCAGGACTATAGAGTAATGGTGGGGAGAGGGTCAGCAGGAAAACGTGAGCAAAGATCTCTGTGTCATAAGTTTAAGGAAAGGTGCTATGCCTCAATGTGCACGTAGGCCAGATTTATGTCTGGCTTTACACAAACATTTTAGTGCAGTAAAGAGCAATATTGCCGCCAGCATGTCTCACCTCCAGCCATAAGGCGGTTTTCTCCTATCTCAGTAAATAGAACGTATGATCGAGTTTTACACTGAGACATTCCATTCCCAAGGAAAAGCAGGAGAGAGATGCCTTCCTCTTACCTCAACTGCAAAGAGGCCTTCCTCTTTCACTAATCCTCCTCAGCACAGACCCTTTATGGGCTGGGGGACGGTCAGGTCTTTCCCTTCCCACGAGGCCATATCTCAGGCTATCACATGGGGAGAAACCTTGGACAATACCTGGCTTTCCTGGGCAGAGGTCCCTGTGGCCTTCCACAGTGCATTGTGTCCCTGGATACTCGAGATTAGAGAATATCAATGACTTTTACCAAGCATACTGTCTTCAAACACATTTTTAACAAAGCACATCCTGCACAGCCCTAAATCCATTAAACCTTGAGTCAACACAGCACATGTCTGTGCAGGCACAGGGTTGGGGCTAGGGTTACAGATTAACAGCATCTCAAGGCAGAAGAATTTCTCTTAGTACAGAACAAAATGGAGTTTCTTATGTCTACTTCTTTCTACGAAGACACAGTAACAGTCTGATCTCTCTTTGTTTTCCCCACGCTTGTTAATACTGCCAAGCATCACTTGTGCCTCCCACAATCGGAAGGCACCTAAGGAGTGGCCATGTAATATCCAGCAGCTTCTCAGGCGTTCCTCCAACTTCTTAAACTTGAAAACTGCATGCTATATCTCAGTATTCATGTTCTTAAGTCAAGCTTCATCCATTTTGTTCTTTATGGCAGATTTGACTATTCCCAGTCCTTTCCCAGACCGGCTCTCATTTTGAACAAAAGCAAAGCCCGTGGAATGCATCAGAAAGAGAGCAGAATATGCTCTGGACAGAAGGTGGACCAGGAGGCTTTTTGGTCTTAATATTCCTGTCCCACTTCACTTCTGTCCCTCTAAAGCCTCATCCTTATCCTAAGTCCTACACTAACCTCAGCCAGGGCACTTCAAGACATGCCAGCCTTGAAAAATAATGAGAATGTCCAAAGTCCTAGGCATATGTGGTGTTTTTTGGTTTTTGATTTGTTTGTTTGTTTGTTTGTTTGAGACAGAGTCTAACACTTGCCCAGGCCGGAGTACAGTGGCATGATCTTGGCTCACTGCAACCTCTGCCTCCTGGGTTCAAGCAGTTCTCATGCCTCAGCCTCCCGAGTAGCTGGGATTACAGGAGTGCACCAGCATACCGGGCTAATTTTTTATTTTTAGTAGAGATGGGGTTTCACCATGTTGGCCAGGCTGGTCTCAAAGTCCTGACCTCAGGTGATCCTCCTGTCTCGCCCTCCCAAAGTGCTGGGATTACAGTTATGAGCCACTGCGCCTGGCTTGTCTTTTCTTTTTGAGGCAGTTTCACTCTGTTACCCGGGCTAGAGTGCGGTGCCACAATCAAAGCTTACTGCAGTCTCAACCTCCTGGGCTCAAGTGGCTGAGATTACAAGTGCACACCACCACGCCTGGCTAATTTTTGTATTTTTAGTAGAGACGGGGTTTCACCATGTTGCCCAAGCAGGTCTCAAACTCCTGAGCTTGGGAGCTCAGCCCACTTTGGCCTCCCAAAGCGCTGGGATTACAGGCGTGAGCCACTGTGCACGGCCAGCATATGTGTTAACTCCCTTAATTCTTATAGCAACTTCACAAGTTAGGAAATGTAGATCAGAGAGGCTAAATAACTTACCCAAGGTTAAACAACTAATAACAGACATTTGGAGGGAGAAAAGGTAATAAAGATAAAAGAAATCGAAATGGAAAAGAGATAAACAAATACTAGGTTTGGAGCTGTGTGAGTTCCTAAATGTCTATTTTGCTCAAGGTCAGAGGCAACTTTTTTGTCTTCCATGAAAAAAAAAAAATACATAGCTTCATTTAGTTTCCTCCTTTTTGGGGGAAAATGGAGGACACTATTAGAATGTCGTTCTGCTTATGAGATGCTAGCAATAGACAGTTGTCTTTGCTTTTCATTTTCTTACTTGACAATAACATGGTGACAAAAAAATTTTTCGGTCCCATTAACTTCTTTTTTTTTTTTTTTTTTGAGATGGAGTTTCACTCTCATCACCCAGGGTGGAGTGCAATGGCACAATCTCAGCTCACTGCAACCTCCGTCTCCCAGACTGAAGCAATTCTCTTGTCTCAGCCTCCTGAGTAGATTGGATTACAGGTGTGCGCGCTACCACGCCCAGCTAATTTTTGTATTTTTAGTAGAGACAGGGTTTCACCATGTTGGCCAGGCTGATCTTGAACTCCTGACCTCATGATCCCCCCCACCTCGGCCTCCCAATCCTGCTGGGATTACAGGCATGAGCCACTGTGCCCGGCCCCCATTAACATTTTTAATGTTATCAGATGTAATATTGAGTCTACAAAGCCACAAGTGTGAGGCTCGGCCCTAGGCCCTGGTGATGTGAAGGATCTTTGCATGGTGACAACAGGCTTAGATCATGTTTCTTAAAGGTAATAAAGTAAAACACATTCTCCTTTCCCTCTAAAGGTGTTGTAAGTAGATGGGACCTAAGTTAAGGCAGAGCAAAAAGGGTAAAATAAAGATAATCTGAGGACAGAGAGGAGGGACACTCCAGGAAGCAGGTTTGGGTTGTATGAGCAGAGGCAGGGAGGTGAACAGGAGCAGCAGGGTGCCTCAGGTGCCAGCAGAGTCCAGGAGGTGCTTTCCTCTGCAGGCCACTCACTGTCAGGAGCCCTAGATTGATCTCCTTTCCTCAACTATCTGGATCTGGCCACCAGTGTGGTAGATACTAGCCACATGTGGCTGTTGAGCACCTAAAATGTAGCTAGTGTGACTGGGGAACTAAATTTTTTTGTTTTATTTAAATTAATTTTTTTTTTTGAGACGGAGTTTTGCTCTTGTTGCCCAGGCCGTAGTGCAATAGCGCAATCTCGGCTCACCGCAACCTCCGCCTCCCGGGTTCAAGTGATTCTCCTGCCTCAGCTTCCCAAGTAGCTGGGATTACAGGCATGTGCCACCACACCCAGCTAATTTTGTATATTTAGTAGAGATGGGCTTTCTCCATGTTGGTCGGGCTGGTCTCGAACTCCCGACCTCAGGTGATCTGTCTGCCTCGGCCTCCCAAAGTGCTGGAATTACAGGCATGAGCTACCGCGCCTGACCCTAATTAATTTGAATTTTAAAACTACAACAGTACAGAACACACCAAGCAGGCACAAATGCCAAAAAGTCTACACAGGTGTATCATATATAAGGCACCAGAAATCAAAGACAGAAAATCTTGAAAGAAGCCAGAGGAAAAAAGAGACCTTACATATAGAGGAGCAACAATAAGAATTACATCACACCTCTCTTCAGAAACCATGGAAGCCAGGAGAGAGGAGAGTGAAGTATTTAAAAAATATTGAAAGAACAAAAAACAGCCTAGAATTCTATATCCAGAGAAATTATCCTTCAAAAGTGAAAGGGAATTAAAGACTATCTCAGATAAAAATGGAGGGAGTTTGTTGCCAGTAGACCTGCTTTCCAAGAAATGTTGAAGAAATTCTTCAGAGAGAAAGCAAATAGGCCGGGCATGGTGGCTCACGCCTGTAATCCTAGCACTTTGGGAGGCCGAGGCAGGTGGATTACCTGAGCTTAGGACTTTGAGACCAGCCTGGCCAACATGATGAAACCCCGTCTCTACTAAAAATACAAAAAATTAGCGGGGCATGGTGGTAGCACACACGTGTAATCCCAGCTACTCGGGAGGCTGAGGCATGAGAATCACTTGAACCTGGGAGGCAGAGGTTGCAGTGAACGGAGATCGCACCACTGCACTCCAGCCTGGGCGACAGAGCGAGACTACATCTCAAAAAAAAAAAAGAAGGCAAATAATGTGGCTCAGAAATTCAGATCTGCATAAAGAAAGGAAGAGCATTAGAGAAGGAATAAATGGAGGTAAAAATGTTTTTAACCTTAATTGATCTAACAGCAGTTGGCCACAGATAATAACAACAACTTGTATTTGGGCCAGGCATGGTGGCTCACGCCTGTAATCCCAGCACTTTGGGAGGCCAACGTGGGCGGATCACAAGGTCAAGAGATTGAGACCATCCTGGCCCACATGGCGAAACCCCACCTCTGCTAAAAATACAAAAAAATTAGCTGGGCATGGTGGCACGTGCCTGTAGTCCCAGCTACTCAGGAGGCTGAGGCAGGAGAATCGCTTGAACCTGGGAAGCAGAGGTTCCAATTAGCTGAGATCTCACCATTGCGCTCCAGCCTGGTGACAGAGCGAGACTCCATCTTAAAAAACAGAAAAAACGTGTATTTGGTAATTATAGCTTATGGGTAAGTAGTATGATCATTGAACCTTATGGAAATAAATGACGGCAGTGTTATAAGGGATGGGAGGTAATAAATGGAAATGCTGTTATAAGGTACTTGTGTGCTATTCATAAAGTGGTATAGTATTATTTGAAAGAGAATTTGGATTAGTTATAAACGTATACTGCAGGCTGGGTGCGGTAGCTAACACCTGTAATCCCAGCACTTTGGGAGGCCGAGGCGGGCAGATCACCTGAGGCCAAGAGTTCGAGACCAGCCTGGCCAGCGTGGAAAAACTGCATCTCTACTAAAAATGCAAAAATTAGCTGGGCATGGTGGCAGTCACCTGTAACCCAGCTACTTGGGAGGCTGAGGTAGGAGAATTGCTTGAACCTAGGAGATGGAGGTTGCAGTGAGCCAAGATCACGCCACTGCCCTCCAGCCTGGGTGACAGATCAAGACCCCATCTCAAAAAAAAAAAAAGTGTATACTGCAAACTCAAGGGCAACCATTTAAACTATGGAAATAAAAAGTTAAAATAAATGAAAATAATTTTAAAAATAAATTAAAAAGCAAAAACATTTGATAGACTAAATTAGGAGAAAAAATCAAATCATATTAAATGCTTAACTTAAAACCCGAAGAGGCAGGCCAGCCATAGTGGCTCACATCTGTAATCCTAGCACTTTAGGAAGCCGAGGCGGGCGGATCACCTGAGGTCAGGAGTTCAAGACCAGCCTGGCCAACATGGTGAAACCCCATCTCTACTAAAAATGCAAAAATCAGCCGGGCATGATAGCGTACGTCTGTAATCCCAGCTATTTGGGAGACTGAGGCACGAGAAATCATTTGAACCCAGGAGGCAGAGGTTGCAGTGAGCCAAGATCATGCCACTGCACTCCAGCCTGGGCAACGGAGCAAGACTCTTGTCTCAAAAAAAAAAAAAAAAGAAAAGAAAAGAAAAAAAAGAAGGCTGAAAAAGAGTGGAACAGAAAAAAAGAAAAGAAAAAAACCAAGAACAAGAGCAGAAAAAAAAAATAGTAACATGGGCCAGGCACGGTGGCTCAAGCCTGTAATATCAACACTTCGGGAGACTAAGGCATGCCAGGTCTGTCCCTCAGACCCTGGCTGACCAACGGATGAAATGAGTACTCAGACACAGGCATGAAGTGTCAGAGCAGCTAGTGCACTGCCCGGCTCAAGTGGCCAGAGTGCAGCCCCGAGAAGCTGGAGCTGCTTGCTTTTATTCAGTGCAAGTACAGTGCCAAAAGCCTGGAGCAAACACAATCTGTGGATAATTAACATTTATTGTTCCCCTTTCAGGGAACCTTGTGCAGATGTTCAAAGGTCAGTTTCTGGACAACTTCAAACACACGAGCCTGATCAAGATAACTTCCCCTTCACTCCCTTGCACATACTCCTCGCCCTCTGCCTCAGGGTTAGAGAACAGCTGCCTTCAGCTTTCTCCCCCGAAGCTATGCAGAGCCTTCTGACCTTAAAGAAGGCCTGCTCCTTTCCCTATAGTTTCTCCCACCACTCTGACTGATCTGCAAAGGCGGGTGGATCACTTGAGGCCAGGAGTTCAAGACTAGCCTGGCTAACGTGAAACCTCGTCTCTACTAAAAATACAAAAATTAGCCGGGCATGGTGGCACACACCTGTAATCCCAGCTACTCGGGAGGCTGAGGCAGGAGCATCGCTTGAACTTAGGAGGCAGAGGTTGCAGTAAGCTGAGATTGTGCCACTGCAGTCCAGCCTGGGCAACAGAATGAGACTATGTCTCAAAAAAAAAAAAAGTAACATGGCAAATATTAATCCAGCTATATCAATAATCACTTTAAATGTCAGTGATCTCAGACACCAGTTAAAAAACAGACTGTCAGCATGAATAAGCAAAACAAGACCCAACTATATGTTGTCTACAAGAAAACCACCTTAAATTTAAAGACACATTTAGATTAAAAGCAGAAGGATGGACCAATCATGGTGGCTTATGCCTATAATCTCAGCACTTTGGGAGGCCAAGGAGGGGATTGCTTGAGGCCAGGGGTTCAAGACCCTGGCGATATAGCAAGACCCTGTCTCTACAAAAAAAAAAAAAATGTTTTTAGCTGGGCCTGGTGGTGTGTGCCTGTAGTCTCAGCTACTTGGGAGGCTGAGGTGGGAGGACCACTTGAGCACAGGAGGTTTAGCTTGCTGTGAGCCATGATCACGCCTCTGACCTCCAGCATGGGCAACAGAGACCCTGTTTCAAAATTAAATAAGTAAATAAATGAGGAAGGTTATACCATGCTAACACTAATTAAAAGAAACCTAGAGTAGCTATATTAATTTCAGAAAAAAACAGACTTCACAGTAAAGAAAATTAGGAATAAAGAAGGGCATTACATAATGATAAAGAGATCCATTCTCTAAGAAGGCATAACAATCCTTTATGTGGGTACACCATCCAATAGAGTGGTAAACTACATCAGGCAAAAACTGATAAAACTACAAGGAGAAATAGATGAATCCACTATTATACTAAGAGACTTCAACACCCCTCTGTCAGTAATTGATGCATCTACCAGGAAGAAAATCAGTAAAAATATAGTTGAATCAAATAACATCATCAGTCAACTAGATCTAATTGACATCTATAGAATTCTTCACCTAAGAGTTTCTTCTCAAGCTCACAACATTCACCAAAGTAGACCACATTCTGGACCATAAAAAAATCAGCTTAACACATTTTAAAGACTAGAAAACCTGCAGTGTCTGCTTTCAGACCACAATGGCATTGAACTAGAAATTAATAACAGATATTAGCCACACACAGTGATGTGTGCCTATAATTCCATCTACTCAGAAGAGTGAGGCAGAGAATCACTTGTGCCCAGCCTGGGCAACTTAGCAAGACCCTGTCTCAAAAAAAAAAAATGACAGCTGGAAAATTCCAACATACTTGGAGATTAAACAACACACTTATAAATAACGCTTTGGTGAAAGAATAAGTCTCAAGAGAAATTTAGAAATACATTGAACTAGGCTGGGCGTGGTGGCTCACGCCTGTAATCCCCATATTTTGGGAGGCTGAGGCAGGCAGATGACCTAAGGTCAGGAGTTCGAGACCAGCCTGGCCAACGTGATGAAACCCTGTCTACTAAAGATACAAAAATTAGCCAGGCATGATGGCAGGCGCCTGTAATCCCAGCTACTTGGGAGGCTGAGGCGGGAGAATCGCTTGAACCCGGAAGGCGGAGGTTGCAGTGAACGGAGATCATGCCATTGCACTCCAGCCTGGGAGACAAGAGCGAGACTTCATCACACACACACAAAAAAAAAAAGAAAAAGAAAAAAAGAAATATATTGAACTAAATGAAAATGAAACCACAACTTAAAATTTGTGAGATTTAGCAAAACCAGTGCTTAGAGGGAAATGTATAGCAGTAAATGCATTCTTTAAAAAGGAGATCTAAAATCAATATTCTACCTTCGAAGGCTAAAAAAAGGCCAAATCCCAAATAAGCAGAAAAAAATAATGATAATTGGAGTAGAAATCAAAGAAATTAAATAGGGGAAATGGGTACAGAAAATCAGTGAACCCAAAAGTTGGTTCTGTGAAATAAAATTGATAAACCTCTAGTAAGGTTAAGGAAAAAAAAGAAGACTAATTACTGGTATCAGAAGTGAAAGAGGGACCATCACTACTGATCCATGGACCTTTATTGTCCATTATCCATGAGTAATAAAGGGGGATATAATTAAAACTCTGTGCCCACAAATATGACCACCTAGAGAAAATTGATGGATTCCTTAAAAGGTAGAATCTGCCAAAACTCACCAAAGAAGAAAAAGATCTGAATAGGTCTGTATCTATTAAAGACGTTTAATGAATGACTAATGACTGAAAACAGAAGCGCCAAGCACAGATGGGTTCGCTAGTAGATTCTACTTAACATTTGTGGAAGAAATTATACCAGTTATGTATAGTCTCTTCCAGAAAATAGACGCAAAGGGGATACTTTCTGACTCATTCTGTGAGGCCAACGTTATTCTAATACCAAAATCAAATCTGACAATGTATAGGAAGAATTATACACCATCACCAAGTAGGATTTACTCCAGGTATGCAAGACTGGTTCGATATTAGAAAAGCAATTACTGTAGCCCATCACCTCAAATCAGAAAGAAAGTCATATGATCATATCAGTAGATATGGAAACAGCGTTTGACAAAATTCAATACCCATTCATGATAAATACTCAGCAAACTAAAATACAGGAGACCTTCCTCAATTTAAGAACATCTACTAAAGTCTTACAGCTAACATCATACTTAATGGTGAGAAACTAGGTGGTTTCTCCTAAAAAATGATCTTATATCTCCTGATCTTAATCAGGAACAAGGCAAGGATGTCCTCTCTTACCATTTCTATTCAATGTCTTAGCAGAAGTCCTAGTGAATGTACTAAGACTATAAAAGGAAACAAAGGTATATAGATTAGGAAGGAATTAAACTGTCTTTGTTTGCAGATGATATGATTGTCTATGTGGAAAATCCCAAAGAAACAGCAACAACAAAAAAAAGCCTCCTGGAACTAATGACCAATTACAGGAAGGTAGCAGGATACAGCCTTGTTAATATCCAAAATAAATTGCTTTCCTATATATCAGAAATGAACAGGCTAGCTGGGCACAGTGGCTCACATCTGTAATCCAAGCACTTTGGGAGGCCGAGGCAGGTAGATCACCTGAGGCCAGCAGTTCGAGACCAGCCTGTCTAACATGGTGAAACCCCATCTCTACTAAAAATACAAAAATTAGCCCAGCGTGATGGCACATGCCTGTAATCCCAGCTACTCAGGAGGCTTAGTCAGGAGAATCACTTGAACCCAGGAGGTGGAGGTTGCAGTGAGCTGAGATCAAGCCACTGCACTCCAGCTTGGGTGACAGAGTGAGATTCTGTCTCAAAAAAAAAAAAAAAGAAAAAAAAGAAAAAAAAGAAATGAACAGGCCAGGCACAGTGGCTCATGCCTGTAATCCCAGCACTTTGGGAGGCCAAGGCAGGCAGGTCACTTGAGGTTAGGAGTTCAAGACCAGCCTGGCCAACATGGCAAAACCCCATCTGTACTAAAAATACAAAAATTAGCCAGGCGTGGTGACATGTGCCTGTAATCCCCAGCTACTTGGGAGGTTGAGGCACAAGAATCACTTGAACTCAGGAGGTGGAGGTTGCAGTGAGCCAAGGTCATCCCACTGCAGACTGCATTCCAGCCTGGACGACAGAGCAAGATCCTGTCTCCAAAAAAAAAAGAGGAATGAACATTTACAGTTTGAAATTTAAAATAATACCATTTACATTAGCAACGAAAAAAGAAATAAGTATAAATCTGACAAAATATGTTTAATGTCTGATATGGTTCGGTTGTGTCCCCTCCCAAATCTCATCTTGAATTGTAGTTCCCATAATCCCCACGTGTCATGGGAGGGACCAGGTGGAGATAATTGAATCATGGGGGGCGATTTCCCCCATCCTGTTCTTGTGATAGTGAGTTAGTTTTCACGAGATCTGATGGTTTTATAAGAAGTTTCCCCCTTCGCTGGACACTCACTCTGTCTCCTGCTGCCCTGTGAAGAGATTCCTTCTGCCATGATTGTAAGTTTCCTGAGGCCTCCCCAGCCATGTGGAACTGTGAGTCAATTAAACCTCTTTACTTTATAAACTGCCCAGTCTCGGGTATGTCTTTATCAGCAGTGTGAGAAAGGACCAATACAATATCTATGTGAGGAGAACTACAAACCTCGAAATAAAGAATGAAATAAATGAAGAGAGAATCTATGTTCGTTGAAGGAAGATGAATGTTGTTAAGACATCAGTTTTTTACAACTTGATCTTCAGATTCTGAGTAGTCCCAGTCAGAATCCTAGGAAGTCATTTTCTGAATATCAACAAACATTCAAAAGTTTATATGGACAGCCAAAAGACCCATAATAACCAAAACAACACTGAAGAACAACAAAGTTGGAGGACTGACGCTACTGGACTTCAAGACTTGCTATAAAGCTAGTCATCAAGATAGTGTAGTATTGGTGAAAGAACAGATAGATAAATGGAACAGAGAGCCCAGAAATAGACTCATACAAATACAGCCAACTGATCTTTTGCAAAGGAGCAAAGGCAAGTCAATGGAAAAGTGATAGTCTTTTCCACAAATGGCACAGAACTGGACATCCATATGCAAAAAAAAAAATACATCTAGACACAGTCCTTATATCCAATGTAAAAAATTAACTCAAAATGAATTATAAACCTAAATGTAAAATGCAAAATTGTAAAACTCCAAGGTAATAACATAGGAGAAAGTCTAGGTGACCTTGGGTTTAGTGATGACTTTTTAGATATAACACTAGAAGCATGATCCATGAAAGAAAAAAAATTAAGTAATACTTCATTAAAATTTAAAACTTTCTGCTCTGTGAAAGATACTGTTGGCCGGGCATGGTGGCTCATGCCTGTAATCCCAGGACTTTGGGAGTCCGAGGCAGGCGGATCATCTGAGGTCAGGAGTTTGAGACCAGCCTGGCCAACATGATGAAACCCCACCTCTCCTAGGAGTAGAAAAATTAGCCGGGCATGGTGGCGCACACCTATAATCCTAGCTACTTGGGAGGCTGAGGCAGGAGAATCGCTAGAACCTGGGAGGCAGAGGTTGCAGTGAGCCGAGATCACGCCATTGCACTCCAGCCTGGGTGACAGAGCAAGACTCCATCTAAAAAAAAAAAAAAAGATACTGTTAAGACAATGAAAAGACAAGCCACAGACTGGGAGAAAAAAACTGCAAAACACGTATTTGATAAAGGACAGGTATCTAAAACACACAAGGAACTCTTAAAACTTAACAATAAAAAAGCAAACAGCCAAATTAGAAACGGGCAAAAGATTTTAACAGACAATTAAAGATAAACAGATGGCAGATAAAACATATGAAGAGATGCTCAGCATTACATGTTATTAGAGAACTTCAAATTAAATCAAATCAACAATGAGATGCCTTTACACAACTATTAGAATGGCTAAAGTTTGACAACACCAAATGCTAGCAAGGATGTGGAGCAACAGGAACTCTCATATGTCACCGATGGTGAGGCAACATGCACTGCAACCACTTTGGAAGACAGTTTGGCAGTTTCTTACAAAACTAAACATACTCTTACCATACAATCCAGTGATCGTGCTCCTTGTTATATACCCAAAGCAGTTGAAAACTGACGTCCACACAAAAACCTGCACACAAATGTTTATTGCAGCTTTATTCATAATTGCCAAAACTTGGAAGTAACCAAAATGTCTTTCAGGAGGTGAAAGGATAAACAAACTGGCACATCCATATAATGGAATGTTACTCACTAATAAAAAGAAATGAGCTGGATTGCCATTCTCAAGTCATGAAAAGACATAAAGGAACCCTAAAAGCATAATGCTAAGGGAAAGAAGCCAATCTGAAAAGCCTATATAGTATATGATTCTAACTATATGACTTCTGGCAAAAGCAAAACTCTGGAGACAGTAAAATGATCAGAGGTTGCCAGGGGTTCAGGGTATTGAGGGATGGAAAGATGAATAGGTACAGACATGAGATTTTTAGGGCAGTGCTACTATTCTGTATGAAACAGTAATAATGGACACGTGTCATATACTCGTCAAAACTCATATAAGGTACAAGATAAGGAGTGAATCTTAATGTAAACTATGGACTTCAGTTAATAATAATGTATCAATATTGATTCCTCAGTTATCACAAATGTACCACACTAATACAAGATGTTTATAATAGGAGGAACTTGTGGAGAGAAGGTATGTAGGAATTCTCTGTACTTTTCAGTCAATATTTTTGTAAACCTAAAGTTGCTCTAAAAAAAGAAAGTTGATTAAAGAACAGCAGTGTAAAATCTTTGTATGTTGATTACATGTTGGTTGACAATATTTTGGATATACTATGTTAAAGCGTATCACTAAAACTAAATCACCTATTTATTTTTATTTTTTTAAACTCCTAGAAAATTTTCTATTACATCTGTGACTCACATTCTAATTTTGTTGAACAGTGCTGGTCTAGAACCAGGTTCTTGCACCTCTAGTGTACCAGCCCAATTCTCTGTCTCTGCTTCTAGGCCCTATGGTTTCAGGATCTTTTATCAAGCATCTCTTCTTTTTAATCACTTTGCTGTTAACAGCATTTCAGAGTCTTTATTTGTTTTGGAAAGTCATCAAGATTCCTCTGCATCATGTCCTGGCTTCAGTGTCCCTTCCCCATACTGTACTCTATATTCTGGCTTCCAGCATCCCCCTGTGTATGTGGTACTCTGGCTTGTGTAACTTCCTCTTGTTAACAACCAGTTTGATTGAGTCATCTCCTGGCTGGTCTCAGGAGTATTCCCACATTTCTGCTCAGATTGTGCTCTCAATCTACTTCAAGAAGCACTTCCTTTTCCAAGAAGGCCTCTGTCTTCAGTTCCACCTCACATTAAAGACTCCAGCCCTTTGTTATCTCTCAATATGTAAGCAATGCATTTTTACCCCTTTATTACACTTGTGATATATTTGCATATAGTTCTTTCCCGCCTACTTGGATTGTAAGTTCACCAAAAGTAGACTGTTGCCACTCCTTTGATATTCCAAGGTTGTGTGGGATGGCATATGCATGAGATCACAGGCTTTGTTTTTAGACATTGGTGTTTAAGTTGCAGTCTCCCACTTAGCATCTTTGTGGCCTTAAACATGTCACTTAACTCTCTTAAAGTTTCCTCATACGTAAAATGGGGATGATATTCCTATCACCTCATAGGATTGTTGGAGGGGTCCGTGTTTGGTGTTTAGATGCCATTGGATGCACTCAGACTTCTGCAAAATGGAGACAGCAGGCAAGGCGCTGTTTCCAATGCCAAAAGTTGCTCTTGCATTTTACTGTGAAGTTCATATCAAGTTCACTTTATGTGAGAAGGGGTTAACAACCCTTTCCATTCAATCACCACCATCTTCTCCATGAGCTAGGACTTCCCATAACTCTTTAAACACATTTCATGATTTTTTATGAAGGATTAAAATTTAGGTGTGTGAAGATCAGAGTCATTTTCTTCACAACTCAGGCAGTCTTTCACTTACAGAGCAAAGCCCAGTCTTGCTCATAGTTTGTTTCAACCTGATTTACTATCAGAAAAGTTCTCTGTTTATTTTACTGGCTTAAAAATATTCTTTCTCTGGTCTAGTTTCTCTTGTCAGAAAAGAGAAACAATTTACAACATAGTACTTAAATAAAAAGTAATTTTAGGTCCGTGTGATTTTCTTTATATAAGTGTTATTTTAATTTAAGCTGATTACTTAAAGGGAGGCTTACACTCAGGACTGCATATTTTTCTTTATCAAAAAAGAGGCTTCTCTTTTTTCACATGAGGGTAAATAAGAGGCTGCCTTTTAGCACTTCACACAATGCCTGACTCTTAGCCAATGAATGAAAGGGGCTTGTGGTATCCTATGGTCCCGTCAGGTCATAGATGTATAAGAATTTTGGCTGAATTAATATCACATGAGTTTGAAATCTGAGTGACATGGTTTTTATCAATTTTAAAATGGTGTTATGTTTGGTTTGGAGATCAAGTTAATATAAAATGTAGAATGAAACGTAATTTAATGCTTTTGAACCATTACATGACCTGATGTTTGAAATTCTTTTCTAAAGCATAAAATACATGTATTGTTTGTTTGTTTGTTAATTGAGATGGAGTCTCACTTTGTTGCCCAGGCTGCAGTGCAGTGGTGTGATCTCAGCTCACTGCGACTTCTGCCACCCAGGTTCAAGCGATTCTCGTGCCTCAGCTTCCTGAGTAGCTGGGACTACAGGCACGTGCCACCACGTCTAGCTAATTTTTTGTTTTGTTTTGAGACAGAGTCTCGCTCCATCGCCCAGGCTGGAGTGCAGTGGTGTCATCTCCACTCACTGCAAGCTCCGCCTCCTGGGTTCACGCCATTCTCCTGCCTCAGCCTCCTGAGTAGCTGGGACTACCCACTACCACACTCCGCTAATATTTTGTATTTTTAGTAGAGATGGCGTTTCACCATGTTAGCCAGGATGGTCTCAATCTCCTGACCTCGTGATCCGCCTGCCTCGGCCTCCCAAAGTGCTGGGATTACAGGTGTGAGCCACCGCGCCCGGCCATGTATTTACTTTTATAGCTATTTATGAATATTATTTTGGGGGGCTATAGTTTTTTTTGGTTTTGTTTTTTTGGGTTTTGGGGTTTTTTTTTTTTTTTTTTTTTTTAGACAGGGTCTCACTCTGTTGCCCAGGCTGGAGTGAGTGGCGCCATCTTGGCTCACCAACAGGAGGCTACTCAGCCTTCTGACTAGCTGAGATTACAGGCATGCGTCACCATGCCCCGCTAATTTTGTATTTTAAGTAGAGACAAGGTTTCTCCATGTTGGTGAGGCTGGTCTCAAACTCCTCGACCTCAGGTGATCCGCCAGCCTCGGCCGCCCAAAGTGCTGGGATTATAGGCGTGAACCACCGAGCCCGGCCTAAATTTTTTTTTGTAGAGATAGAAGTCTCACTCTGTTGCTCAGGATGGACTTGAATCCCTGGGCTCAAGTGACCCTCCCGCTTGGCCTCCCACAGTGCTGGGATTATAGGCATAAATCATCACATCTGGCTGGGCTACAGTCTCAATTACTTCTCTGCACATGGCACATTTCGGGAGGGACAGATTTAATTCCTAAGAATCCAGGTAATTAATTACTGTATTTTTTCCTTTTCACATTTTTTTTTTAAGATGGAGTCTCGCTCTGTTGCCCAGGCTGGAGTGCAGTGGCGCAGTCTTGGCTCATTGCAACCTCTGCCTCCCAGGTTCAAGCAATTCTTGCACCTCAGCCTCCCAAGTAGCTGGGATTACAGGCGCACACCACCACGCCTGTCTACCTTTTTGTATTTTTAGTAGAGTTGAGGGTCTCACCATGTTGGCCAGACTGGTCTCGAACTCCTGACCTCAGATGATCTGCCCACCTCGGCCTCCCAAAGTGCTAGGATTACAGGCATGAGCCACCACGCCTGGCCCACATTTGTTTTAAAGAACTAGAGATGTCTCAATGGGCTACACGATGACTTTGGATGAATGCGGCTTGCATACATGGTAGAGAGTATCTTGAAGTGAATAGACAGAATCATTTTCATTCATTTGTACTTCAATACTGGTATTTTTTTTGCTTCCTATTTTTTTGGAGACAGAGTGTCATGCTGTCGCCCAGGCTGGAGTGCAGTGGCGCAGTCTTGGCTCATGGCAGCCTCCGGCTCCCAGGTCCAAGAGGTTCTCTTGCCTCAGCCTCCCGAGTAGCTGGAACTACAGGTGCGCATCACCATGCTCAGCTAATTTTTGTATTTTTTAGTAGAGATGGGGTTTCACCATATTGGCCGGGCTGTTCTCGAACTCCTGACCTCATGGTCTGCCCACCTCGGCCTCCCAAAGTGCTGGGATTACAGGTGTGAGCCACTGCGCCTGGCCATATATTTACTTTTTGTAACTATTTATGAATATGATTTTGGGTGTTTGTTTTTGTTTTTGTTTTTGTTTTGAGACAGAGTCTCACTCTGTTGCCCAGGCTGGAGTGTAGTGGCACAATCACGGCTCACTGCAGCCTTGACCTCCCAGGCTTAAGCAATCCTTCCACTTCAGCCTCCCAAGTAGCTGGGACCCCAGGCATGCCACCAAGCCTGGCCAATTTTAAATTTTTCTTTTTTCTTGAGATGGAATTTTGCTCTTGTTGCCCAGGCTGGAGTGCAATGGCACAATCTTGGCTCACTGCAACCTCTGCCTCCTGGGTTCAAGCAATTCTCCTGCCTCAGCCTCCTGACTAGCTGGGATTATAGGCATGCACCACCATGCCCGGCTAATTTTGTATTTTTAGTAGAGACAGGGTTTCACCATGTTGGTCAGGCTGGTCTCGAACTCCCGACCTCAGGTGATCCGCCAGCCTCAGCCTCCCAAAGTGCTGGGATTACAGTCATGAGCCATTGAGCCTGGCCTAAATTTTTTTTTGTAGAGATAGAAGTCTCACTATGTTGCTCAAGATGGTCTTGAACCTGTGGGCTCAAGTGACCCTCCCACTTGGCCTCTCAAAGTGCTGGAATTATAGGCATAAACCACCACATCTGGCTGGGCTACAGTCTGAATCACTTCTCTGCACATGGCACATTTTGGGAGGGACAGATTTAATTCCTAAGTAAGAATCCAGGTAATTAATTACTGTATTTTCTCCTTTTCACATTTGTTTTAAAGAACTAGAGATGTCTCATTGGGCTACATGATGACTTTGGATGAATGCAGCTTGCATACATGGTAGAGAGTATCTTGAAGTGAATATACAGAATCATTTTCATTCATTTGTATTTCAACATTTCAACACTGGTACCTTTTTTGCTTCCTGCTTCCTCCTTTTTTTTTTTTTTTTTTTTTTTTGAGACAGAATGTCACTCTGTCACCCCAGCTGGAGTACAGTGGCGTGATCTTGGCTCACTTCAGCCTCTGCCTCCCGGGTTCAAGTGATTCTCCTGCCTCAGCCTCCCGAGTTGCTGGGACTACATGCACGCACCACCATGCCTGGCTAATTTTTGTATTTTTTAGTAGAGACAGGGTTTCACCATATTGCCCAAGCTGGTCTCGAACTCCTGACCTTGTGATCCACCCGCCTCAGCCTCCCAAAGTGCTGGCATTACAGGCGTGAGCCACTGTGCCCGGCCTGCTTCCTATCTTTAAAGACCAGTTATCAACATAAATAATATGTGACTAAAAATATATTAAAGTGTGTTAAAGCTAAAACCTCCCCAGCATTAGTATTTAGCTGAGTGACACCCCAGCTAAGTGATGATGAGGCCACATGACTAAGCCAATTGCCCACTCACCCAGCCTCCTCCAACTACTGTGAATATGCATACAGCATCCTCTCCAAGGGTTTACACTGATTCCATTTCCATGGAGAATACTCAACATATATGCCAAAGAAAAGCAAATCAGATGCTTTCATTGCCTTTTACATTGTTTTCTCTGCACTGAGATGGGATGCCTGTGCCTGTTGAAACACAGCCCCTTTTAGCTTCTCTCTCTGACCATTCAGCCCAGCTTACACTGAGTGAAGCCCATTCCCTGCCAACCATACTATGTCTTCACATACTGCCTCACAGTAGTCTCAGTCTAGGATAGCGATGACACACAGAAAAGCTTGTGACTGCTTCTGGTTGCCTTAGAAATCAGCCCAAGGCATCCTGAAGGATCAATAGTAGGTAGCTGAAAGTCTGAAAGAGGGTCAGAAACTTTAATGTCTGGAAAACAGTGCTTTGCAGAATAGAGAATGAGTGATTAGAACATGGGAGAGCAGACACTGAGAGTTGGAGAGAGAGGAGCAAAGATGTATATAAAGCTGGCAATTGATAGGGCAATGGTGGAAGCAAAAGGCGTCATAACAGCATGAGGCAGTGACTCAAGGTGCTATGAGGAGGAAGTGGAACGGGACTAGCGAAGGATCAACAAACAGGATCTGAGTCTTTGGTGACAGACTCCGAATGATTGAGGCTGAGTGCAGAGGAACAGTAGGTATTATTTTCCTGCTATTTTGGGCAAGAGAATATTCAGCTATCTGAGAATAAGTATAGCCCAAGGATGAAAATGATGAGCTCTGGAGTCATGTAGGCACATATCTTGACTCTGAAACTACTCCTGGGGCCTTTGACAAGTCATGAAACCTCTCATAGCCTCAGTCCCTTTGCTAAGATTAGGGGATAATAAAGACCTATCTCATAAGACTGTTTGGAAGGCTAAGTAAAATAATCCATTTAAGTTCATAGTGTAATGCCTAGTGTATACTAAACTCAATAAATGTTGCTATGGAAACAATATAAGAACCTCTTAGAAAAGAAAAATATAAAACAGTATTATGAGTCTGTCTTTTTAAGAAATTAGCTTTATTAATACTTACTAGACAAATAGTCTTTTGTTTTTTCCAGTTCTGTCTTACAAAATCTTTCCCTTATTTTGCTAAGAGAAACCAAAGAAAACAAAATATTTATAACGCAGGTTGTTAAACATAGAACCTATTTACTAACTAATCAGATTAAGAAGAGGTCTCCAGGATGCTTAAACATGACTGTTCTCTATCCTAAGTAACATATTTCTCAGCTATATTTTTCTGCATTAAATTTTAAAAAACTTTTGTCATACAGTTTTATTACCAGTTTAAAATGTAAACCTTTGTCAAGAATCATGAAAGATGTTAGATAGCTGTTGTTGGAAATTAATGACAGCTTATAAATTATATTGCTTGCTAATAACTTTGCACATAACTGCACTTAAAATGTACATACCAACTTTTGCTTGTTTTCTTGTACTTACCGACTTTGAAAACTTTTCTCATCAAAGCTAAGTTCTTTGTCCTAGCAATAATATACAAAAACAGTGGTTTGTGATATTTGAAATAGCAATATGGTCTTCTCTGTCCAGTGTTAATATAAAGGTACTTCTGACAGTTTCAGCCCCAAACAAAATGCGGCTCTCTTTGTTTATTCAAATTTTATCAGAGTGCATTCCTTCCTTCCTTCGGGCAAAGACAGAAGTTAAACATACCATAGAGTCCTGCCTGTTGGCAGAGAGAAATGCCTTCTGCTATACATGGAAATTGTGTCCCAAATCAACTCCCTAATATAATTCACACTAGAGCATGTTTCCTGAAACCTTTCTCCAAATCCTAGTATAATTTCTCTTTTTGATCTTCTAGATTGGCCTGGGCTAAAAATACTCAAGACCCTCAGATTGCAGTAGGGTCCTATTCCCCATTAGAAAAGAAGATTCAGGTGAGGAAATACATTTACCATGGAGTTTGGAGCCAGTAATAATCATAATCATAAAAAGCTTATCCCTGAGGTAGAAGGGGCCCAAGTGTTTCGAGGGAAAGTGCTCTCTGCCTGTTTAGTTCAGCATTTGGTTCAGTGAGCACCAATGGTGCTGGCCGGACAGCACTGAACAGAGAATAACCACCCCTGCCCCCACAAAGGGGTGCTTAGTCTAGTGAGGAGCATTGATATTAGACAAACAGCATAAATTACTGTAAGTGTCATGGAAGGATGAGGTTTTCTCTGAGAGAGTTTGTGGAAGATCTGAGGGAGTGACGTTTAAGCTGAAATTGAAGAGTGGTCTACATAAGGACCATAGTAGTCCCAGCTACTCAGGAGGCTGAGGCAGGGGAATCGCTTGAACCCAGGAGGCGGAGGTTGCAGTAAGCCGAGATTGTGCCACTGCACTCCAGCCTGGTGACAGAGCAAGACTCTGTCTCAAAAAAAGAAAAAAACCAGTGACGACCTAGACAAGAGCAGTCAGTGAAGTAGTGGGGGGAAAAGGGGGTGGGGGATGAAAACCCAGCAAAAGTGGATTGAGGAGAAAAGGTGAGGTGAGAAAATGGAGAAGGAACACAGG
Organism: Homo sapiens; assembly: GCF_000001405.40. Lineage (NCBI taxonomy): Eukaryota > Metazoa > Chordata > Mammalia > Primates > Hominidae > Homo > Homo sapiens. The sequence continues at coordinate 121,950,107 of NC_000010.11, forward strand.
TAACTACTCAAATTATATTGTGAAGAGGAGTAAAAAAGGCGGGTAAAAACCGGAGCAGGGTGTACAATAGAGGAAGAGCTTTCCTCTTTTGTTAAAGATGACATATACTGAAGCCTATTTGTATGTGGATGGGAGTGACCCAGCAGCAGGGAGATTTTGGGGAAAGGGAATCTGATAATTGCAAAATTGAGTCTTGAAGCTCAACAAGCACAGGTGGAAGGCTTGGCTTTGGAAAGGCACAGGGGCAGCGTTTCCTCTGTAAAGGCAGGAAGGCAGAGTTGGGACAGAGGCAAGGTGGTGGTTCTGGCAGCGAGGAGGGAGGAGCTCCGGAGGGACTGCTTCTGATTCCTCAGGGAAGGCTACGGCAAAGTCCTCAGGTAGGAGGGAACACTGCAGGAGGAGAGTGTAGGAGGTATGTGGGGCTGGGCACGGTGGCTCACAACTGCAATCCCAGCACTTTGGGAGGCCGAGGCGGGCAGATCACTTGGGGTCAGGAGTTCGAGAACATCCTGGCCAACATAGTGGAACTTTGTCTCTACTAAAAATTACAAAAATTAGCCGGGCATGGTGGCACACATCTGTAGTCCCAGCTACTCAGGAGGCTGAGGCAGGAGAATTGCTTGAACCCAGGAGGCGGAGGTTGCAGTGAGCTGAGATCATACCACTGCACTCCAGCCTGGGTGACAGTGCAAGACTCCATCTAAGAAAACAAAAAAGTGTCCCTAACTGGGACATGGTGTAGGAGTTTTAGATCTGTACCATGGAAATAGAATAAAGGACATCCAACTTAAAATGTTCTAATACTTCCCTTTCATAAGGGTTTAGGTGGTGTCCATCCTTTTTTTTGAGATGGAGTCTTGCTCTGTCGCCCAGGCTGGAGTGCAGTGGTGCGATCTCGGCTCATTGCAACCTCCACCTCCCAGGTTCAAGCGATTCTCCTGCCTCAGCTTCCCAACCAGCTGGGACAACAGGCGTATACCACCACGCCCAGCTAATTTTTGTATTTTTAGTAGAGATGGGGTTTCACCATATTGGCCAGGCTGGTCTCAAACTCCTGACCTCAGGATCCACCCACCTCGGCCTCCCAAAGTGCTGGGATTACAGGCATGAGCCACCACGCCCAGCCTAGGTGGTGTCCATTCTTCAGAAGTGAGGAAACTGTTTAGTCCACAAGTTTCAGCAGGAGAATGAAACACTTCATAAACTTAAGGCCGTGTCTTCTGATTTCCAGTTTGCTAAAGCAGAGGCGTACTACTATCAATAGCATCAAGAAATGATGATGGAAGAAGCATGGAAATACAATATGGTTCCAAAATGGGAAACTAAAATAGAGGAAGAGGAAAAGAGATCACAACGTGAGAAAACAGAAGATACTAAAAAATGGGACTATCTAGTGCCTGAGAGGGAACTGAGTCTTACAAAGAAACATATACCAGGCTGAACAAACCAGAGGCCTCAGAGACCACAAACACCGACTGCTCCCTCAAAGAATTCCCAGTGAAATACTTTCCCCTAAAATACTAACACGGGAAAAGGATGGAAAGCATGAAAATATCCAGAAAACACACAAAACTGAAACCAGTAAGCACAAGGTGGCATGGACAAAGGAACAGATGAAGGGACACCAAGACCGAATGATCTGAGGGAGAGAACTCAAAGCAAAGACACGCTCAGAAGCGCTCCAGCCCCGTTCCATCTTTCCTAAAATCTCAAGTGGAAAAAGAGAAGGTGAAAGAGTTTGAATGGGTCACAGCTTATCCAATTTTGCAACCTTACCAGAAAGCACTTAGGAAAGTGATGATTCTGATGGAGAAATAAGAAAAAAGAGAGTATAAAATTAAGAAACCACTCTGAAGGGAGCTCTTGAGTATGCCACCATTTTTGAGAAGTCAACTAGAAAAAAATAAGGTTTAAATTATTTTATATTTTTTAGACTAGCATACTTTTAATCATTAATGCAATAAAACATATACTCCCCTGGTTTTTTTAAGTGCATCAAACTGGCAAAAATTAAAAAAGCCACAAGCACAGTATTTCCAAGTGTTTCAGCTGGCTGTGTGACAACTCTAAAACTTAGTGACTTAAAGCAACCACCACTTTATTATATCTCGCAGTTCTATGTCAGGAAATCAGACAGAGCTCAACTGGACATTTCTGTCCCATGAGGTACCACCAGAGCTGCCTGGGGATATTCAGGTGATGACTGGGCTCATCTGGAGGGTCCAAGATGGCTTCCCCACATGCCCTTGGCAGGGAAGGCTAGAAAGCTGGGCCTCCCTGGCCCATCTCTCATTTGCAGCTCTCCATGTGGTTTCAGTGCCACGTGGTAGTTGGACTTATTATTCGGTGACTCACGACTCCACGAATGTGTATTCCAAGAGGCCTGTTGGAAGCTAGAAGGCTTCTTATGACTTAGCCTCACAAGTCCCAGAACATCACTTCTGTATTCTACTGGTCACATAAGTCACCAAGACCAGCTTAAATCCAAGGAAAGGGAAAGCGGACTCCTATCAAAAAAACTTTGGGCTGGGCATGGTGGCTCCCACCTATAATCCCAGCACTTTGAGAGGCTGAGGCAGGCGTTATCACTTGAGGTCAGGAGTTCAAGACCAGCCTGGCCAACAAGGTGAAACCCCATCTCTACTAAAAATACAAAAAAAAGTAAGACGGGTGTGGTGGCTCGTGCCTGTAATCCCAGCTACTCGGGAGTCCGAGACAGGAGAATCGGTTGAACACAGGAGGCAGAGGTTACAGTGAGCTGAGATCTGGCCACTGCACTCCACCCTGGGGGACAGAGCGAGACTCTGTCTAAAAAAAAAAAAAAAAATTGTAGCCATTTTTAAATCTCCCCCTCCAAGAATCTGAAAAGTCTTAACTCACACACCTTCATCCTTCACTATGCTTTTCATTATTCTTTTAACATTGCTAATCGCAACACTTTTCTAGAAATCCAGAAACCTACAATTTCACAGCCTCTGAGTTGATCTTGACTAAAGCGGCATGGCTCCCTCTCTGTAGGAGTAAATATAGCAGAGGATGTACAAGCCTGTTACAATTATGCAGAAACACATTGTCTTGTACTCTCCAATCCACCTAAAACTTAATATCATATTCCTAAGCCTAAACCCTAACTCTGTCCAGGAGATGTAGCCCCTCTGTACTTCAAGGGGTTTACAACTCATGTGGGGAAGAAAACACTGAAGAAAAAAAAATAGCACGTCCGGTTATGCAGTATAAAGTGTTTTATTGAAAATATGGACTAGAGTAGGGCAGCAATTTAGGGGGAACTGAGAATGGAGCTTGGATGATAACTTCTTAGGCAGCGGAGACAGGAGGAAGGCATGGCCACAATTCCACCCTGATTCCTACCACCCTCAGCACAGAAATAAGGCTCCTCCCCAGCCGTTGGAGACATCTATGGAAAAGATTTGTGAATACATGAGATGAGAACAGACAGGACAACTGATTTAAGAACAAGGTACTATTGACAAAACCCTGGAGGAAAAGAAAGGCTTTGGGAAGGTGATAAGTTTTATTTATTTATTTATTTTTGAGATGGATTCTGGCTCTGTCGCCCAGGCCAGAGTGCAGTGGCGCCATCTCAGCTCACTGCAAGCTCCGCCTCCTGGGTTCCCGCCATTCTCCTGCCTCAACCTCCTGGGCAGCTGGGACTACAGGCACCTGCCACCACGCCAGGCTAATTTTTTGTATTTTTAGTAGAGACGGGGTTTCATCGCGTTAGCCAGGATGGTCTCGATTTCCTGTCCTCGTGATCCGCCCACCTCGGCCTCCCAGAGTGCTGGGATTACAGGCGTAAGCCACCAGGCCTGGCCAAGTTTTATTTTTAAAAGATAACATGGCCGGGTGCAGTGGTTCACGCCTATAATCCCAGCACTCTGGGAGGCCGAGGTAGGTGGATCACCTGAGGTCAGGAGTTTGAGACCAGCCTGGCCAACATGGTGAAACCCTGTCTCTACTAAAAATACAAAAATTAGCCAGGAGTGGTGGCAGGCACCTGTAATCCCAGCTACTCAGGAGGCTGAGGCAGGAGAATCTCTTGAACCCGGGAGGCAGAGGTTGCAGTGAGCCAAGATCACACCATTGCACTCCAGCCTAGGAGACAAGAGTGAAACTCCATCTCAAAAAATAAAATATAACATGTATTTTTCAGTTCAGAAATTTAAAGAAAAAGTAGCTCATAATAACCACTGTTGATTATTTTATCTTTACTTGTTTGAAATGGAGTCTCACTCTGTCGCCCAGGCTGGTGTGCAGTGGCCCAATCTTGGCTCAGTGCTACCTCCACCTCCCGGGTTCAAGCAGTTCTCCTGCCTCAGCCTCTGAGGATTACAGGTGCCCGCCACCATGCCCAGCTAATTTTGTATTTTTTAATAAAGGATTTCACCACATGGGCCAGGCTGGTCTTGAACTCCTGACCTCAAGTGATCCACGCGCCTCAGCTTCCCAAAATGCTGGATTACAGGTGTGAGCCACTGCGCTGGCCACTGTTGATAACTTTAAAAAGTAAAAAGTACAGGTTAGAAAATTCAATAGTTGGCCAGGCGTGGTGGCTCACACCTGTAATCCCAGCACTTTGGGAGGCCGAGGCGGGCAGATCACGAGGTCAGGAGATCAAGACTATCCTGGCCAACACGGTGAAACCCCGTTCTCTACTAAAAATACAAAAAAATTAGCCAGGCATGGTGGCGGGCGCCTGTAGTCCCAGCTACTCAGGAGACTGAGGCAGAAGAATGGCATGAACCTGGGAGGCGGAACTTGCAGTAAGACAAGATCACACCACTGCACTCCAGCCTGGGCGACAGAGCGAGACTCCTTCCCAAAAAAAAAAAAGTAAGTTCAATAGTTACAAAAAGGTACAAAATGAAAAGCAACATGGCCTTGGTTTGCAAAATGTAACCACTTTTAAGTGTCTCAAATTAGGAAAGTTTGAAACAAGTAGAAAGTAGAAAAATGACAGATAAAAAGGGGGGCAACTTTAGACAAGAACTTAGAAAGTTATGGTGTTAAGACTACATGTTATATAATTCCATTTATGTGCAATGTCTAGAACAGGCAAATTTACAGAAAGTAGATTAGTGGTTGCTTAGGGGTAAGAGGTCAGAATGGTAGGTGAGGTAGAGTGACAGCTAATGGGTTCAGGGTCAGGGGAACAAAAATGTTCAAAAATTAGATTGTGGTAATGGTTGCTAAGCCCTATGAATAGATGAAAAATGATTTATACAGTTTACATAGAAATTGTAGGTATGTTAATTATATATATAATATATATTATATGTGTGTGTGTGTGTGTGTGTGTGTGTATATATATATATATATATTTTTTTTTTTTTTTTTTTGAGGCAGTTTCATTCTTGTTGCCCAGGCTGGAGTGCAATGGCACAATCTCAGCTCACCACAACCTCTGTCTCCCTGGTTCAAGCGAGTCTCCTGCCTCAGCCTCCCGAGTCACTGGAATTACAGGCATGCACCAGCATGCCCGGCTAATTTTGTATTTTTAGTAGAGACAGGCTGGTCTTGAACTCCCAACCTCAGGTGATCCGCCTGCCTCGGCCTCCCAACGTGCTGGGATTACAGGCGTGAGCCACCGCATCCGGTGTGAGTTATATTTCACTAAAGCTGTTTAACAAAAAAATAAATGCTAGAGTTTAGAGTCCTGAGGAAGCGGGCCTGGAAATGTAGGGAAAGGACCTGAGCATTCGAGGCTTTGAACATCACTAAAGAGTTCAGATTTTTTTTAATCTTGAAGGCAATGGGAAATCTGAGTAATATGACAAGTGGTTCTGAAGAAGCAGAAGAGACCTGAAGGACAGAAGTAGGCGATAACAGATTGGAGTCTGTGGTAGTAACCTGGGCAAACTGAGAGAAGAGATCAGATGGGGATTAGTGACTGGTTAAGGTAAGGGCTTGGAGGGTGGGGGCAATCCTAGTTTTCCATCTGAGAAAATAAAGTCGTAAAAGTGCCAGTATAGGTCTTCTAGGGAGATTTGAAGGGCTGTTTTGTACATGTCTAAAATAACCCACAAGCTGTCCAGTGAGCAACTGATTGCATGTATCTGTAACATTTTCAAGAAGTTTAGGCATCAAAGTTGTCAGACTGTTCATGGTGTAAATGTCAGCATAAATGATGACAGTGACTGTGAAAGGGGAACCAGGGAAAGCAACAGACATCAAGGATACACAGTTTCAAGGCATAGATCTCCAAGTGTCAAATGCACGGCCATATATCCACTGGAGTTAACAATTTGGAAAGGAATTAGGAAAGCTGGCATACAACAGACTCAATGAGTGGGAAAGGAGGTGCCACACTGCCACGGACTGACATGAGGGGAGACAAGTGATTCTCATTAAAGAGGTGATAGGATAGCAGCTTGAAGAGGGTCATGGTAATGTTTTTAAAATCAGAGATGGGCTTGGTTGAAGGGAAAACTCCAGATACAGGTGAAGGGGATGACTGAGAGAGCAGGCTCCCCTAGGAGGCAGGAAGCACTGGAGCCCAGAGTCTTCCACAGAAAAGACGCCTCTACCCCTGATGCCAGAGGGAAGCAGTGAGAAAACATGAAATAGCAAAGTGGGAACTGGGAGAAGAAACTGACTAGACTTGAAAGCATAGCCGAGATGAGAAGCATGGAGTAGCATGCTGGTAAGATGGAACCAGGGCTGATGTTGCTGGGGAAAGTAGTCCAGCCTGGCTTGCCAGAGGATTTAATAGTTTCTTGTGTGTAAATCAGAGGCTGAATCATAGGAAATTACTCATATTTGACCGTATTTTACCTATAAAAACAACAGTTTCATATGATACAACCTATTTGTTGACTTGACTAGCTAGCTTCGTGGCAAAAAAGAAGTAAAAGGAATCATAATGGTCCGCAGGGCATTAACAACCTAAGTAAAACTTTCACTGGGACAGGAATAGACAAAGGAGACACTCTCCAATAATTAGAAAATAAAGAGCAACTACAATTATTTGTGAATATGGCGGTGAGTTTCCTTTAATCAAAGACAACCATGACAAATTTATTAACTATCAAAAGCTACATTTTACTAAAAACAATCTGCCTTTAAAAATGTTGAATCATACAATATGTACGATACATGCCGCTTTCCGTTTTGGACTTCACTATCCATTTGAGTCCTAAAAAGGGGAAGAATAGCTGGTTAACAGTTTATAAATGATAAACCAAAAGTTCATATAATATACATAAATTAAATCCAACAATTAGCCCTCCTCAGTGAGTAGGGCCCAGGTTAATCCACATTATATATCTTAAATTTATTCCATATTTATTCCCTTCTTCTTTTTTCTTTTTTTTTTTTTTTTTTTTTGAGACAGAGTTTCGCTCTGTCGCCCAGGCTGGAGTGCAGTGGCACAATCTCAGGCTCACTGCAAGCTCTGCCTCCCAGGTTCACGCCATTCTCCTGCCTCAGCCTCCTGAGTAGCTGGAACTACAGGCGCCCACCACCACGCCCAGCTAATTTTTTTGTACTTTTAGTAGAGACGGGGTTTCACCGTGTTAGCCAGGATGGTCTCAATCTCCTGACGTCGTGGTCCGCCTGCCTCGCCCTCCCAAAGTGCTGAGATTACTGGTGTGAGCCACTGCGCCCGGCCTATTCCCTTCATTTAAAATATTTTTACAACTTGGAACAAAAGTATTTCAATTAATTGAAGCACATATTAAGTGCTTACATTAAGTACAAAAAAGTTTATTTTAATGCTCAAAATCAGAAAATTTGAGCTAGAAAAAAAATTCTTAGCAATGATCTAGCTTGAAAATCTTTCCATTTTATAGATATATTTATAGATTAAAAAAAAATAAAGTTGAAGCCAGGCGTGGTGGCTCATGTCTGTAATCCCAGCACTTTGGGAGGCCGAGGCGGGCGGACCACAAGGTCAGGAGTTCAAGACCAGCCTGACCAACATGGTGAAATCCCGTCTCTACTAAAAATAGAAAAATTAGCTGGTCACTGTGGCAGGTGCCTATAATCCCAGCTACTCAGGAGGCTGAAGCAGGAGAATTGCTTGAACCGGGGAGGCAGAGATTACAGTGAACTGAGATCGTGCCACTGCACTCTAGCCTGGGGGTGACAGAGCAAGACTCTGTCTCAAAAAAAAAGAGAAGTTGGGTGAGATTAAGTGACTTGCCCAAGGTTTTAAAGTAAGGGGCAAAAATAAATAAATAAAGTAAGGGGCATAGCCGATAGAATCTAGGTCTTCTGATTCCCACCCACAACTGTCTGCACTACAAAATGTCAGATCATTATTAAGATTTCTTTCTAGAAATGTTACCCTTCATAAAAATGAAGAAGAATTCTTTCATAGCCTAATACAAATTTTAGAAATGCCAATTTACCAAGATTATTCTAAGGTAATTCTATCCTAATCCTCTTTTTCTGCTTTGTACTTATAAAATAAGCAAATCTAATGGGATGGTGAACAACAACATGGATGAGAGGATTCAATATTTCACTTATCTAATTTACCAGTTTGTTGGGGGAAAAGCAGCAGCTGGGTATGGTGACTCATACCTATAATCCCAGCACTTTGGGAAGCTGAGATGGGAGCATCCCTTGAGCCCAGGAGTTTGAGACCAGCCTGGGCAACATAGTGAGACCCCTTCCCTATTTTTTATTAAAAACAAAAACAAAAACAAAACCCACCAAACCAAGAACAATCCTGCACTGCTTCTTTCAGCTGCAAGTCTTTTTTTTGAGACAGAGTCTTGCTCTGTCTCCCAGGCTGGAGTGCAGTGGCACGATCTCAGCCACTGCAACCTCCACCTCCCGGGTTCAAGCAATTCTCCTGCCTCAGCCTCCTGAGTAGCTGGGATTACAGGTGCATGCCACCACGCCCAGCTAATTTTTGTATTTTTAGTAGAGATGGGGTTTTACCATGTTGGTCAGGCTGATCTCGAACTCCTGACCTCATGATCCGCTTGCCTTGGCCTCCCAAAGTGCTGGGATTACAGGCGTGAGCCACCACGCCTGGCCTCAGCTGCAAATCTTAACAGCACAAATTTAATCAATCCAGAGAAGGGAACGCAGAACCACTATCCCTTTCTCACCTGTTACACACAGTTCTAAGAATGGGGCACTACAGGGAGGCAAAAATTCAAATTTCACTGGAATGGGGAAAAGGGATACTTTGGATTGCCAAATGAACTTTAATAGAACTGTGTAGCCATCCCATTGAAAAGGTTACCTTCAGCTAGCATCAAGCACTTGGCTTCTGCTGCCTCTGACTTGGAGTAATCACAGGCTCTGAAATCTCAAAGGTCTTCACAATCTCCTGGCAGACAATAATGAACATTTAGGCACTGGGCTTACTGCAAGTGAAGGCAGAGTCAGAACTATGCAGGGGCAACAGGCAGAGCTTTACCTCCCAGTCACGGTAACTCAAAGCTATAATTCCTTGATTTCTAACTTGTGTGTTATGTTCAAATCCCTCATTTTCTTCATTAATACTAACAGGCTCTGTTTGAAAGACAAATTTTTCAAATTTATCAAAGGTTATTAAATCGGAACAGGTAATCTAAACGGAAACTGATGAATAATAGCAATGAAACCTGTATTGAAAAGATACTTATAATATTACATACTTTTTAGGATTTCATGCATTATGGAGCTGCTGTAGTATTATTACAGTAGCCAGTCATTCCATCTGTTTCCATTTCAAAAAACATGTAGTAGAGTAACACATTCCAGACATTTGAAAATCTGCATATCTATGTGTCAACCACAGAGCTAAGCCCTAGTGAGTCCAATAGGACATTGAGAACATTGAAAGTAGCAAGTAAGTGCGATGGAAATATTCACTCTCCACAGGAGACCTTAGGAGGACATGAGTAATGGAGAGTGTGAAATTATTCAGGTAAGAATGAAAGATTCATAGAACCTCAAAGAGAAAAGAAGGTGCCGGCATCTGACAAAACGTGATTAGAAAGAGGGATACTACAAAAATGACTGCAATCACCAACTTTCTAAATTAAGATCTGAGGGAAATTATATCATTTCTTTGTTAATATTTACAGCAGATGTTGAATCAATGATATAGATGAATCCATCAAAATTTTAGACGCTGGCCATGTTTTCAGTATCTTCAGGTAGTTGAGCAAGATACAATATTGTAAAAGTTAATCTACATTGAAAATTCATTTACATTTAGTAAAATACTTAAATTCTACTAACAAATATATTTTCTCTAAAACTAATTTTTCCAAACATAGTATCATTTACCTATTACTGGCAGTCGGTCTTGGTCAAGTCTTATTCTTGCAAAACCATCCTAAAACGAAAACATGATTTTAGGAGAAGACAAACATTTAAGACTCAAACCTATACGCACTAGATGGAAAAAATTACTCAGAAAATTCAGTATCTCAGAAAATCAAATTACACCATAGCAATAATAAGGTGATGATATAGATAAGACTTCCCTAGTATCTTTTATTTACACAGGGTATCTTTGGGTTTCTAATCAGCTCTTTCACCCAGACACAGCCTCCATCCTGAGAATCTCTTAAGTGAAACTCATCTTGTCTCTTTAACTGATTTATACATATTTTGGAATACTCCACATTTTATTCTGCATAATTCTGTCACTGGGACCACTGGCAAAATATGCCTTTGTTATTATTTCTGAGAAAATACGTTGGTAGACATAGGTTTTCTCTAAGGTTATAATCAAATTCATCTTACATGTGGGAATGCAACCTGAAGTAAGATTAAAGATAGTCTAAAGCAAATTTCCATGGTACATATCTGAGTAGAGTTTTAAAACCAATTTTGAAATAATTTCAGACTTAAAGGGCTATAAGACTACTATAAACACGTGGCATATATCCTTTACCCATATTCATCAGTCGTTAAAGTGTTAGTTACCACGTTTACTTTATCACTCTACATATTATTATTTATGAATGAAGTGAGAATGATAGGCGGCCTGCTTCTTTTCCCTAATCTTTCAGTGTGTATTTCTTGAGAACAAGGATATTATACAACATGACAACTATCAAATGCAGGAAATTTAACATTTATACCATACTGTTATCTAATCTAAAGTTCCATATTCAAATTTTTCCAATTCTTTCTCTAAATAATTTCTAAAACATAAAAGCAAGCATATAAAATTTTAGCTAGCTTCTTCTACCTAATATGCCAATTAATGTTTTGCTACAATGGGTCTGAAACATATACTGGCTAGTGTATACAGATACCTTTGCCAGCTCCCTTCTACAGCTTTTCTTATGTAGCCTTTTAAAAGCATATAAAAGCAATTAGAAAAATAATCTTTAATCTTACCCGTATAATGAAGGAAACATGAAAGATGTTTTCCACTGTACGGGGGAAAGAATGAGGATCAACCACAAAGTCAAAGAAGGACATTGGGGTATCAGCTATAGACAAAAAGAGAAAAAAAAATTGATTTTTGCTTGTCATTAATATCAGTACACTCTAGCGTTAGCCAGAGACAAAGAAAGGATGTGTACTCATTCCTGCTGCAGGAGTGCAAATCAATCCAACCCTTCTGGAGGCCAATTTGGCATCTCTACTAAAAACATGTATGCCCACTGACCTGGAAACCACCTCTAAGAAGCTGTGCTACAGAAATACAAGTGTAACTGCACAAAATTACATACTAAGATTTTTTACTTCAGCAATTTATACAAGAGTAAAATGCTATAAAGAACTTAATCATCCAGCTGGGCATGGCACTCACACCTGTAATCCCAGCACTTTGGGAGGCCGATGCTGGCAGATCACCTGAGGTCAGGGGTTCAAGACTAGCTTGGCCAACATGGCGAAACAATGTCTCTACTAAAAATACAGAAAAAAAATTAGCCAGATGTGGTGGCGCGTGCGCCTGTAATCCCAGCTACTCAGGAGGCTGAGGCAGGAGAATTGCTTGAATCCAGGAGGTGGAGGTTGCAGTGAGTTGAGATGGTGCCACTGCATTCCAGTCTGGGCGAAAGAGTGAGACTGTCTCCTAAAAAAAAAAAAAAAAAATAGGAACTTGGCCGGGCGCGGTGGCTCATGCCTGTAATCCCAGCACTTTGGGAGGCCGAGGTGGGTGGATCACAAGGTCAGGAGATCAAGACCATCCTGGCTAACACGGTGAAACCCAGGTTCTACTAAAAGTACAAAAGAATTAGCCAGGCGTGGTGGCGGGTGCCTGTAGTCCCAGCTACTTGGGAGGCTGAGGCAGGAGAATGGCGTGAACCCAGGAGGGAGAGGTTGCAGTGAGCCAAGATCGCGCCACTGCACTCCAGCCTGGGCGACAGAGCGAGACTCTGTCTCAAAAAAAAAAAAAAGGAACTTAATCATCCATTAATGGAGGATCTGTTAAATATATTTACAGTACAGCCATATAATGGGAATCAGTGAACAAAACAAGGGAGATCTATATGAAATGATGTGGAAGAATGTCCACATGGAAAAGTCACGTAGCAGAAGAATGTGCATATTATGATTAGCTTGGAAAAAAAGAAAAAAACAAACTTTTTTTTTTCAGATGTAGTTTCGCTCTTGTTGCCCAGGCTAGAGTGCAATGGCGTGATCTTGGCTCACCGCAACCTCTGTCTCCCGGGTTCAAGCGATTCTCCTGCCTCAGCCTCCCAAGTAGCTGGGATTACAGGAATGCACTACCACACCCGGTTAATTTTGTATTTTTAGTAGAGATGAGGTTTCTCCATGTTGGTCAGGCGGGTATCGAACTCCCAACCTCAGCCTCCCAAAGTGCTGGGATTACAGGTGTGAGCCACCACGCCCGGCCAAAACAAACTATTTAGGTAGGTGTGTATAAAACTGATAAAATAATCTGAAAATATACACATTACATTTTATAATGAGGGGAGGTGGAACAGCTACTTTTGACATTTCTCACTTGAATGGCATATTTCATTTTGTAACAAAAAAAATCCCCATCTTTTAAAGATAAAAATGAAAACGTTAACTTCAAAGTTTTCACATGAAATTTCTAAAGGGGAGAAGAATCCTCATAAAATGCATATGTATTTATTCAAATATTACATACAGCTGAAATTGCCTTTTAAATACAAGTAACCTCAGTGAACAGATAAATACAAATTGCTCCACTTTGAATGGTGTTACACTTACGATCTTCTCGAAAATATGTCTGCAACAATCCCAAGATTCTTTCTACTTCTTTCTCTGTTGCTTCTTGATGAGATTCTTCCATTCTTCTTAACTGAAAAAAGTCATTATCAAGCTGACAGACCTACTTACTGGCCTATTAACGTTTTCTTCTCTCTTGCACACCCAAACTCCTTTTCTTCTCTCTTGCACACCCGAACTCTTTTTTTTTTTTGAGACAGGGTCTTGCTTTGCCACCCAGGCTAGAGTGCAGTTGCATGATCTCGGCTCACTGTAACCTCAGACTCCTGTGCTCAAGGGATCCTACCACCTCAGCTTCTTGAGTAGCTGGCACTAGAAGCGTGCACCACTACACCTGGCTAATTTTTTTTTTTTTAATTCATTCTACCTTGTCTAAGACACCTGGCTAATTAAAAAAAATTTTTTTAGATATGGGGTCTTGCTGACCATCCTGGCTAACACGGTGAAACCCCATCTCTACTAAAAATACAAAAACTTAGCCAGGTGTGGTGACAGGCGCCTGTACTCCCAGCTACTCAGGAGGCTGAGGCAGGAGAATGGCATGAACCCGGGAGGCGGAGCTTGCAGTGAGCCGACATCGCGCCTGTAATCCCTGCGCTGTAGGAGGCTGAGGCAGGTGGATCACAAGGTCAGGAGTTCGAGACCAGCCTGGCCATTATGGTGAAACCGTCTCTATTAAAAAACACCAAAATTAGCCGGGCATGGTGGTGCCTGCCTGTAATCCCAGCTACTTGGGAGGCTGAGGCAGGAGAATGGCTTGAACCCAGCAGGCGGAGGTTGCAGTGAGCCGAGATCGCGCCACTGCACTCCAGCCCGGGTGATAGGGCAAGACTCTGTCTCAAAAAAAATTATGGTTTAAAAAAAAACAGATTTTCTGGTTTCAGTAACTTTTTTTTTTTTTTTTTGAGATGGAGTCTTGCTCTGTGGCCCAGGCTGGAGTGCAGTGGTGCCATCTCGGCTCACTGCAACCTCCGCTTCCCAGGTTCAAGCAATTCTCCTACCTCAGCCTCCAGAGTAGCTGGGATTAGAGGCACCCACCACCACATCTGGCTAATTTTTTGTACTTTTTAGTAGAGACAGGGTTTCACCATGTTGGCCAGGCTGGTTTCTAACTCCTGACCTCAGGTGGATCTGCCCGCCTTGGCCTCCCAAAGTGCTGGGATTACAGGCGTAAGCCACCACACTCGGGCAACCTTTGTTTTTTTTGAGACGGACTCTCGCTCTGTCGCCCAGGCTGGAGTACAGTGGCATGATCTCGGCTCAGTGCAACCTCTGCCTCCTAGATTCCTAATTCTCCTGCGTCAGCCTCCCGAATAGCCCGGACTACAGGCACCTGCCACCATACCTAGCTAATTTCTGTATTTTTAGTAGAGACGGGGTTTCCCCGTATTGGCCGGGCTGGTCTCGAACTCCTGACCTTGTGATCTGCCCGCCTCGGCCTCCCAAAGTGCTGGGATTACAGGCGTAAGCCACTGTGCCTGGCCTCAGTAACATTTTCATATCAATTTCTTAATAGAATAGTAACATTACCAGATTAACCATTTTCAGGTTGAACATAAAATAGCAAAATACAAAAGGGCGGTTTAGAAACAGTGGTTCTCGAGTGGGTGTGACTTTCCCCCCACCTCCCCAGGGAACATTTGTTGTCACATGTAGACATTTTTGGTTGTCACAACTCAGGGGTCGGGGGGGCTATTAGCATATAACAGGTAGAGGCTGGGGATGCCGCTAAGCATCCTACAATGCGCAGGACAGCTCCCCAAACCAACATTATCCAGCCGTAAATGTTGACAGTGCTGAGGTTGACCCTGGCTTCGGAGAACTGATCAAAACTAGAGAAATGAGTTAAAACAAAGACAAGCAGCCAATCCAATAAAATGCTTAAAGGCTTAAATAAAATGATTATTTAAGTGACAAAACCTGGCTCCAGACCCGCACACTTAGAAAAAATGGCCAAATTGCATGCACATTATTTTAACAGCTATTTTAACTTTAATGTGTTTTTTTAAAAGCAACATTTTAAAACAAACCTGGGCAGGCATTGCCCTCTCCTCTTGTATCACAGGAACTTTTCTTGGACGATCAACTCGTGGCTTTGGCACAGGGCACTCTCCGTATATTGAACCCAACCTAATGAAAAGTATGCTTTCATTTATTTTTTTTGCCTGTTGTTTGTTAAACAAACTAACTTTACTAACTAAAAGTAGTTTGCATGGTATAGTCAAATTCAGACCAGACATCAGTGATATACAAGCTGACATCAGAGTAAGACTCTTGATAAGGTTTGTGACAGCCTTTCTGCCTTCTTTGTATTTCTAAAAGAACTCCTAGGAGCTTTACTCAACCACAGATACCTCCTCAGACACCTACATACTGCCCTGTAAAGTAGGCCAGTGAATATGCCTGTGACATCTTCCCACCACCCAACCTATTGTTTTGCAAAGCCAACTTCTAAGAGCAGGGGAAGGATGAACATGTATGTGGGGAAGCTCCAGTGGGGTCAGAAGACTTTGATCTGGGGAGGCCAAGGCAGAGGCTCCCAGCCCAGGACTACAGAACACATCTGTCTTAGGATAACAGGGCAAGTCACAGCCATGGGATTCCTTTTCCTTCTGGATTCTGCCCTCATGCAGACTTGGGTTACAGTAATAGATGTAAGTCTGCATCATGTAGAGATCAAAGCCCCAAGAATAAGGCTCATGTGGTCCCTACCCTTGAGGAGACAAAAATATACGATGTAGATGGACAGCTGCATTATGCACACAGATCCATTTCAATATAACATGGTGGGCTACTCTGGGAACACTCCTGCTCCACAAGGAGCAGTATAAAAAAATAAATTAATCAAATTTTAAAAAAGCAACATGGTAGATCCTGGGCGCTTAGAGAGTACTGCTCAAGTGCTATGAGAACACTTGGGCAGAGATATCTACCCAGACATGGGAGTGACGTGGTTGAGAAATCTGATCCTACACTGCTAACACCTCTGTCTGGAGAAGTTGCTGGAGGCTTCCAAGATGGGGCCTGTGGGATAAACAAACTTTACCGAATGGAAAAGATGAAAAGGAATTGGAGGCCAAGAGAACAGCAAGTACAAAGACACAGAGTTTTAAGTACTTCATTGTGGCTGGAAATTGGGCTGGATGATGAGATAAAGTTTAAGGCTTTATCTTTATAACCTAGGATTTATGAGTTTAGTACAATAGCAAAAAACAAAGATTTAGACTTTATCCTAAGATGAAGAAGTTTGGACTACATCCTATTAAATAGAACATACACAAATGGCTCTGGGCACCTGAGTTACCTGAAGTCTTATTAAAAATAGATGCCAGACCCCACACCACACTACTACATTGGCATCTCCAAGGCCTTCTACCCGAGCTACTATCAATCTCAATGGTTTTTAGAAAGACAAATTAGAAAAGACAAAAGCCCAGGAGCTATACCACTTAAAGAAGGACTGAACAACTCAGATGGCTACCCTAAAGTATTTACTGGGCAACAAAACCAGTATACTTGAAGGTCCTCTTAGAGAAGAGCCAGTAAGAGCTGTTCTTAATTTCTCCATAGGACCATGCCAGGAAGTTAAGACAGAAGCCAACTTCATTCAAATATAAAGAAATCTTTTTTTTAAATCAGAGTTCTATCTAAAAAATGAACTGGACAGTTTATGTGGCAGTGACAAGTAATCTTCAAATACAAGTCAGTGGTCATCTAACAGGGTATTATAATAAATGTCACTTTAGACGTTGGGAGACTCATAAGATACCCTCAGTAGGAGGTATCATCCTCCTATATGATAAGGATTTTAAAGATGATAAACCCAGAGTCTCATGAGCTAGAAGCAAAGGAGCCAGGAGAGCACTGGTAAAGAGGTTCTGGCCTTTTCTGCTAAAGCAGAATGAGAGATCCTTTAAGGTTCCATCCACATCTAGAGTTTATGGACTTTTTTTTCTTTTTTGAGACAGGGTCTCACTGTCAGCCAGGCCGGAGTGCAATGGCGCAATCTCAGCTCACTGCAATCTCTGCCTCCCAGGCTCAAGTGATCCTCCCACCTCAGCCTCCCAAGTAGCCAGGACCACAGGCATGGGCCACTACAGCGGGCTAATTTTTTGTATTTTTGGTAGAGATGGGTTCTCGCCATGTTGCCCAGGCTGATCTTGAATTCCTGAGCTCAGATGATCTACCTGCATCCACCTGCCAAAGTGCCGGGATTACAGGCATGAGCCACCACACCCGGCCTAGTGTTTATGAACTTTCATATCAAAGTTTCAAAAGTCTCCAAACAACGGCATCATGACTGTCACCTCTACAATACCAAATAATCTTTGTCCCTACAAGAAAAAGCAATTTAAGGTTCACAAATAACTGGTCTGTTGGATTTTTAAAATAATCTTACAGAAAGTGGAATGTATGGGTTTTATTAAAGGTGTTTTCTGCTGTTCTGCCTGTTATCTTCCAGGAGTCATAGACTATGAATTCAAAATCAGGACTATCTTCATCACGGATGAGTTCTTCAGCTTCTAGCGGATTTACACCCATATGTGTGAGCTACAAAAATGAAGGAAAACAAAAAACCCAGTTAAGCCACATGCAATCATTTTCCACATCCAATAATCCGCATCACTCAACCTTTAAGAGGCCAGACGCAAAGCCAGCTTTCAGTGTCTTAACATGCTGGCTAAATTTCTTACTGTGAAGATAACTTTACAGTTAAAGTCCTGCTTCCAAAGCTACCTTCTTTTTGGCAGAAAACATTCCTCAATGTACTTAAAACCTTTGGGTGAGAAAGTGAAATGATTTAGACCAGTGGTTCTCAACCTGGGTATACGTGCCCACAGGGGTCTTCTGGCAATACCTGGAGACATTTGTGGGTGTCACAACTGATATGCTGCTGGCATATACTGGGTAGAGGCCATGGAGGCTGTTGAATATCATATAATGCACAGTAACAGCCCCCAAAACAAAGACATGCCCAGCTCAAAATGCCAATCCATAGTGCCAGTGCTGAGAAACCCTGCTGTAGCCCACTGGCAGCCAGAAGTATTTAGGTATGCCAGAACTCAGCCCCCTGGGATTTTTTGTATCACCAATAGTTCGTGTATTAGTAAAGCTGCACTAACATATAAATATAAAATTAAATCCCAAATCAAAAGCTTCAAGACAGCACAAGGAAGTTCAGCTGGTTTTCAGATTTTAATTTTTTGCCAACCTCCTACAAATCTCTATTCAGCTTGTATCTCAGTATATCCAGAGAGCAGTGGCCCGGCATCACTGAGAGAATGGCTCATCTTAAAATTGCCTTCCTGGGAAGAGTTGGCGGAAGTCAAATAATTCTCTCATCTCAAACTGTCTTACAGAAAATGTGTTATATTGAATTTACTTTTATGAAAGTACATTTTTATTACATTATACTGTAAAATGCCTAGAAGTTATCCAATTACGATGGCAATATCATATATAAACAATAATCACAAAACCCTCAGGGAGCTTAACCCTATTAAAGGCAATCAGACTTTAAAGAAAAGAAAGGCTACAAGAGCCTGGTCAGAGCGCTATGGCCAGCTCTTCTCCATTCCCTTGCCGCCCGAACTACCACTGCACCCTTGTAGGCAGACGTGGCAGTTTTGGTCTGTTTAACTGACAGAGAAATCCACCAATCTTTCCTTATAGTGTCTATATTTGATGCTATACATACGAAAGTCTTCTCCACCCAGAGACTGGACAACTATTAATTTAAGGTTTTATATTTAATGCTTTAAGACTTCCAGAATTTATTTTGATATGTTATTTAAAGTACAGAGCTTGGCCGGGCACGGTGGCTCATGCCTGTAATCCCAGCACTTTGGGAAGTCCAGGCGGGTGGATCACGAAGTCAGGAGTTCGAGGCCAGCCTGGCCAACATGGCGAAACCCCACCTCTACTAAAAATTAGCCAGGCGTGGGGACAGGCACCTGTAATGCCAGCTTCTTGGGAGGCTGAGGCAGGAGAATCGCTTGAACCCAGGAGGTGGAGGTTGCGGTGAGCTGAGATCGTGCCACTGCACTCCAGCCTGGGCAACACTCCAGCATGGGCAACACTCCAGCCTGGGCAACAAGAGCAAGACTCTGTCTCAAAAAATAAAAAAATAGAGCTTAACCTGATAAAGTAATTTTTAAAGAAATACCCAATACATGGTTACTTTATTGACCTCTATATTACAGTGCACTTTCCTAAGTGCATTATGTTTCACAATAAAAAAAAGTTAAAAAAAAAAAAAAAAAAGGAAAAGGTTTGAAAAACAAACTGGAAATAATCTGGTGCCTCATGCCTTTACAAAAAAATTATCTGATCAGATCTCATAGTACTAAATTATTTTAATAACCATTTAACATAAACATCCAGTTAGAAATGCAATATTCATACTGAGGTGCAGCTATCTGTGCTAGGACAGAGGTTGGCTCAGATTGACAGATTGACTGATTGATTGATTGATTTTGAGGTGCAGTCTCACTCTGTAGCCCAGGCTGGAGTGCAGTGGCGCGATCTCGGCTCACTGCAACTTCTGCCTCCTGGGTTCAAGGGATTATCCTGCCTTAGCCTCCCGAGTAGCTGGGATTACAGGCGCCTGCCACCACACCCAGCTAATTTTTCTATTTTTAGTAGAGACGGGCTTTCACCATGGTGGCCAGGCTGGTCTGAAACTTCTGACCTCAGGTGATCCACCCGCCTCAGCCTCCCAAAGTGCTGGGATTACAGGCGTGAGCCACTGCCCCCAGCCAGAATAGAATTTTTTAAAAAGACAACAAAGTGAGATACAAGGTCAGTCTCTGTGTGCTTTTTCTTTTTTGGTAAATTCATCAAGGAACAGTTTTAGAATTGCAGGTAACCACTATTCAAACTTGTCAAGAGACAAAGAAAGGTGAATAAAACATAAAACCAAAAAAGCAAAACCTGGCTGGGCTAGGTGGCTCACGGCTGTAATCCCAGCACTTTGGGAAGCCAAGGCGGGCAGATCACGAGATCAGGAGATCCAGACCATCCTGGCTAACATGATGAAACCCCGTCTCTACTAAAAATACAAAAAATTAGCCGGGCGTGGTGGCAGGCGCCTGTAGTCCCAGCTACTTGGGAGGCTGAGACAGGAGAATGGCGTGAACCCAGGAGGCAGAGCTTGCAGTGAGCCGAGATCACGCCACTGCACTCCAGCCTGGGCGACAGAGCGAGACTCTGTCTCAAAGGAAAAAAAAAAAAAAAAAAAAAAGCAAAACCCAATCATATTCACATGGTTTTGAAATATTCTCAAAGACAGACCAAAACATGCCCTCTCGCCAGGCCTAACTCAATTCCAGCTGAGCTCTGCCATCGCAGAGTGGGCTTTTGTCCAGCCCAGGACAAAGGTCTGAGGTCACTGAGAATGATCTAGAACACCAGTGAACAGAGGAAAAATGGCCATTGGCAAATGACCATAGCACCCAGCATCTTAAGACAGAATGCTACGAGATTTTTACTCCAAGCCCCCACCCAAGATTCCACCACATGGTTCTACTTTCGTCTGTTTAAATTGGTAAGATCTCTACAGAGGAATCTGAGACCAAAAAAGAAGAATGAAGTGAAATCATCTGCATATGGATATGAGCACAGTAAATAATTATAATATATAACAGAACATTTTTTATTCAGAGTCTGTAGCTTTGAACTTACTAGAGTTTCAACATATCTTAACATGTCAAAGGAGCTCAGGTCTGAGCGCAGCTGCTTTGCTTTCTCTTTGCCCAAATCTGAAGCCAAAACAAGAAAGTGGGCATCCAGGACTGCTTCTCTTGCTCGGGACACTATTCAAAAAAGAAAGAAAATATTCACATTACAAAATACACATTATCCATAGACTTTTTCCCTACATTTCCAACTACTTACCAGGATTTCCCACTGGACTAAAAAAAAAAAAAAATCTCAATAGGCAACTGACACATCTCCTTCTAAAACGTGCTCCTGGCCAGGTGCGGTGGCTCAAGCCTGTAATCCCAGCACTTTGGGAGGCCAAGGCGGGCGGATCACGAGGTCAGGAGATCGAGACCATCCTGGCTAACACGGTGAAACCCCAGCTCTACTAAAAATACAAAAAATTAGCAGGGCGTGGTGGCGGGCGCCTGTAGTCCCAGCTACTTGGGAGGCTGAGGCAGAATGGCGTGAACCCGGGAGGCAGAGCTTGCAGTAAGCCAAGATCGCGCCACTGCACTCCAGCCTGGGTGTCAGAGCAAGAGGCTGTCTCAAAACAAAAACAAAAACAAAAAAAAACTTTCTCCTGTGCCCAACTCACCAAAATCTCTAATGAAAGCTGACCAGTCTTCCTAAAAGCCAGCTTTCTGTCTAGTTCTCCTACTGTTAGCTGAATCACAATCTCTTAAATAACTCCAGTTGAGCAAAACCCGTCATGTCTAATACTCACTTTTCCCTCCATCCTAATCACGATGATCATGTGTGCTGACGTAAGGAAAATCAAATTCCCACTACATGTAGGGCCCTGTGCTTGGCATGGTGGTTTGTGAACAGCAATAGGTAAGCTGCTAAGCAATAGGTAAGTTGCTAAAGTTGCTAACCAAAATCATGGCATGTGCTAGGCTGGCACTAGGAGGCTCATGCCTCTGTATGGCTTCACAGGCAACCCCAGCAAAGCCACCCAAATGAACAGTCTACAGGTAGCAGGTAGTGACCCGAGGACGGATACTCAAAAAAGGCTTGACAGAGGACATGGGATTTAAGAAAAGCTATGGAAAAAAAAGATTTAAATTAATGCAGAAACAGGCTGGGCACAGCAGCTCATGCCTGTAATCCCTACACTTTGGGAAGCCGAGGCAGGCGGATCACTTTGAGCTCCAAAGTTTGAGACCAGCCTGGGCAACGTGGTGAAACCCCATCTCTACTAAAGAATCAAAAATTAGCTGGGCATGGTGGTGCACACCTGTAATCCCAGCTACTCGGGTGGCTGAAGCTGGAGAATAGCTTTAACCTGGGGGGGGCAGAGGTTGCAGTGAGCCAAGATCATGCCACTGCACTCCAGCCTGGGCGACAGGTGTAGGTGTTCCCAGACTATTTTTCATACTCTCTGTTGCCTGCAGGGTCTGATTAAGCAACCCCCTCAGCCCCGCTGTTTCCTTTTGTTGATCCCTTCTTTATCTCCCATGAGTATCCTGTGCCTGCCTGCCCCACTCCCTTCCCCTTTCATTTATTTATTTATTTTACAAACTGAGACCATCAAATCCATGAATGCCAGCATCTGTTGTTTGCTGAGCAACTCCTAGGGCTCCAATGAGTGAATAATTTTGCTCTAAAATATTGCTTTAAATACTGGAAATAGCTGAGGGGGGAATGATGTGGGGATAAAGAACTGACTAGATGCACAGTAAATATCAAGGGAGTAATTGAGTCAAGTCAAGCAAGACTAACAGTAAGGAGACTGGGAGTCCAGGCTGCGAAGGGAAGACAAAACTTAAGAGGGTAGTAGAGGGATTTAACCAGGTGAAGGAGAAACACCCGGTTCCTGAAGGTTTTGATGAGAGTTAGCAAATGCGGTAGACTAAGATGGGGAATGGTAAGGAGGCTGTGGTCAAAGAAATTGGAGAGCATATATAAAGTGATAAAAGGAGACATTTAAAGAACTAGTCATCCTCAGCAATGACTAAAAATATACGTTCTAGTCCTTTAAGAATATGAGGAACCAGCCGGGGGCGGTGGCTCATGCCTGTAATCCCAGCACTGTGGGAGGCGGAGGCAGGTGGATTACCTGAGGTCAGGAGTTCGAGACCAGCCTGGCCAACATGGCGAAACCCGTCTCTACTAAAAATACAAAAATTAGCTGGGTGTGATGGAGCACACCTGTAATCCCAGCTACTCGGGACGCTGAGGTAGGAGAATTGCTTGAACCTGGGAGGTGGAGGTTGCAGTGAGCCGAGATTGTGCTACTGCACTCCAGCCTGGGCAACAGAGACTCCATCTCAAACCTCAAAAAAAAAAAAAAAAAGGATATATTTGGCTGCATTCTCCCCTATGTTCCCACAGACCCGTCAGAGAGGGCTGGAGGGGACAGTGGTCTGGGTAGTAGTCCTGTGGCTCTATGACCAAGTACCCACATCAGGGAGTACCCCTCTGTCACCAAGCAGACAGACAGCTGCTACCAATACCACTGCCTCTGCTTTCAATTCAAACTAAGGTTATTTTTTAAAGCACCCATGGCCTAGAGTTCAGTGCTCTGGGATCTCTCTCACTCACTCACTCACACACAACACACCCCAGACTGGAGACCAGCAGGTACACTTGCAGGCTTTGCCACCTCCATTGTGTTACACGTGGACCAATAGCAGGGAGCTGAGGAAGGCAAAACAGAATGGGACAGGAAAAGAAACAGGATTTCAGAGGCTAGCTCAGTTCTGTAATTCATCCACTCAACCAATGTATACTAGGGATACGGCAGTAAACACAAGAAAAAGAAACAAGATAACACATGTAACGTTCTCAAACTTGAAGAGGCAACAGAATCAACTGGGGGCTTAACACAGACTGCGGAACCTACCCCCAAATTTTCATGTAAAGCCCTTATTATATGGTAAGTGCATAATAAAAATGGCATTATTGCTATAATGAAACGGTTCCCGAACTGGGAAAGCACTATTACAAATGTGGGAATTGTTTTATGTCAATAATTTGGCGCTTATGTAACACTAATTAAAAGTATCATAAAACACGAAATAACATATAAAATAACAAATTACCTTCATTAAACAGAGTGTTAGCCTCTTCAAGGACCTCTGTTAATTTGTCACCGGCATTCAGTATGTCCTCACGGTTTTCTATTTTTAAAAATACAAACTTTGGGAAATTTGTTCAGCATTCACTAATAAGCAGTTGACAAGGTTATCACCTGCAACAGTAAAGCCAAGCCCCGGCCCCTGCGCTCTGAGTAATTACTTCGAACATCTTTATCTTTTTAACCAAAATGACCCGGAAAAGGAGAAAGGCCACCCTACCCTTTATGCAGCATGAATTTTAAAAGGAAACCCTAGCTCCCTCTAACCTTAACCCAAAGGGCTGGACTCCGGCTGCAGCCTCTGAGTGCTCCATAACTGAGTGGTTCTCAAACTTTGCAAGCAATACACACCATCACCTGGAGGGCCACTCCACAGTTGCGCGGACCCACCCAGAGATTCGAATTCCGCGGGTCCGGGTGGGGTCCGAGAACGTGCATTTGACAGCTCTCGCGTGCCGCTGCAGCTGCAGCTGCCGCTGCGAGGCCGGGAGCCCACGCCGAGGACTGCCGGGCGCAATCAAAGCACGCGGAGTCCGCGTCCTGCCTCTCCCCACTGGCTGGCTGGGCTCGGGCGAGTCCGCGAACGGCTCTGGCCTCCAGCTTTTCCAGCCCGCCACTCGGGGACCCGCGCCAAGGTCGTACGGCTCCAGCCACAAAGTGGGAGCACTTTGTCAACAATTTAAGGTGCGGCGAGGGGCTGGCACCCGGCGCGTCTCTACTAACGCCGCGCCGGGCCTCCGCCCGGCACCTGCCTCCGGTGCCCTCCCCCCGCGCCCGGCGCAGGGCGGGGACAGCGGCCCGTCCGGGCCCGCGCCGCCCGGAGGCGCCGCCTTACGTTGGACGGAGTTGATGAGCGCCCGGTACTGATGGCGGATCTGGCGGCACAGGCCTTGGTCGGCCTCCGCCTCCAAGCTGGCCGGGTCCATCATCTCGTCCCCGGAATCCGACGGCTCTGTGTCCTCCAGGCTCGGGCGCTCTGGGGCCTCTCTGCGCTCCCGCGCAGAGCCGCGGCGGGACCTGGGCGACAAAGGGGACCGCGAGCGGGAGCGGGAGCGGGTGCGATCCCGATGCGGGTCGCGGCCCCGGCCCCGGCCCTCTGGCCCGCGGCCGCTGCTGTCCCCAGACATAGCGCCAATTCACCGTGCAACTTCGGAACGGCGGAAGTTCGCGCCAGAAACTGAAACCCCTGCTCTGCGCCAGCGCCTGCTCCCGGCGGAACGCGGCTCCCGGGCCCGCGCGAGCGCACAGCGACGCCTGTGGCTGGAGGCCGGCGACGGGCCCGGCCGGGTCTCCAAGGCGCCTGGGGGGACCGCTGGGTGCACAAGAGGGGCCTGGCGGGGATCCTTTGTTCCCTTGACAAGAGGTGTAATGAGCTCTTACTCCACACTGCAGGGCTGTGAGAATCTTGGTTTTCTGCCCCTACTTTCCCACCCTCCTGGACCTGCATCTTCCCTAGGTCCCTTTGCCTGCCCAGGACACAGCCGCAGCCTGGCACCCACATGGGCACGCAGTCCATGTGTGTTGAACGAGCTTCCTGCTGTGGAGCAGGATGAGCGCGGGATGTGGAGTCCAGACGCGGTCTGCTGCTCACCTGCGACCTCAGTTTCCCTGTGCCATCATGGCTGGGGTCGGGGGGGTGGGGAACAGGGGTGGGTGGATGAATCAAATATTTATGTGCAGCTGGCAATACCATTTTTTGTGAGGATAGCAGAACAAATTAACAGGTAAACATCCTTCTAAATATCTACAACAGAATGTCACCAGAGCACCAGGGTTTTGTTCTAGGACCCGCTGCCCCCTCACAGAAATCACTGAGAAAACCATTATTACCAAGGAAGAAGGCTTTAGTAGGGTGCTGCACTCAGGGAGTTGGAAGCTCAGTCTCAAATCCATTGCCCTGACCAACTAAAATTAAGGGTTTATACAGTTGCAGGGAAGCAATGTAACAATGTATGGGAAAAGAGGAACTCGGGAGGGGGAAGGAAGCTATGGGGATGCATGAGGGGCTTGGCATCTCATTGTCTGGAATGCGGTGATATGGCGAGTTTCAGTTTTTTGATACTTTTTGAGAGGCTCTGGAGGTCCTTTCCTGAGGAAGGAACTCAGATAAAACAAAGGTAAGTTTCAACCTTAAGACTAGAAATGATAATTTCTAAGTTTATTAAAAAAATAGTAAACAGTCTATGGGATTGTTGGGTTGATTTTAATGACAGTCTATGTTCACATTTGATTTTTTTTTTTTTTTTAAGACCTTGCTCTGCCGAGGCTGGAGTACAGTGGCACTATCTTGGCTCACTGCAACCCCATCTCCTGACCTCAAGTGATCCGCCCACCTCGGCCTCCCTAAGTACTGGGATTACAAGCATGGGCCACCAGGCACAGCCTGATTCTGATTCTCAAACTAGAAGATTCTAAGAATACCTCCTGAAGGGCCCAAGAAAGATGGAATTATGTTAAGTATACTTTGAAAGATAAATGTATGAATTTCACTCCGTGCATTTTGGATTGTATTCGAGTATTGTTTCCCAAAAGTTGTCTTTGGTGCTAAGAACACATTTTCTCAAAAGACCAATATTATAAGTTGGGTTATTACACAACCTACAAATATTCCATTTTGTGCATCATGTCTACTAAACTTAAGTTAGGCACTGTTCATTGCTGTCCAACAGCTACTACCTCACCCATCCCTGCTTATCTGTATTTCCTGAAGGGGACGTGTGTGCCTACTTCCTTAGATGAAACGTGATCACTCTAACCAGGTCACGGTAATGTCATTCCCCTTCCCCAGTGACTGGTCAAGGGTCATGTGATGCAACCTGGGTCCGTGAGATGTGAAAGGGTTTCCCAACTGGATGGAATACAAACCTTCCTGAAAAGAAAACCCTTGACCCCCTACCCCCTTTGAGATGGCTGGCATAAGAAATGGGGAACCTGCCAATTAGCGGGCATAATGGTGCGTGTCTGTAATCCCAGCTAATCGGGAGGCTGAGGCAAGAGAACTGCTTGAAGCTGGGAGGTGGAGGTTGCAGTGAGCAGAGATCGCGCCATTGCACTCCAGCCTGGGTGACAAGAATGAAACAACGTCTGAAAGAAAAAATGTGGAGCCTGCCATATTGGCAGCATCTGGTACTCACGAGGTGACAAGCATGAGGAAAGACTAGAGTGCTGGAGACACTGGAGAGCAAAGATGGACATGGCTGAATTGCTGAATCAACCACATGCCTCCAGACTCCCTGTAAAGTAAGCCATAAATCATGGTTTAAACCAGGTCATTGTTTCATAGTTGTTGCTTGTAGCTCAGTGTTCTGTAATGGAATACTTAGCGTTCTTCCAGGTGAAAGTGTGTCCAGAATTGGTGGGTTCTTGGTCTCACTGACTTCAGGAATGAAGCCGCGGACCCTCGCAGTGAGTGTTACAGTTCTTAAAGGTGATGTGTCCGGAGTTTTTTCCTTATGATGTTCAGATGTGTTCGCAGTTTCTTCTTTCTGGTGGGTTCGTGGTCTCACTCGCTCAGGAGTGAAGCTGCAGACCTTCACGGTGAGTGTTACAGCTCTTAATGCGGCGTGTCTGGAGTTGTTCGTTCCTCCCGGTGGGTTTGTGGTATTGCTGGCCTCAGAAATGAAGCTGCAGACCTTCACAGTGAGTGTTACAACTCATAAAAGCAGTGCAGACCCAAAGCGTGAACAGCAGCAAGATTTATTGCAAAGAGCGAAAAAATAAAGCTTCCACAGTGTGCAAAGTGAGCTGAGTGGGTTACTACTACTGGCTAGGGCAGCCTGCTTTTATTCTCTTATCTGGCCCCACCCACATCCTGCTGATTGGTCAATTTTACAGAGAGCCGATGGGTCTGTTTTACAGAGAGCTGATTGGTCCATTTTGACAGGGTGCTGATTGGTGCGTTTACAATCCCTGAGCTAGACACAAAAGTTCTCCACCTGTCCACTAGATTAGCTAGATACAGAGTGCTGATTGGTGTATTTACAAACCCTGAGCTAGACACAGAGTGCTGATTGGTGCATTTACAAACCTTGAGCTAGATACAGAGTGCCGATTGGTGTATTTACAATCCCTTAGCTAGACATAAACGTTCGCCAAGTCCCCACCAAATCAGCTAGACACAGAGCGCAGATTGGTGCATTTACAAACCTTGAGCTAGACACAGAGTGCTGATTGGTGCATTTACAAAGCTTGAGCTAGATACAGAGTGCTGATTGGTGTATTCACAATCTCTTAGCTAGACATAAAGGTTCTCCAAGTCCCCGCTAGACTCAGGAGCCCAGCTGGCTTCACCCAGTGGATCCCGCACCAGGGTGGCTGGTGGAGCTGCCTGCCAGTCCCTCGCCCTGCACCCCACTTCTCAGCCTTTGGGCAGTTGATGGGATCGGGCACCCTGGAGCAGGGGGCGGCGCTCATCGGGGAGGCTCGGGCCACGCTGGAGCCCACGGTGGCAGGGGGAGGCTCAGGCATGGCGGGTTGCAGGTCCTGAGTCCTGCCCTGCGGGGAGGCAGCTAAGGCCCGCCGAGAAATGGAGCACAGCGCTGGTGGGCTGGCACTGTTGGGGGACCCCGCGAACCCACCACAGCTGCGGGCCCAGGTGCTAAGCCCCTCACTGCCCAGGGCAGCCGGCCACTCCCGAGTGCGGGCCTGCCAAGCCCACGCCCACAGGGAACTCTAGCTGGCCCGCAAGCACAGCGTGCAGCCCCGGTTCCCCCCGTGCCTCTCCCTCCACACCTCCCCGCAGGCTGAGAGAGCCGGCTCTGGCCTCGGTCCCAGGAAGTGGCTCCCACAGCGCAGCGGCGGGCTGAAGGGCTCCTTAAGCCGGCCAGAGTGGGCGCTGAGGCCGAGGAGGTGCCAAGAGCGAGCGAGGGCTGCCAGCACGCTGTCACCTCTCAAAAGTTCATTCCAAGCTCCACACAAAAATACCTGAAATAGGCCAGGTGCAGTGGCTCACGCCTGTAATCCCTGCACTGTGGGAGGCCAAGGTGGGTGGATCACCCAAGGTCAGGAGTTCAAGACCAGCCTGGCCAACATGATGAAACCCCCGTCTGTACTAAAAATACGAAAAATTAGCCAGGCGTGGTGGTGGGCGCCTGTAATCCCAGCTACTCAGGAGGCTAAGGCAGGAGAATCACTTGAACCTGGGAGGCGAAGTTTGCAGTGAGCCGAGATCATGCCACTGCACTCCAGCCTGGGTGACAGGAGCAAAACTCCATCTCAAAAAACAAACAATGACAACAACAACAAAAAAACCCTGAAATAACTCATTCAATTCAAAAGTATTTGAGGGAGGGCCGGGCGCGGTGACTCATGCCTGTAATCCCAGCACTTTGGGAGGCCGAGGAGGGTGGATCATGAGGTCAAGAGATCGAGACCATCCTGGCCAACATGGTGAAACCCCATCTCTACTAAAAATACAAAAAATTAGCTGGGCATGGTGACGTGCGCCTGTAGTCTCAGCTACTCAGGAGGCTGAGGCAGGAGAATTGCTTGAACCGGGGAGGCGGAGGTTGCAGTGAGCCAAGATGGTGCACCACTGCACTCCAGCCTGGTGACAGAGTGAGACTCCATCTCTAAATAAATAAATAAATAAAAATATTTGAGGTGTACTCATAGGCTAGACACCCTACAAAGCACAGCAGGGCACACAGATAATTCAGGTACTTGCCTTTGCCTTCCAGGGTATCACCAGAAGACAGGCATTAAACTGATTCTAAAATTCATGTGGGGAGCCAGGTGTGGTGGCTCATACCTGTAATCCCTGCACTTTGGGAGGCCAAGGCAGGTGGATCACTAGAGGCCAGGAGTTTGACACTAACTTGGACAACAAAGCAAGACCCTGTCTCTACAAAGTATATATAAATCAACATTAGCCAGGCATGGTGGTGCACACCTACAGTCCCACTGACTCAGGAGGTAGAAACAGGATGATCGCTTGAGCCCAGGAATTTGATGCTGCAGTGAGCTATGATCATGCCACTGCACTCCAGCATGGATGACAGAGCAAGACCTTGTTTAAAAAAAAAAAAAATTATATGGAAATGCAAGGGACCCAGAATAGCCAAAACAATCTTGAAAAAGAAGGACAAATTTGGCAGGATTCAGACTTCTTAATTTCAAGACTTAATACAAAGCTGTATAATCAAAACTGTGTGGTATTGTCATAAGGATAGACATATAGATCAAAGGAATGGAATTGAAAGTCCAGACATATCATTTATGGTTAACTGATTTTCTTTTCTTTTCTTTTTTTTTCGAGGCAGAGTCTCTCTCTGCTGCCAGGCTGGAGTGCAGTGGCACAGTCTTGGCTCACTGCAACCACCGCCTCCCAGGTTCAAGTAATTCTCTTGCCTCAGCCTCCTGAGTAGCTGGGACCTCAGGCGCGTGCCACCATGCCCAGCTAATTTTTGTATTTTTAGTAGAGACAGAGTTTCACCCTGTTGGCCAGGATGGTCTCGATCTCTTCACCTCGTGACCCGCCCGCCTCAGCCTCCCAAAGTGCTGGGATTACAGGCATGCACCACCACACCCAGCTGATTAACTGATTTTCAACCAGGGTGCCAAGACAATAGGAAAATAATAGTCTTTTCAACAAATGGTAGTGGGACAATTGGATATCTGTAGGCAAAGGAGTGAAGCTAGACCCTTCCTTCACATCATATATAAACATTAACACAGAATGGATTGGACCTAAATGTAAGCTAATACTATAAAACTCTTAGAAGAACACATAGCTGTAAATCTTTGTGGCCTTGGGTTAGGTGATAGTTTTTTTTTTAGATATGACACCAAAAGCATCAGCAACCAAAAGATAAAAAAAGATGAACTGTAGGCAAATTTGGGATAATTTGTTACAGCAGCCATAGGAAACAAATCCAGGTACCCAGGATGAGCAACCATGGGAAGATATTACTACTCCAAGGCCTAGAGGGTCTGAAGGAAGAAGCAGTGTTATCAGAGCCCCATGAAGACTGAAGCCATGGAGAAGGGGCAACCAGACAGGAGTTCTGGTTCTAGAGTTTGCACCATGCCAGGACAACAATACTAAGCAAAGAGGAAATCAGGGCAGAAATACCCTGATCTCATCCTTCCAACCTCTCCTCTCCTGCTTTTACCTCTCATTGGCTGAGGCCAACGGGATGTCAGAGGGCAAGAGAACCTGTGTGATGCAGTCTATAGGCCAGTCCCTGGGCAGAGCAGGACCAAGAAAGATGGAGATGCATTTGAGGTGGGAATGGGGACAGATGGAGAGTAACCAGCCTTGTGGGTAAAGGCTCTGCCAGGGTCTATTTAGCTAGGTATATGAGAAATCCCACTACAGTGTGTTAGTCAAAATGGTTACAATTCTTCTTGTAAAACCAGAAGCCTAGAAGTAGGCAGGCCAAGATTGGTGCATTGGCTTCATTGCCTCAACCCCAAAGTGGCACATGTCACTGGGATTAAGCAGAAGTCTATCGAAGGTCTTATGAGAAATATTTTTCTACACAATAAAAATAGACACTAAGAGGAAGTGCTCCTCTTTAGCCAAATGTTGTCATGTCTGCATATGTTGTTCAAAATATGGCAGTCATCTTGTGACCATGCGAGGACAAATTAACATTACCCAGCAGAAAGAACCCAAGTCCCTCATGACATCACCAAGCTGCTGCCACTGCCTTTTCTCTGGACATCTTGTTACAGAGATAATAAAAGTCCTTATTGTTTTGTTTTTGTTTTTTCTTTTTTTTTGAGATGGAGTCTTGCTCTGTCACCAGGCTGGAGTGCAGTGACACGATCTTGGCTCACTGCAACCTCCACCTCTGGGGTTCAAGCGATTCTTCTGCCTCAGCCTCCCGAGTAGCTGGTGAGCCACCACGCCTGGCCAATGTCCTTATTGTTTAAACCACTCTTCATCAAGTGTTCTGTTTTGTTATTTGTAAACAAAACTACCCATATGATGCATTTCTTCCCTACTTAAGCCAACTTGCTTTAGATTTCCTAGCACCAACAAATAAAGAATCCTTACTCGTGCAACCTGATAGTTCCAGAATATAGGAACTGTACCCTAAACAGAAAAGACTGATTAGCACGGTGGTTGCACATAATAATCAGGAACGAAGAGCGTTGCAAGATGATGAAGTGGGGAACGACATAATGAGGAGAACTAAATAAACTCTATCCCCCTTCCTGGGAGATGAAGCCCCTGGATTACCCTCCTGGTTAAAATGGGATGACAATGAGGAGTTGCAAAGGATGTGTAGTAACCAGGACTTAGTGAATGCCAGGCAGAGAGGAGAGATGCAGGAGATGAGTTAGAGATTGGGCAGGTTTGGAGTGAATGAGTCCTCTGGTATCATGGCATCCCTACTAGGCTGCAGCTTTTACCAGCCCTCTTGCAAATCAAATGGAAAAACATGCAAATTCTCACGTGGGAAAAAGTTTTTAATAGTTCTGGCAATGTTGCCTCTAGGGAAGGCAGCCCACCATAGGGTTCAGATGAAATCAGATCTGATTGGGTGCTGGGAATTCTAGGCTTGGTGGCCATGTGTAGTCCAGCCAGGGCTGAGTTAGAGTATCAGTAATGCATTTATTGTGGCAAGTGTCATGAACGTGTCACTTGGAATCATTAAATATTGAGTGTGGGCACCTGTAATCCCAGCTACTTGGGAGGCTGAGGCAGAAGAATCGCTTGAACCCAGGAGGCGGAGGTTGCAGTGAGCCGAACTTGCACCACTGCACTCCAGCTTGGCGACAGAGCAAGACTCTGTCTCAAAAAAAAAAAAAAAAAAAAGAGAATATGTAAATGAATAAAAAGAGCCACTAAAGTAAAAAAAAGTATATGATCTCTCTCATGTCAACAAAACAGGGCATGTTAGTAAACATGATCACACCTGCTAAGTACTTGGAACCTCAATTCTAGACCACATGCCTCAGTCATGCTGTAAACCAGTGCTTCTCAAACTTTCACATGCATTCACATCACCTGGGGATCTTGTTAAAAATATAGATTCTGATTCAGTGGATGTGGGATGGGCCTCCAATTTTACATTTCTATTTTTTTTTTTTTTTTTTGAGACAGAGTTTTGCTCTGTTGCCCAGGCTGGAGTGCAGTGGCACTATCTCAGCTCACTGCAACCTCTGCCTCCCAGGTTCAAGCGATTATCCTGCCTCAACCTCCCAAGTAGCTGGGACTACAGGTGCGTGCCACCACACCCAGCTAATTTTTTTCTTTTTCTTTCTTTCTTTTTTTTTTTTTTTTTTTTTTGTATTTTTAGTAGAGATGGGATTTCATCATATTGGCCAGGCTGGTCTCGAACTCCTGACCTCAGGTGATCCGTCCACCTCAGCCTCCCAAAGTGCGGGGATTACAGGCATAAGCTGCCAGGCCCACCCCAATTGTACATTTCTTTTTTTTTTTTTTTTTTTTGAGACAGAGTTTCGCTCTGTTGTCCAGGCTGGAGTGCAGTGGTGCAATCTCAGCTCACTGCAAGCTCCGCCTCCTGAGTTCACGCCATTGTCCTGCCTCAGCCTCCCAAGTAGCTGGGACTACAGGTGCCTGCCATCACGCCTGGCTAATTTTTTTGTGTTTTTTTAGTAGAGACTGTGTTTCACTGTGTTAGCCAGGATGGTCTTGATCTCCTGACCCCGTGATCCGCCTGCCTTGGCCTCCCAAAGTGCTGGGATTACAGATGTGAACCACCACACCTGGCCCCAATTGTACATTTCTAACAAGCTCCCAGTTAATAGTGATGCTACTGATCAGAGACCACACTTTGAACTGCGAGACTTAGGAGATACAGAACAATTTAAATATGTTTACTCAATTGTGAAAGCCCGAGTGAAATCTTTTTTGTTGTTGTTAAAGGAGAGTTTTCTTTCTTTTAGAGCTCAGACATAGGAGCTCCTGGTTCTTAGGTCTTCAGATTCCAGGAATTATACCAGCACCATCACCCTGCCACCTGCTTCTTAGGCCTTTGGCCTTGGACTGGGAGTTACACCATCTGCTCCCCTGCTACTCAGGCCTTTGGACTCCGACTGCAGTACACCACCAGCTTTCCTAGTTCTCCAGCCTGCAGATGGCATATCGTGGGACCTCTCATCTTCTCTAATTCCATGAGCCAAGGCCCACAAAAAAATCTTATCTTACGTATCTACGTATATCCTATTGGTTCTGTTTCTCTGCAAAACCTGACTAATACATCCTCTTTCCGTATTTGTAAATTCCTTCTCAACAGTAAGAACCCTGGTTCCTATTATCATTGATAATAGGAGTCATTGCCTAATCCTCCTGTAACCAATCTCTGGCCATGCTGGCTGCATGCTTGGCACTCAGGCTTTGACACTTAGCTGCAATTGCTGATGCTCTCAGTGTTTTCCAAAGTGTTAATCCAGCTGGGCAATAACACTATACTTACTATTTCTTTCATGTCTCTAGCACCTGATACATCCAAGCTAATACATTTCCTTCACTAAGGTACCATCTGAGCTCATCACTAGCAAAAGTTTTAGTAATTGCACCATCACCTTCTGCCAGAGACAATCTGTGTGCCACCTTCCACCAATGATGGTGTCCTCATAGCCAGGTGGCAGGTGACTCAACCCCAAACATCCAGTCCTCCTGTTTTGGTTTTTTTTGGATCACCCCACTTCTGGTACCAATTATCACAGGTTGGATTCTCTGGGAAGCAGACTACGAAACAGATTGGCATGCAGGAGGTTTGTTAGGGGATGTATTGCAGAAAGGAAGGAAACAGGATTGGGCAGAGGAAGCAGCTGAGTTTCACACTATGCAGCTCTCTTCCGCTGAGGCAGTCTGCAAAGGGGCACACAGCTGAGAGCTGTCTGCTGGCAGCATTTCCAGTCACTGGGAAAATAATTTCTTTTTTCCCTGGACAGTGCATCACAGGTCCCCCCACAACATCATCAAGGCTGTTCTGTAACCACAAGTAAATCATCTCTTCTTCATCTATAAGTTGATTCACAAATTTGGAAATCAATGTGGAATATTTTTCTTTTTGGATCTCTGTGAATATTGTTTGATACAGAGCTTGTGATCAATAAGATTACCAATTACATTTTCTCTTTTATACTTTTGCTTTCCTCTACAGTTTCTAATTGCTTTTTTGGTACTATTTGAAGAAATATATTGTCAACTTTTTCCAACCTCTTCATCAAATTCACTTTTCTATGGAAATCCTCCTTTTTTTTCTTTTCTTTTCTTTTCTTTTTTCTTTCTTTTTTTTTTTTTTTTTTTTTTTTGAGACAGAGTCTTGCTCTGTCTCCCAGGCTGGAGTGCAGTGGCGTGATCTTGGCTACCGCAACCTCCACCTCCCGAGTTCAAGCAATTCTTCTGCCTCAGCCTCCCGAGTAGCTGGGACTACAGGCACCCACTGCCACACCCAGCTAATTTCTGTATTTTTAGTAGAGATAGGGTTTCACCATGTTGACCAGGCTGGTCTTGAACTCCTGACCTCAGGCGATCTGCCTGTCTTGGCCTCTGAAAGTGCTAGGATTACAGACGTGAGCCACTATGCCTGGCTCTCCTTTTTTTTTCCCCTAGAGATCTCCATCCCAGGGCCCTGTGTCTGCCCACTTCAATTTGGATGAGCTGTTATTCCAGTCTTGCTACACAGTTGTCACCATGGGGTTTCCCTTTACTGCCATCCTTGGTTAAACTCATTGCTTTCTGGATTCCATGTTTAAAACTTTTGTTTCGTTTATGCCCTGGTTTTGCTGAGGTATTTTCTTAGAAGAGATGTAAAGCAAGCTAGTTTTATGAGTCTAAAAAATGTCTTTATTTTTCTTTTCCATTTAGTTGAAGATTTGACTGGATATAGAATTTTGAGCTGAAACTAATTTTTCATCAGGAATTTAAAAGCATTGTTCCATTGTCTGCCTGAAATGGATTCTTTCTTTTTTTTTTTTTTGAGATGGAGTCTCACTTTTGTCACCCAGGCTCTAGTGCAATAGTGTGATCTCGGCTCACTGCAACTTCCGCCTCCCAGGTTCAAGCAATTCTCCTGCCTCAGCTTCCCGAGTAGCTGGGATTACAGGTACGGGTCGCCATGCCTGGCTAAGTTTTGTATTTTTAGTAGAGATGGGGTTTCATCATGTTGGCCAGGCTGGTCTCAAACTCCTGACCTCAGGTGATCTGCCCGCCGCGGCCTCCCAAAGTGCTGGGATTCCAGGCATGAACCATCATGCCCAGCCAAGATTCTGATCCAGCATTCACTCAA
Organism: Homo sapiens; assembly: GCF_000001405.40. Lineage (NCBI taxonomy): Eukaryota > Metazoa > Chordata > Mammalia > Primates > Hominidae > Homo > Homo sapiens. Next base: position 121,986,251 of record NC_000010.11, read on the forward strand.
CAAACATTCCAAGTATGTTCTAGGCACTAATGATACAGGTGCTCCCTGTAAATTCTTCATAAGTTAAAAGTATTGTAAGTTGAAAATGCATTTAACACACCTAACCTACTGAACATAGGGATATGGGAGTTAAGAAGAAATTACTTGGGCAGATAGTGAGGGTACGGAAGTCCTTGGTAAGGCTTTTATCCTTAATGAAAAGCAGCCCCAAATTGTTTTTTAACAAAGAGCAGCCTATAAAGTTGAGCTGCAGATATAAACAAGCAAGCTGGGAGCTTGCACAGGTGAATGCCGGCAGGAGCTAGGGACTATATGTGTTCAAGATGGTGGCTCTGTCTTCCTTTCTCTTTGTCGACCACCATACAATGTATTAAAGAGCAGTCAAGATAGTGCTGATCAACTGGAGAGTCCATTTACATAATAAGATTAGGGTGGGGCAGCCAGTCTTCCTCGCGGGCTATGTAAATGTCATACCTGATGGTACCAATCTATGAGGTCTGCGTAAATCAGACACCACCTTTTCCAGCCTGCCTATAAAATCTGCTGCGGTCCGCCGCCTCCCGTTTTGGACTTCTCTCTCTCTCCTTTCTTCTATTAAGTTTTCTACTTCTTAACCCACCCACGTGTGTCTGTGTCCTGAATTCTTTCTCATTGTGAGACAAGGAACCCCAGCATAAATACTCTAGACAATGTAGCTGTTAAAGTAGCATAGCCTAGCCTACCTAAAACGTGCTGAGAACACTTGCATTAGCCTACAGTTGGGCAAAATCACCTAACACAAAGCCTAGTTTGTGACAAAGTGTTGAATCTCATAGAATTTATTGAATACTGTACTGAATTTGAAAAACAGAATAGTTGTTTGAATACTCAAAGTACAGTTTCTGCTGAATGCATTCTCTCTTTTGAGCCATCTTATGATAAATCTACATCAAATTATTGTTATGTTAGGGAAGGAAACTGCCTTTGCAGAACTGACAGTAACAGAAATGTGACATGGTTGACTTCATCTTGCTTCTGACCTCCAAGCTGTCCTTGGTTATTCCTGGGCATAGGCCAAGCTAACTTTGGGAGGAATTCAATTTATAGTTTAATTTGAAAGTAAAGATTATAATAGTCCCTCCCTAAAACTAACCCCCTCCTTTCTCAGGGACCAAAATCGCCTTTGTAAGACTAATGAAAGGCCACAGGAATAGGATAATGGGAGAAGGCAGAACTCTGCTAAAATGTAGGCATAGTTTCTATAGTCCCTTAATGCCCAGGGGTCATGTGGCCAGAGTTCACAAGATCTGTGACTTTCCCAATTGCTCCTGTAAGTAACATCACTATTGTAGAACTTAAGATTGGGGTGTTTGTTTGTTTGTTTGTTTTTGTATTTTTAGTAGAGACGGGGTTTCACCATCTTGGCCAGGCTGGTCTCGAACTCCTGATCTTGTGATCCACCCACCTGGGCCTCCCAAAGTGCTGGGATTACAGGCGTGAGCCACCGCGCCCAGCCAAGATTGAGTTTTTTAAGATGTTTTTCAGACTGACCTCACTCAGACTCATGACTCATGACTCAACAGGTCCTGGGGCCCCACCCAGAGGCAGACTCAGTGCATGAGGACTGCTTTCCACACCGGTATGATTTCATCCCCAACCAATCAGCGGCACTATCCCCCTACCCCCTGACAACCAAATTGTCCATAAAAACCCTTGTTCCGAGCCTACAGGGAGACTGATCTGAGGGATAACTCCAGTTCTCCCACGTGGGCTCAGCCTCGCGGCAGTTAAACTCTTTCTCTATTGCAATGCCATGGTCTCAGTGAATTGATTTTTGTCTGTGCAGTGGGGAAGAAGAACTTGTTGGGTGGCTCCAGAACCATCTGTATAATGATGAATAAGACAAAGTCCCTACTCTCATGGAGGAGACAGATAATAAAGAAAAGAAAAAAAAAGGATTTGGTCATTGTAAGTGCTATGAAGAATTTAAATAGGCTAAAGGGATAGGTGGAGAATAGAAGTTGCATTTTTTCTTTCCCTCCAGATAGAGTCTCACTCTGTCACCCAGGCTGGAGTGCAGTGGTGCGATCTTGGCTCACTGCAACCTCCACCTCTGGGTTCAGGCAGTTCTCCTGCCTTAGCCTCCTAAATAGCTGGGATAGCAGGCACCTGCCACCACGCCCGGCTAATTTTTGTCTTTTTAGTAGAGAGGGGGTTTTACCATGTTCGCCAGGCTGGTCTTGAACTCCTAACCTCAAGTAATCCACCCACCTCGGCCTCCCAAAGTGCTGGGATCACAGGCATGAGTCACTGTGCCCGACCTGAAAGTTGCTATTTTAGGTGTGATGAGCAGCACAACATCTTTCCTGAGGAGGTGACATTTGAGATGTGACTTGAATTGTGAGGAGTAATGTGTCATGCAAAAATACAGGGAAGTCATATTGTAGTCAAAGGCAATAGCAAAAAAAAGTCTTTGGGGTTAAAATAAGTCTGACACATTCAAGAAAGTTCAGAAAGGCATACATACCTGTGTTAGAGTAGGTAGCTAGGGGAACATGAGAAGGGCAGCAGAGGGCATTCCACCCCCACCCCCAACCAGGAATGTCAGGCGACCATCATGTGATGGTCAGGTGGTTGTTACACTGTTTCTCTAAAATCATCATTGGTTGCAGCCAGCACCAGGGAAAGGCCGGCTCCCAATAGATAGAAAACACCTGAAGCTAGTGTCAGCCGCTTCCTGATAAGATCTCAGGAGTTGGGCAAGTGGGCTCAAGCATGGGCCCTAAGGGGCAAAATGTCAGAGTTTAACTAATATATGACCTTCCTCTAGGAATTCTCGACTGGCAAGGGAAAAATGCCTCAAATGAGCACGCGCACAACTTCAGTAAACACACTGTGAGTGCGGCCACTCCCAAGTGCTGGCAGACCACTGCATAAGTGGACAGCCTGCTCCAAGGGAAGGATCAGGAGAGAAGAAACGCAAATCCCAGAACCGTGCCAACATATAAAACCCCACATTAAGGGTTGTACAGTGCACTGGGATTTCTCAAGTCACCCGCTTGGTCCTCTTCCAAGTATACTTTACTTCCTTTCATTCCTCTCTAAAACTTTTTTAAAAACTTTCACTCCTGCTCTAAAAGTTATCTTGGTTTCTTACTCTACCTTATGCCCCTTGGGCGAATTTTTTCCTCTGAGGAGGGAAGAATAGAGTTGCTGCTGCAGACACATCAGATTCCCTACTGGTAACAGCTGGAGTGCGGTAAGTAAGGAGGAGAGGGCTGGAAAATGAAGTTGGCTCTGATTCCCATTACTTGAAAATACAGGGTAGGAAAACCCTATCTTCTTAGGTTCAGTGGCTGGGGAGCACCATCACTCAAGGTGAGAACTGCCTGGCTGAGCCCAGCCAACTCACAGAACTGTATGAGGTATTTTCATCTACTGTGCTAGGCACCTAGTGAGAGCCCTTTTGCGTCTTTCAACTTTGGAAAAAATTATGATTTATTTTTATTTTTTAAATTAATTTTATTTTTTTTTTTTATGTTTTTAGAGATAGGTTCTTACTCTGTCATCCAAGCCAGAGTGCGGTGGCATGATCATGGCTCACTGTAGCCCAGAACTACTGGGCTCAAGTGATTCTCCTGCCTCAGCTTCCCAAGCAGCTGGTACCACAAGCACATGCCAGCATGTGCAGCATGGGAAATATTTTTATGTTACCACCTCGACACTTTCTTCCTTCTACTTTTCTGTGTCATGTCTGCATCTCCCGTCACTTAGATAGGGACCTCACAGTTTGATTCTCCAGACCTTTAATATTTTTTCATATTTTAAATATTTCTTTAATTCTGTTTTTTGAGATATTTTATTAAATTTACCTTCAACCTTCTGTGGATTTTTTTTTTTAGACAGGGTCTTGCTCTACTGCCCAGGCTGGAGTGCAGTGGCATAATGATGGTTCATTGCAGCCTCGACCTCCCGGGCTAACGCAATCCTCCCACCAGGAGCAATCCTCTCAAGTAGTTGGAACTACAGGTGCATGCCACTAAATTCAGCTAATATTTTTTATTTTTTATAGAGATGGGGGTCTCGCCGTGTTGGCCAGGCTGGTCTCAAACCCCTAGGCTCAAGTGATCCTCCTGCCTCAGCCTCCCAAAGTGCTGGGATTATAGGTATGAGCCACCAAACACTGCCAGAATTTTAAATATCAGGATATAGGAAAGGTTTTGCTTTCGTTTTCAATTTTGTTTTTGTCTTATGGCACGGGGCCAGGCAGGGCAAAGGGTAGATTCCATTGACACTTATTTTTAATTTTCTGCCCAAGTACGTTCCCACCATTGTTCCTGGTGTTTCAGACCCTCTCCAGGGTCTGCAGAGTCTTGTTTGGCTGGAGCCCCTTCTACTCTAGTCTAATGCCCCTCTGCCCTAATTCCTCAACTACCAGGCCGTCACTGCTTTCCATTACCCACAACCATGGAGAAAGCTCTCATCAGCTAATGTGCCTTCTCCAGTTTGCCACATTATTACATTATTGTCTGGACATACCTGTTTTTTTGTTGTTGTTGTTTGTTTGTTTGTTTTTGAGACAGGGACTCGCTGTGTTACCCAGGCTGGAGTGTAGTGTTGCCTTCTCGGCTCACTGCAACCTCTGCCTCCCAGGTTCACTCGATTCTCCTGCCTCAGCCCCCTGAGTAGCTGGGATTACAGGCACCTGCCACCACGCCCAGCTAATTTTTGTATTTTTAGTAGAGATGATTTTGCCATATTGGCCAGGCTGGTTTCAAACTCCTGACCTCAAGTGATCCACCTGTCTCAGCCTCCCAAAGTACTGGAATTACAGGTATGAGCCACTACGCCTCATCTGGACCTACTTGTTTTTAAAAATGCCTTTGTTATCATTTTAATGAAGTCTCTTAAAGGAAAGGAGTTGCATTTGTGTGTTCTGTCTTCTTCAGTAAAGAGAGGGCTTTTATTTATTTATTTTATGTATGGAGATAAATGAACCTTAAACATTGTATATTTTTATTTTTATAAATCCACCTGTTTACTGTCATTTCAAACATTACTTTAAATTTATTTTCCCCTCAGAGCTTTTAAATAATCAGGAGCTCTAAGCATTGCCTGGGAAATGTTTTGTTTTCTTTGCGCTGTCCGCCACATGCTAGTGATTTTCAGCAAGGTTGTGTTTACGTGTATTTCAACTGGGCAAATAGGAACTAATATGAAATAAAATAACATTAATCAAACCTGACTTTATGAGCAAGTTTTGAAATAGTTCACATCTCAAATTAAAAATAAGTCTTTTTTGCTAATTAATGAATGAATGTTTTGGTCAAGAATCATTTCAAAGCTGAGCAGCTGAGTGAATGATAGAAACTGCACTCACACTGTTGCTGTATGGTGGCACCATCTCAGCCGGTATACAGAGATGTCTGCAGGTTTTCATCAGGATCATGGGAACTGCACTGTTGTTTACAGACATTGGAACTCTGACTTGTGACTTTAGTGTAATTTAAAACTTTTTTATATCTCAAAGCCATTTGCATTAGTCCATTTTCATGCTGCCGATAAAGACATGCCCAAGATGGGCAATTTACACAGGAAGAAGGTTTAATGGACTCACAGTTCCGTGTGGCTGGGGAGGCCTCATAATCATGGCAGGAGGCAAGGAGGAGCAAGTCACATCTTACATGGATGACAGCAGGCAAAGAAAGAGCTTGTGCAGGGAAACTCCCCTTATAAAATCATCAGATTTCGTGAGACTTATTCACTATCATGAGAACAACATGGGAAAGACCTGCCCCCATGATTCAATTACCTCCCACCAGGTCCTTCCTGCAACAAGTGGGAATTTAAGATGAGATCCGGGTGGGGACACAGCCAAACTGCATCACCATTTCACCCACGTTTTATGTGTTGGTGCTAGTGGGAGTACTAAAAAACTGTTCCCAGATCAATAAACTGGGAACAAAAGTGAGAAGTGGTAGAAAGCTGTGAAGAAGGCCCAGAACAGCCCACCCTGATATGCCAGGCTGTTCTTTTGGAAGAAAGCAGTTTGTACACAAGAGAGGTGATGCTGAGAAAGTGAAAAACCTGAAGGTTTTAAGAGCCGAAAAAGTGCTAATGTGAAAACACGCCACATGGTTTTATGTAGGGGCCCCTTTACTTTAATGCTTTTTCCAACAGGAAAATTTGACTTAAGTTATTTGAGTGCAGAATTACACAAGAACTTCAAGAAAAGTTATAAAATGTAATTGCACAGAACAACTCAGTTCTAGAATAGGGATTTTCCATTTTTGGAGGGCTTTTATGTACATCATCATGATTAAGTCATGCTGGGCCTATGAAGAAGGTGGAGTGTGGGATCATTCTCTTTTTCTGCCTGATGAAATGGAAGTGCTTAGTGCTTGGGCAATTGATCCAAGTCACTGCTAGAAAATAGGTGAATTGGTTGGGCATGGTGGCTTACGCCTGTAATCCTAGCATTTTAGGAGGCCAAGGAGGGTGGATTGCCTGAGCTCAGGAGTTTGAGACCAGCCTGGGCAACACGGCGAAACCCCGTCTCTACTAAAATACAAAAAATTAGCCAGGCGTGGCAGTGGGCACCTGTAGTCCCAGCTACTCCAGAGGCTGAGGCAGGAGAATTGCTAGAACCTGGGAGGCAGAGGTTGCAGTGAGCCAAGATCGTGCCACTGCACTCCAGCCTGGGCAACAGAGTGAGACTGTCTCTAAAAAAAAAAAAAAAGAAAGAAAAAATAGCTGAATCGAGACTTAGCATCCAGCCTTCAGAACCCTCATTCAAAACTCTCTGGGAAGCTAGGCATGGTAGCTCACACCTGTAATCCCAGCACTTTGGGAGGCCAAGGCGGAAGGATCCCTTGAGCCAAGAGTTCAAGAACAGACTGGGCAATGTTGCAAGACCCCTGCCTCAACAACAAACAAACAAAACAAAACTCTCTGGGAGGTCCTTTGGTATTACAGCATTTTAGTTATTATAAAACTCAGTCTTCTTAAGGAAGACAACTCAACTAACTTTTAAATGTGTGAAAAAAAGGAGTTGTAGTCACTTGAATTTGCACTCTGAATACTAGAATAATTTTGAAAATTAAATATTTCCGATGAAAATTAGATTACCTTTTAAATTTTCTCTGAAAAATTATACATTCACATGAGATAAAATCCCTAGACTAGAAAAGAAATATGAGAGGGAAGTCTTCCTCTTTCCCTGCTCCCGAGTCCACCCACTGTCACTAGTTTCTTATGTGAGTTTCCAGAAAGAATTATTTATATATTATAATGTAGCACATTGTATGGTTAGGTTTAGATCATTGCCTTTATAATGTAGTATTTACACATAAATGTATATCCTCCTTTCGGGGCTTTTGTTTGTTTGTTTTTTGTTTTTTGTTTGTTTGTTTTGGAGACAGGTTCTCAATTTGTCACCCAGGCTACAGTGCAGTGGCACCATCACAGCTCACCGCAACCTCAACCGCCCTGGCTCAAGCGATACTCCCACCTCAGTATCCCAAGTATGTGGGACTACAGGCGTGCGCCACCATGCCTGCCTAATTTTTTTGTTGTACTTTTAGTAGACTCTACAAGGTCCCTCTGTGTTGCCCAGGCTGTTCTCAAACTCCTGAGCTCAAGTGATTTGCCCTCTTTGGCCTCCCCAAGTGCTGAGATTATATAGACGTAAGCCACCACACCCAGCCCCTTTCTTTTTTCTTTACATAAACAATAGTATATCATACACACTGTTCTGTATCTTAATATTTTTCACTTGATGTATCTTGGAGAGTTTTCAGTGACGGTATATAAAGAGCTCCTCACCCTTTCTCCAGCCGCTTCGTTTCCCATTGTATGATTGCATCTTTAATTCCCTGGCTACTGATGAAACTGTAGGTGACATGCTGTTTAGAACTCGCCTAACTAACTGCTCATTCTCCCTTTCTAAAGGAGGCATATTGACATGTTTGAAAAGGACTGCTTGATACTGTCAGCTGAGGCTGGTGATGACCTGTCCCTATTTACTAGAAGCACTGCTAATTTTATGCCTTGTTTTTTTCTTCTTTTATGGTTGCTTTGTTTTGAAAAGTGGCTTGTCCCAGCCAAAATATAAGTCAAGTAAATCAAATTGCAGCCCAAGGTAGTTGACACTGGCTTCGGATCCCAAATAAATGTGTAGTGAGAAGCACAGAGAGCTGGAGGCTGGCGGCACCTGCAGGCTCCCTGCTCCTTATTACCCTCTCCCTCTGGGCTGCAGAGCCTTCTGGAAAGCCGCTGCCTGGCCTGGGTCAGATTGCTTACACGCCACTGCCTCCCAGGCCGGCGTTCCCAACCTTAAGCCAATGCACATTTATAGAACAATTCCATGTGATCCTGGGGAAGACAGACTGCGGGTGGAGGGCAGTGCTGAAAAGGAGCCTCTGGAAGAGAGGGCCTTCTCCCGCTTCTCTCCTCCTCCTCTCCACGCTGGGGGGATCCTGGGTGAGTGAGTCTCAGACTGAGGGCTTCTTCCTTTGAGCAACCTGTGGCTTTAAACCGGTTTGACTACTGAGATTAGAGGGATAAAAGCATTGCTTGTTTGCTTTCCTTATAAAGTGAAATTAAAGGCATATCTGTGCCTCTCCACTCCTTGTTTTTTAAGCCAAATGAACTGTACTTTTTCTAATACGTCACTGGTTACTTTTGATAGACTATGGCCCCATTAATCTAGACCTCGATCTCTTCATTTGTGAAATAAGGAGTTGCGCTGGATGATTACTGGAATTTCTTCTGGCCTCTGTTGTGATTCTGCCCATCACAAATTTTAGTTTCAAATGTTTGTGATTCTGCAGAATGATGACTTCAGAGAGAACCCCTAAGGCCCTGAGGGTTTGTAGGACTTTGTGGGAGAAAGTCATTTGAAAGCTCGTATTGTGTTGACCTTGACATGTTTGCACAGGTATTTCTCTAGACTCTCACAAGTGCCTTTCCAGGCCTGTTTCTGATGTTGTGCCTGCCAACTTGAGCCGCCGTGTGATCTTGGCAAACGCTGTGTTTCTGAGTTTGACTTGGTGTCAGTTATAACTGAATCATCAGGTTAAAGCCAAAGTTAGGCAGAATTCTAAGCCTCATGAGAGAATCCTACAGTTCAGTTAAACACAGAAGTGTGTGTGTATGTACTGTTTCATACCCTGTTCCATAAAACAGAAACGCCCCGACCAAAAGCCTTTATCCCACTGACACCACTTATAATCTATTGTGTAATATCTGCGTATGTGTGTATACAGGGGGCAAAACTCCTCCCAGTTCTAGTGGCATGGTGAGTGTATTAGTCTGTTTTGCATTGCTGTAAAGGAACACCTGAGACTGAGTAGTTTATAAAGAAAAGAGATAGTTGGCTCATGGTTCTGAAGGCTGTACAGGCTTGGCACTAGCACCCACTTGGCGTCTGCTGCCGTCTCAGGAAGCTTTCACTCATGGTGGAAGGCCAAGAGGGAACAGGCATGTCACATGGCAAGAGACAGAGCAAGAGAGATGCCAGGATCTTTTCTTTTTTTTTGTTTTGAGACAGAGTCTCGTTCTGTCGCCAGGCTGGAGTGCAGTGGCGCAATCTTGGCTCACTGCAACTTCCGCCCCCTGGGTTCAAGCGATTCTCCTGCCTCAGTCTCCTGAGTAGCTGAGACTACAGGTGCGTGCCACCATGCCCAGCTAAGTTTTGTATTTTTAGTAAAGATGGGGTTTCACCCTGCTGGCCAGGCTGGTCTCAAACTCCTGACCTCGTGATCTGCCCGCCTTGGACTCCCAAAGTGTTGGGATTACAGGCATGAGCCACTGCACCTGGCTGCCGGGCCCTTTTCATTTATATTTTTTATTTGAGATAGGATCTTGCTCTGTTGCCCAAGCTGGAGTGCAGTGGTCCAGTGTAGCCTTGACTTCCTGGGCTCAAGCACTCCTCCCACCTCAGCCCCCCGAGTAGCTGGGACCACAGGCACGCACCACCACACCTGGCTAATTTTCTTATTTTTTGTAGAGAGACCGGGTCTTGCTGTGTTGCTCAGGCTGTGTTGCTCAGGCTGAGCTCAAGCGATCATCCTGCCTCGACCTCCCACAGTGCTGGGATTACAGAAGAGAACTGCCTCACCTAGCCTCCAGCCCCTTTTAAACAACCAGCTGTCATGTGAACTAATAGAGTGAGAAGCCACTGCTTACTACAAGGAAGGCACCAAACCATTCCTGAGGGATCCGCCCCCATGACCTCCCACCAGGCCCCACTTCCAATGCTGGGGATCACATTTCAAAATGAGATTTAGAGGAGACAAACCTCCAAACTCTATCAGTGAGAGAGAAGAGGAATGAAACAGAGGGAAAAATACAAGATTCATTTCTTCATTTCATTCAGCAAACACTTATTAAGTGATGCTAAGCAGGCAGTCACCATGAGGTGTAGAATGACCACAGTGGTCCCAGGCCACATGACTGAGAGAACGAGGTCCTCTAAATCTGATGAGCAAGGCAAGAGAGGGATTGGCTTGAGGGAAAGATGTTAAGTGGACATTTCAAGAGGCTGAATCATCTAAGCAGAGACATTGATGGGAGATTTAAAAATGCAGTTGGTGCAGGAGTGAGACGTCAGGGCAGGTGCTTTAGGTTTAGAGTCTTTTCCCTGGACTCAATAGAGAAAGCCATGGGAATCAATGGACTCTCCAAGGAGAAGACCAGGCTAGAACACCAAATCCTGAAGCTCCTGGTTGGCTTCACTGAGAGGGTGGGAGGAGGAACTGGAGAAGGAGAAAGAGAGTGGGATTTTGCAGCAGCTCGTTAGAAAAGCGTTAGGTGGAAAGAGCCTGGAGGTGGGAGTTCAGGGGATAGTCTCAGATGCTGCAGAGAGGCTGAAAGAGGATGAGGACGTAGATGAGACCAGCATCTGGGCATCATGGGCAGCTTTTGAGTATGCTTTCAATTGGGGCACATTTGGTTGCAAGAAACAGAAACCCACCCGAAAAGGGGCATTTGTTGAGCAGACATAGTTCTGGGCTGCAGCAACTTCTCACTCCTGCTTCTCAGCAACCACTGGCTTCATTCTGGTCTGAGGGTGGATGGATCTCCTCTGCTGGGATCTTACCCCGCCTCTCCCTAAGTCCAGCGTGCACAGACTCTGGGCTTCTCTACCACTGGTCCTGGCCACCATTCCTCATTGCCTCGTGATGAGTGGCCTCCTTTGATGGTCTTCCTTATCAAATATCTAAAGAGAAAATCTGATTGTCCCCACATAAGCCAGAATCTACCCTTAGTCCAATTAGCAGGGTCTAAGAGGTGGGTTGATGTGGTGGGCCAGGACCACTCAGACAGGAGGGAGATGGGACATGTTGGGAGGGGTGAGGAATGAGTGGTTTTCAGAGAGAAGAACAAAGGCAGGCCTTCCAACGTGGCTGCTCAAGTGTGTGCTGTCATGGGAGCAGAGAAATGAATGCTGAGGGTGATGACAGTGTTTCTAACTGCATGCAAGGGCACATGCTTAACGGCCAGGGACATGCTGGGGTAGGGGACAGCTCTGCTGGCTAATAGGGGAGAGGGAGAGCATGGTAAAATACAATTATGTACCCTTGGAGCATTGGTCAGTAGAAAACCAAACTCACTCTGATGCGATCCCGATCCAATGCTCTGAATCCCAAGGAGGCCACAAGCCTAGGGGAGATTTGTCCATCTCAGCCCAAGAGGTCCCATCCCACCCCCAAAGGCAGGCACGAAGACCAAGACTTCAGGTGGTGGCAGCAAGGGAGCAGCCAGACGCTGCTCAAGGAACTGACAAGGAAGACTCCTCGGCTGGGCACGGTGGCTCATGCCTGTAACCCTAGCACTTTGGGAGGCCAAGGCAGGTGGATCACAAGGTCAGGAGTTTGAGACCATCCTGGCCAATATGGTGAAACCCGTCTCTACTAAAAATACAAAAAAAATTAGCTGGGTGTGGTGGCAGGCGCCTGTAGTCCCAGCTACTCGGGAGGCTGAGGGAGGATAATTGCTTGAACCCAGGAGGTGGAGGTTGCAGTGAGCTGAGATCACACCACTGCACTCCAGCCTGGGTGACACAGTGAGACCACGTTCTCAAAAAAAAAAAAAAAAAAAAGGAAGACTCCTTTTTGGGGGCCTGTACTCACCCTTAGCAGATCTCTGAACAATCCACTATGACCCTTGTCCTAGGGTTCTTAATTCAGCTGTGTTTAGAAGAGGTGGATATCACTGTGTTTTTATCATCCTAGTCTGCAGAGGCAAATTTGTTCCTGTTATTCTATCTTGTGATATGTCATGGATAGCAGGAGCAACTCAAGATAGCCACCACCTTGCCAACGTTTCGTAAGTGTTATTAATGAGGGTGTTTAAAATCGACACAGTGGAGAGAGTGGCTGTGATGAGTGACTACTCTGAATTTGTGACCTAAAAAGGGGAAATTCTGCTCCACACTCAAGTCAGGGAACAGCCTCAGGAGAGCTCTGTGCTGGATCGGGTGCCAAAGAGTTGGAAAGAGATTAAACCCAGCAACACTGGCTGACTTTATGCAGCCAAGCCGCTTACATCGGTATAAAGTTCAGGAATGACTGAAATTGGTTGTGTCTCATTGTCTGGGGCTCCAAAGAAATATCCAATCCCTACCAAGATCTGACCTCCTCTGAGTAGCTGCCTTTACTGCATGTTAAGCAAGACTTCAGCCTGAAACATGTATTTCTCCCTGCTTGTGCTCAGTTACATGTGAAAGGACCTGGAAAGGTACAAATGTATGGGAAGCTGGAGTGGCCATTTCTTTCTTTCTTTTTTTTTTTTTTTGAGACGGAGTCTTGCTCTGTCGCCAGGCTGGAGTGCAGTGGCATGATCTCGGCTCACTGCAAGCTCCGCCTCCCAGGTTCAAGCGATTCTACTGCCTCAACCTCCTGAGTAGCTGGGACTACAGGCGTGCACCACCACGCCCAGCTAATTTTTTGTATTTTAGTAGAGACAGGGTTTCACCGTTTTGGCCAGGATGGTCTCAATCTCCTGAACTCGTGATTGGAATGGCCATTTCTAAGTGGGACAAAGATTTTCATTTTGAGGAGACATAATTTTGCAGCTGGCTCCCTGAGCTTAAAAAGCACAGCTTTGTATTCACTTTTGGTCATTCAGAAAAACCATTCCTCTGAATATCCTTTTGCTGAAACTGGTCATAAGGTTCAAGTTAGAATCTGACAAAGTGCTTTTGCATCTCATATTTCATAGCAAACAGATGAGACAAGCAACGCTTGAATCCCAGTTGGTCACAAGCTCATCGCCACATGTGTTCCAAGTCTTTGAAAAGCATTTGGTGATATTACTGTTTGCAGGGCCTGGTGGAAGTTTCCCTATTTGGCATTTGTTGGCGTGCCTCTCTTTGCCCAACACCAGCCTGTTTTACTGCCCCAGGACTGTCAATGCTTTGGCGCATTCCTTCTCCTCATTTGGCATAAACAGAGAGACTTGGGTTGACATGTCTTGGTCCAACAGGTGTGGAGGGAAATGACCCTCTACATACACTGATGTCAATCTTGGAGAAGCAGCTATTAAATAGATAGAGGAAAAACGACAGAGGAAAAACAATGCCCAAGGGCAATCGGTCACTCCTTCCAGAGCTTCGGTCAGATGGGTAGATACCAGGAGTTCAGGAAGTTAACCTTTAGAAGATATGTTCATATGTGGCAAGATCAGTCTGCAGGCCCAAGGTCTAGGAGCCAGGAGTAGTGGTCAGACACGTGGTCCTACGGATCAAACCAGTACAGATGCAAGAGAAGGGCTGAGTGAAGACTTGGGATCCAACACTTGGACTTAGAGTTCTGTTGGAGACACCAGGTCTCATGTATGAAGTGCAACGGGGAAATTCAGTTTAGAAAATGCAAATCGGCTAAGTTCGTTGGCTCACGCCTGTAATCCCAGCACTTTGGGAGGCCGAGGTTGGCGGATCACGAGGTCAGGAGATCGAGACCACGGTGAAACCCCGTCTCTACTAAAAATACAAAAAATTAGCCAGGCTTGGTGGTGGGTGCCTGTAGTCCCAGCTACTCGCAAGGCTAAGGCAGGAGAATGGCGTGAACCCAGGAGGCAGAGCTTGCAGTGAGCAGAGATCGCGCCACTGCACTCCAGCCTGGGCGACAGAATGAGGCTCTGTCTCAAAAAAAAGAGAGAAAGAAAATGCAAATCAAAACTAGCTTACTTTAGTAGCCAAATTACTGGCAGATTGCTCGATGCCTGCTTATGAAGAGATGACCTGATTCCAAAGCCCACCACTGACAAGCCAGAGATTGACTCGGCCAGGATTGGCTTAGGAACTGGAGTGGGCTCTAGTCACAAATGAGGAAGGAAGCATTTCTTTTCCTCCCTTCCACCCTGTCTCCTTTTCTTTCTTAATATTTTATTATGGACTTTTCAAGTATACACCAAAGTAGAGAGAATATTATAAGCATCCTTATGTACCCATTACTGGTTTCTACAATTGTCTACAATGGTTGAGCTTATTTCATTTATTATCCTACTTTCCACTAACATCTGCCTTCCTCCCTCCACTGTTCAATTTTTTTGTTTTGTTTTGTTTTCTGTTTTTTGTTGTTGTTTTGTTTGTTTGTTTTTTAAGAAAGTCTCACTCTGTCACTGTGTCACCCAGGCTGGAGTGTAGTCATGTGATCTTGGCTCACTGCAACCTCCACCTCCTGGGCTCAAGCGATTCTCCTTCCTCAGCCTCCCGAGTAGCTGGGACTACAGGCATGCGCCACCATGCCCAGCTAATTTTTGTATTTTTAATAGAGACATGGTTTCATCATGTTGGCCGGGCTGGTCCTGAACCCCTGACCTCTGGTCATCCACCTGCCGTGGCTTCCCAAAGTGCTGGGATTACAGGCGTGAGCCACTGCTCCTGGCCCTGTTGGATTGTTTTAAAACAAATACTTCCATTGTTTAATCAGTAATATTAAAGTATGTATTTTGTATTAGTTTGTTCTCACACTGCTAATAAAGACATGCCTGAGACCAGGTAATTTATAAAGGAAAGAGGTTTAATTGACTCACAGTTTCACATGTCTGGGGAGGCCTCACAATCATGGCAGAAGGCGAATGAGGAGCAAGGTTATGTCTTACATGGTGGCAGGCAAGAGAACTTGTGTAGGGAAACTTCCCTTTATAAAACCATCAGATCTCTTGAGACTTATTCGCTATCACAAGAGCACCATGGGAAAGACCCACCCTCATGATTCAATTACCTCCCACTGGGTCCCTCCCATGACACATGAGAATTATGGGAGCTACAATTCAAGATGAGATTTGGGTGGCAACAAAGCCACACCATATCATGTCTCTAAAAAATTAGGACTCTTTTTGTAAGTGTATAACCACAGTATCCTTATCATACAAAAAATAAATAATTACGTAATATTAAAAATTGTGTCAGTGTTCAAATATCCCTGGTTGTTTCATTTTTTAAACTTTTGATTTATTTAAAATCAGGATCCAAACGAGTTTCACAAGTTGCTTTTGGTTGATATGTCTCTCAAGGCACTTTTCCATTTCCCCCCAGAGTTTCCATATTTCTCCTATATCCTCCACCATATATACCCTCCAGAAATTTCCTATGTCTTCCACTATTATATCTACCTTTTCCAGTAAATTATTTATGTTATGGTTGTAAGAATTGTTTTTGAGTCTTTGCTAATTCCAAGCTCTGAGTCATCTTTGCATCTGCTTATATTGATTATTTTTCCTCTTGATTATAGGTCATTGTCTTATTCAGCCCAGGCTGCTATAACAGAATATCATAGACTGGTGAATTAAACAACAGAAATTTATTTCTCACAGTTCTGGAGGCTGGGAAGTCCAAGATGAAGGTGCTGGCTAAGGCCCTAGTGAGGATCATCTTCTTGGTTTGCAGATGGCCACCTTCTTGCTGTATCCTCATATGATAAAGGGACCATTTCTCTCAAGTATCTTCTTACAAGGGTACTAATCTCATTCATGAAGATGGAGCCCTCCTGACCTAATCACCTCTCAGATGACTCACCTCCAAATACCTTCACATTGGAGATTAGATTTCAACATATGAATTTGGGGCAGGGGGTATAACATTCAGTCTATAGCAGTATGGTATATTATTTTCTGTATATAGTGTTGGAGTTTGCTAGTATGTTTTTCAATATTTTTGCATCACTCATGTTCATGAGTGATATTGCTTTGTAGTTTTTGTCTGTGTGTGTGTGTGCCATTTTTATCAGGTTGAGGAATCAGTGTCATTCTTCATAAAAGGAATTAAGGTGTTCTTCTGCCTTTAAAATGCTTTGGAATAATTTGTAGAGCACGCTGGGACTATCTGACCTTTAAAGATTTGGTAAAACTCCCTCGTGAAATTATCTGGGCCTGATCTTTTTGTTGTGTTATGGTTCCTTAGTAAATTTCTCTATCGTTTTTCTGTGGAAATAGGTATGTTTAAGTGTTGTAACTTTAGTGGTGTCATTTCTGGCAATCCTCATTTCACTAGGATACTATCCATTTCATTTTTTTATTTGCATAGACATCTGCAAATCAGCCTCTTATAATGTTTAAAATTTCTTCCGTTACAATGGTTATTTCCCTCTTGTAATTTTGTGTGTTTGTGCTTTCTCCCTTTTTCTTTCTGATCAAGGTAGCTAGTAATTTTTCTAGTTTATTCCATTTTTAAGAATTAGGCTTTTGTCTGGGCATGGTGGCTCACACCTGTAATCCCAGCACTTTAGGAGGCCGAAGCAGGCGGATCACCTGAGGTCGGGAGTTTGAAACCAGCCTGGCCAACATGGTGAAACCCCGTCTCTACTAAAACTACAAAAATTAGCCAGACATAGTGGTGGGCACCTGCAATCCCAGCTACTCTGGAGGCTGAGGCAGGAAAATCGCTTGAACCCAGGAGGCGGAGGTTGCAGTGAGCCGAGATCACATCATTGCACTCCCTAGCCTAGACGACAAAGCAAGACTCTGTCTCAAACAAAAAAAAAAGAATTAGGATTTTGATTTGTTCATTAATCGCTCATTTTTCTCTTCTCTACTTCATCTATTTCTGCCTTTAACTTTATTTTTTCTTCTTTGTGCTTTTCTTAGTTTACTTTGTTTTTCCTTTCCAGTTTTTTGAGTTGGGAATTTAATTCATTATTTTCCTTCTTTCATTTTCACTGACAAATATGTTTGATGCAATGAATTTTCCTCTGATCACTGCTTTAAATACATCCCATTGACTCTGATATATATGTAATGTTTTTGCTGTCATTATAAAACTGCCTTTGAAAAGGTTGTAACACTGAAAGAGATCTGACCTAACCAACTCTATTTTGCCTTTAACCTCCAAACTTCCTGTGGTCACTTCCGGATGTGGGCCAAGATAACTTTGGGAGTTTATAGTTTAAACGATAATAGCCCTTTCCAAAACTAAACCACCTTTTTTTTTTTTCTTTTCTGAGATGGAGTCTGGCTCTGTCACCCAGGCTGGAGTGCAATGGCGCGATCTGGGCTCACTGCGAGCTCTGCCTCCCGGGTTCATGCCATTCTCCTGCCTCAGCCTCCCAAATGGCTGGGACTACAGGTGCCTGCCACCATGCCCGGCTAATTTTTTTGTATTTTTAGTAGAGACGGGGTTTCACTGTGTTAGCCAGGATGGTCTCGATCTCCTGATGTCATGATCTGCCTGCCTCAGCCTCCCAAAGTGCTGGGATTACAGGCATGAGCTACTGCGCCCAGCCCTAAACTGCCTTTATAAAACTAATGAAAAGGGCTAGGAGCGGTGGCTTACGCCTGTAATCCTAGCACTTTGGGAGGCCGAGGCAGGCAGAAAACTAATGAAAGTTCACCAAGTTAGGAAGATAAGAGAGGCCTAAATTCTGCTAAGATGTAGGTGTAGTTGGCCAGGCATGGTGGCTCACACCTCTAATTCCAGCACTTTGGGAGGCCGAGGTGGGTGGATCACCTAAGGTCAGGAGTTCAAGATCAGCCTGACCAATATGGTGAAAACCCGTCTCTACTAAAAATACAAAAATTAGTCGGGTGTGGTGGTGGGCACCTGTAGTCCCAGATACTCAGGAGGCTGAGACAGGAGAATTGCTTGAATCTGGGAGGCGGAGGTTGCAGTGAGACAAAATCGTGCTACTGCACTCTAGCCTGGGCGACAGAGCGAGACTCTGTCTCAAAAAAAAAAAAAAAAATTACACTCGTTCCTGAGGTTGAAAGATTTACAACTTCCCCAATTATTCCTGTAAATAAAATCACTATAGTACAACCTAAGGTTAGCCTTTTAAGATGTTTTCAGAGTTTGGCATTTCTGATTACCAGATGATTCCACCTAGACCAGTGACTCCTCTGTGGCCCCACACCCCATCCCCCAGAACTGGACTCAGCACAGGAGGACCTTTTTTCCACATTCCTATGATTGCATCCCCAACCAATTAGCAGCACCCATTCCCGAGCTCCCTGTCCTCCAAACTATCTTTGGAAAACCCTAGACTCTGAATTTTGGGGGAGGCCAATTTAAGTAGTAATAAAACTGGCTCTACATGTATTAAACTCTTTCTCTATTGCAATCCCCCCTCTTGATAAATAGGCTGTATCTAGGTAGCAGGCAGGAAGAACATGTTGGGCACTTACAATTATTATTATTTTGTATTTTGTAATTTAAATTTGTATTTTTGTATTTCCCCTTTTATCTAAGAGTTGTTTTAGTTTTAGATGTATATTTACCTATTTTTTAATCCTCATCCTCAGTGCTTTTACCAAAGTTTTTCCCAGTTATCACTTGGTTGGATGAAATACATCATCTAGTAGATTCCTCAAGACTGAATCTCATGGGTGTAGAATTCAGTAAGTTACTGTATTTTATTTTATTTTTTTTTTGAGACAGAGTCTCACCTTGTCGCCCAGGCTGGAGTGCAATGGTGCAATCCGGGCTCACTGCAACCTCTGCCTCCCGGGTTCAAGTGATTCTCCTGCCTCAGCCTCCCGAGTAAGTGGGATTACAGGCATCCACCACCATGCCCCACTAAGTTTTTTGTATTTTTAATAGAGATGGGGTGTCACCAGTTTACCCAGGCTGGTCTTGAACTCCTGACCTCAGGTGATCCACCCACCTCGGCCTCCCAAAGTGCTGGGATTACAGGTGTGAGCCACCACGCCCAGCTTTTTTTTTTTTTTTTGAGACAGAGTCTTGCTCTGTCGCCCAGGCTGGATGGAGTGCAGTGGCATGATCTCGGCTCACTGCAAGCTCCACCTCCTGGGTTCACGCCATTCTCCCACCTCAGCCTCCCGAGTAGCTGGGACTACAGGCGCTCACCACCACGCCCGGCTGATTTTTTGTATTTTTAGTAGAGATGGGGTTTCACCATGTTAGCCAGAATGGTCTCGATCTCCTGACCTTGTGATCCACCCACCTCGGCCTCCCAAAGTGCTGGGATTACAGGCATGAGCCACCGTGCCTGGCCTTTTTTTTTTTTTTCTTTTTTTTTTTTTGAGATGGAGTCTCACTTTGTTGCCCAGGCTGGAGTGCAATAGCACGACCTTGGCTTACTGCAACCTCCACTCCCCGGGTTCAAGCAATTCTCCTGCCTCAGCCTCCAGAGTAGCTGGGACTCTAGTTGTGCACCACCATGCCCAGCTAATTTTTTGTACTTTTAGTTGAGATGGTGTTTTGCCATGTTGGCCAGGCTGGTCTCAAACTCTGGACCTCAGGTGATCTGCCCGCCTCAGCCTTCCAAAGTGTTGGGATTATAGGTGTAAGCTACCACACCTGGCCTACTGTATGTTGAAAATTGTTTTTCTCTAGCCTTGATACATGAAGAACAGCTTGGCTGGATATAAAATCTTTGGTTCGCACTTTCATTCATGAGTTGTTTTTTGTTTTTCTTTTTTAATGCTGTTTCATTGTTATCTTGCTTTGTTTATTGATTTTTAAAAAATAGGATGCTGGCCAGGCACGGTGGCTCAAGCCTATAATCCCAGCACTTTGGGAGGCCGAGGTGGGTGGATCACGAGGTCAGGAGATCGAGACCATCCTGG
Source organism: Homo sapiens (assembly GCF_000001405.40). NCBI lineage: Eukaryota > Metazoa > Chordata > Mammalia > Primates > Hominidae > Homo > Homo sapiens. The sequence goes on from NC_000010.11 coordinate 122,006,258, forward strand.
CTAACATGGTGAAACCCCGTCTCTACTAAAAATACAAAAAAATTGGCCAGGCATGGTGGCTCACGCCTGTAGTCCCAGCTACACAGGAGGCTGAGGCAGGAGAATGGTGTGAACCTGGGAGGCAGAGCTTGCAGTGAGCCGAGATTGCGCCACTGCACTTCAGCCTGGGCTACAGAGTGAGACTCAGTCTCAAAAAATAAATAAATAAATAAATAAATAAATAAAAAATAGGATGCCACTCTAATCCTTTTGGTTTTGTAAGTTTTTAGATCTTCTTGTCTGGAGGGCTTTTATCTTTTGTCTTTGAAATCTAATAGTTTCACTGGGACATGTCTTGGGATTGATTGTTTTGGGTTAATTTTCCTAGGTATTTAGTGAGTCCTTCCAGCACGTAGATTCAGGTATTTTCCTGTTTCTAGAAATTTTTCTTGAATCAAACATTTTAAATTTTAGCTCTGTTCCACTGTTTTGTTTTTATTTCAGGCACTCCAACAATAGAACTATAATTCCTTCTTTGCCTGTCTCCTATTTTCTTACTTTCTCTCTGATCCTTTTTATTTATTTCTTTATGCCATTTCTTATCCTCTTCATTGCTTTCCTGATTTTTTTTTTTTTTTTTTTGAGATGGAATTTTGCCCTTGTTGCCCAGGCTGGAGTGCAATGGCGTGATCTTGGCTCACCGCAACCTCTGCCTCCCGGGTTCCAGTGATTCTCCTGCCTCAGCCTTCCGAGTAGCTGGGATTATAGGCATGCGCCACCATGTCCAGCTAATTTTTGTATTTTTAGTAGAGACAGGGTTTCTCCATGTTGGTCAGGCTGGTCTCAAACTCCCGACCTTAGGTGATCTGCCAACCTCGGCCTCCCAAAGTTCTGGGATTACAGGTGTGAGCCACCATGCCCGGCCACTTTCCTGATTTTTTTTAATGTCGTTTATTAAATTTTAATTTACATCTGTTATCCCTTGGGTGCCTTATGATTTATTTATTTCTGAGATAATTTTGTCTTTTTCTTATATTTTTTTCTGGAGTTCAATTGACAATCTTTTTATTCCTCCTTGCTTTTTGTCCATTTCTATTTGCACGTTTGAATTTCTGATTCAAGGTATTTTATATATGCTGAAATGCAGACTTGAGAATATTTTATTCTGTTTGGAGTGCTGAGTTAGAATTTTGTTCCTCTTCATAGTTGGTCTCAGGGTGTAAGGAAGATTTTCCTCAAGTAATATGTGTGAAATATTATCTCCTTTTTCTGTTTTGTTTTTCAAAAGCTCTGTGTGGACTTGTTGACCTTCTTCTTGTCCGTTTTTATGGCACTGAGGTGTTTTACAGGATTCCTAGTTTAACAGTCGCCTGGTCTGTCTGTACACAGGCCATGTTTGTTAGGGTGAAGTTCAAGAACGTTTCTGAGTCCTTTTATTTTGTGATGCTCTTTTCTTTTCATAGAACTCTAACTTTTCTTTTTTTTCTTTCTTTTCCCCATTTAACACTGCTGTGGTTTGAATGTTTATCTTTTCCAAAACTCTCATTGAAATTCAGTCCCCAATGTGGCAGCATTGAAAGGTGGGGCCTTTAATAGGAGGAAGATGAATTAATCCACTCATGAATTAATAGATTAATGGGTCATGATGGGAGTGGGTTAGTTATCAACAGAGTGGGCCTGTTATGAAAGCCAATTTGGCGTACTCTAGCCTCTTGCCATGTGATGCCTCTGACCACCTCAGGACTCTGCAGAGAGTCCTCCCACCAGCAAGAAAGCCCTCACCGCGTGTGGCTCCTTAACCTTGGATTTCCCAGCCTCCAGAACTGTAAGAAGTACATTTCTTTGTATCACAAATTACCCAGTCTATAGTATTCTGTTATAGGAACAGAAGATGGACCAAGACAAACACCCAGTTGCCATTGGGTATTCCTATTATCATTTCTGCCTTTTTTTTCCCCCTAGAAGCCATGCATTTTGAAGGCTGTCCTTTGAATTCTGTCTATCCCTTTGTTATTATTATTATTATTATTTTTTTTTTTTGAGACAGAATTTTGCTCTTGTTGCCAAGGCTGGAGTGCAGTGGTGCGATCTTGGCTCACTGCAACCTCTCGCCTCCCAGGTTCAAGCGATTCTCCTGCCTCAGCCTCTCGAGTAGCCGGGATTACAGGCATGTGCCACCAGGCCTGGCTAATATTGTAGTTTCAGTAGAGACAGGGTTTCTCCATGTTGGTCAGGCTGGTCTCGAACTCCCGACCTCAGGTGATCTGCCCGCCTTGGCCTCCCAAAGTCCTGGGATTACAGGCATGAGCCACTGCGCCCAGCACTATTATTATTTTTTAACCTTTATTATTTTTGAGATGGAGTCTCACTCTGTCACCCAGGCTGGAGTGCAGTGGCACAGTCTCTACTTACTGCAGCCTCTGCCTCCCGGGTTCATGCGATTCTCCTGCCTCAGCCTCCCAAGTAGCTGGGATTACAGGCGCCAGCCACCACACCTGGCTAATTTTTGTATTTTTAGTAGAGATGGGGTTTTGCCATGTTGGCCAGGCTGGTCTCAAACTCCTGACCTCAAGCGATCCACTCACCTTGGCCTCCCAAAGTGCTGGGATAACAGGCATGAGCCACCATGCCCAGCCGTACATATCCCTTTAAATTCCATGTGCTTTGAAATTCCTTTGTAATAGTCCCTGCTGTGACCTGCTCAGACATTTTTTAAAGAATTTTCTATGTTTGGGTATACTTAATCATCTGACAATAATGCTAGACCAATGTAGGCCCTTTTCACTAGCTGCCCTCTGTATTGTCCCAACTGTTTCTAGGGAACTGGGTCTACCTTTGTTCTCTACAAACACTTGTGGTAGGGTGAGGGCAGGTGCATGAGAAAAATCCAGGATTTTCTGACTTTCCTCTTTTTATTTACAGTTTTGAAAAGTGATTACACTTCTCTGTTTTATTTTCTGTCTTCAAGTTATAGAAAGTCTACCTTTTGTGTACATTTATTTTTCCTTTCTCATTGTTTTATATCACTTTGGGAGGAAGTATTGGGAGACAGGTAACTGGAGGCCTCTATTATTTTCAGTTACCACAAAAGCTAACTTAAAAACAAACAAATATGAAATTAGCTGGGTGTGGTGGTGCATGCCTGTAATCTCAGCTACTCGGGAGGCTGAGGCAGGAGAATCGCTCAAATCTGGGAGGCAGAGGTTGCAGTGAGCAGAGATCGTGCCACTGCATTCCAGCCTGGGTGACAGAGAGAGACTCCCTCTCAACAAAAGCCCACAAAAAACAAATCTGATTAAGGTGTTCTTCTGTTCTTGCTCTTGCTGGGGAGAAGTATAAACTGGCCAAATGGTACTTAACAAAGTCTTATTAATTAAGGACATTTAAAAATTATATAATGGTTGTTATTGGCCAGGCACGGTGGCTCACACCTTTAATCCCAGCACTTTGGGAGGCCGAAGCAGGTGGATCACAAGGTCAGGAGAGTGAGACCATCCTGGCCAACTTGATGAAACCCCATCTCTACTGAAAATACAAAAATTAGCTGGGCATGGGGGTGCGCGCCTGTAGTCCCAGCTACTCAGGAGGCTGAGGTAGGAGAATGGCTTGAACCTAGGAGGCGGAGGTTGCAGTGAGCCAAGATTGCACCACTGCACTCCAGCCTGGTGACAGAGTGAGACTCTGTTTTCAATAAGGTTGCCTGGGAAACAGAGGTTTTAAAAAGCTATTTTTAATTTAAATAATAAAGTAGCCTGATGTTAGCGAAAACTCTCTCTGAGGTCAGATGATTGCATTTGCAAAGTCCTATGATGTCACATGGAAGGCAAATATCTGCAGTTTCTTAGTTCTGCTCTGACATGTGTGTCATCAGGAATAATCTCTTTGCCTCTGGTGTAGTTGGCACCGACACTATCCCTTTCTCAAAATCTCTCCCATGTTGTTTGTGCTGGAACAGCCTCCCCACCCCTTCATTCTGTCATCCCTCTCCCTTGCCTTAACCCACAATTCTTCATGATGTTGATACTGTATTTGATATCCAAAAATGACAGCATAGTTTAGCTTTGGGGTTCAAACTGATGTCTGAGTTTTTGTGGGTTACAGCAGCTTGTTTTAATAAGAATATGGTTTTTTGCTAATCTTGTCTGCAGAGAGGGACGGTATGGAAATTGCGAGTAAGGGGAACCTTATATTTTAATGTGTCATCAAATATCTGGTTTAGCAGGGGAAAAAGAGGCCCTTTACTGCAAATCATGTTTCCATTTTGCAATTCCAGAATGGAATGCTCAGAGCCTCATCCCCAGAGAGGTTGACACACTCTAGCATCTTGATGACACTGGGTCTGGCATAGACCAAGACAACACTGGTGGCTGCCACTCAAGGGACCATGCCAGTAAATGGTCATTTCAACAGTGGAGAGGGATTGGACGCATCCCTCAGTCTTCCCTCGTGTGGCATCCTTTGGGATACAATGCTTAGATCTTCATGACTGCCAGCCACAATTGGGTGCAGGCTGGTGTGAAGGAAAGGAAAGTGAGAGCCTCTGGGGAAATCTTATCAGTTAGCTTTTGCAACATCACAAACCACCCCAACACTTAGTGGTTTAAGACAAGAATTTATTTATTTAGCTTTTGATCCTGTGGGTTGGCAACTTGGGATGGACTTAGCAGTCCTTCTGGGTGGTTCTCTTGGTCTCAGCTGAGATCCCTCATGTGTCGGTGTTCAGCTGTGGGTTGGCTTGCTACCAGCTACCACTCACCAGCCATGAAAACAAGGGAATATGCTGACTGTAGTCTCTGAACAAGGCAAATTTAGGTTGGCTCTTGGGTAAAGGCCTGTGGCCCAATCTAAGACGATGGTCCAACTAGATTAGCCCCATTAGTCCTTGGGCCTCACCACTGACCATTACCCAGTTGGGTGAGGGAGCAGACAGAGAGCTAGGTAGACAGGGATGCAGGGTCAGGTAGACAGTGACACAGGGCCAGGTGGAGAGGGACATAGTGTGGCTGGGGAAGTGGGAAGGGTGCAGCCAAACTGGGGAGAAAGGAGATAGCTCTGCAGCCCTGCACTGCTCTTATGTTTTTTGTTTGTTTGTTTGTTTTTGTTTTTTGTTTTAAGACAGAGTCTCGCTCTGTTGCCAGGCTGGGGTGCAGTGGCGGGCTCTCGGCTCACTGCAACCTCCACTTCCCGGGTTCAAGCGATTCTCCTGCCTTAGCCTCCCGAGTAGCTGGGACTACAGGTGCACGCCACCACGCCCAGCTAATTTTTGTATTTTCAGTAGAGACAGGGTTTCACCATGGTGACCAGGATGCTCTTGATCTCTTCACCTCGTGATCTGCCCACCTCGGCCTCCCAAAGTGCTGGGATTACAGGTATGAGCGGCCGTGCCTGGCCATAGTCCCTCTCAATTCTAATAGCCTGTGATAGAGCTTGACACTTGGATGGCAGGAAGTCTAGGCTGCAATTAGGTGATAATTTGTTGTTGGTGGTGGTGGTGATGGGAATCTGAAACAACATCTTATTAACGTTGGAACCAATGAATGGAGTGAACTCACTTTACTATTCCTTTAATTGAACAAATATTTATTGGATTCCAGTGCAAAGAGTCCTGAACCAGGAGAAAGAAGACCTAGGTTTGGATCTCAGCTCTGCCAGCATATCAGTCAGAGTTGATGAAAACCTTCCAGTTTTTTGTTTTTGTTTGCTGGTTTGTTTTTGTTTTGAGATGGAGTCTCACTTTGTCACCTAGGCTGGAGTGCAGTAGCAAGATCTTGGCTCCCTGCAACCTCCACCTCCCAGGTTCAAATGATTCTCCCGCTTCCGCCTCCCAAGTTTCTGGAACTACAGGCACCCGCCACCATGCCTGGCTAATTTTTGTATTTTTAGTAAAGATGGGGCTTCACCCTGGCCGGACACGGTAGCTCATGCCTGTAATCCCAGCACTTTGGGAGGCCAAGGCGGGTGGATCATGAGGTCAGGAGATTGAGACAATCCTGGCAAACATGGTGAAACCCCATCTCTACTAAAAATACAAAAATTAGCTGGGTGTGGTGGCACATGCCTGTAATCCCAGCTACTCAGGAGGCTGAGGCTGGAGAATCGCTTGAACCCAGGAGGCGGGGGTTGCAGTGAGCCGAGATCACGCCACTGCACTCCAGCCTGGTGCCAGAGCAAGACTCCGTCTCAAAAAAAAAAAAAAAAAAAAAGATGGGGTTTCGCCATGTTGGCCAGGCTGATCTCGAACTCTTGACCTCAGGTGATCGGCCTGCCTTGGCCTCCCAAAGTGCTAGGATTACAAGCATGAGCCACCACTCCCAGCCAAACCTCCCAGTTATTTTAATAGAATTCAATATATGAAGAATTGTTATCTATGTAAGTAGAAAGGCAAAAAGCAAACTCTCAGGTGTAATGGAAGGTAGCAACTTCAGAAAGCAGCTACCACCCTTAAGCCTGGGGGAGCAAAGAGTAGAAGTTGAAATTATTAAAATTTGGAAGATTAGAGGAGGAGCCCCACAGAAGTGAACCTCAGAGCTCCATGGAGGGGGCTCCAGGTGGCTGGAGCTGGCATCCTTGAGGGAGCACCATGTGGGGGTGCTGCAGGAATCAGTAAAACTGCAAACTCGGTTCTTTCACTGCTGAGGGAGGGAACTGCTACTGCCTGGGTGAAGCAGTGGGCCACGGTGCTGCTCATAGAAACAAGAAACAGACCGGAAGGAGTGTGTCTGGCCTCTGGCCCCTCCTGGCAGAGCTTCTTGAAGAGCAGTTGGCAAAGCAGAAATGGGGCTTGCAGAGTCCCCCAACATCTGAATGTGGGGGATTTGGAGATGACAAGCAGTAACTAATAACCGGCCCAGCCTCTCACGAGCAGAGGGCTGGATATGTCAGTCCTGTGTCTGATCACTGGGTCATGAGAGCAGGGACTCTCTGAGGTTTTCCCAGCCCTGATATTCTACAAGATTGGAATTTTCTACATCAAAATTTCTAGGTGGCCTCCAAGGTGGAGGAAAGGAAGAAAACAGCAGGCTAAGGGGAGAGTGTGAAGGAAGAGTCATCATTTCACTCAAACCCCACAGAGCAGCCAGGTGCTTGGTGCTGTGAAGGTCTCCTGCCAGAGCAGAAGGCAAGCAACCTCTCTAACAAATCTCTTTCCTGGGCTACGGCTGTTTGTTTGTATTAAAACGGGAACATGATAACAGAGCTATTAGTAGCTCCATGCTCAGCTGTGCAAGGTAGGGAGTTAGAGCACTGAATTCAGTCACTGGAGAAAGAAGCTGAGGTCTCCTGATGGCCCTAGGATGAGGGCTGGGCTATCTGTGAATAGCAATGGGCTTAGGTCGCTGGGTTTGTCAAGCAGCCACGGGAGCTGCTGGGTCAGGTGAACCTGAGCTCCCCCTCGATGAGCAAACACAACTTGGACCATGTCCTCCACTGACACAGAACCCGACTGCCCGAGCCCTCTGTGGCTGGGGAGCAATGCCATGGCAGAAAACGCAGTTCTGATCTGAGCTTGCTGGTCTGGTCTGGAGAAGCAATTCAGAGCCTGTAGGGCCCTGGTCGAGATGAGAGAAGGCAAGCCTGTGTGAAGCCAGTTCTGGTTCCAGCCTTGGAACTGGAAGACTGTGGGATGTTGGGTAAATCATTTCCAACCTCTAGGCCTCAGCTTCCTCATCTGTAAAAAGAGGCTTTGGAGAGGGTGGTCTTCAAGTTTCTTCCAGCACTAACAATCTAAATTATTCTATGTAGGAGAAAAATCAGAATTTATTAAACTTATAAAACAGATACATTTCTATCATGCTGCAAAAAAAAAGATAATTTTTTCAATAGAGAATAAAAACTCTAATAGAAAACATGATGCGATTGTCTAACATATCAACAAATCCCAATAGATCATTACTAGGCTGTACTAACAGAGAAGTATAGGGTAAAGACTTTGGGCAAGCTGCAAAACCTCTCTAAGCCTTCATCTTACCATTGATGAAATGAGACCTGTGTAATTTTTTTTTTTTTGAGTTTTGCTCCAGGCTGGAGTGCAATGGCATGATCTTGGCTCACTGCAACCTCCGCCTAGCGAGTTCAAGCGATTCTCCTGCCTCAGCCTCCAGAGTAGCTGGGATTACAGGCACCTGCCACCATGCCCAGCTAATTTTTTGTATTTTTAGTAGAGATGGCATTTCACTATGTTGGCCAGGCTGGTGTTGAACTCCTGACCTCAGGCGATCCACCTGCCTCAGCCTCCTAAAGGGCTGGGATTACAGGCATGAGCCACCATACCCGGCCAAGACCTGTGTGATCTTGTCTCCGATTCCTTAGCTCCCTGCCCCTCTCCACCCCATGCTCAGTGTATAAAATGGGGCATCAGCCTGGCCTAGACCTCACAGTCCTAGCAATGTCTTCCACCTGCTCTGCCCACTGTGGCTTCTGCAGTCTTGCTGCTGTGTTGGTTCTCATGTTTCCATTTCCCCTTCTCTTGCAGACCTGCCCATAGGGCCCAAGTCCCCAGTTATGCTCTTGGTCATCTTGGCCATGGTTCTGCCTACCCATTTCTTCTAGGCTGCCTCAGCCACAGTGATTAGTCACCTGGCCCAAACCTGTACCTTCCACTCTCCTCCCTGATCAAAGAGAGGGATCACATGAGATGGTACCTTCCAAACCAGCTTTAGTTGCCAACAACTAGAAAGCCATGCTCTGTTATAAAACTAAATAAACAAGAGATAAAGGCGGAAGTTATCTTTGAATTCTTTGCAAAAATCTTCTCAAGGTGGTAGTGTCATATTGTTCATTGAATGCAGGATCTCCATCCTTCCTCCTGCTCTCTGGTGGACTTTGGCCAAACCACTTATGGTACTTACAGGCTTTGGCAGTTCATCTGCTATAAAAAAAAAAAAAAAGGACAAAACATATCTCATAGCTTTGCCCTAAGTATGAAAGAGGACATAAGTACCTAACAGAGCTTGGCACATTAAAAAAACAAAAACAAAAACTCAATGTTGGCCCGGCACGGTGGCTCATGCTTGTAATCCCAGCACTTTAGGAGGCCGAGGTGGGGGGATCACCTGAGGTCAGGAGGTCGAGACCAGCCTGCCCAACATGGTGAAACCCGGTCTCTACTAAAAATACAAAAATTAGCTGGGAGTGGTGGCACGCACCTGTAGTCTCAGCTACTCAGGAGGCTGAGGCAGGAGAATCACTTGAACCCAGGAAGCAGAGGTTGCAGTGAGCCCAGATCGTGCCACTGCACTCCAGCCTAGGTGACAGAGTGAGACTCCATCTCAAACAAACAAATAAAGAAACAAAAAAACTCAATGTTTATGAAATGCATTAATAAGAAGTGAATTAGGCTGGGCACAGTGTTTCATGCCTGTAATCCTAGCACTTTGGGAGGTTGAGGTGGGCGGATCACCTGAAGTCAGGACTTTGAGACCAGCCTGGCCAACATGGTGAAAACCCATCTCTACTAAAAATACAAAAGTTAGCCAGGCATGGTGGTGCATGCCTGTAATCCCAGCTACTCAGGAGGCTGAGGCAGGAGAATCACTTGAACCCGGGAGGGGGAGGTTGCAGTGAGCCGAGATCGCTGGTGCAGGATTTAACCAAATCCACCCCTCCCAGCAAACATCCTTTCCTCTTCCTTCATCACAGCTTCTCTGTTCCAAGGCCATTCCCTCTGTGCCCTCAGTGTTTAAATGCTTTGCACTTTACATTCCAGGATCCCAAAATGTTAAAAAAAAAAAAATTAGAAAAATCAGTGGGGGTATGGTGGCTCACACATGTAATCCTAGCACTTTGGGAAGCTGAGGCAGGTGGATTGCTTGAGCCCAGGAATTGGAGACCAGCCTGGGCAACATGGCGAAACCTCATCTCTACAAAAAAATACTAAGAGTAGCCAGGCATGGTGGTGCACACCTGTAGTCCCAGCTAGTTGGGAGGCTGAGATGGGATGATCGCTTGAGCCCGGAAGATCAAGTCTGCAGTGAGCCATGATCGTGCCACTGCACTCCAGCCTGGGTGACAGAGTGAGACCCTGTCTGAAAAAAAAAAGGAAAAAAAAAAAAAAGCCAGGCGCGGTGGCTCATGCCTATAATCCCAGTACTTTTGAAGGCCGAGGCAGGTGGATCACGAGGTCAAGAGTTCGAGATCAGCCTGGCCAACATGGCGAAACCCCGTCTCTACTAAAACTACGAAAATTAGCTGGGTGTGGTGGCACGTTCCTGTAGTCCCAGCTCCTCGGGAGGCTGAGGCAGAAGAATTGCTTGAACCCGGGAGATGGAGGTTGCAGTGAGCCGAGATTGCACCACTGTACTCCAGCCTGGACGACAGAATGAGACTCTGTCTTAAAAAAAAAAAAAAAAAAAGTCAGTCCCTGCACACCTGAGGCCTTTCTCACCTCTGTGGTCTGAAGCTCTAGTTAAGATTGGTTTAAACTGCCCCATTCTGAGCACTGTGGGGTGTCATTGCCTTCCCAAAGACATCTCTAAATGCCTCAGCTTTACATTTCCCCCAGCTTCTTCCGACTCCAAGTTTCTTCTTCTATAAGATGCTTAATTTGTGTCCCCACGAAATTCATATGTGGAAATCCTAACCCTAGTACCTTAGAATGTGATTGCCTTTGGAGATAAGACCTTTCAAGAGGTAATTAAGGTAAAATGAAGCCCTATGGGGGTGCCTAATCCAACATGACTGTTGTCCTTAGAAGAAGAGATTAGGACATAGACGGGCAAAGAGGGAAGACCATGTGAAGACATGGGGAGAAGACTGCCATCCACAAGCCAAAAAGAGAAGACTCAGAAGACACCAACCCGGCCAAAACCTTGATCTCGAACGTCCAGCCTCCAGGAAGATGAGACAATAACTTGCTGAAGCCACCGAATCTGTGGTGGTGTTACAGCAGCCGGAGCTGACCAGAGCAGCCTCTCCTCTCTGCTCAGAGCATTCGCGCTCTCACAGAAGCCCCAATCACCCCAGGCATTCGTGTGGGCCGCAGAGTTGACAGTTTCTGGAGGGTGGTTTCTGGAAAGTGGTTTCTGGAGGGTGCTTTTTGGATTTTACATCACAGCAGCGCACACAGATGGAAGATTGCACATGCGTCGCCTGCGAAGTCCCCTGTGCCGCCGCCGTTTTGGTGAGCCATCTTCTCTCCCTCCCTCCCTGCCAGTCCTCAGGAGTAGCCCCTAGTTCTTCTCCTTCCTTTGCCAGGGCTTTCCCTGTGTTTTGCCGCCTGTTGAAGACTTGCCGCCATTCCCAATTGGCTCATTCAAGACATTTTGCCTAATAAGATTCTCCTTCTTAGAAAAATTCTTCTGTGGCCAGGCATAGTGGCTTATGCCTGTAATCCCAGCACTTTGGGAGGCTGAGGCAGGCGGATCGCTTGAGCCTAGGAGTTGGAGACCAACCTGGCCAACATGGCAAAACCCGGTCTCTGCTTAAAATACAAAAGTTAGTCTGGCGTGGTGGTGGGTGCCTGTAGTCCCAGCTACTAGGGAGGCTGAGGCAGGAGAATCGCTTGAACCCTAGAGGCAGAGGTTTCAGTGAGCCGAGATCGCGCCACTGCACTTCATCCAGCCTGAGTGACAGAGTGAAACTGTCTCAAAAAAAAAAAAAAAAAAAAGACAAAGAAAAGAAAAAGAAAAAGAAAAATTCTTCTGTGGTTTTTTTGAGGGGGAAGAGGCAAACAGTCTTGTCTCTCATCCCTCCAAACATTTTTTTTAACCTGGTAGTGGAATTCTTTTTTTTTTTTTAATGTAAAAGTAGACCTCATTCGTTTTATTTATTTATTTCTTCTAAAAAAAAAAACAGGATACATGTGCAGAACGTGCAGGTTTGTTACATAGGTATATGTGTGCCATGGTGGTTTGCTGCATCTATTGACCCATCCTCCAACTTCCCGCTTCTCACCCCCATCCCCCAACAGGCCCTGGTGTATGTTGTTCCCCTCTCTGTGTCCATGTGTTCTCAATGTTCAACTGCCACTTATGAGTGAGAACATGCGGTGTTTGGTTTTCTGTTCCTGTGTTAGTTTGCTGAGGATGATGGCTTCCAGCTTCATCCATGTCCCTGCAAAAGACATGAACTCATTCTTTTTTAGGGCTGCAAATTCTTTTTTCAAACAATGTCTTATGCAGAAACCCCATATATGAAACATTTACACTTGTAAAACTTCGGGTGAAATTCACCTTATATAAAATTAAACATTTGAAAGTGAGCAATTCAGTGGCATTTAGTATATCACAATGCTGTGAAACCACCACTTCTATTTAGTTCCAAAACATTTTCATCACCCTAAAAAAAAATCCTGTGCCCATTAAGCCGATATTTCCCCTTCCCCCAGCCCCTGACAACAACCAGTCTGGTTTCTGGCTCTATGAATTTGCTTAACTCTGGCTATTTCCTATCAATGGGATCGTAAAATCTATGACCTTTTGTGCCTGGCTTCTTTCACTTCGGGTGAGGCTTTTGGAGTTCCTCCTCGTTGTAGCATGTCAGTACTTCATTCCTTTTCATGTCTGAAGAATATTCCATTGTATGGAGAGACGGCATTTTGTTTATCCATTCGTCTGTTGAAACATACACACTTCTGCTCTGTTCCAACCAGAAGCGGGGCACTGAGCTCCCCCTCCTCATCTAGCTTCCTCCACCACCTCCAAGGAGCTCCTAAGGGTCCTCTGAGCTTGGTAAGATGCCTGGTCTCCGGGAAGCCTTTGATGAAATAAATGCTCATTTGTTTCCATGGAGTGGTCCTACCTTGTGGCAGGGGTAAGGCGCTTCCATTTGCCTGAAAGGCTCTGCCCTACACAAAAATAGAAACTGGTTGCATGCATGCAAAGGATGGCTGAGTGGTAATAACTGGAGGAACTGCGGACAGCCGGAGGCTGCGGGGCCGGAGGGTCTTTGGGTCGGTACTCTGCCCCACCGGAGGTCCACAGGGCCTCCTCCATCCAGGGTGGGCCGGCAAGTCTGCCTATCAGCGATCTGGGCAAGCCTGCTACTTTTTATGACCTCACTTGCCGAAACTCAAGCCACGCCTGGGTAAGTACATTCTGCACACTCCATAAACAGGTGCCAGACTGCCGCGTCATCACATTTTTGCAAGTTTTTGTTTTTTCTTTTTGTATGTGCGTTTCCACATTATTTACGGCGGAATTTGCCCAGGTGCAAACAGGAAGCCCTGGGAGCAGTTGGCTTATTTTTAGAAAGAAAGGTTTGTTCCCGGCCCGACTGCATAAAGGGCAAGAGAGAAGTGAGAGGTTCCTGGCGCAAGGCTCCTTGCAAAGGACAGTTCTGAGCTGCTAGGTGCGGCCAATCAGATGGCAGGGGCCGCTTTAGTTTGGATAAGCCTTTTCTGAAAGGAGCCCTGCTGATGTAATAACGGGGAAAATCCCTGTGTGAAAGGCCCTGAAACTGACGGGCTGGGAAACGCTGATTCCCTGTGGGCAGGAACGCTTGTCTAATTGCGACGGCCCTGCACGGCTCCTGCCCAGGTATGAAGTGCAGCTGGCTTGCACCAGTGCGAGGGCGGAGACGCGCTGCTTGAGGTGTGTCAGGGCCTCTGCTTAGAACTCGCGCAATTCTGAACGGAGGAGGAGAAAGTCCAGTTGCTGAAGGGCAGAATTTCCATGCGCCCGCAGCTTCCAAGTCCAGACCACCCCCGAATGTAAGTAGGAGGCAGAGATGTGTGCACCTTCGGTTCTGTCTTGGGAAAGCCGGAGAGGGTGGTGGTTGCAGAGTTCCCTAGAAGAGGATTCCAGACGCAGCCAGGCTTCCCTCGGCGGTTTTACAATTTACACCTCACCAGGAGTTTTGCCGGTCTCTTTAGTCTGTTTGTTTAAAAAGCTAGTTCAGATGCCTTGATTTTTAATAAGATTATTGTATTTAATTTGGTTAATGATTGTCACAAATTAATATTACATTCAACCTTATGATTCAACCTGGAAGATACAAGGAAGTTAATAACTGATAAGGCAGTGATTCTTCTAACACTCAATATTTTCTAATGAGGGATCATCTTCCAAATGAACATAAAAAATAAATGGAAGTGATTAATTTTAAATGCATGCAGATTTTTACGTTCTCTGAGCATGTGATTGTGTGTGTGTGTGTGTGTGTGTGTGTCTACAGCAAAAGGCAAGAAAGGATTAAGGTATCATATCCTTTTGATTGAAGGGTTAGGAGTGAAAGAATTGAATGCTGTGGTGACGTCACTCAGTTTTCTTAGTTTGGAGGCATTTTAATTGGGCCTGTTTGAACCACTTCCATTTTATTTTCCAGTGATGGTTCAGTACGCATAGTGCAGGGTGGCTACGCAATCAGTGTTGCTTAAATGAATAAGCAAGTCAATGGGTGAATTTTAAGCTCTCCGAGGAAACGCTATGATGAAAACCATATTTCCATGAAGAAATCTTCAATTAGAAGGCTGGAGTTTGAGGTTTATTTCCAACTTTTGGCCTCCCCAAACTGAGTCTTTGGCAAGCTCCTTACCTTTTCCAGCCTGAGTTCCCCCACTGGGTTAGACTGGTCATCTCTACGGCTCCAGCTCTAAAAGTCTATGATTCTTAAGGATTTTCTGTAATTTAGTTTTTCTAACTAGAAAAAGTGAAGGTAACACCTCTAGGCCTGAATATGTTACAGCGTCTTATGGAATTCAGTTGGATGAGGTCAATAAGTGTACTGGGCTTCTCTGTGAACTGTGTGGGAAGCACCCTAATTAAGATGATCATTAATAGGCCGGGCGCGGTGGCTCATGCCTGTAATCCCAGCACTTTGGGAGGCCAAGGTGGGTGGATTACGAGGTCAGGAGTTCAAGACCAGCCTGGCCAAGATGGTGAAACCCCGTCTCTACTAAAAATACAAAAATTAGCCAGGTGTGGTGGCGGGCGTCTGTAATCCCAGCTACTCAGGAGGCTGAGGCAGAGAATTGCTTGAACCCAGGAGGTGGAAGTTGCAGTGAGTCGAGATCGTGCCACTGCACTCTAGCCTGGGCGACAGAGTGAGACTCCATCTCGAAAAAAAAAAGGCGGGGGGGAAGAAAGATCATTAATAAACCATGTCACTAAGTGAGCTCATGAAATGATTCTAGTTGACCTGGCAGTATGCTGCCTTACATGATCTCGTCTGGTCCCAATCTCCCATTTTCCTTAGCAAGAAAGCCATTCTGCCTTGATAAAAAGTGTGTGCAGAAGTGAAACTGATTTGATGAAACAAGTGTTTAGAGTAAAAAAATAAAAACCATATGTTGTTGGAGAGCAGTGGATTTCACACCTCCTGATGTCTGACACCGAGCTCTGCCGTCACCAACAGTGGGAAACCAGCCACACTCTGAATTTCCAAACTGAACACAATTAGAAACAGAAAATAATCTGACAAGCAGCATTCCTCAGGCCCTTTGGCAAACGGACCCCTTTTGTCACTCCGTTTGTATATATACGTATATGTGTACGCTGGCACTAGCTCAGAGTCTCAGTAACAAACCCGTTTTTCAGAAGTGTCTGCCAACCCCGGGGTGGGGAATGAAAACACCAGCCCGTATTGGGAAAGAAACCTGGGTGGCAGATCACGAAAGAAAACCCTTCAAAAGTAATTTTCCATGATGTGACCGTAGAGATAAACATTTCCCATCATCTGGCTTTTGAGTTTGGGGAGATGAGCAGACAGAAAAAACCTCAGATCTTTTTTCATTTCACAGACGTTTATACCCTTTTGTTTCTTCCAGTCACCTCTGACAAAATTCTGGGGACGCTGGGAACACTGAATCAACATGGGCAATGAGAACAGCACCTCGGACAACCAGGTGGGTGTCAGGAAGCTTCTCTCTCGAGCTACGTGGTGCTCTTGGCAGACCTTGACTAGGTTCTTTTTACAGCGTCTCATCTTCACCCAGGAAGGAGCAAACAAGACAGCTTCTGCGTAGATGTGTGCGGGCATTTATGGATCTATGCAGCCATTTTTCATTTCATTGGAATTCTCTTACGATTAAGGCTAGCTCTAGTTAAAGCCGGAAACGCTAATTCTACTTATTATTTATTATTATTTTTAAAGACATGGTCTTGCTCTGTCACCCAGGCTTGAATGCAGTGGCATGATCATAGCTCACTGCAGCCTCAAACACCTGGACTAAAGCGATCCTCCTGCCACACAGCCTTCCAAGTGTCTGGGACTACAGGCATGCACCACCACGCCTGGCTAATTTTTTAATGTTTAGGTTTTGTAGAGATGGGGTCTGGCTATGTTGCCCAGGCTGGCCTTGAACTCCCGGACTCAAGTAATTCTCCTTCTTTCACTCCCCAAAGCGCTGGGATTACAAGTATGAGCCACCATTACAGGCATGAGCCACCAGGCCTGGCCTTACTTTTTATTCTGTCTTCTAAAACTGACATAAGAGAGATTGGCACATTTTTCCTAGGTTGTGTCCACCCATCAACTTACATGGATTTAGCAGAGGTTAAAATAAAACCTTTCCACACTGCTCCCCCAAATAAAGCTATGGCCATTAAAAATGATTTTGAAATCTATCAGTGTTGGGCAGATTAAATGTGAGTGGTCATTCTCATGTTAAACAAGGTTTTCACAATTGAAGAATGGACTTTAACTGCTTAATTGTGCATAGGCTGAGATATTACAACATATTCAAGTTTTTCATTATCTATTTTAAGTTTGAAAGTTTTAACTTAATGCGTTGGTGAACAAAATCAGGAAGACACTTTCTCATTTATCTCACACAAACTGGAAAATTTGGATTAATGACATTGAGTTCCTTGAACGAGAAAACTGGATCTAAAAACCCACATGCTGTAATTCATTTCCCTCTGCCTTTTTCTTCCCTACAATTTTTTTTTTTTGACAGAGTCTCTCTCTGTCACCCACGCTGGAGTGCAGTGGCACAATCTCCGTCTCCCCCCGGGTTCAAGCAGTTCTCCTGCCTCAGCCTCCCGAGTAGCTGGGATTACAGGGGCCTGCCACCATGCCCAGCTGATTTTTGTATTTTTAGCAGAGGCAGGGTTTCACCATGTTGGCCAGGCTGGTATCGAACTCCTGACTTCAGGTGATCCACCCTTCTCGGCCTCCCAAACTGCTGGGATTACAGGCATGAGCCCCCGCGCCCGGCCTCTACAATTTTCTTTTCTCAAGCAAGAAAACAAAGTGTCAAAAGAAAAGTTGTCAAACTCCAGCATCTTTAGGGGCAGGCCAGAAACAACAATTGTGTTAAAAGACTGGGTGTGACCATGGAATACTATGCAGCCATAAAAAAGGATGAGTTCACATCCTTTGTAGGTACATGGATGAAGCTGGAAACCATCATTCTGAGCAACCTATCGCAAGGACAGAAAACCAAACACCATATATTCTCACTCATAGGTGGGAATTGAACGATGAGAAGACTTGGACACAGGATGGGGAACATCACACACTGGGGCCTGTCGTGGGGTTGGGGGAGGGGGAGGGATAGCATTAGGAGATATACCTAATGTAAATGACAAGTTAATGGGTGCAGCAAACCAACATGGCACATGTATACATATGTAACAAACCTGCACGTTGTGCACATGTACCCTAGAACTTAAAGTATAATTAAAAAAAAAAAAAAGAAATCCTGAGGGGGGGGAAAAAAAAAGACTGGGTGTGAGACAACAGGGACAGGCAAGTGCTCTGGCAAACAGGGAGTTCTTGTCCTACTGTCTTAAACAGGGAAGCCACCATCAGCTCCAGTGGGTGATTGCCTTGTGGGAAGGTGGTGCCAATGTTCTGAGTTCAAAAGAACTTGGAAACCCATATTTTTCTATGAAATGTTAAGTTTTTAAATTAAACTTATTATTTTGAGATATTAGTAGATTCACATGCAGCTTAAAGAAACAATGCAGAGAGCCCAAGTACGGCGGCTCATACCTCTAATCCCAGCACTTTGGGAGGCCGAGGCAGGAGGATAGCTTCAGTCCTGGAGTTGAAGATTAGTCTGGGCAACATAGGGAGACCCCATCTCTACCAAGGAAAAAAATTAGCTGGGTGTGGTGGTGCACACCTGTAGCCCTCACTACTCAGGATGCTGAGGTGGGAGGATTGCTTAAGCCTGGGAGGTCAAGGCTGCAGTGAGCCATGTTTGCACTACTACATTCCAGCCAGGTCAACAGAGCAAGACCCTGTCTCATAAAGAAAGAAAGAATACAGAGAGGTCCCATGTACCATTACTTAGTTTTCCTCAAGGGTAACATCTTGCCAAACTATAATGCAATATCACAACCTGGATACTGACACGGATACAGTCAAGATAACAGACCATGCCCGTCACCAGGGGATTACTCTTGTTGCCCTTCTGTAGCCACACCCACCTCTCTCTCCTCTCATCCCTAACCCCTGGCAACCACTATTCCTATTCCCTATTGTTCCCTATTTCTATAATTTTATCATTTCAAGAACGTTATATAAATGGAGTCACACAGTAAGTGATCTTTAAGGATTGGCTTTTTTTCTCTCTCAGCATAAATCTCTTGAGATTTATCCAAGTACTGTGTGTATCAACAGTTCATTCCTTTTTATTGCTGAATAGTATTCCAGGAATAGATGTACTGTACATTTTGTGGAACCATTCATCCATTAAAGCTCATTTAGGTTGTTTCCAGTTTTTGTCTTTTACAGATAAAGCTGTCATGAACATGTGTGTGCAGGTGTTTTTTGAGAACACGCATTTTCATTTCCCTAAGATAAACGCCCAAGTGTGCAGTTGCTGGGTTGTATGATAGTTGCATGTTTAGTTTGATATGGAGCTGACAAACTTTTCTAGAGTTGCTAAAGCATTTTTCATTCCCACCAGCAACGTATGAGGGATCTGGTCTTTGGACCCTGGCTGTCATTTGGTGGTGTCACTTTTTGGTGTTGCTATTCTGATAGGTGTGTTGTAATATTTCCATGTGGTTTTCATTTACATTTTGATGATGGATAAAGATGTTGAACACATTTCATGTGCTTATCTGCCATCTACATATTCTCTTTGGTGAAAAATTGCTTTATGCCTTTTGCCCATTTTCTAACTAGATTATTATTATTCATATATATATTTTTTGAGACAGAGTCTTGCACTGTCAGCTGGGCTGGAGTGCAATGACATGATCTTGGCTCACTGCAACCTCTGCCTCCCAGGTTCAAGCAATTCTCCTGCCTCAGCCTGCTGAGTAGTTGGGATTACACGCGCATGCCACCATGCTTGGCTAATTTTTTTGTATTTTTAGTAGAGACGAGGTTTCACTATGTTGGGAAGGCTGGTCTTGAACTCCTGACCTCGTGATCCGCCCACCTCAGCCTCTCAAAGTGCTGAGATTACAGGCTTGAGCCACTGCACCCGGCCTATTATTTTTATTTATTTTATTTTTTTTTTTGAGATGGAGTCTTGCTCTGTTGCCCAGGCTGGAGTGCAGTGGTGCGATCTTGGCTCACTGCAACCTCCGCCTCCCAGGTTCATGCCATTCTCCTGCCTCAGTCTCCCAAGTAGCTGGGAGCTACAGGAGCCTGCCACCATGCCTGGCTAATTTTTTGTATTTTTAGTAGAGATGGGGTTTCACTGTGTTAGCCAGGATGCTCTCAATCTCCTGACCTCGTGATCCACCCGCCTCGGCTGCCCAAAGTGCTGGGATTACAGGCGTAAGCCACTGCACCCCGGCCTATTATTATTATTATTTTTTAAAGAGTTTTCAGAGTTCTTTATATAGTCTAGATACTAATCCTTTGTCAGCTCATAGTTTGCAGATATTTTCTTCCATTCTGTAACATGTCTTTTCGTCCTCTTAAGAGCATCTTTTACAGAGCAAAAGAGTATAATTTTGAGGCTGGGTGCAGTGGCTCACGCCTGTAATCCCAGCACTTTGGGAGGCCAAGGCAGGCGGATCATGAGGTCAGGAGATGGAGACCATCCTGGCTAACACGGTGAAACCCCGTCTCTACTAAAAATCCAAAAAAAAAAAAAAAATTAGCCGGGCATGGTGGGGGGCATCTGTACTCCCAGCTACTCGGGAGGCTGAGGCAGGAGAATAGCATGAACCCGGGAGGCGGAGCTTGCAGTGAGCTGCACTCCAGCCTGGGCTACAGAGTGAGACTCTGTCTCAAAAAAAAAAAAAAAAAAAAAAAGTATAATTGTGATGAGGTACAGTTGATCAGTTTTTGCTCTTAGGGGTGCTGCTTTTGGTATCAAACCTAAGAACTCTGCCTACACCAACATCCTGAAGATTTTCTGCTATTTTTTTTTTTGGCTAAAAGTTTTGAAGTTTTACATTTTATTTTTGAGTGCATGATTCATTTTGAATTAATTTTTGTGTGAGGTACACGATTTAGGTATTGCACATTTTCTGGGTTTGGACAAAGGAATAGTATCATGCAGGGTAGTTTCACTGCCCTAAAAATCCTCTGGACTCCACCTACTCATCCCTCCCACACCTCTCAATCCCTGGCAACCATGAATCTTTTTACTGTCTACAGGGTTTTTGCCTTTTCCAGAATGTCATACGGTTGGATCCTACAGTATGTAGCCTTTTCACATTGGCTTCTTTCACTCAGTAATGTCCATTTAAGGTTCCTGCATGTTTTTTCATTGCTTTGTCATTGCTTTTTAGCACTGAATAATTTTCCATTGCCTGAATGTACCGGTTTATTGATCTACTGAATAACATCTTGGTTGCTTCCAAGTTTTGGTGATTATAAATAAAACTACTATAAACATCTATGTGCGGATTTTTGTGCAGACATTGTTTTCAGCTCCTTTTGGTAGATACCAGCGAGCGTGATTGCTGAATCATATAGGAGTATGTTCAGTTTTGTAAGAAACCACCAAACTGTCTTTCAAAGTGGCTGTACCATTTTGCGTCCCTACCAGCTGTGAATGGGAGTTCCTGTTCCATATCCTCCCCAGCATTTGGTGGTGTCAGTATTCTGGATTTTGGGTCATTCTGATAGGTATATAGTGGTATCTTGTTGCTTTAATTTGCATTTCTCTGTTGACATAGGATGTGGAACATCTTTTCATACACTTATTTGCCATCTGTATATCTCATTTGGTGAGGTGTCCGTTCAGGTCTTTGGCCCATTTTAAAGTTAGGTTGTTTGTTTTCTTATTATTGAGTTTTACAAGTTTCTTGTATATTTTGGATAAAGTGTGCCTTTTGCGAATAATTTCTCCCTGCCTGTGGCTTGTCTTCTTATTCTCTTGAGGTTGAGATTCATTTTTGTGTCTGTGTATTTTTTTTTAACCTACGAATGTCCATCTTTCTAACAACATTTGTTAGAGTATTCTTCCTCCATTAAACTGTTTCTGCACCTTTGTCAGCAATCAGCTAGGCATATTTGTGTGGCTCTGTTTCTGGGTTTGCTATTCTTGTCCATTGATTATCTTGATTACTGTGGCTATATAATAAGGCTTGAAATCAGGTACAGTGAGTCTTCTCATTTTATTCTTTTCTAAAATTGTTTTTGCTGTTCTTGCACCTATGACGTTCCCTATTAATATTAGAATAAATCTATCCATCTCTACACAATACTTTCTGGGATTTTTTTTTTTTTTTGACAGAGTCTCACTCTGTTGCCCAGGCTGGAGTGCAATGGAGTGATCTCGGCTCACTGCAAGCTCCGCCTACCAGGTTCACGCCATTCTCCTGCCTCAGCCTCCCGAGTAGCTGGGACTACAGGCGCCTGTCACCATGCCCAGCTAATTTTTTGTATTTTTAGTAGAGACGGGGTTTCACCGTGTTAGCCAGGTTGGTCTCGATCTCCTGACCTTGTGATCTGCCCTCCTCGGCCTCCCAAAGTGCTAGGATTACAGGCGTGAGCCACTGCGCCTGGCCCATTGTTTTCTTTTCTTTTTTTCTTTTTTCTTTCTTTCTTTCTTTTTTTTTTTTTTTTTTTTTGAGATGGAGTCTCACTCTGTCACCCAGACTGGAGTGCAGTGGTGTGATATCTCAGCTCACTGCAACCTCCAGTTCCTGGGTTCAAGCGATTCTCCTGCCTCAGCCTCCTGGATAGCTGGGATTACAGGTGCATGCCACCATGCCCGGCTAATTTTTGTACTTTTAGTAGAGACAGAGTTTCACTATGTTGGCCAGGCTGGTCTCAAACTCCTGACCTCAGGTGATCAGCCTGTCTCGGCCTCCCAAAGTGTTGGGATTACAGGCGTGAGCCACCACACCAAGCCTATTTTATTTTTCATTATCATTTTTTGTAATCTTCAACATATAGATCCAGCATATATTTTATGATGTTTATACCTAAGTATTATGTTTTCTTTGGAGTGACCGTAAATGGTGTCATGTTTTTAAATTTGCTATTCATGTGTTCATTATTAATGTATTGATTTTTGCATGCTGATTTTGTATCCTGTGACCTTGCTGAACTCACTTATTAGTTCCAAGAAGTTTGTTTGTTTTTGTAGATTTCTTGGGATTTTTCTATGTATGTAATCACGTTATTTGCAAATAGGGGCTGTTTTATTTATTTATTCTTTTCCCATCCTGTATACCCTTCCTTCCTTCCTTCCTTCCCCCTCCCCTCTCCTCCCTTCCCCTTCTGTTCCCTTCCCTTGCCTCCGCTCCCCTCCCCTCCCCTCCTCTCCCCTCCCCTTCTGTTCCCTTCCCTTCCCTCCGCTCCCCTCCCCTCCCCTCCTCTCCCCTCCCCTTCCCTTCCCTTCCCTCCGCTCCCCTCCCCTCCTCTCCCCTCCCCTTCCCTTCCCTTCCCTCCCCTCGCCTTCCCTTCCCTTCCCTTCCCTTCCCTTCCCTTCCCTCCCCTCCCCTCCCCTCCCCTCCCCTCCCCTCCCCTCCCCTTCCCTTCCCGTCTTTCTTCTTTATTACAGTGGCTGGGACTTTCAGTCCTGTGTTAAACAAGAGCGGTGAGAGGGGACATTTTTCCCTGGTTCCTAGTCTGAGGAGGAAAGCATTCAGTCTTTCACTGTTAAGTAAGATATTAGCTGTAATTTTGTTGTTAAACATAATGCTTGTAATCAAGTTGAGGAAGTTCTCTATTCCTAGTTTGCTGTGGGTTTTTATCATGAATGAGTGTTCGGTTTTGTCAGATGCCGTCTCTGCATCAATCGATGTAATTGTATGATCTTTCTTCTTTGGCCTGTTGATATATTGAACTACACTGATTGATTTTCAAATGTTGAACCAGCCTGGTATAATTATTTTTACACATTGTTGGATTCAATTTGCTAACACTTTGTTGAAGACTTTTGTATCTAAATTCGTAAGAAATATTGCTCTGTAGTTTTCTTTTATGTCTGGTTTTTGTATCAGGGTAATAGTAGCCTCACAAAATGAGTTGGGAAGTGCTTGCTCCTGTTCTGTTTTCTAGAAGAGATTGTGTAAAGAAATCTTACATTTTAAAAAAATGTTGGCAACTAATTTCAATTATTTTTAAGCACTCTATGGGCCAAACGAATGTGCCTGCTGGCTGGGGTTGGCTTCGGGCACGCCTCCCAGTAATTTCCACTTAAAGGAATGTTCTGTCTTGTGTTTTAGAGTTGAGAAGGGCATAGCTATCGGGTGAGCGCCCTCAATGTGCACAGTATGGGCCACTAGGCATATTTTGGCCTTTAGTCCTGCTCATTAACAAACCAAGCAGCTCAGGTTCAACCCCTTCTTTGGGGTCTTAGGGATGCTTTTGGACCTCAAGCTCCCTGCAGGCCCCACTACTGGCTGCAAACAAGATAGAGCGGTGGGCAGGGGGTGGGGAGGGTGGGAGGTGTGTGATTTTGTGCTTCAGGGGACATTTAGCAATGTCTCAGGACAGTTTTTGTTGTCACAACTCAGAGATGGGGTGCCACTGGCATCTGGTAGGTAGAGGTCAGTGTTGCTGCAGAGTATTCTACAATGCACAGAACAGTCCCCCACAATAAAGAATTATCCAGCACAAAATGTCAACAGCGCTGAGGTTGAGAAACCCTAGAATACAAGAACATTTGGCTTAACTGCTTTAACAGAATGCCTAGCGGAGGTGGGTAAACTTCTTTAACCTGAGATGAATTTCTACCTGAATATAGGCAACGTTGAAAATGGGTTACATTTTTCTCCCCATTACTTTCACGAAATCCCACTGTCCAGAATTGAATGTACACTGTTTACTTAGCAGAGACTCATAGAAATGGAATTGCAGTGTCAAACGAAGGGTTAGTACTTTCAAAAGGCACTTGCTGTATACATTGTCAAAATGCCTTCCAGAACAGTGATGTCGACTTCTCTCACCAGGGCATGAAAGCCTGTGTCACTGCATCCTTGCAGGCGACGGATGTTCTAATGCTACATATGTTTACTAGTTAGGAAGGTAAAAATGCTGGTGTGGGGGTTCAATACCCGCATCCCACTCCAACTGTTCCTCATTTCTCACCTCCTACCAGCTCCTGACTCCATCTCCCCTCCTCAGTCTTCATTCTCCTTGAGTGAGCAGATGTTTTTCTAGCTCTGCAAGTTTTCACTTCTCCAACCTCAGCCAGACATGACCCAGTCTGGCAGAGGTCTGGGTCATGTCTGGCTGAGGTTGGAGAAGTGGGGTTGCCTTTAGGATTCCAGGACCAGACGAGGTCTGCCTTTGGTAGAGAAACAAGTAGGAATGAAGCATGGGTGTGTCTGGCTGTGGGACTCAGGGCTCTCCCAGGGAATTGGGGCTCCAGACCCATCTGTACCTGGTGACCCAGAGCCACCGCGAGTCCCTCCAACCCAAACTCAGCTTCTGCCTCCATAATGCTCAGCCTCCTGTGATCCCCCTCTTGGGTACCATGATCTACCTGGCCATCCAAGACAGAAATCTGCGGGTCAGCCCTGACTCCACCTACTTCCACCCCCCCATCTGATAAATCACACTATGTTTAATTAATTAATTGATGAATGGCCTGGCCATTTAGCCTTCCAAATTTCCAGCTAATTAGAACTTTTTTTAAGGTTGTAAGAGACAGAAGCCCATCTTCGGTGACCATAAGCAGAGAAAGGGATCATTGGCTTATAGAATTGAGACACCCACAGAGAGGGTCTGGCTGCAATAGTGGCTGAGTCCAGAGATTCAAAAGATGGCTCTGGGGATCCCTCTCACTGGATTGCGCTCTACTTTCCTTTGTGATTCCCCAGTGTCCAGGGAGGTGCCCCCAGCCTGGTGGAAAAGATGCCCTTGGCAGGTCCAGCCTTCCATGCTTCTTCCGGCCAATGGTCTAGCCTCTTTTTTTTTTTTTTTTTTTTTTTTTGAGATGGAGTCTCGCTCTGTCACCCAGGCTGGAGTGCAGTGGCACAATCTCGGCTCACTGCAACCTCCACCTTCTGGGTTCATGCCATTCTCCTGCCTCAGCCTCCCGAGTAGCTGGGACTATAGGCGCCCACCACTGCGCCCGGCTAATTTTTGCATTTTTAGTAGAGATGGGGTTTCACCGTGTTAGCCAGGTTGGTCTCGATCTCCTGACCTTGTGATCCACCCGCCTTGGCCTCCCAAAGTGCTGGGATTACAGGCGTGAGCCACCACGCCTGGCCCAGCCTCCTTTTTCTTTTTCGAGACAGAGTCTCACTCTGTCACCTAGCGTGGAGTGCAGTGGCACAATCTTGGCTCACTGCAACCACCGCCTCCCAGGTTCAGGTGATTCTCCTGCCTCAGCCTCCCGAGTAGCTGGGATTACAGGTGTGTGCCGCCACACCTGGCTAATTTTTGTACTTTTTTTAGTAGAGATGCGGTCTCACTATGTTGGCCAAGCTGGTCTTGAATTCCTGACCTCAGGTGATCCTCCCACCTCAGCCTCCCAAAGTGCTGGGATTACAGGCATGAGCCACCGTGCCTGGCCTCAGCCTTCTGATCAGACCCCATAAGGAATCTGAGCGACCCTGATTGTGTCATGTACCCTCTCTGAAGTCAATTGCTGTGCCCAGAATATGGGACACTCTGATAGCCATGTGAGTCATGCACCCGCCTCAACAGGGCCAAGATGGGCCCAGCTGTATACCAGCCCCTTCAATATCACTTGAAGCAGTTTCTCAAAGGACGTAAAGGCAGCACGTATCTATGACATGGTCTTTTCTAACAGTTTTTCTGCTCCCCATCCCTGCTGTCACAACTCTACCCTCTCACACCTGGATCACTGGGAACACCTCCAAACTGCTATCTCTGTCCCAGTGAGCACACTCCCCGTCGCACCCAGGCCCCTAGCACCTCAGGAGACTCTTGACTGTGAGTGCACTTGGAGGTCCCTGAATCCTGCTTGCTAGGGAACGTTTGGAAGGAAAGATGCAAGTCTGAAGAAACCTCCTGTTCACAGATTAAAGACCAGGCATTGAGGAGCAGCTGTGTCACTAGGGCAAAGGGTAAGGGACAGGCCTGCCCAGTCCTGGCCCTTGTGTACTTCATACACCTTCGGGCTTCTGGTTCCTCTTCTCTCTCTCTGTTGTCTCATTTCTGGGACACCATGGGCAGCATGGGTGCATGCCTCATGGATTTGGCCTGGGAGTAAAAACCATGGCCAGGCACGGTGGCTCACGCCTGCAATCCCAGCACTTTGGGAGACCGAGGTGGGTGATCACCTGAGGTCAGGAGTTCAAAACCTTCCTGGCCAACATGGTGAAACCCCATCTCTACTAAAAATACAAAAATTAGCCGGGCGTGGTGGCATGCACCTGTAATCCCAGCAACTTGGGAGGCTGAGATAGGAGAATCGCTTGAACCTGGCAGGCGCAGTTTGTAGTGAGCTGAGACTGCACCACTGCAGTCCAGCCTGGGCAGACACAGCAAGACTCTGTCTCAACAAAACAACAAAACAACAACAACAACAACAACAACAACAAAAACAAAAAAACCCCACAAAAACACCAAAGATTGTCCATCTGGTCCTGTTCCCTGCGACCTGTCCTAACGGTGAGATCCCTTTGCATTTCAGCAGGAGGACTCCGTCTTGCATAACGTCATTCTGTGGCCTCCAAACCCTGAGCCCACACAGGTACTGGGGAATGTGCTGTTCTGCATGGCTTCCCTCTCAGCCCCTTCCTAACGTCTAGATGGTTGCAAACATTTGGTGTGTCATGTGCATTTATATATTTAGGTTTTCTCCTCCTCCCTCTTCCATTGCTTCTTCCATCCACCCCAAATAAGTTGTAAAACACAGTCGAAATCGACAATTTATGTTTAGATTTTTTAGGATAGTATTTTAGTGTGCCTGTCCAAGAACTGGCTTGGTTGGTATGTTCTGCAATGCTGAATAAGGCTTATGTTGCCAGCAGAAAGGAACGTAGATGCTGGGAGCCAATACTAACCCCTCCAAACTCTTCTACTTTGATTTCCTTTGTCTGCAAGTGAAGCTGGGAATGGGGTGGTGACCCTACCTTTGCCGCCTGTGAGCAAAACTGATTTGTTGTAAAAGAAGATTAAATTCTGAATCAGCTGTCAGTGTCATGCAACAATGTGCTAGCTGAGTTCCGCTGCTGTGGCTCTGCCCAAAGTGTTTGCCATCCACTGGGGAAGAGGGTAAATAAGGAACTTTGCGTCACCTCACAGTGCTTTTTCCTGGAGAGGACGTTGAGGTTAGTGTGTGTTTAGGGGTGTGGTCAGGGTGAGGCTCTAAAACCCCTGGCTCCTCACTAGCCTGCTCTGAAGTCCCCTTCACACCTGGCCAGGCGTGGCAGTCATCCAGGTGAAGTGGGCTTTTAAAAAAGAGTGGGCCAAGTGCGGGGGCTCATGCCTGTAATCCCAGCACTTTGGGAAGCTGAGGAGGGCAGATCACTTGAGGTCAGGAGTTCGAGACCAGCCTGACCAACATGGTAAAACCCCGTCTCTACTAAAAATACAAAAATTAGCTAGGCGTGGTGGCGCACACCTGTAATCCCAGTTACTCAGGAGGCTGAGGCTGGAGAATTGCTTGAATCCAGGAAGCAGAGGTTGCAGTGAGCCGAGACTGTGCCACTGCACTCCAGCCTGGGTGACAGAGTGAGACTCTGTCTCAAAAAAAAAAAAAAAAAAAAAAGAGCTGCTCTGCCCCGGAGGATGGCTGTTAGGTGGGTGGTGCACTTGATGCATTTGTTTCTCTGCATATCCCAGCAAGGAGTGATGTTTAAGATTGTGAAATAACCATTTGCATAGAGCATTGTGAAGCCTTTTCATACATGAGTTCATCTGCTTCTCTTCATTATTCCATGAGCTGGGCTGATGACTCATGTTTTATAGACTCAGAAGTAGGCTCGGAAGGATAATCATCCCAGGTCATTTGGGTGAGTGGAGGAGTGAGAACTAGAACCCTGGGTCACTAAGGTTGCTGGCCAGTCATTTCCAAACTGGGTTGTGGGAAATCCTGGAGCCAACAGCAATGCTTCCTGGATCAGCCCAGAAAAAGAGGAAGTGGAGAGAGGAGAATCCAGTTCCCTGCACCCTGACCTTCCATCAGCACAACTTACCCTATACAGCCTTATACTGCAAGATGGCTCTTAGAAGAAAATGTTTTGGGGCCGGGCGCAGTGGCTCACGCCTGTAATCTCAGCACTTTGGGAGGCCGAGGTGGGTGGATCACAGGGTCAGGAGTTTGAGACCAGCCTGACCAACATGGTGAAACCCCGTCTTTACTAAAAATACAAAAATTAGCCGGGCGTGGTGGTGCACGCTTAATCCCAGCTACACAGGAGGCTGAGGCAGGAGAATCGCTTGAACCTGGGAGGCAGAGGTTGCAGTGAGCCAAGATCGTGCCACTGCATTCCAGCCTGGGCGATAGAGTGAGACTCCATCTCAAAAAAAAAAAAAAAAAAGTTTTGGAATCAGAGTTGGAAAGAAACACTGATCTGGTCCACCTCCATTATTTTTCAGTTTTGTGTATGGTGGATCTGAAGGACAAGGAACTTGCTCACTGCCATAAGTCAGTGGCAGGTTGGAGACAAGAAGCCATCTTGGGGGATCCTAGTCCAGGCTCCTACGGGTGTCCCTGTTAGGGGAAGAGCACTTTGTCCGGTTCTATCTCACAGAGGTCTTCCATCGTGCTTTGCAGCAGAGCTCAAGACCTCAGTCACAAGCTCCCACGTCGTGATGTGACGTGGATATGGTTTTTTATTGGCTTGGTGGACATTTGGGAAGCCCCTCCCTGCTGGGCATCTGGTACTTATTTAGGTGCTGTGATCTGTAGAGAAGCAAGACAAACAAGGGCCCTGCTGTCTGGAACTTACAGCCAATTGAGGAGTCAGATAAGCAAGTGAGTAAACAGACATCAGTGAGTAAATACATTTGAATCTTTATTAAATGTGTATTGTTTACCAGGCATTGCTCTAGCACGTGAGAATCAGCAGTGAACAATTCAGCTGTGATCTGCTCGAATGAAGCTTCCTTATGAGGCGCTAACAGGCAAAAGACACATCATAAAATTTCCAATGGTAACCATGGTCGGAGGGGCTATTTATTTTTTTATTATTGCAGTAAAATATATATAACATAAGATTTACCATTGTAACTATTTTTAAGTGGACCGTTCAGTGGAATTAAGTACATTGCAGTGCAACCATCACCGCCATCCATCTCCAGAACTTTTTCATCTTCTCAAACTGAAACTCTCTGCCCACATTCCACATTCTCCCTCTCCCCAACCCTTGATAACCTTTTCTTTCCTTCTCTCCTTCCTTTCCTCTTTCCCTCCTTCCTTCCTTCTGACTGGGTCTTATTCTGTCGCTGAGGATGGAGTGCAGTAGTGCAATCATAGTTCACTGCAACCTTGAATTCCTGGGCTCAATCAGTCCTCCCTCCTCAGCCTCCCTAGTAGCTAGGATTATAGGCATGCGCTACTGCAGCTGGCTGCTTTGTCTCTGTGAATTAAACTACTGTAGGTACCTCATGTAAGTGGAATCATACAGTATTTGTATGTGATTATTATTTCACTTCTGTGACTGGGTTATTTCACTAAAGCGTAATGCCCTCAAGGTTCACCCATGTTGCTGCATGTCAGAATTTCCTTTCTCTATAAGGCCGAATGATATTCCATTGTGTGTATAGACCACATTTTGCTAATCCATTCTTTTTTTTTTTTTTTGAGACGGAGTCTCGCTCTGTCACCCAGGATGGAGTGCAGTGGCGCAATCTCGGCTCACTGCAAGCTCTGCCTCCTGGATTCACGCCATTCTCCTGCCTCAGCCTCCCGAGTAGCTGGGACTACAGGTGCCTGCCACCACGCCCGGCTAATTTTTTGTATTTTTTAGTAGAGACAGAGTTTCACCGTGTTAGCCAGGATGGTCTCGATCTCCTGACCTCGTGATCCGCCCACCTTGGCCTCGCAAAGTGCTGGGATTACAGGCATGCGCCACCGTGCCTGGCAATCCATTCTTTTTTTTTTTTTTTTTAAGACAGAGTCTCGCTCTGTTACCCAGGCTGGAGTGCAGTGGCTGAGATCTCGGCTCATTGCAACCTCCATCTCCCAAGTTCAAGTGATTCTCATGCCTCAGCCTCCCGAGTAGCTGGGATTACAGGCGTGCACCATCACACCCGGCTAATTTTTGTATTTTTGGTAGATGGACAGTTGAGTTGCTTCCACCTTTTGACTATAGTGAATAATGCTGTGATGAATATGGGTGTCCACGTAAGTATCTGAGCCTCTGCTTTCTATTCTTTTGGGTATATACCTAGAAGTGGAATTGGTAGATCATACAATAATTCTATGTTTAAGTTTTTGAGGAACCACTAAACTTTTCCACAGCAGCTGCACCATTTTACATTTCCACTAGCAATATACTAATGTTCCAATTTCTCTACATCCTCACCAATACTTGTTACTTTGTTTTTTGTTTGTTTGTTTGTTTTTTAAATTACAGTCATGCTTGTAGGTGTGAAGTAGTGTCATTGTGGTCGGGGCTATTTTTGATGAAGTGCAGGGGACAGCTCTCTGTAGAGACCTGGTGTACTAAGGAGACAGCCACATAAGGTTCTGGAAAAGGAACATTCTGGAATAAGGTAACAGGTGTGTATGGTATAGGAATAGTGTAACAGGTATGGGAGAAATGAGCTTGCTGTACTTTAAGATCAGCAAAGAAGGCCGGTGTGGCTGGAGAAAAGTGGGTGAGGCAAATTATGGTGAGCTGTGCAGCCAGGGAGCTGGGTGAGGGCTCAGTTTTGTAGGTCCCAACCAGCCCTGGTAAGAAGTCTGGCTTTCTTCTACCTGTGGTACAAAGCCATGGTGATAAAAGAGCATTTCACTGGGATTTGAGCCTGTATGCTCACTCACCATGGGGGTGAGACTCCAGCAGTCAGGGCTCCCCAAGGAGGAAGCAGAGCAGCTGACGGTGAACTTGTGCCCAGCTCTGTCTGGGCTCAGCGGACTTGAGACTCAGCACTCAGCCAGACTGAGCTCCCCATAACCGGCCAATTGGAAACTGACAAGCGAAGGACTGGTTAAAACCAACCAACCACATTTCCTTGTAAAACTCCCTGGCTTTTGCTTTGTTGAGTCCCTGTGGCTTGTTCAGAGAGATGGTCTTTGAGCCTTTGCAGGGGCTGCAGTCCCTCATGTATACCCATCCGTGTGAGTAAATCTCCTCTGCTTCAAGCTCAGGGTATTGGGTTATTCTTTGCACCTCAACAGTCACGGCGCCTGAGTCTTTCTCTTGTACACAATGATCAAGGGGCAGAGCCCCTTAGCAGTGTTTGGCTCATTATTCTGGATGGGGCTGAGGTCCTGGGATAATAGAGAGCAAGAAGCCTGGGAGGCCAGAGGCTCCCAGGTGAGGCTTTTTGTTGGTTTTTGTTTGTTTGTTTGTTTGTTTGTTTGTTTTTGTAGGAGATACCTCAGAGAATAAAAGGAGTGCACTCAGTAGCACTGTAACCAAACCAAAGCTTCAGTCACTCACCACTTGTACAGTCCAATTAACAAGAGCTACAGGAGTTTGAGACTAGCCAGTGCAACATGGCGAGACCCCTGTCTCTACTAAAAATACAAAAAATTAGCAGGGTGTGGTGGTGTGCACCTGTGGTCCCAGCTATTTGGGAGGCTGAGGTGGAAGGATCACTTAAGCCCTTGGGGGAGAGGGGGCAGAGGTTGCAGTGAGCCAAGATGGCGCCACTGCACTCCAGCCTGGGTGACAAGAGTGAGACCTTGTCTCAAAAAACAAATAAACAAACACACAAACCAAAAAACGAGTGAGGGCTGACATGAAAAAAGTGACTTTTTATTCTAAAGCTTAGCTTAGGGGGAAAAGTACAGGCTTCTGCTTTTAAGGGCACTGCTTTGCTTTTGGGGCAGAAAGCAGGGACTTTTAAAGGGGGGACTTTGCATGCACAGCAGGTGGGGAGGGAGTGAGTAGGTGGGGGACCACTGGACTCACTTCAGTGCCTTATCCACCAGGTGGTCCAGCTGGCACAAAACTAGGTTCTAAGGTGGTCGTTGTCTTGAGACGCTCTCCAGGTGGGAAAGACTTCCGTCGTGGGCGTACTTGAGGTTGGAAATTGACAGTTGTTTCTTGAGGCAATCTCCTGCTGGGAGAGCTTTCTGGCTCTGGAGCTTCTAAGTGAGCACAGAGTCAGATAAGCTTGTCCTATAGGGAGTGTCTGGTGAAGGGAAGGTCAAGGTTATAAGGTTATAATTGCATTTCTAAAGCGCTAAGTAGGAAGTGAGGAACATGAGAAAAGAAGGAGAGAGAAAAGAAAAAAAATAATTAAAACCATTTTCTTTCTCTTAGAAAAATGGGATACTCAGTTACAGCATCATTGCATTAAAGGGACATTGAGTTTTGCAGGTGGGGGAAGTGAAATGGCTTAGAAAGAACATTGGCGGGGGACACAAGGTTCCTGACTCATGTGTTTTTTGCTTTTTTTCTGTTTTGTTTTGAGACGGAGTCTCACTCTGTCAGCCAGGCTGGAGTGCAGTGGCACAATCTTGGCTCACTGTAACCTCTGCCTCCTGGGTTCAAATGATTCCCCTGCCTCAGCCTCCGGAGTAGCTGGGATTACAGGCAGGTGCCACCATGCCTGGCTAAGTTTTGTATTTTTAGTAGAGATGGGGTTTCACCATGTTGGCCATCCTGGTCTCGAACTCCTGACCTGAGGTGATCTGTTCACCTTGGCCTCCCAAAGTACTGGGATTACAGGTGTGAGCCACCGTGCTGGCCTCCTGACTCTATTTTGAAACCATGATCTTCTGGGCTTGTGGAAGGAAAATCAGCCTCCCCTTGAGAGGGTTGGAACCTGGTAGGTTCTCAGAGGGCAGCTGGCATGGGTAAGGTGGGAAGGTTAAGGGTCTGTTCCGTGATGATCCTGGGATATGAGGGTTCAGGCTGCTGATCTGAGTGCAGAAAAAGGCGTGGGAATTGGAAGGTGGGGGTGGAGACAAGGTCAGATGAGGCAGCAGGGTCTGGGGCGGCCTGAGATGTGGGGTTGGGGGACAACAAGTGCCTGGGAGGACTGGGCCTTCAGGCAGATGAGGGAGGCAGGGAGGTAAGCACAACAGGACCTCTCCTCGGAGCCTCTAGGCAGTGAGCCGGCAGTTTATTTCGACAGTATTTGCTTTTGACACTTTTTGAAAACAATTAATTGCTGCATTAATTACAAACTGATTTATCTTATTCAAGTAGTCAATTTTAATAACATCACAACAGTCTTACCTTCCTATCCTGCCAACCAGTCACAGTGATTTCTTGTTTTGTCAGCACAAATGCTATTGAAACTCTGAATTTTAGTGGTAGCTTTGGGTTCTGTTCTCTGTTCCTGAGGGAAGAGAAGCCATCGACAGAGGAAAATTCCCACACTCAGCCTGAAACCTCTTCTATCTGCTAATTGGAGGTTCCTCTTACTGAGCTGGGGCCATGGAGCCTCAGCCCAGCCCCTTGTGGGTGCCTTTTGCAGCAAGCTGAGTCCTAGTTGTTACCCTTGCTCCTTCCTTTGGGAATGGACTCACTTAGGCCTCCTGGGAGGCTGTTCTCAGGGGGCTCTAAGCAGCCTCGGTTACTAAAGTACACTTGCACAGGTGATGTATTGCACCACCTGATGGTTGGAAATGAAGAGAAATGTATAACCACGGCTCTAAAGGGTGACTCGTTTGGGGAGTGGGAGGACACGGTCCAATGGGAAGTTGGGAGACTGTCTAACACCCAGCCAAGGGGGGCATCACCTGTTCCCGGGAGTGTCAGGGTCCTGGCTTATGTGTGTCCCTCTCTGGGAAAGAGGTGGTGGTGACGCTGTGATGAGAGCTGTCTCCACTCGACAGCCCTTCCAGGGGTTTCATGCATCCTGACTTGTTTAGAAAGCTCTGTGGTGAAATAAGGGCCATGCCAGCCCACAGCCCCAAATCCTGAAGGTGGGCTTCACAGTTGTTCAGTTCTGGAGAGCCCTACAGGGGACATCTGAGCTCCAAGCTCCAAGCATGTGGATTTCAGAAGGGAAGGGCAACCCTAACCCCTCCATTACCACTCTCTGGAGTTCCGCTTGGCCATGGGGCTGTCATGATTCCCATTTATAGCTCTGACCGTGTGGGGAGGAAGAAAAGACATTCAATCCTATTATTATAATGATCTCACTTAAAACATATCATCATTCAGTAACTCCATTCTAACACTTCTATTGTCTGGGTGTTTCTGTAACAAGTCCCAAAAAACATAATTTTCAACTCTAGAAACTGTGATCAATGCTATGAAGCAAGAAGACAGGTGCACAGACCCCAGACCTAGCCTGGGTGTCAAGGAAGGCGCTTCTGGGGAGCTGATGTTTGAGCTCAGAGCTGCAAATGAGCAGGAAGTAGGTGACATCAGAAGGACCCAGAGCCAGCTCAGCAGACACGCCTCCCCCAGCTTGGGCAGGTCCCCCCGGGTCGGGTCCCTGCTCTGCGTACAAGATGTGGTCTGAATGAGGTTTGCTGCTGCAGGAGACCTCAGCAATGTGGACATCTGAGGAACAGAGGACCAGGAGGACAGGAGAATCTGTGTATGCGAGCCGTCCCCAGGGTCTGGTCATCAAGAAAGGCTGAGGTTGTATGTTGCTCAGGCGCTGTGTGGTTGTTACTTTGCTTGACAGAGGAAAGTGCCATATATATGTGCACATCTTGTTTAAAGCTATGCTTGGTGCTCTACGGTTAACTTGAAGGTCCCTTCTTTAGCTCTTGAGGAACTCAGCATTACAGCAACACTCAGCCAGTGCAGGACAGGGAGCATTTCCCAATATTCCACAGGCTGCAGGTGGGCATCTGGGCTGCTTTAATGTGTTTAATGTGAAAGAAGTTGAGCAAAGAACAAGTTAAGCAGCAAGAATTAATTCAATCTTCATGACAGCACAGAGTTTCCTTTCTTTTTTTTTTTTTTTCTCGTAACGAGACAGAGTCCTGCTTTGTCACCCAGGCTGGAATGCAATGGCGCGATCTCGGCTCACTACAATCTCCGCCTCCTGGGTTCAAGCAGTTCTCCTGTTTCAGCCTCCTGAGTAGCTGGGATTACAGGTGCACACCGCCATGCCTGGCTACTTTTTTGTATTTTAGTGGAGACAGGGTTTCACCGTGTTGCCCAGGCCAGGCTCGAACTCCTGAGTTCAGGTAACCCACCCACCTTGGCCTCCCAAAGTGCTAGGATTACAGGTGTAGCCACAGCACCCGGCCTTGACAGCAGAGAGTTTCTTTACTGTCACCTGTCTGCTCCCACAGCCCCTGCTGTGGGGTTCCCCCAGCCCGGAGGGTCGGTGCTAGTTTTCACTGGCACGATTACGCAAGTGTGTGAACAACACGGCTCCAGGTTTTGGCCAGATGCATCTTCTGAATAAATGTGTAAAATGTTAACTTTGGGAGGAGCTGTTCTTTTCTTTTTTCTTTTCTTTTTTGAGACGGAGTCTCGCTCTGTCACCCAGGCTGGAGTGCAGTGGCGCGATCTCGGCTCACTGCAAGCTCCACCTCCCAGGTTCACGCCATTCTTCTGCCTCAGCCTCCCGAGTAGCTGGGACCACAGGCGCCCGCGACCACGCCCGGCTAACTTTTTGTATTTTTAGTAGAGACGGGGTTTCACCGTGTTAGCCAGGATGGTCTCAATCTCCTGACCTCGTGATCTGCCCATCTCAGCCTTCCAAAGTGCTGGGATTACAGGCGTAAGCCACTGCACATGGCCTTTTCTTCTTCTTTTTGAGAGAGAGTCTCACTCTGTCGCCCAGGCTGGAGTTCAGTGGCACAGTCTCAGCTCACTGCAACCTCTGCCTCCCGGGGTCAAGCGATTCTCCTGCCTCAGCCTCCCAAGTAGCTGGGATTACAGGTCCCTGCCACCATGCCCAGCTAATTTTTCTATTTTTAGTAGAGATGGGGTTTCACCATGTTGGCCAGGCTGGTCTCGAACTCCTGACCTCAAGTGATCCACCCGCCTCAGCCTCCCAAAGTTCTGGAATTACATGCTTGAGCCACTGCACCCAGCCTGAACTTCTGATTAACTGCTTTTGCTCTAAGCTGAGATAGCCAATGGGGCTCTTCATTAATGAGTTTTGAATCTGTTTCTTCTTTATACAGTAACAACCAGCATGTACAATGTCTACGTGGTCTAGCCTTGTCCTTTATTTAACCTTCAGAACAACCCTGCAGTTATGACCCCCATTCTACAGATACGGTACTCGAGGTGTAGAACCCAGAGACTTACAGCTAAATAAGCAGTAAAGCTTGGGTTTCAGAACAATTGTACTCAGCTTCCTGCCTGCTCATTCTTAAACCATGCTGCTGTAGCATGAAAATGAGTGGATACAGGGATTCTAGAGGGGCAAAAGAAATAAAGTTTATGTCTGCACTTTAAGTATAATCAAGTAAACATCACAGCATGGTACAGGCCATCCTGACATGCCCAGCTCTTTGAATAAAGAGACTCTCCCTTTTATTTGTACAGTTGTTGTTTACAAGGCATTCCTATCACCCACTGAGGTAGGGAAGGGCAGAGATTGTGGTCCCCAGTTTATTGACGGAGAGAGAGAGGCTTGGAGAGAGGAACTGATCTGACCAAGGGCACATGGATTTGGATTTTCTGACCTCATCCAATTCTCTTTAAATCATATTGTTTCTAAAATATTAAATACATACAGGTCATCAACATTGGGTATGTTTTTGAAGCCTTTAGTCTGCCACCTACAAACTACAGACATCAGAACATGTCACCTCTTACATCTTTGAGGTTCCTGAATCCTTTTAGGGTAATGGCCACCGCTTGTGACCCAAATGCTTCTGAGGAAGGGAAGGCAGATATGATTTACTAAATATCACTCATTCATTCACTAAATTCAAAATTCCATGAGGGTAGTAGGAACCATGTGTCTCTTTTTATAATTAGATTTCTTTCTTTCTTTCTTTCTCTTTCTTTCTTTCTTTTTCTCTTTCTTTTTCTTTCTTTCTTTTTCTCTTTCTTTTTCTTTCTTTTCTTTCTTTCTCTCTCTCTCTGTCTCTCTGTCTCTCTCTCTCTCTTTCTTTCTTCCTTTCTTCCTTTCTTTCTTTCTTACAGAGTCTCACTCTGTTGCCAGACTGAAGTGCAGTGCACAATCTTGGCTTACTGCAACCTCCACCTCCCAGGTTCAAGTGATTCTTGTGTTTCAGCCTCCTGAGTAGCTGGGACTACAGGTGCCCACCACCACACCTGGCTAATTTTTGTACTTTTAGTAGAGATGAGGTTTCGCCATGTTGGCCAGCCTGGGTTCGAACTCCTGACCGCAAGTGATCTGCCCGCCTCGGCCTCCCAAAGTGCTGGGATTACAGGCATGAGCCACTGTGCCTGGCCAAATTTTACTTTAGAGTATTTTCAGATTTATAGAAAAGTTGCAAAGATTGTATGGAGAGCTCCCATATAGATGCTTCCCCGGCTTCTCCTAAAGTTAACATTTTACACCATGCCTGTTTTAGTCATCAGTGTCTACCCAGAACCTAGACCCAGCCCTTACTATTCATGAGGCATAATCATCAAAACACACGTCAAACTCTATTCTGTTATTTTCCATCTTTTAAAGGAAGAGTGAGGACTCAAACCCAGCTCTCTCGGGCTTCGAAGCTTATTCATTTCTTCTGCTCTATCGTGCTGTATCACATCAGAAAACATTCCGTTTGCGGAAAGCTGAAATCCCACGCTGGCAGCCTTTCGCTTGTTGGCCTGACAGAGTGCCTGCTAGGTTAGGCTGAGGTGTCCTCTGCAACCTGTATTCGTCAATCTTTTGTACCCCCTTGGAGGGGAAGAAACATTTGGGATGGTCTAGCAGAACTGGTGTGAGCATTTGCCTTCCCTTGACAGGGAAGATGGGCAGCCGGCTGGCTCTAGCACAGAGCATGTGTTCATCCTCCATATTTGGTCAGCCTGGCAGTTGTTTCTGAAATCCGATTCCTAATGCCATGGGGATGACCTTTGGTCTGCTTCCCAGCATTCACCTGCAGTCAAGCTGCTCCCAAGGAGCTCGTTCAAAGAGGGGGCGACTTAGGCAGACACTCTGGTCATGATCTAACCATGTTAATTAAGCATGGTTTAATTAACTCTATTGGCATGACCAGTAAGCAGTGGTCTAGAGTGATGGAGCGTTTAAGAGGTAAGTGGAATTTTTTTTTTTTTTTTATGGTGAAATGCTTTAGCTCTTTACAAAGTATATTTTTTAGGACTGGAAAATTGCTGTAACTGTTTAAAGATTGCTTTAAAATAGACTCCAGGCTCTGGAGTGTTCCAGAGCCAACGAAAGACTGTTTGTTTACTCAAGCAATGGCAGCGAGGGAAAGATTTGAAGAAGCAACTGGGCGAGTCCACGTGTCCTGTAAGGCTTGCCAATTGTTTTTCCAGCCTGCGATTTGGAAGTGTAAAGGGTAACTTTAGAAATGCATGCTGTTTTGCAGTGACGCCTGCTGACACACAGGTCCTTTGGAATCCAGTAAGCAATAGAGCTTAAGACTATCTCTAAGACGGGGAACAGGAAGGGGGATTCAAAAGCACAGGGAAATGTGGCAAAAGCGAGAGTTCCCAGGGCTGAGGGTACGTCTTTCGATTTGCAGACATGGCCACCAGACTAAATAAGAATAATCTACTTTTCATACATTCAACAAATATTTATGGACTGCCTCTTCTGTGCCAGGTGCTATTCTGGGCATCAAATCTAGGCTCCTATACCACATTATTCTCAAATGTCCAATTGCTATAATTCCTTGGAGCATAGCAGCAAAATGGCAGAGGCCATAGAGCAACGAATTCCACTGTATGGCGAAGCAGCGTAAGGCAGGGACAAGAGCACAGACTCTGGAGCCAAACCATCCTGGTCCAAATCCTGGCTCCACCACTTCCAAGCTGTGTGATCTTGGGCAAGTGGCTTAACCTCTCTGTGCCCAGTATTCTTAGCTATAACATCGGGCTCTAAGGATTGAATGAGTTTAAATATGTAAAGCACTTAAAAGAGCAGTACTAGACACACAGAAAGTGTTCCTAATAATTAGGTTGCTGCTGTCGTAGCAGAAAGAGAGCTATGTAAATGCTGGGTGTCAGTATTCTTGTGGAAAGAGCACTGGACTTCAAGGTGGGAGACTTGCAGAGGGCAGAAGGCAAGCCTCTCTGTTTCTTATCTGGAAAATGGAAAACATGATTTTACCTGCCTGGTATAGCTCACGGGGATTTTATAAGAATCAAATGGATGTCAAAGAGCTTTGAAAAGTGCAATGTGCCATTCATACAGATAGTTTTGTTGCTTTTAACTCCATCCAGATATGTTTGTGTTGGGGAGAACTAGTATCATTCTTGCAGATTAGCTTTCTATTAGAAAAAGAAGTGGGCCGGGTGCCATGGCTCATGCCTGTAATCCCGGCACTTTGGGAGGCCAAGGCGCATGGATCACGAGTCAGGAGATCGAGACCAGCCTGCCAACATGGTGAGACCCCCATCTCTACTAAAAAAAAATACAAAATTAGCTGGGTGTGGTGGTGCATGCCTGTAGTCCCAGCTGTTCGGGAGGCTGAGGCAGGAGAATTGCTTGAACCCGGGAAGCGGAGGTTGCAGTGAGCTGAGATCACGCCATTGCACTCCAGCCTGGGCAACAAGAGCAAAACTCCATCTCAAAAATCATAATAATAGGGCTGGGTGTGGTGGCTCACGCCTGTAATCCCAGCACTTTGGGAGGCCGAGGCGGGTGGATCTCGAGGCCAGGAGATTGAGACCATCCTGGCTAACACGGTGAAACCCCGTCTCTACTAAAAATACAAAAAATTAGCCGGGCGTGGTGGTGGGCGCCTGTAGTCCCAGCTGCTCGGGAGGCTGAGGCCGGATAATCACTTGAACCCAGGAGGCGGAGCTTACAGTGAGCCAAGATCTCGCCACTGCACTCCAGCCTGGGTGACAGAGTGAGACTCTGTCTCAAAATATAATAATAAAAATAAATAATAATTAAAAAAAGAAAAAAAGAAAGAGAAGTGGAGCTGAAAAGGGAGAGACGCCTGCCTTTTGTTTTTTTCTTCAAAGACAAATCCAAGCCCTTGTTATAGTCCATCTGCCTGAGGAAATATAGCCCGTGGTCCCTTTCTTCTCCTGGACTTGGAGCAAAGATCTGTCTCCTTATTCCATCTGTTGTTTGCATCTGTCTGGGCTATTATTTGTCTTCTTTCCAGAATTAAAAGAAATCTTGCTCATGGAATACTGGGCATGAGATTTATCTGTTAAATTATTTGCAGAATATTTTACTGCAGGTCATCTTGTGATTGAAAGGGGGGCCTGGCCTCAGGTGTTAGTTGCTGAGGTTTGCATGGCGGTCAGACAAGTAGGAATTGGGTTAAAATTTCAAAAATGCAGGACCCTGATATAAAAATGCCACTCACTCAGTATTGTTAATCTTGAGTTATTATAGTAAAATGTGAGAATCATGCTTCCAAAGATTTATAATTTATAGATAAAGAATCTTGGCCGGGTGTGGTGGCACCTGTAATTCCAGCACTTTGGGAGGCTGAGGCGGGCAGATCACAAGGTCAGGAGTTCGAGACTAGCCTGGCCAATATGGTGAAACCCCGTCTCTACTAAAAATACAAAAATTAGCCGGGTGTGGTGGTGGGCACCTGTAGTCCCAGCTACTTAGGAGGCTGAGGCAGGAGAATCGCTTGAATCCGGGAAGCACAGGTTGCAGCGATCCGAGATGGTGCCACCAAACTCCAGCCTGGGCAACAGAGCGAGACTCCGTCTCAAAAAAAAAAAAAAAAAAAAAAAAAAAGAATCTTTCTTTGAAAATGAAGATTATAGAGTGTGAACTTAAGGTGATTTAAAGTTTCCATGGTCTTGATAATGTCCTATGGGGATGATTGTCTTCTTGGATGCACAGATGAAGAGGCTGAGACCCCTCAGGGGGGGGCAGGGGCACTCGTTAAGGGAATGGCTCAGCCTGCAGGGAGGTCAAGCCAACCCCAGGTCAGCAGCCCCCTCTCGTGTGAGGAACCATCCCCAGCTCTTTCTGCCTCCTTCAACACTGCCCCGTGGAAGGGATCAAACAGAGACGCCCTGTCCTGGCTCTGGGATCAGAGATAATCGGTTATGTCTAGATTCCACTGCTGTGTGGTCTTGGCCCAGTTACTAAACCTCTCAGAGCCTCAGCTCTAAAACAGGAACACAAATATCCATCTTTCCCTTAAGACAGTTGTGCAAATTCAATGACATAGTTCATGGAAAGATACTGGCCCAGTGCCTGGCATTAGTAAGTGCTCAATAACAGGAGCATTTATTGCTGTTGTTCTCTTTCCCCCACATTCTATCCTTCAGCTAAAATGAAGGAAAATTTTTGCATTGTAGTGTTCATGTTGGCACTAGACTGTATGGGTACCTGAGAGATGAAGCATCTTTTATGTTTTACCTTTGGACACAATGGGATGAACACAGATAGCCAACCACTCAGGGAAATGCACCAGGTAGGGGAACCTTAGCCAAAGCTAGCTTGCTCTTCGGGCTGGTGTCTGAAGGTCAAGGACTACAGCCCATCCAACAAGTCTGACGGTCTCAAGAAGTCCCCAGGTGCAGACTAGGCAGATGATTTGCTTTCACATGTCCTGCAGAAACGTCAAGATTAATTTACAAAATCCATAGGCTAGAGGTTGGTAGAGTTTGATGAGTGGGGACCCTCCCTTCCTGGGGGACCTTGGGGGCTGTCTGCTTCACCTCCAGGCAGGAGCCATACCTACTATCTTCCTGGGGTGCCCTCTGTGTGCACACCCCTGCAGCCATGGGACTGGGGTCTGTCTCCCTAGACTGTGAGCAACGTGAGAGGAGGAATGGAGCCTTATTTTTTTTTTCTCCTCCCTTTCCTTCCTTCCTCCCTCCCTCCCTTCCTTCCCTCCTTGCTTCCTCCCTCCCTCCCTCCCTCCCTTCTTTCCCTCCTACCCTCTCTCCTTCCCTCTCTCCCTCTTCCTTTCTTTTCCTTTCCCCTATTTGTTTCTGTTTCTGTTTTGTAGAGATGGGTTTCTCCATGTTGCCCAGGCTGGTCTCGAACTCCTGGGCTCAAGCAGTCTTCCCACCTCGCCTTCCCAAAGTGCTGGGATTGCAGGCATGAGCCACCGCACCCGGCTGGGGAGGCAGTTTCTAATTCACACAATGGCATTGTCTGCTCCCAGGCCATGCATTTGGCCCAGAAGAGTGCCACCTTCTGATTTTCACAAAGGTGCCCATGGGCTAGGGAATGTCTGTCGTACAGATTTGCACCATCTGCTAGATTTAAGCAAGGTAGAAAGAAATGAGCTCTTGTGCTGTCTTCAAATGTGTGTTCCATGTAACGCGAGTTCTATAAGATGTTAAACTGTGGTACATAAACAAAGAGTCCTGTGGTCAAGAAATTCTGGCAAACTCTGAGTTAAAATTCAGTAAGTTATTCTGCTGTAGAACTCAGAATTTTTACTATGCTAATGTGCATTGTGAATTTCTAAAGGAGGCCTATATTATGTAGCACTTGTCAAAGGTGTTTGACCAGGGAGTACTTTGTTTTCCTCCAAGCTGATCTGGTGCAGCTCATCTGGATGAGAGGTGGACCGGGGAATGCACTCTCAGTTGCTAGTGACAGAAATTCAGCTTGTACCCACCTGCTAAGGTGAAAAGGGCAATGCATGCGGCCTCATCATAGAGCTCCCAGATGGCTAGGGCAGAATGAGGCCTTGGCCCCAGCAGGGCTGCTCCCTCTGCCTGGCATCTCGGCTTTTCTCTGCCTGCGAGCTCTGCCATCTCTTTCTGTGGCGGTTTCGTCCACCACAGCTGGAAACAAGGCTGCAGGTGACTTCCCGACTCACCTTCTATAGAACCCCCCACCAGAACTGCCCTGGTTCTTCAGGGAATCCCGTAGAAGGTCCTGGCTTGACCGGAGTCTCATGTACACTCCAGTGGGCAGGGACATGGGGCACTATGACTGGCATTTTCCATGAGAACCTCAGGGATGGAGGGTATGGGTGGAACTGTTCTTGAAAGAAGGCAGACCCCATCCCAGAACAAGGGGTGCATGTTGTTTGGGGTGGGGGCACAGGGTCGCCGCTGGGGAAACAAAATGAAAGACAACCACTGCTTTGGGAAATACAGCTTGGAGCTTACAAAAGCCCTTTCCCTTCTTCTGATTTTTATATTATACTAAAATAGCATCATTTAAATGAGGTTCTGTTTTTTTTTTTTAATTTTAAATCTCATCTCTGTCCTGTGATTTAAAGTTTTGACTGAGCCTTATATTTTTGCATCCTGGTTTTAAAAATCAACTAGTCTGTAGGAATATGGTTTATAAAAACAACAACAACAAATCAACTAACCGGTGGACAAGCTTATCCTGGAGTGAAAGAAAAGGTGACCAACTCTCAGAGTGGTTAGGATCCCAAGTGGTTGGGTCCAGATTTCTAAGCGTTCATGGTTTTCTTCTTCCGGTTAGTTTTTTTCCCTAGGTTTCCAGCTGAATTCTGGTATGTGAAGCCATCGGTGGTGGCGGGAGGAAAATGTGTTTTCATCTCAGGAGTGCCACAAACAAATTGGACACTTT
The DNA here is from genome assembly GCF_000001405.40 of Homo sapiens. Classification (NCBI taxonomy): domain Eukaryota; kingdom Metazoa; phylum Chordata; class Mammalia; order Primates; family Hominidae; genus Homo; species Homo sapiens. Next base: position 122,050,097 of record NC_000010.11, read on the forward strand.
CAAGTCTTAGTTTAAATGCTCCACTTCTCCTAGGGAGCAAGTGACCCCAAAGTGTGGTAGGTGTCCCCAGTTTTGGTTTTTCTACTAAAGCATTCAGTTGGAACTGCTTGTTTGACTTTGTTTCTTCCCCACTGGATGAGAGCAGCAGCCACCTTTGCTTCGCTGCCATATATCCTCAAGGCCTAGCTCAGTGCCGCACATAGTAGGTGTTTCGTTGGACGGCAGAGCAAGTGAACAACCTTACCTTGAATGCTGTGGTGGGTGCCCTGTTGATAAATGTTTTTGTGTTTTCAGAGACTCCTATCTGATTTCCTTTCCAATTTCTTTTTCTCCTGGCTCAGAGGACTTTATCAGCTCAGACTCCAAGGTCCGCGCAGCCACCCGGGAACAGTCAGAATATAAAAAGGAAGCAGCAGGACACGCCCGGAAGCCCTGACCACAGAGACGCGTCCAGGTAGGAGGCCAGCTCTGGAGGACTGATGCAGCCCAAGGACTGCCCCGCTCATTGCCTGCTCCAGCATTAGCTTTGCCCCATTTGCTTTGGAAACTGGACCCTTAGACACATGGTATCGTCCTCAGTGGTGAGATGTTCCAAGCAGTGGTTCACAGACCTCTCTGTGACTGGCTAGGCCTGCATGATTGAAAAATTCATCCTGATTGCCTGCCCAAAGATGAAATTAGTAATTATAGACTTCCATTCCAGCCACACTCCAGAGTATCTTCATTGTCAGAACTTAAAATGGAAAACATCAAGGGTTCCCAGGGGTTTATCAGTGTCTAATCCGTGGCTAAGTGGAGTCTGTAACTCAGTGTGGTGGCCATTGCGGGCACTGGACCATGAAACAGAGGACTGAGAACACAATTACCAAAGCCACCCAAGCCCTTTGTCCCAGGGAGGCTGGTGGATGAATCCCAGAAACCAACTGTGGCAGTGGGATGTGGCCAGTGCGGGGGTGGCCCATCAGTCACTTCCTTTTTTTTGAGATGGAGTCTCATCCAGGCTGGAGTGCAGTGGCACGGTCTCGGCTCATTGCAACCTCTACCTCGTGGGTTCAAGCGATTCTCCTGCTTCAGCTTTCCGAATAGCTGGGATTACAGGAGCCCGCCACCATGCCCAGCCATTTTTTGTATTTTTAGTAGAGACGGGATTTCACCATATTGGCCAGGCTGGTCTCTAACTCCTGACCTCAGGTGATCCACCCGCCTCAGCTTCCCAAAGTGCTGGATTATAGGTGTGAGCCACCATGCCTGGCTGGTCACTGGCTCTTGTTATGAGCCACAGCCAGGCCCTAGGGCTCCCTGCCGGGGCTCTCTCCTGGGCCTCTCCCCATGTTGGCCCCACACTCATAGTTTTAGGGGATACAAGCAGTAGTCCAGCAGACTCGAGCACCTGGTGTCCAGCATGGACACAGGCCAGGCACGCTGGGGGCACTTAATAACTGCTCGTGGGTTCAACTCGCAAACAGGCCATGGATTTGGTCAGAAAAACCCTGCAAAATTGGAGCCCAGCTCTCAGGAGTGTATCATGACAGGCCTTAAGGGAAGCAAATGAGCAGGAACTCTGTGGAACAAAAATGCAAAATGGAATGATAGGCCCCTGTCATAGACAATGCAACTTTGACTCACATGCTACTTCATAGCTTTGCAAAACCTTGAGACTCAAAGTGACTTTTTTTTTTTTTTTTTTTTTTTTTTTGCTTTGGGTAAGTCAGAGCAACCCCTGGTGGCAGGAATTTTCATGCCTGGGGCATGGAAGTGGGTGGCTTGGGCTATGTGGCTTTCCAGAGGAAGTACTTGGGGCATCTTGGCAGGAGCTTTGGATTTCTTTAGGGAAATGGCAATCAGATGGGGCAGAGTGTTTTTTGCTGAGGGAATCAGAATGATCCCTCAAACAGCACCTTTGATCTCTATTCTCTGCTAAAGATGGTGCTTCCTCTACTTCCCCAGACCCCCGTGTCTGTTCCATTTCCATGAATTTTTCATCAGGGTCACAGGACAAAGGTTTTAGTCTTTGGTTCTAATGAGACCTCTGACTTGGCTCTGGATGACTATGAAACTAGTGAATGCATTTGTCTTTTCTGGAATCCCACACAAGGGAAGCCACTGTGGCTGCTGAGGCCCAGGGTCCAGCTCTTCTCTTTCCCTCTTGGTGAGGTCCTGGGATCTCCTGAGGCCTGGGAATTGCTCGAGGCCTGTGTCACAGCTGGACTGAAGAGTAGCAGCAGCTCAAATGTCTTTTGTTGCTTGTTCCCCAGCTTTAGTCAATTATTATTTTTCCCTTGAAGAATTGCCTCTCGTTGGCATGCAAATTGAGCATAAAAGAGGTGCCCGTAATCCCAGCACTTTGGGAGGCCGAGGTGGGTGGATCACGAGGTCAGGAGATCCAGACCACCCTGGCCAACATGGTGAAGCCCCGTCTCTACTAAAAATACAAAAATTAGCCAGGCGTGGTGGCGTGTGCCTGTAGTCCCAGCTACCCAGGAGGCTGAGGCAGGAGAATCGCTTGAACTCAGGAGGTGGAGGTTGCAGTGAGCCGAGATCGTACCACTGCGCTCCAGCCTGGGCGACAGAGTGAGACTACGCCTCAAAAAAAAAAAAAAAACAAACAGGTGCCTTCCAAGAACACACTCAAAAAAGCAGCTTCCTGTTCACAATTAAAAACATGATTCTCCTCTATAAATGTGTGTGTGTCTATAGTGCAGGGCCCTGTACTAACTCAGAAACCATCTATCGAGAAGGAACAGGCCCTCCTACTCTGCAAGGGCTGACAGTGAGTCCATCGCTCCTGACGGAGCAGGGCTCCTGTGTGCGGTTTCAGTGAGTCACCTGTCCTTGGCGTCACCAACAAGGATAAAGAGCATTTATCATTCATTTTGCATATGGGTTCCAGACACTATGCCAAATGCTCTGTGTGTGCAATAGATCATTGCATTTTTTTTAAAACCTATTCGGTTCTGATCCTGAGTCCTTACCTGCCAGGCTGGTGGGTATGCCAAGTGTATTAGTCCGTTTTCACACTGCTGATAAAGATATACCCAAGACTGGGCAATTTACAAAGAAAAGAGGCTTAATGAAGAACTTACAGTTCCACGTGGCTGGGGAAGCCTCACAATCACGGTGGAAGGCAAGGAGGAGCAAGTCACATCTTATGTGGATAGCAGCAGGTAAAGAGAAGAGAGCTTGTGCAGGGAAACTCCCGTTTTTAAAACCATCAGATCTCGTGAGACCCACTCCCTATCATGAGAACAGCTTGGGAAAGACCAGCCCCCATGATTCAGTCACCCCCCCAGGTCCCTCCCGCAACACGTGGGAATTCAAGATGAGATTTGGGTGGGGACACAGCCAAACCATTATCACCCAGGGCAGCCATCCTTGGGACTTCTCTCTCCAGAGCCTGGTGCATTGAGACCATCATCCATTCCCTCCCCAACCCCAGCACCTTCCCTGTGATGCCAGTGACCACACTGCCCCTCAGGCTGAGGGACTGTGCTGCTTCTCCACAACCGTAGGCAGGAGGAAATCTTTGGCGAGGCTTTGGGAGCCCATGACCGCTTCCTCGAGCACCCTCCCTGCTCATTCCCCTCTGAACCAGAGGACACGGTCTGGAAGTAGAGAGGGACTCTCAGAGGTTCCCCACTGTTCAGGGCCCTTTCTCTCCACTCTCAGGCGCATTGGCCTTGAGGCATCTGTCCCTTGGCCTCATTGGACAACCAGCATTTTCTCTTCAAAGGATGTAAGTTTTTACAAAAGGTGGGAAGACGCATTGACCTGCAACTCTTTCTGTTTTCTACTTGGAAAAATCCAGAGGCAAAAAACACAGAAGGGCCTGCAGTGGCCACCTGCTGGGCATGGAGCGAGGGAAGAATATAGGCAGAATGCGTGTGTGAATATTCCCAAAGATGGTCCCTCTGCTCAGGCATCATCTCCACTCTACAGATGAGGAAACTGAGGCTTGCAGCATGATGTAATCTACCTTAGAGGTAGAAAGTCCATTGTTTCTCCTCGAGGCTCTTCCCTCCCTCTGAATTATGCTAGAACATGGGGTTTACTCATCCCCAAAGTTCTTCAATAGGAAGAGTGGGGTCCCATCAATTCGACTGTCTTGCTTTTCTGGTTGCCACGTGGTGGCGCTGTTGTAACTTAGCCCAGCGTAGTTCAACCATCCAGAGTCTGGGACATGCCTCCCTGATGACCATCCCTGCACAGGCCCCTGGGTTCTTGAGGGAGAATGATCCTAGCCTCCTAGGGTGAAGCTTAACCCCAGTAGCATCTCTTTCTGCTCAGCAGTGTCCATGCCAGTACAGCTGATGTAGCAGTACAGCTGATTAGCAGTCTGGACTGGTCCCTGGTCCGCCCTTCTTGGATATCATCAACCAGGGACTGAGCAGCTTTTTCCTTTTAGATCCTTAAGACACAACTGATTTTATCTTACAACCTTTTGCCAGATAATGGAGCTATTAATATTAGGTTGTACCAGAGGAAATTACCATTTAGTTAGGTCAAAAATTGTTGGTCATTGGCCATTTCCTGTGCTTCCATTTCCTGTGCTCCTTCTTCTGAAAAAGGTCAAGGGCAGTGTTTCGAGATGACCGGCTTTTCTCAGGGAGTGAGAATCAGGCAGGGAGTGACCTTGAGTGATTTCTAGCTGAATTCCCGGCGCCTTTGGTTTCTGACCACAGTGCTTAGGCTCCCAGGCAATGGTAATTGACACAAGACCAAACAGATCTCCCAAACAAGGCTTTGTGAGGGGCTTATGTTTGAACACAAGGGAGAGAGCGCTGGAGCAAAGTTCTCCGGCTGGCTCCCCGAGGACAGGTCTTTTTGGTGTTTTAAGAAGGGTGGGCAGGGCATGGTGGCTCACGTCTGTAATCCCAGCACTGTGGGAGGCCGATGTGGGTGGATTGCCTGAGCTCAGAAGTTAGGGACCAGCCCGGGCAACACAGTGAAACCTCATCTCTACTAAAATGCAAAAATTTAGCTGGGTGTAGCGGCATGCATCTGTAGTCCCAGCTACTCTGGAGGCTGAGGCAGGAGAATTGCTTGAACCCAGGAGGTGGAGGTTGCAGTGAGCTGAGATTGCACCACTGCACTCCAGCCTGGGTGACAGAGCAAGACGCCGTCTCCCAAAAAAAAATAAAAAAAAAGTGAAGAAGGGTGACGTGAACAAGCATGAGGTATGGGAGCGTCGTTACACGTGTGGGGTAGAGCACAGAGTGCACAGGCACAGTGAAAAACATGTTAGGGCATATATTGCATGATCAAAAAATGGCAGATATGCAGCCATAAAAAAGAACGAGATCATGTCCTTTGCAGGGACATGGATGGAGCTGGAGGTCATTATCCTTGGTAAACTAACACAGGAACAGAAAAGCAAACACTGCATGTTCTCACTTATAAGGGGAGCTAACTGATGAGAACACATGGACACATAGAGGAGAACAACACATACTGGGGCCTATTGGAGGGAGGAGGCTGGGAGGAGGCACAGGATCAGGAATGATAACTAATGGGTACTAGGCTTAATACCTGGGTGATGAAATAATCTGTACAACACACCCCCATGACACGAGTTCACCTGTGTAACAAACCTGCACTTGTGCCCTTGAACGCAAAATAAAAGTTTATGAAACAAAACAAAACCCAAAAAATGGCAGATAAGCCCCACCTGGGTGGGAATTTTGGTATTACGATGAGCCAGTGGGTGAAGATGGGTCATTCTGGACTTGTGCGTATGCGGGCAATAGGGTTAACTTCCTTGAATAAGATGATGGTGGAATGCTGCTAACCTTAGCTTCTTCAAGGTCTCTTGGTCAGCGGGGATGGCACTGGATGGGGTATGCAAGGTCTAGTAGAATCCTGGTGGGGGCCAAGTCCCATCCATACCCTGTCTCACTTTGTCACTGAATGAAGGAGAGTGGAAACTCAACAGCCTGGAGTCTTAGCTGTTATCTGATGGTTCTCAAACTTGAGTGGGCACCAAGATCACCTGCAAGGCAGATTAAGACAGATTTCTAGGCTTCGCCTCTGGGGAGTCTGATGCAGCAGGTTTGTGGTGAGGCCTGTGAAGGGGCATTTCTTTTTCTTTTTCTGTTTTTGAGACAGAGTTTTACTCTTGTCGCCCAGGCTGGAGTGTAATGGTGCGATCTCAGCTCACTGCAACCTCCGCCTCCCGGGTTCTAGCGTTTCTCCTGCCTCAGCCTCCCAAGTAGCTGGGATTACAGGTGCCTGCCACCATGCCCGGCTAATTTTTGTATTTTTAGTAGAGATGGGGTTTCACCATGTTGGCCAGGCTGGTCTCGAACTCTTGACCTCAGGTGATCTGCCCACCTCAGCCTCCCAAAGTGCTGGGATTACAGGCGTGAGCCACTGCGCCCAGCCAGGAAGGAGCATTTCTAACAGGTTCCCAGGTATTAGTACTGCTGGTCCAGAGACCACACAATGAAGACTGCTGCATTCTGCCACGCGGCTGTGTGACCACCTCAGCCCAGTGCTGTTGGGGCTCAGAAGAAGCCTTCCCTGAGAGCTGGAGTGGACAAGGAGGGTCTCCTGGCAGGGGTGGAGGGAGCTTGAGTGAAAGGGGCAGACTCTAGAGGCCATTCCAGGCAGGGGCAGAATTCCTGAACTGGACCTCTCTAGGGCTGAGTAGGAAGTGAGTGCAGACCCAGGTGGTGACGTTCACTGAAAACAAGGTATGAGGAGTGGCGCCATGTTGAGGAGAATCTGTCAGTCAGGTGAGGGGTTGAGATTTTTTCCTGAAGGTAACTGGAAGCTAGGGAAGTGCTTTGTGGTTTGTTTGCTTTTAAACAAGGGCTGGGCTGGGCACAGTGACTCATGCCTATAATCCCAGCACTTTGGGAGGCCAAGGCCGGTGGATCATGTGAGGTCAAGAGTTTGAGACCAGCCTAGTCAACCTGGTGAAACTCCATCTCTACTAAAAATACAAAAATTAGCCTGGCATGGTGGCGCACACCTGTAGTTTCAGCTACCAGAGAGGCTAAGGCAGGAGAATCCCTTGAACCCAGGAGGCAGATGTTGCAGTGAGGTGAGATCATGCCACTGCACTTCAGCTGGGCAACAAGAGTGAGACTCCGTCTCAAACATAAAATAAAAATAAAATAAAATAAACAAGGGCTTATGCATGCCAGGAAAGTGTTCTGAAGATAAGGGTGAGGCACTGACTGGTGCACTGGAGGGGTGGAGGGTGCCGGCTGGAAGGGGCACTAGGGGATGTTGTTGTAGTAGAGGAATGGTGGCCAGAAGGAATCCCAAGGGAGAACCCACAGAACCCGGTGACTGCCTGGGTGTGGGCGGAAGAGGTGGAGTCAAAGAATGAGAAATAAAAGTAAAATCCTAAGCCCCCCATCCAGCTGAACAGACTCCCTCTTGGCCAAAGGGACCCTAAAGAAGCCTTAAAAACTAAGTTTGGCCGGGCACGGTGGCTCACGCCTCTAATCCCAGCACTTTGGGAGGCCGAGGCGGGCAGATCACCTGAGGTCGGGAGTTCGAGACCAGCCTGACCAACATGGAGAAACCCTGTCTCTACTAAAAATAAAAAATTAAAAAATTAAAAAAAATTAGCCAGGCATGGTGGTGGGCACCTGTAATCCCAGCTACTTGGGAGGCTGAGGCAGGGTTCAATCTGAGGCTTGAACCCAGGAGGTGGAGGTTGGGGTGAGCCAAGATCGAGCCATTGCACTCCAGCCTGGACAGCAAGAGTGAAACTCCGTCTCAAAAAAACAAAAACAAAAACTGAGTTTGGAGCCCTGAGAGGATGGAGGTCAGACAACCTTCCCGTACCTGCTCCCTCGCTAGATGATGTTAGACTTCTTTCCTAAGGGTTCAACAGAAACAAGCAAACCAGCCCTTTCGAAAGACTTGCTCCACCACTGGTTTCAGCTAGATCCCCTTCCCTTTTGTGGTTTCCACACAACAACTGACCAGCATTCCTTCCACACAAGAGACCACCCACCATGGAGTGGTTCAGCACCCTGAGTGCCTTCGCACCCTCTGCGTCACCTTTTAATGTATAAAGCCTAATTTTAGCGCATTTAAATGTTGTCTACACCACAAAGTGAGCATGGGGTGTAACATGTCCATTTGCTTACTATGCATGCACGCCCCTCTTCATGAATACTCATAGCTCTTCCTATAATCTGTTGAATGTGTCTACTTCGCCTGTTCAGCATAAATTCCAGTCTCAAACTTCCCTACCTCAAGTGCCTGCTTCCGGCTTCCGCTGCAAAGCGCGGAAGCGCTTCTGTCACTTCCCAGCCTGCGGGATGGATGGCCAGCCTGCAGGCTGCAACCCTTTATTATATATTTATTTATTTAGAGACGGAGTCTCACTCTGTCGCCAGACAGGAGTGCAGTGGCGCGATCTTGGCTCACTGCAACCTCCACCTCCCGGGTTCAAGTGATTCTCCTGCCTCAGCCTCCCAAGTACCTGGGACTACAGGTGCGAAGCACCATGCCCAACTAATTTTTGTATTTTTAGTAGAGACGGGGTTTCACCATGTTGGCCAGAATGGTCTCTATCTCTTGACCTTGTGATTCACCTGCCTCGGCCTCCCAAAGTGCTGGGATTTGCAGGCATGAGCCACCGTGCCTGGCCACTGCAACTCTTTATAAGAAATAAGCTTTCCTCCCCAAATTTATGAACCTCATGATTCTTCAGTTGACAAGAAGATGCTAAGGTTCTGGATCAAGAACCCAAAAGAAAGATCCAACATTAAACACTGGGACATCTAAAGTGAGAGCTAGGCCATGCGTGAGCCACTGAGCCCAGCCCCCTCTGTGTGTTTTTTTTTTTTTTTGAGACACGGTTTCGTTTTTGGTGTCCATGATGGAGTGCAGTGGCGCAATCTCGGCTCACTGCAACCTCCACCTCCCGGGTTCAAGCCATTCTCCTGCCTCAGCCTCCTGAGTAGCTGGGATTACAGGCGCCTGCCACTACGCCTGGCTAATTTGTTGTTGTTGTTGTTGTTGTTGTTGTTGTATTTTTAGTAGAGACGGGGTTTCACCATGTTGGTCAGGCTGGTCTCGAACTCCTGACCTTGTGATCCGCCCGCCTCAGCCTCCCAAAGTGCTGGGATTATAGGCGTGAGCCACCACACCCGGGCTCCATCTGTGTTTTTAATAAGCACCCCAGGTGATTCTTCTGAGGAGGGAAATTTAAGGAATGGTGAGCTATTGCCAGGACCAGTTTATCAGAATTGACTGGGATATCAGTTAAAGTACCCGTTTCCTGAACACCCCCCTCCCCCCTTGAAGAGTCTGAGCCAGTAGATTTGGGATGAGACCCCTAAATCTGTGTTTGTAATAAGAATCCCATGAGATTCTCATGAGAAAGCAAGTTTGGGAGACACTGACCAGGGTTTACCCCCAGGCCAATAAGGATAGCTAACTTTTGTTTGCGCTTTGGATAATTCGCATACAGACTCATGCCCCCTCTCCTGTTCTCTCCTCTTTTTTTTTTCCAACATATATTTACTGGGCAGCCATTCTGTGCCTGCTCCTGCACTAGGTGGTGAGGATGCAGCTGGCAGCACGCACCATGGGAGCTCTGCTCCGGTGGGTAAATACACTGTAGTTAAGGAGTTAGACATTGAGCAAGGAAACAAATAGAACAGAGACACTTTTGGGTGGTGTGGAGGCTCTGAAAGGTACCCAGCAGGGTGTCAAGCTAGAGAGTAACAGGGAAAGTGGCTACTTTAGATTAGACCTGCCATTCTCAAAGTGGGGTTCTGGCCCAGTGGTCTCAGCATCACCTGGGAATTTGTTAAAAATGCAAAGCTTTGACCCCACTCCCACTCACTGAACTAGAAACTCAGGGTGGGGCCTAGTGATGTGTGTTTTAACAAGCCCAGGGATCTGGCACTCCTAAGGTTTGAGAACCACTGGATTAGATGGCCAGAGAAGGAGGTGATACAGGAACTGCGTCTGGAATGACAAAAAGGCAGACATGGAAGACCTAGGGGACCAGGCATTCCAGGTGGAGGGACAGGCCTTGCAAAGGGCTTAAGGAGGAAGAATTCCCTGCTTTAGAGGAATGGGTGACCATTGAGGCAGTGAGAGATGGCGAGGTGGGCAGGGGCCTGATCAGCCAAGCCTGGACCCTGAAGGCCATGGTGAGGAACTTGGATTTCCTTCTGGTGCTGGGGATGCAAGCAAGACTGGGGCCAGGCGGTCAAAGAAGGGGCCCAGGTAGAGCCCCAGGCAGAGCCCCAGGCAAATCCCCAAGCAAGATGTGGTACCTGGAACTAGGGCAGGGTTTCTCAAGCTCGTTTTTATTGCCACTCACTCCTGGCTGCCTGCAAGGAAGTTAGAGACATTTATTCCTCATTGCCTTTCCCTCTCCAAGAAAGTTCAATACCACAGGAATGCTGTATATGTTTCTGTGCTATGGCCTTTGAGGCCACAGACTATTGTACTATCTAAGGCTCTTTTCACCTCTCAAGAACCAATTTTCACCCCACCTAGGGATGGTCTTGGCCCATTGAGAGTGCATGGACTGAGATACCAGTGAAGGTGGAGAAAATGTGAGCAGCTTTCCATATTTTGGATATAGTGGAGCTAGAGATGCCAGGACTTGCTGATAGACTGGCTTTAGAAGGAAAAAGAAAAAGAGGCCAGGTGCGGTGGCTCATGTCTGTAATCCCAGCACTTTGGGAGGCCAAGGTGGGCGGATCACCTGAGGTCAGGAGTTTGAGACCAGCCTGGCCAACATGGCGAAACTCTGTCTCTACTAAAAACACAGAAATTAGCCGGGCGTGGTGGCGCATGCCTGTAATCCCAGCTACTCGGGAGGCTGAGGCAGGAGAATCACTTGAACCCTGCAGGTGGAGGTTGCAGTGAGCGAAGATCATGTCACTGCACTCCAGCCTGGGCAACAGAGACTCCATCTCAAAAAAAAAAAAAAAAAAAGGGGGGGGGGCCAGGCACGGTGGCTCACACCTGTAATCCCAGCACTCTGGGAGGCCGAGGCGGGCAGATCACGAGGTCAGGAAATCGAGACCATCCTGGCTAACACGGTGAAACCCCATCTCTACTAAAAATGCAAAAAAAATTAGCCGGGCGTGGTGGCAGGTGCCTGTAGTCCCAGCTGCTTGGGAGGCTGAGGCAGCAGAATGGCGTGAACCCGGGAGGCGGAGCTTGCAGTGAGCCGAGATGGCGCCACTGCACTCCGTCTCAAAAAAAAAAAAAAAAAAAAAGGAGGGAGAAAAGAATCGAGGAAGATTCCTGAAGCTTTGGCTTGAGTGACTGGGCAGGTGGGACCATATGCTGAGATGTGAAAAGCACTAAGGTCAGGTGTGTCTGCCGAGTTCCACGGCCACAGACCTGGGCTCCAGGAGGAAATCCTACGGGTGCCAGGTGAAGCTGTCAGGACAAAGTGCCGACTATCACAGACCCGGGCTTGTGCTGGGGGAATCCCAGGAAGGCCTGGCATCTTTGAGAGAAAAGCAGAGTTCTCCTTTCTGCTTCAGGGACAGCTCATTTCCTGCTCCATGCCCAGCTCCTTAGCACCCCAGCCTTTTTAGGGGGTCGGTGTCTTAGTCCATTTAATCAACACGGGCCCACTACACACTACAGGTCAAGCTCTGGGCTGGACCAGAGGCACGAAGATGAGCAAGATGTCCAGTCCAGTCTAGAGAAACGCATGCAAATGAATAATTCTAGAACAAGCTAAATGCCCTAGGTGGGGTCTCTGGGAGCACAGGGGCGGGGAGAGAGGGGCTGGCTCTGCTGGGGAGAACCAGGAGAGGTCTCCAGGGGAGGTTTCTTGGGGCTAGGTCTTCAAAACTGAGTAGAAGTAGAGGGTTATGGGGAAAAGACAGTCCCAGGCAGAGAACAGCTGTCCCTATCGTAGATCCACAGGAAACAGAATTTTAGAAGGACTAGACACATAAACTTTAGGACATGTCAGAGCGGCTTTTTTTTTTTTTTTTTTTTTTTTTGAGACGGAGTCTCGCTCTGTCACCCAGGCTGGAGTGCAGTGGCACCATCTCCGCTCACTGCAAGCTCCGCCTCCCTGGGTTCACTCCATTCTCTGCCTCAGCCTCCTGAGTAGCTGGGACTACAGGTGCCCGCCACCACGCCTGGCTAATTTTTTGTATTTTTTAGTAGAGACGGGGTTTTACTGTGTTAGCCAGGATGGTCTCAATCTCCTGACCTTGTGATCTGCCCGCCTCGGCCTCCCAAAGTGCTGGGATTACAGGCGTGAGCCACCACGCCTGGAGTTTCACTCTTGTTGCCCAGTCTGGAGTACAATGACGCCATCTTGGCTAACCACAACCTCCACCTCCCGGGTTCAAGTGATTCTGCCTCGGCCTCCGGAGTAGCTGGGATTACAGGCATGCGCCACCACGTCCGGCTAATTTTGAATTTTTTTTTTTTTTTTAGTAGAGACAGGGTTTCTCCATATTGGTCAGGCTGGTCTCGAACTCCCGACCTTAGGTGATCCACCTGCCTCGGCCTCCCAAAGTGCTGGGATTACAAGCATGAGCTACTGTGCCAGGCCCAGAGCTTCTTTACATCTGGGAGATAGGAGGTGTAGCATAATATTAAGCTCAACCTCTTGGCTTTTTCAGAAGACAAACTCCTAGTTAGAACAAAAACATCTTTGGTGTGGATAGCAGCAACTATGGGGAAGGGTTTAGAAAGATGGTTTGAAAAAATGAACTAAATGGGCTTTAAATGGAAGGCCAGGATGTTTCTTACTCCTCCGTTTCACTGTCATTTGTGGAATCGGTCTGCTGCAGGCTGGGCATTGGGCCTAGGGCTACACACATCACCTCACCCGGCAGCTCTGTGTGGATGGCTGTAGATGACCCAAGGGGGCCTTATGAGGAAATCAGGGCTCAGAGAGGTTAAGGAACTTGTTCTAGGTCACACAGACAGAATGTGGCAGGGCGGGGACTAGAACCGAGGCTGGTTTGATCCACCTGAAACCCAGACTCGTAACTGACTCTCACAGGTGTCTGAAGTGTTTGTGTTCTGGTCTCCATATTAGAAAGTGAACCTTGGTCAATCCTTAACATTTAGTTTTCCTATAAACAGGGTCAGTTCTTAGCAGAAAAAAGAAAAATCAGAAAGATCTAAGCTGTGTTTTGCACATCGGCCCGGGCCAGCTCTTACAGACAGAGCCCTGTATTTCCCAGGCGGCCTGCTCTGTTCCTTCCAAACTTGGGAGGACTCTAAGATCAATTCCCAGGCTCCTGCCCAGCCAGGGTGTGTCGGGCAGAGCGCAGAGCAGCCTCCGCCCCTCCTTGTCCTGCTTCTGACTCATTATTTATCTTTGGCAGGAAGTAAACACAGAAAGGAGAGTGGGAGGGAGAGGAGGAGTGAGCTCCTGACTTTTGACGCTGGCTGAAAAGGAAGATCATGTGCTGAATTAGGTGTGTGTCTGTTTTCTGCTCCTCTGGTTTCAACAGAGCATTTGAGGCTTTAAACAACAGGGGAAGAGGAGTATTTTTCCATTAGGAGATAATACCCATTTATTGTAGCAACTTGGAACATAGCGAAGAGTGCAGAGTGGAGAGGAAAAAATCACCAATGCTCCTACCATATGCAGACAATGGCTTTCAAAATATTAGTGTTTTCCTCACACTCTTCTTTTTTCTAGTTCTTTTCTTTATTGATTGTGAGATAGCTATATTTTGTTAGGTGGTATATTAAGTGTGCATATATATTATAAAAACATATTCAAATTATATATTATACATATATATTATATAATACACACACACACACACACACACACACCCTTAAAGAAATGTGTGTGTGTGGTCAGGCGTGGTGGCTCACTCTTGTAACCCCAGCACTTTGGGAGGCCGAGGCAGGTGGATCACTTGAGGTCAGGAGTTTGAGACCAGCCTGGCCAACATGGTGAAACCCCGTCTCTACTAAAAATACAAAAATTAGCCGGGCGCGGTGGTGTATGCCTGTGGTCCCAGCTACTTGGGAGGCTGAGGCAGAAGAATCGCTTGAACCCAGGAGGCAGAGGTTGGAGTGAGCCAAGATCATGCCACTGCACTCCAGCTTGGGTGACAGAGCGAGACTCTGTCTCAAACAACAACAAAAAGTGTGTGTGTGTGTATATAATTTTTATATATGTATATGCACTTTAAAAATAATTAATAGGCTATTTTCAGAACAGTTTTAGGTTACCGAAAAATCGTGTAGCTATTACAAAAGAGTTCCCATGCACACTTCCCTCCTCCATACAGTTTCCCCTATTATTAACACCTCACATTAATGTGGTATATTTGTTTCAACTAATGGGCCAATATTGATACATTATTATTAACTAAAGTCTATACAGTAAGTTCTCCCTCAGTGTCATTAATATGTTCTTAGAAACTGCAATTTTAAGTGAAATGATGTATAATGAGACCAGTCTTTTTGTCATCATTTTACTGAAACTACATTGAACAAAACCACATTATTGGAGAGCCTACTCTATAACTATTTGCTCAAAGTTGCAGTTTCCAAGAACCACTGGACAACATTGAGGACTTACTATCGTTTACATTAAAGTTCAGTTTGTGTTGTACATTCTGATGAATTTGACAAATGCATAAGGTCATGTATCCGTCATTATGATATTAGTTTCACTGCCTTAAAAACCCCTTAGGCTCCACCCATTCCCCTCCCTCCATCCTCCCACATTCTTGGGAATCACTCTCTTTTTAGTGTCTCTATAGTTTTGTTCTAATTCCTTTTTTATTGGTATCAGATACATACTGTGAGTTGTCTGAATTTGAGAGCTTGATGAATGCTTATAGTCCTGTATAGATCTAGGTCATTTTCATCATACCAGATTGTTCTCTCTTGTTCCTTCCCAGTCAATACCCCTGCCCAAGAGTAACAACTATTCTGACTTCTATCACCATTGATTGGTTTTGACAGATCTTGAACTCTATATAAATGGAAGCAAATAGTATGTATGCTTTGCTCTCTGGCTTATTTTATACACGGATACTTGTTGATTTAAAAAAATTTTTTTATTGTGGTAAAGGGCAGAACATAAAATTTACCATCTTAACCGTTTCTAAGTGTACAGTTCAGTAGTATTAGGTATAATCACATTGTTGTTTGACCAGTGTCTCTGTAGTTTCTTAGCTGAGAAGCTGGCATCATTGATTTGAGACCTTATTAAAATATAGGCATTTTAGTGCTATAAATGTCACTCTGAGACCTGTTTTAACTGCGTCCCACAAATTTTGATATTTCTGTTTTCATTTTCATTCTGTTCAAATACTTTACAATTTCCTTCTTTCTTTCTTCTTTTACTCATGGACTATTCAGAAATGTGTTATTGTTTCCAAATAGTTGGGGATTTTCCAGATATCTTTCTGTTATTGATTTCTAATTTAATTTCATTGTAGCCAGATAAGATACTTTGTATAATTTGAATCATCTCAAATTTATGCACAGAATATGGTCTCCCTTGTACGTGTTCCATCTGTACTTGAAAAAAATGTTATTTTGCTATTATTGGATGGTGTTAAAAAAGTGTTAATTAAGTCAAGTTGGTCATAGTGTTGTTCACGTCATCTGTATCCACACTGATTTTCTATCCACTTGTTCAATTATTGAGAGAGGGGTTTGGAAATACCAGACTATAATTGTGGATTTGTCCATTACTCCTTTCAGTTCTAGCAGTTTTTGCTTCTTGTGTTTTGAAGCTCTGTTATTTGATAAAAATTTTTAGAATTTTTAATGTTTATTTTAGAATGTATAAAATTTTAGAATTTATATGGATAAATTGAATCCTCTATCATTATAACATTATGTTCTTTATGCCTGTAATATTTTTTGCTGCAAAATCTACTGTCTTAAATAATATAGACACAACAGCCTGATTAGTGTTTGCATAGTACATCTTCCCCTTCTTCCATTGTTTTACATTTAGCCTATTTGTGCTTTAAAAAAATTTAAGTACCTATATTGTAGGCAGCATAGAGTTGGATCTTGTTTTATTAATGCACTCTGAAAATCTATACTTTTTTTTTTTTTTGAGACAGGGTCTCACTCTATCACCCAGGCTGCTCTATCACACCAGTGCAATGGTGTGATCTTGGCTCACTGCAGCCTCCACCTCCCAGGTTCAAGTGATTCTCCTGCCTCAGCCCCCCAAGTAGCTGGGACTACAGGGGCCTGCCACCATGCCCAGCTATTTTTTTTTTTTTTTTTGAGACAGAGTCTCTGTCGCACAGGCTGGAGTACAGTGGCACAGTCTCAGCTTACTGCAACCTCCACCTCCCAGGTGCAAGTGATTCTCCTGCCTCAGCCTCCTGAGTAGCTGGGATTACAGGTGTGCACCACCACACCCAGCTAATTTTTGTATTTTTAGTAGAAAACGGGTTTTACCATGTTGGTCAGGGTGGTCTCGAACCCCTAACCTTGTGATCCGCCTGCCTTGGCCTCCCGAAGTGCTGGGATTAGAGGCGTGAGCCACCGCGCCCAGCTTAATTTTTGTATTTTCAGTAGAGATGGGGTTTCACCATGTTGGCTAGACTGGTCTCAAACTCCTGACCTCAAGTGAACTGCCTGCCTCGGCCTCCCAAAGTGTTGGGATTATAGGCAAAAGCCACCGTGCCTGGCCTAAAAATCTGTAGCTTTTAACTGGAGTGTTTATAACATTCACATTTATTGTGATTATTAATATGGTTGGTTTAAATCTATAGTCTTATTCCATTTTTCCTCCTTTTTTGCCTTCTTTTGGATTATTTTATTAGCTACAACTATTTGTGTTATTTTAGTGGTTGCTTTAAGAAGTACAATATACATCTTTAATATCTCACAATCTACTTTCACAATGATTATATCATTTTACATTTATTAGAAGAGGCTTACAACAATATGCTTCCATTTCTTCTGTTTCAGACTTTGTTCTATTTGGTCTTTATATATAAGCTACACATCCCATAATACATATTATTTGTGCTTTAATCAGCCAATTATCTTTTAAAAGAGATTTAAGTAACAAGGAAAAAGAGACTGTATTTACTTGCATAGTTACCATTTTCTGGGTGTTCTTTATTCTGTTGTGTAGATCCTGATTACCATTTTGTATTCTTTTCTTTTTGCTTGAAGGTCTTCCTTTAACATTTCCTGAAATGTAGGTCTGCTAGGGGTTATTCTTTTAGCTTTTGTATGTCTGGAAAAATCTTTATTTCACCTGGTTTAGAAAAATATTTTGTCTGGGCAAAGATTTCTAGGTAGGCAGTTTTTTTCTTTCAACACTTTAAAGATATTATTTCTGTATTCTGGCTTTCATTATTTCCAACAAAATTCTTACCTTTGTTCTTTTTTTCTCTGGCTACTTTTAATATGTTTCACTTTTTCACTGGTTTGAAGCAGTTTGGTTACGATATGCCTTGGTGGTGTAGGTTTTTCACTGTTTCTGGTTTTTTTTTTTTTTTTTTAGACACAGTCTTACTCTGTCACCCAGGCTGGAGTGCAGTGGCCTGATCTTGGCTCACTGCAACCTCCGCCTCCCAGGTTCAAGCAATTCTCCTGCCTCAGCCCCCCAAGTAGCTGGAATTATAGGCGTATGCCACCACACCTGGCTAATTTTTGTATGTTAGTAGAGATGGGGTTTCACCATGTTGGCCAGGCTGGTCTCGAACTCCTGACCTCAAGTGATCCACCCGCCTTGGCCTCCCAAAATGCTGGGATTATAGGCGTGAGCCACTGCCCTGAACACCGGCCCTCGCTGTTTCTTATGCTTGGCATTAGTTGAGATTGTTGGATATGTTGGTTAATAGTTTACATCATATTTGGAGATTTTTCAGTCATCAGTTCTTCAAATATTTTGTATCTCCCCTCCTCCTGTGGGGACTCTACACATATATTTGGTTACTTGAATTTGTCTCACAGCTCACTGATGCTTTTTTGTTGTTGTTGTTATTTCTTTCAGTCTTAATTCTCTCTGTGTTTCATTTTAGAACATTTTTATCGCTATATCTTGAAGTTCACTAATCTTTTTCTCTGCAGTGGCTAACCTGTCATTAATTTCACCCAGTGGGTTTTTTATTTTAGACATTGCAGTTTTCATCTCTAGAAGTTTGATTTGGGTCTTTTTTACATCTTCCCTCTGTGCTTGACATACTCGGTCTTCCCTCTAGCCTCCTGAACATATGGAATACAGTTATAATTCTGGAAAAAAAGTCTTTTTATAGTAATTCTATTATCTGTGTAATTTCTTGGTTCAAGACAAATTATGTTATTTTTTTTCTTTGTTATGGGTCACATTTCCCTGCTCACAGGCTGGACACTGTGGACTTTAAGCTTTTTGGGTTCTGGATATTTTCGTATTCCTATAAATGCTATTGAACTTTGCTCTGGGATGCAGTTAAGTTATTTGGAACAACTTAATCCTCTGCATCTCGCTTCATTAGATGGAACGAGAGCAGTGTTTAGGTGAGGATTAATCTTCCCCAATACTGAGACAAAACCTGCCTTTGTGCTCAGCAGATGCCTTATGAGTGATGAGGTACTCCACTCTGGCCGGTGGGAACAGGAATTATTCCCAGCTCTGTGTGAGCTGTGAGGATTGCTCCTCCGAAACCTTTTTTTTTTGAGATGGAGTCTCACGGTGTCGCCCAGGCTGGAGTGCAGTGGTGCGATCTCGGGCCACTGCAACCTCCGCTTTCCGGGTTCAAGTGATTCTCCTGTCTCAGCCTCCTGAGTAGCTAGGACTACAGACGCGCTCCACCACACCTGGCATTTTTCTGTCTGTGTGACCTAGAAGTTTTTTTTTTTTTTTTTTGTATTTTTAGTAGAGACGAGGTTTCACCATATTGGCTTGGCTGGTCTCGAACTCCTGACCTCGTGATCCACCCGCCTCAGCCTCCCAAAGTGCTGGCATTACAGGCGTGAGGCACCGCGCGGGCCCAACCTTTCAGGTGTTCTGTACCTTACCTTAGGGGGTTTCTACACCTGCACATGCCGATCAGTCCTCCCCTCTCTAGTATTCTACTCTGGGAACTGCAGCTGCCTCGGTCTCCCCAGATACACAGCTTCATCTCAAGTCAGGGCGACTGTTGGGCTCCACCTGGAACCCCCTTCTCTGTGCCGCTTTCTCCAGACCTTCAGTGGGGGCAACAGCAAGGCTTACCTCACCTCATTGTTTATTTTATTTATTTTTTTTTTTTTTTGAGACGGAGTCTCGCTCTGTCGCCCAGCCTGGAGTGCAGTGGCGCCATCTCGGCTCACTACAATCTTCACCTCCCAGATTCACACCATTCTCCTGCCTCAGCCTCCCAAGTAGCTGGGACTACAGGTGCCCACCACTACGCCCGGCTAATTTTTTATATTTTTTAGTAGAGATGGGGTTTCACCGTGTTAGCCAGGATGGTCTTGATCTCCTGACCTCATGATCCACCTGCCTTGGCCTCCCAAAGTGCTGGGATTACAGGTGTGAGCCACTGCGCCTGGCCCCCATTGTTTTCTTCTATCTCCAGGATTCCTGCTCCTCCTTTCCTCTGTCTTCCTTAGCAGCTAATCCTCCATTAGCCCAACCCTTCTTGTAGTTAATAATTCCTCATATGACGTTTTCCAACCTAGGCTCTCTGAAAACATTGAAAAGCCACCGTATCAAGTTGCTTTCTTGGGTTTTAAATAGGAATGCAGCAAAACACCTGGCATTTATTTTGGAAGAGGTGGGGAGACCCTTCTAGAAAAAAAGAATAAGAGACAAGATGCCGCGGGCAAAGTTGTTTCTCTTCTCCCTTCAAGAGCTCCTTGTATCACCGACACTTGCAGTCTCCCCTCTGTCTTGCTGTGACCTCAAATGCCAACTTTGACAGTGGTTAATCTTCCCAAACTTGTCTCTGCAGCTGTGTTAATGCTGGGAAGGAAGCTGGATGATCTTTATGTCTTTGACATTGAGCCAGCTTGGCGCCCAGTAATGTTGACTCATCCACTTTTTTCCCCAGTTTAGATTAATGGGATTACAGAGAGACGATCTCAACAAAATAGACTGGCAATGAGGATTTATTCTAAAAAGAAACCCTTCATCACATTTTTGAGCTCAGGACATAAGAGCTCAGTCTGAGACAGGTAACACCGGTAACATCTTATGCGTCAGAGAATGCCCCAAATTCTCTGAAAGACTTTCAGTCATCAAGAGACATTTCCACTATGTTCCCTGTTTTGTACAATGTTTACTGTGGCAGGAAAATGATTTTAATTAATGCTAGGAGTCTTATCAAGAAGGGATATAGACTGGGCATGGTGGCTCATGCCTATAATCCTAGCAGTTTGGGAGACTGAGGTGGGCTAATTGCTTGAGCTCAGGAGTTTGAGACCAGCCTGGGAAACATGGCAAAATCCTGTCTCTACAAAGCATAAGAAAATTAGCCAGGTTTGGGTCAGGCGCGGTGGCTGATGCCTGTAATCCCAGCATTTTGGAGGCTAAGGCGGGCGGATCACCTGAGGTCGGGAGTTGGAGACCAGCCTGACCAACATGGAGAAACCCCGTTTCTACTAAAAATACAAAATTAGCTGGGCGTGTTGGCACATGCCTGTAATCCCAGCTACTTGGGAGGCTGAGGCAGGAGAATCACTTGAACCCGGGAGGTAGAGGTTGCAGTGAGCTGAGATCTCGCCATTGCACTCCAGCCTGGGCAAGAAGAGCAAAATTCCGTCTCAAAAAAAAAAAAAAAAAAGAAATTAGCTAGGTGTGGTAATGCATGCCTGTAGCCCCAGCTACTCGGGAGGCTGAGGTGGGAGAATCACTTGAGCCTGGAGGCAGAGGTGGCAATGAGCTGAGATTGCACCCCTGTATTCCAGCCTGGGTAGCAGAGGAAGACCCTGTCTGGAAAAAAAAAAAGGGATATAACAAAAATACGTTTACCACTCTTTGTTGTTCAAAATATCCTCATGGTGTCAAAATAACATAAAAACACCACCAGAATCTAGCTATACAAGCAAAACTCTCATTTGCATTTTTCCATGAAGCACTAGCAAGGGCTTAACTTAAAATTAAGAAATGTTTATACTCAGGTAAATATTCTACCAAATCCCTTGATTTGGGCTTATTCAAGTTTTAAAGATCTTTATTGTGATTAAAAACAGGTATTTTCTCTAATGGGATAGTAGTTTTATTTTTGGTATTTGATCATTAAGAAAAGTCTGAATGATCAGAAATTATTATATCAGAATGTTATTGGCATGACTTTATCTAGACACGTTTGAAGGACAACAGACAGATGTGAAAGCCAAGTTCATTCTGGCTATGGGGAGTACTGGTGTGCAACAACCCAGCAGTAGCCCCTTCCAGCAGCCAGTCTGGGAATCACAAAATGGGGTCATTCTGTTGACTTTTAGGACCCCAGGAGAGGGTTGCTGAAAAAAATTGGTTAAAAGATAGTTTTCGAATTTTCTTTGAAATTCAGTTGCCTGTCCCCATCCCCACACTATGCTGGATAATGGATTCTCAGGAATGGAGTGGCACCTGACCTTGAAGTCATATAGAAGCTCGTATGAGGCCAGGCACAGTGGCTCACTCCTGTAATCCCAGCACTTTGGGAGGCCGAGGCAGGTGGATCATCTGAGGTCAAGAGTTCGAGACCAGGCTGGCCAACATGGGAAAACCCTGTCTCTACTAAAAATACAAAAAAAAAAAAAAAAAGTGATCTGGGCGTGGTGACGGGCACCTGTAATCCCAGCTACTCAGGAGGCTGAGGCACGAGAAATGCTTGAACCCAGAAGGTGGAGGTTGCAGTAAGCCGAGATTGCGCCACTGCACTCCAGCCTGGGCAACAGAGTGAGACTCTGTCTCAAAAAAAAAAAAAAAAAGTTCATATGACTTGTGTAGGATACTTTGGGGTTTAATCCACATCCGCATACACATGTTGATCTCCCCAATAACTCTTTTTTTTTTTTTTTTTTGAGATGGAGTCTCACTCTGTTGCTCAGGTTGGAGTGCAGTGGCGCGATCTCAGCTCACTGCAAGCTCCTCCTCTCGGGTTCACACCATTCTCCTGCCTCAACCTCCCGAGTAGCTGGGACTACAGGCGCCTGCCACTATGCCCGGCTAATTTTTGTATTTTAGTTAACCAGGATGGTCTCAATCTCCTGACCTTGTGATCCGCTTGCCTTGGTCTCCCAAAGTGCTGGGATTACAGGCGTGAGCCACCGTGCCCAGCTCCCCAGTAACTCTTTAGAATCTACACATATTTTTCAGTCATCTATTGCCTGGATTGCTCAAGCATCACGTACTTGTTTTGTTTGTTTGTTTGTTTTCTATTGAAGAATGAGCACAGCGAAGATAAAACTGGGTTAAAAATACAAAGCCAAGTCTGGCTGTCCTGCCAAGGTCAGTGGGCTCCCAGGCTTCTGTGGGGAGGGTTGTTTGGACAAGTTAGGACCATGTGTGTGGAGTGGACACAGTGTGCTAGGGTTGCAAAGAAGTTTCTGAGGAGGTGTCTTTCTCTGTGAATTACTATGTTATCACTGTTAAGACATGGCAGTTTTTCTCTCCTATTAACATTAGAATTCTTTCTTCAGCATGGATCAGTTAGAATATAAATTCCTTTTCCAAAGTCTCTGGAATAGGTGATGCCTCCCACGGTGCAGGTGTCAACCTACGTGAGCAGTTGTCGTGCCAGTACAACTGTCAGTTTAAAAATATGTATTTCTTCACTTATTTATGTATGCCATCATTCAGTCACTCATTCAACAGAGCGTAGACCCAGTGCTAGACTAAGACATAAAAATATAAATGAGGGCCGGGCGTGGCGGCTCACGCGTAATCCCAGCACTTTGGGAGGCCAAGGAGGGCAGATCATGAGGTCAGGAGATGGAGACCATCCTAGCCAACATGATGAAACCCTGACTCTACTAAAAATACAAAAAATTAGCCAGGCGTGGTGGCGCGGGCCTGTAGTCCCAGCTGCTAGGGAGGCTGAGGCAGGAGAATCGCTTGAACCCAGGAGGCGGAGCTTGCAGTGAGCCAAGATCACGCCATTGGACTCCAGCCTGGGTGACAGACTCTGTCTCAAAAAAAAAAAAAAAAAAAAATATATATATATATATATATATATATACACACACACACACGCATACATGAGATGAGCTCACTTTAACCTTGGGGGGATCCAAATCAAGAGGCCATGGCAGGTACTGAGAGAGTGTCTGTACACAGGGCCTGGGGAGTGGCATGCAGCCCCGGGAAGGGGAGCAGGGGGTCTCACCATGGAGACGGGGAAGGAGACATCCTACCTTGGGAAGGTTTGAGAACTCCATGTGTTCAGAGACCTGATTTGGCTTTTGCTCTGAGACACAAAAGAGCAGTTCACATCTTCCTGGTTGACAAGCAGATCCCACCTGGGAGAGGTGAGAGGTGAGAGGTGAACAGTGTGTTTTGGAAACTATCCATGTCGTCCTCTCAAGGGCATCTGAAATGTCCTTACCAATTCTTCTTTTAATGTAAGGCTGTGCTTTCCACAGTGTGTTCTGTGGCCCATCATCCTACTAAAAGCTCTACTGAGAAAAAGGCAACGGAAGGTTTCCAAGAAACAAATTTGGGAAACAGTGTATATGTATCTTCTTGTTGACTCACGAGGCACAGTGGTTTCTCAAAGGCTCTGAGAAATCCTGCGGTAGAAAAGCTTGTTTAACCGCACTTCACCTAGTGCTTCCCACATTCCTTGGACAGAGGAAGCTTCATTCTTTTTTTTTTATGTTTTTTGAGATAGGGTCTTGCTTTGTCAGCCAGGCTGGACTGCAGTGGCGCAATCTCGGCTTACTGCAAACTCCGCCTCCTGGGTTCACACCATTCTCCTGCCTCAGCCTCCCAAGTAGCTGGGACTACAGGCACCCGCCACCATGCCCGGCTAATTTTTTTGTATGTTTTATAGAGACAGGGTTTCACCATGTTAGCCAGGATGGTCTGGATCTCCTGACCTTGTGATCTGCCCACCTCGGCCTCCCAAAGTGCTGGGATTACAGGCGTAAGTCACAGCACCCGGCATCTTTTTTTTTTTTTTTTTGAGACGGAGTATCGCTCTGTTGCACAGGCTGGAATGCAGTGGCGTGATCTTGGCTCACAGCAACCTCTGCCTCCCAAGTTCAAGCGATTCTCCTGCCTCAGCCTCCTGAGTAGCTGGGACTACAGGTGCCTGCCAACTTGCCCAGCTAATTTTTGTATTTTTAGTAGAGACGGAGTTTTACCATGTTAACCAGGCTGTCTTGAACTCCTGACCTCAGGTGATCCACCTGCCTCGGCCTCCCAAAGTGCTGGGATTATAGGTATGACCCACTGTGCCCAGCCTAGGAAGCTTCATTCTTACACACCTAGCAGTCATATATTAGAAGCACTGAGTTTGGTTTTTAAAAGCCCTTCATAGAGTTGTAAACTATGGAGGGCATTTCCTATGTAACTTTTGTTAGCCATTAATAATTGATGCAGAATGACCTATCAGAGTTGGCTCAGTCACTGAAGTTCTTGAGGGGACTGTTTCTTAAGCAGTCTTTTCAGCTTGGGATGGAAAAGGGAAAAAAGAGAGAGTTGGGAGTGGGTCAAATACAGGGATTAGAGTGCTGGAGAGAATTCTGACCATTCACAACCACACAGCACCTTGCCTACCAGACTTATGATTGATGGAGAGAAAAATATGCAAAGCCGAGGACAGGAATAAAGACAGTGAATTGACTAGGTGACTGCAGAAGCTTATCTGTGTCACTGTGAAGATCTACGTGGTCCCCGAATTAACTGGTTTTATTCTGATTTCATGTCAGGTAGGACTGAAAACCTTCTGGAGTTTCATTTCCTTTCTTTGGGCACGGTCTCAGCCTTCCTTCTCCTGAAGAAGTCATTCGCACAACATATCCCATGGGCCAATTCAGATCTTGACAAGCCCTCAGAATGTGTGAGGAAATAGAGCACTTTGGACATCCTAAATGTTGGTGGGGTTTGGGGAGCTAATTAATCGCAACCCTTTCCACCAGACTCTAAATTATGAAATAGATGCCACAGTCAGAGAAAGATAAGAAAGTCAACAGTATAGGGCAACCCGCTCGGGTCCCTTTCCACGCTGTGGAAGCTTTTTTCTTTCGCTCTTCACAATAAATCTTGCTGCCAAAAAAAAAAAAAAAGAAAGAAAGAAAGAAAGTCAGCAGTATCATGGCAAGGTTAGGCTGCAGGATGCCAAAACCGGAATCCTCCTACCTACCCCCGAACCATCCTTCCCCACCAAGTCCCAAGCTGCATCAGTGCAGGTGCCATGAAGGATGGGGAAGGCTGGCCCAGGGAGCTCGTCACGTGGCAAATAGCTGCGAGAGGAGAAGGGGCTGCATTGTGGTAGTTCATCTCAAGGACCTCGAACACCTTAACCCCACCCATGGGGAAACTGGACTCACGGGGGCTGGCTCTCCCCATATCACCACTCGGAGAAATCTCCTCCAATGGACGTGACCATAAGGGGGCAAAGAATATGGCAGAAGCATCATACTTCACTGAGAACTCAGAAGTGTTGGGAAAGTCTCTAATTTGAGGGCCCAGGCAGGAATGTGGGGAGCTGGGGATCACCTTTCAGTCCTCGAATCCTCTCATCTCCACCACAGCTGCTGCCTCTGTTAACATTTATTTGAGTTGGCAGTTCTCAGAGGCTAGTCAGTCTTACTTAGTCTGTGTTCTGTTGCTTATCGCAGAATACATGAAACTGGAGCATTTATAAAGAAAAATAATTGATTTCTTTTTTTTATTGTTGAGACAGGGTCTTGCTCTGTTGCCCAAGGCTGGAGTGCAGTGGCATGATGTCAGCTCATGGCAGCCTCCGCCTCCTGGATTCAAGCAATCCTCCTGCTTCAGCCTCCCAAGTAGCTGGGATTACAGGTGCCTGCCACCACAATTTTTGTATTTTTTTATTTTTAGTAGAGACAGGGTTTCACCATGTTGGCCAGGCTGGTCTTGAACTCCTGATCTCAGGTGGTCCGCCCACCTCGGCCTCCCAAAGTGGTGGGATTACAGGCGTGAGCCACTGCACCTAGCATTGATTTCTTACGGTTATGGAGGCTGAGAAGTCCAAGGGCAAGGGGCTGCTCCTGGTGAGGGCATTCTTGCTGGTGGGGCTTCTGTAGAGTTATGAGGTGGCGCAGGACATCACTGGTAAAAGAAATGAGCATACTAGCTCAAGTCTCCCTTCCTCTTTGCATAAAGCCACCATGATAACCCAGTAATCCATGAATGGATTAACCTATTCCTGAGGGCAGGGCCTTCACAACCCAATCACCTTCACCTCTTAAAGGCCCCCACCTTTCAACATGATTAAGTTTGGGGATTAAGTTTCAGCGGGAGTTTGAAGGGGAAAACATTCATTCAATCCATTGCACTAACCCACTGGCTTTCATTCTACCCCGGCTTTCCTTTTCCAGAAGGCACACCGGAATGCAACGAGTAGCAGTGATGATGTTATGTTAGGAAATCTTCTAATCTTTTGAATTATAGTAATTTATGAAAATAACAAATCATTCACAGGCTTTAGTACTTTATAATTAGTCACAAATTACTTGCAGTGCATGCCCTGACACATTAGACCTACCAGTGAGTGTAGAGGTGTGTGATTGAGAAGTGCTGCCTTAACTTTGTTTCACAGAAGTATTAAAAAAAAAAAAAGTACTTTGCCTTTTCTGGGCCTCAGTTTCCTCATTTGTAAAATGAGAGGTTTGGACTAATGAATTACTGGAATGCTATGCTTGATGGAAGAAAAGAATGTTCATGATCTGGGCCGGGTGCGGTGGCTCATGTCTATAATCCGAGCACTTTAGGAGGCTAAGGCGGACGGATCACTTGAGCTCAGGAGTTCGAGACCAGCCTGGCCAACATAACAAAACCCTATCTCTACTAAAAATATGAAAATTAGCTGGGCATGGTGGCAAAGGCCTGTAATCCCAGCCACTCGGGAGGCTGAGACACGAGAATTGCCTGAACCCAGGAGGCGGAGGTTGCAGTGAGCAGAGATTGCGCCACTGCACTCCAGCCTGGGTGACAGAGTGAGACTCTGTCTCAAAAAAAAAAAAAAAAAAAAGAATGTTCATAATCTTCTAGTGAAACAACCACGATTTGGGTGCATCTCTGTATATTTAGTATCCTTGATTTGGGTTCAGTTGTTTCTGTCCATCCTTCTAGCCATCCATCCTGGCACTCACTCGTACATTCATATATCAACAACATTTTATTGTTTGTTATATGCCAGGCACCAGGGATATGATATTGAAAGGAGACTAGGACCTGGCCTCCATTACACTCCAATAGGGAAAACAGTCACCAACCATAGTGATGGGAACCATGACTAGCGCTAGGTGGGCCTGTGAAAGAAACTGATCTGGGAGCCCAGGCCAGGGAGGCTACCCTGAGAAGCGAAGAGTGGAGCTGCAACCTGGTGGGGAGCAGAGGGCTGCAGGCTCCAGGCAGATGCATGGCTGGGGAGCTTCATGCGGAATGAGGCAGGAGAGGGAGGTTGGGGCCACAACTGAGAGCAAAGCGAAGCCACAGTGGGGTGACAGGAGCAGACTTTGATTTCTAAGCTGTTGGTCTGGCCACAGCTGGCAGAACAGAATGAAGGGGGCCAGAGAGGATGGGAGAAGGGAATGCTGCACTTGTTCGGTGAGAGGCTGGTGCAGGCAGCCAGTACAAGGCAACGGGAGGCAGCGCCACAGGGCTCAATCTTGCTTTGCGTTACCGGCTCTTTGACCCTGGGTCCTGTCTTGAACTTCTTCGGGAAAATGTCCTTGTGTGTACAATGGGGCCACCCTTCTACCAGGCTGTTGTGTGGATTAAGCGCAATCGTAACTGAAAAGTGCCCAGGCCAGGCTCAGTGGCTCACTCCTGTAATCCCAACACTTTGGGAGGCCGAGGCGGGCAGATCACCTGAAGTCAGGAGTTAGAGACCAGCCTGGCCAATATGGTGAAATCCCATCTCTACTAAAAATACAAAAATTAGCCGGGCATGGTGGTGCACGCCTGTAGTCCAGGCCACTCGGGAGACTGAGGCAGGAGAATTGCTTGAACTCAGGAGGTGGAGGTTGCAGTAAGCTGAGATTGTGCCACTGCACTCCAGCCTGGGCGACAGAGCGAGACTCCATCTCCAAAAAAAAAAAAAAAAAAAAAAAAAAAAAGTGCCCAGAGGGTCTGGCCTGAGTCAGTGTTTAGTACATGGCAACTCTCTATCTTTACGGCTTTGCTTTATGGTTTTGCCGACTCCTGAAAACCTGGTCGTGCAGGGGCCATGTTTGTGTTTTCTGTAGCTGGCCTCCTTCCTCCCTTTAAGCATTGCATGTGTGTGTGTTTCCAGAACTATGCATTTAAGAACCCATCTGCATCCCCATCATCTGCTCAGACCTTGGTTGTGGCAGATGACCCCCTGCCAGCCCCTGCCCATGCTTCTCCCTTCACTGTGCTGTGTACATCTGGTCTGTGATGGAGGCTCTAGTCCCTGGGCCCTCCCTGACCTCCACACAGAGGCAGTGCCCCCAGAGGGTGAAAGGCTTCCATTCGGGGTGCTGGCCTGCGGATTCTGAGCAGAGGCTCTATCCCACACATTTCAACTCAATCTCGAAGCATAAAAGGATATTATGTAAGCTTCAACTAATGCACAGCCCTCAACAGATCAGTTCTTAGAATTTTTCCTGCCCTTAGGCAGATCTGCTCCTGGTGAGCAGCTTTAATCTGGCTTTAAAAATTACTTCTGATGGATAATCAAAGAGATTGCTGGTACCCAGCTTATGCTAAATAAACCAATGTCTGGGTTCTTATTTGGGAGGAGTTGTTGTGTGTCCCATACTCCATGGAAAATTTGTTCCTGGTTGCTTTCTGATAAGACCGCACAAGTTTACAAGATGCCAAAATATAATTTATCATCTTGTTCCAGATGGTAACGACTTCAGCCAGCCTGAAGGGAAGCCACATCCTTTCCTAAGTTGGCAGTTCCTGTCAGAGGCGTGGACAAGAAAGTGGCTTCGTTTCTTTCCAGCTTGATAAAGCCGACATAAATAGGAGCACTTCATTTCTGAATTACACACCATTACTCTTATCACATACTAAACTGTTTGACTTCAGTTAATGGGTGGGACATAATGAAATGTAAAGTGCTTGTTACAAGGAAAATTGCCAGGTCCAGATGCTGAGCAGCGAAGGGTGGGGGAGGAGGCATCGGGTTTCGTTCTGGACCTGGTGCTTTCCAGAAAGCCAGGCCAAGACACTTTATCCAAACCCCAAGTAGTTTTCCAGATGTCAGCCCACTCGGGCCAGGGCTCTCCATGGGCCCATCTGTCTTCCGTGACCATTTGTGAATCGGAGGGTTTTATATAATTTACCCTCTGAGTTTTCTCTTTTTTGGCCTACTCAGCTCTGCTTTTGGGTCAGAAAATGCAAATCTGGTTGAGACAGTAGCCAGCTCTCTTTTGGGTCCTCAGGCACCATTCCCATGTCCTATGTGCAGGAACAGGCATTAGATAAAGATGAGTGCAGGGGTGGTTCTGTGTACATGCCTCCTTCAGGGATGTCAAATGACGCCGCGTGTACTTCAGAGGTGAGGAGCAGGACAGAGAGGCTGGAATGGGGCTGGGGGAAGAGGCTCTTGCCTTCCTTGGAAGTTTTTATTCTGCATAGCAGAGTGAATAAGAAGATTGTGTCCAGTGGAATCAGATGTCCATGTTGAGATCCATGCTTAGCCTCTGTTCTCCAGGGTTCTCATCTGCAAATGGCATGGGTGGTACCCACCTTGCACAGCTGTTGGCAGGGCTAAATGAGATAATCCACACAAAGCACTGAGGCCTAGTGAATTTCATCTGTTATTATTTTCCCAACTTTTTGTTTTGGAAAAACTGAAACCTCAAAAATGTTGAAAGGATGGGACAGTAAATACCCACCTGTCTATGGTATTAGTCTGCTCGGGCTGCCATAAGAAAACACCACAACTTGAGTGACTTAAAATACAGAAATGTATTTTCTCCTGGTTCTGGAGGCTGGAAGTCCTGGTCAGGGTGCTGGTGGAGTTGGTTTCTGGTGAGGCCTTTCTTCCCAGCTTGCAGAAGACACCTGCTTTTGATGTTCTCACATAGCTTTTCCTTTGTGTATCTGCATTCCTGGTGTCTCTTCCTTTCCTTTTTTTTTTTTTGTTTTTTTTTTGTGTTTTTTTGTTTTGAGACAGAGTCTCACTCTGTTGCCCAGGCTGGAGTGCAGTGACATGTTCTCAGCTCACTGCAGCCTCAACCTCCAGCACTCAAGTGATCCTCCCACGTCAGCCTCCTGAGTAGCTGGGACTACAGGTGTGCACCACCATGCCCAGTTGATTTTCATATTTCTTTTTAGAGATGGAGTTTCGCCATGTTGCCCAGGCTGGTCTTGAACTCCTGAGCTCAAGTGATCTGCCTGCCTCAGCCTCCCAAAATGTTGGGATTACAGGTGTGAGCCATGCACCCGGCCTCTTCCTCTTCTTATAAAGAACACCAGTCCTATCAGATTAGGGCCTCACTACTATAACTTCACTTAATCCCAACT
Source organism: Homo sapiens (assembly GCF_000001405.40). Taxonomy (NCBI): domain Eukaryota; kingdom Metazoa; phylum Chordata; class Mammalia; order Primates; family Hominidae; genus Homo; species Homo sapiens. The sequence goes on from NC_000010.11 coordinate 122,080,608, forward strand.
GCCTCCTTAAAGTGCCTGCCTCCAAATACAGTCACATTGGGGATTAGGGCTTCAACATATGGATTTGAGGGGGGCACAGTTCAGTTCATAGCACATATTTTAAAAATTTAACAATAATGCACTTCACCATCTCACTGTATGCATCCCTCATGTATGAATGCATGTGCACTGCCTGGTGTGGAAAACTGGAATTTTGGTAGCGGACATTGAGAGGAGAATCTTTCCACTAGCCCCCTCCAGAACGCTGTGGGCTTATGTGTGTGTGAATATGTGTGCATGTAACAAACAGTTACAAAAAGATTCCATAAATTTTCCTTTGATATTTCCCCTATAATAACTTTAAAGAAAATGGTAAAAGCTTTAGAAAAACCATACTTATGTTAACTTTGTCTTGAGGAATTTCTCTTGTTAATAGAATATATATGATCATAACAAGTATATAGAATCACAATTATGTAAAAATAACAAGAATTGTACCCCCAAACAATTGTGTAGGAAAAATCAGGAAATTCACTAGAACTCTGAAAGTGGCAAGCATGTAGCAGTATTTTTTCTGATTTTTTTTTCCTACATTTTCCACACTTTGTGTTGGCCACATATTATTTTTAAAATTAAAAATTGCACAGCATTGACTAGGCGTGGTGGCTCACGCCTGTAATCCCAGCACTTTGGGAGGCTGAGGCGGGCAGATCACGAGGTTAGGAGATCGAGACCATCCTGGCTAACATGGTGAGACCCCATCTCTACTAAAACTACAAAAAAAAAAAAAAATTAGCTGGGCGTGGTGGCGGGCTTCTGCAGTCCCAGCTACCCGGGAGGCTGAGGCAGGAGAATGGCGTGAACCCAGGAGGCAGAGCTTGCAGTGAGCCGAGATCGCACCACTGCACTCCAGCCTGGGTGACAGAGTGAGACTCCGTCTCAAAAAAAAAAAAAAAAAGGCACAGCATTAAAACTGTGTAGAATTGAGCAACATAGTCCAAATACATCATGTAATAAGCCATTTTATAATAACTGGATAGTTAGTTATCTGTAGTAAGTTCAAAATTCAGAGCCAAGTTCCCCCAAGTTCCCTGAGTGTTTCACTTTTTTTCGCCACACATTACCCAGATAAGTGTTCAAGTTAAGACAAATATGGGTATGAAGGTGATTCAGCTCCCAAGATTTATACATAGGTCACGTGCGGAAATTCCATAGCCAAATATAAATGATTTTGGGGTTATGCCTGTCCCTGTCTCACCTGTTAAATGTGAAGAATCAAGTTAACTATTACCAGGAATGGCTCTTTATTTCAAAGCCTGGCTTTGCCAACTTGTGCTTTTTCCTGAACATCTAAGGATCCCCAGGGGTGCTGGAGACCTGCCTGTAATCTTCACAGGACTGGTTCAAATCCCCTGTTATGATTTACTCTTATTAACAACTTTCTGAGTTGTCAGCACGGTGGCTCACGCCTATAATTCCAGCACTTTGGGAGGCTGAGGTGGGAAGATTGCTTGAGTTTGAGACCAGCCTGAGCAACATGGCAAGACCCCATCTCTACAAAAAATTTAAAAATTAGCTGGGTGTGGTGGTGCAAACCTGTGGTCCCAGCTACTTGGGAGGTTGAGGTGGGAGCACTGCTTGAGCCGAGGAGGCCTAAGCTGCAGTAAGCTATCATTGTGCCACTGCACCTCAGCCTGGGTGACAGGGCAAGACCCTGTCTCAAACAAACAAACAAACAAAACCTTTTTGGGTTTCCCACATTTTATACTACTATAAATGAGTTGCCACATTTCTCTATTCACTGCTGATCAGCATGGAAGGCCCACACTGAGTGTTTGAGATACCCTGCAGTGGTTTTTGGGGGAAACGAGGGCATGCATAATGGTTATGGGAGGGGTGCAGGGGGCTCTCACAGAGAGGAATGAGCTGCATGAGGATGCTGTGTCTGTGGTTAGGGCACTTGATGCCCTTTTGTGGGGGTGGGTTGGGGGGTGACCTGCCTGCAGTGTGGCTCTGTCCTTGGCATCCATGATAACCAATGAAACATTAAATATTTTCAGCATTGGCAGCGTTGGGCTTGGAGGCTTCTGCACCGCTTCTGAGAGTTCTGCCAGCCTGGATCCATGCCTTGTGTCCCCAGAGGTGACTGAGCCAAGGAAGGACCCACAGGGAGCCAGGGGGCCAGAAGGTTCTTTGCTGCCCAGCCCACCACCGTCCCAGGAGCGAGAGCACCCCTCGTCCTCCATGCCCTTTGCCGAGTGTCCCCCGGAAGGTTGCTTGGCAAGTCCAGCAGCGGCACCTGAAGATGGTCCTCAGACTCAGTCTCCCAGGAGGGAACCTGCCCCAAATGCCCCAGGAGACATCGCGGCGGCATTTCCCGCTGAGAGGGACAGCTCTACTCCATACCAAGAGATTGCTGCCGTCCCCAGTGCTGGAAGAGAGAGACAGCCGAAGGAAGAAGGACAGAAGTCCTCCTTCTCCTTCTCCAGTGGCATCGACCAGTCACCTGGAATGTCGCCAGTACCCCTCAGAGAGCCAATGAAGGCACCGCTGTGTGGAGAGGGGGACCAGCCTGGTGGTTTTGAGTCCCAAGAGAAAGAGGCTGCAGGTGGCTTTCCCCCTGCAGAGTCCAGGCAGGGGGTGGCTTCTGTGCAAGTGACCCCTGAGGCCCCTGCTGCAGCCCAGCAGGGCACAGAAAGCTCAGCGGTCTTGGAGAAGTCCCCCCTAAAACCCATGGCCCCGATCCCACAAGATCCAGCCCCAAGAGCCTCAGACAGAGAAAGAGGCCAAGGGGAGGCGCCGCCTCAGTATTTAACAGATGACTTGGAATTCCTCAGGGCCTGCCATCTCCCTAGGAGCAATTCAGGGGCTGCCCCAGAAGCAGAAGTGAATGCCGCTTCCCAGGAGAGCTGCCAGCAGCCAGTGGGAGCATATCTGCCGCACGCAGAGCTGCCCTGGGGCTTGCCAAGTCCTGCCCTGGTGCCAGAGGCTGGGGGCTCTGGGAAGGAGGCTCTGGACACCATTGATGTTCAGGGTCACCCACAGACAGGGATGCGAGGAACCAAGCCCAATCAAGTTGTCTGTGTGGCAGCAGGCGGCCAGCCCGAAGGGGGTTTGCCTGTGAGCCCTGAACCTTCCCTGCTCACTCCGACTGAGGAAGCACATCCAGCTTCAAGCCTCGCTTCATTCCCAGCTGCTCAGATTCCTATTGCTGTAGAAGAACCTGGATCATCATCCAGGGAATCAGTTTCCAAGGCTGGGATGCCAGTTTCTGCAGATGCAGCCAAAGAGGTGGTGGATGCAGGGTTGGTGGGACTGGAGAGGCAGGTGTCAGATCTTGGAAGCAAGGGAGAGCATCCAGAAGGGGACCCTGGAGAGGTTCCTGCCCCATCACCCCAGGAGAGGGGAGAGCACTTGAACACGGAGCAAAGCCATGAGGTCCAACCAGGAGTACCACCCCCTCCTCTTCCCAAGGAGCAAAGCCATGAGGTCCAACCAGGAGCACCACCCCCTCCTCTTCCCAAGGCACCAAGTGAAAGTGCCAGAGGGCCACCGGGGCCAACGGATGGAGCCAAGGTCCATGAAGATTCCACAAGCCCAGCCGTGGCTAAAGAAGGAAGCAGATCACCTGGTGACAGCCCTGGAGGAAAGGAGGAAGCCCCAGAGCCACCTGATGGTGGAGACCCAGGGAACCTGCAAGGAGAGGACTCTCAGGCTTTCAGCAGCAAGCGTGATCCAGAAGTAGGCAAAGATGAGCTTTCAAAGCCAAGCAGTGATGCAGAGAGCAGAGACCATCCCAGCTCACACTCAGCACAGCCACCCAGAAAGGGGGGTGCTGGGCACACGGACGGGCCCCACTCTCAGACAGCAGAGGCTGATGCATCTGGCCTACCACACAAGCTGGGTGAGGAGGACCCCGTCCTGCCCCCTGTGCCAGATGGAGCTGGTGAGCCCACTGTTCCCGAAGGAGCCATCTGGGAGGGGTCAGGATTGCAGCCCAAATGTCCTGACACCCTTCAGAGCAGGGAAGGATTGGGAAGAATGGAGTCTTTCCTGACTTTAGAATCAGAGAAATCAGATTTTCCACCAACTCCTGTTGCAGAGGTTGCACCCAAAGCCCAGGAAGGTGAGAGCACATTGGAAATAAGGAAGATGGGCAGCTGTGATGGGGAGGGCTTGCTGACGTCCCCAGATCAACCCCGCGGGCCGGCGTGTGATGCGTCGAGACAGGAATTTCATGCTGGGGTGCCACATCCCCCCCAGGGGGAGAACTTGGCAGCAGACCTGGGGCTCACGGCACTCATCCTGGACCAAGATCAGCAGGGAATCCCATCCTGCCCAGGGGAAGGCTGGATAAGAGGAGCTGCATCCGAGTGGCCCCTACTATCTTCTGAGAAGCATCTCCAGCCATCCCAGGCACAACCAGAGACATCCATCTTTGACGTGCTCAAGGAGCAGGCCCAGCCACCTGAAAATGGGAAAGAGACTTCTCCAAGCCATCCAGGTTTTAAGGACCAGGGAGCAGATTCTTCCCAAATCCATGTACCTGTGGAACCTCAGGAAGATAACAACTTGCCCACTCATGGAGGACAGGAGCAGGCTTTGGGATCAGAACTTCAAAGTCAGCTCCCCAAAGGCACCCTGTCTGATACTCCAACTTCATCTCCCACTGACATGGTTTGGGAGAGTTCTCTGACAGAAGAGTCAGAATTGTCAGCACCAACGAGACAGAAGTTGCCTGCACTAGGGGAGAAGCGGCCAGAGGGAGCATGCGGTGATGGTCAGTCCTCGAGGGTCTCGCCTCCAGCAGCAGATGTCTTAAAAGACTTTTCTCTTGCAGGGAACTTCAGCAGAAAGGAAACTTGCTGCACTGGGCAGGGGCCAAACAAGTCTCAACAGGCATTGGCTGATGCCTTGGAAGAAGGCAGCCAGCATGAAGAAGCATGTCAAAGGCATCCAGGAGCTTCTGAAGCAGCTGATGGTTGTTCCCCACTCTGGGGCTTGAGTAAGAGGGAGATGGCAAGTGGAAACACAGGGGAGGCCCCACCTTGTCAGCCTGACTCAGTAGCTCTCCTGGATGCAGTTCCCTGCCTGCCAGCCCTGGCGCCCGCCAGCCCCGGAGTCACACCCACCCAGGATGCCCCAGAGACAGAGGCATGTGATGAAACCCAGGAAGGCAGGCAGCAACCAGTGCCGGCCCCGCAGCAGAAAATGGAGTGCTGGGCCACTTCGGATGCAGAGTCCCCAAAGCTTCTTGCAAGTTTCCCATCAGCTGGGGAGCAAGGTGGTGAAGCCGGGGCTGCTGAGACTGGTGGCAGCGCTGGTGCAGGAGACCCAGGAAAGCAGCAGGCTCCGGAGAAACCTGGAGAAGCTACTTTGAGTTGTGGCCTCCTTCAGACTGAGCACTGCCTTACCTCCGGGGAGGAAGCTTCTACCTCTGCCCTACGTGAGTCCTGCCAAGCTGAGCACCCCATGGCCAGCTGCCAGGATGCCTTGCTGCCAGCCAGAGAGCTGGGTGGGATTCCCAGGAGCACCATGGATTTTTCTACACACCAGGCTGTCCCAGACCCAAAGGAGCTCCTGCTGTCTGGGCCACCAGAAGTGGCTGCTCCTGACACCCCTTACCTGCATGTCGACAGTGCTGCCCAGAGAGGAGCAGAAGACAGTGGAGTGAAAGCTGTTTCCTCTGCAGACCCCAGAGCTCCTGGCGAAAGCCCCTGTCCTGTAGGGGAGCCCCCACTTGCCTTGGAAAATGCTGCCTCCTTGAAGCTGTTTGCTGGCTCCCTCGCCCCCCTGTTGCAACCAGGAGCTGCAGGTGGGGAAATCCCTGCAGTGCAAGCCAGCAGTGGTAGTCCCAAAGCCAGAACCACTGAGGGACCAGTGGACTCCATGCCATGCCTGGACCGGATGCCACTTCTGGCCAAGGGCAAGCAGGCAACAGGGGAAGAGAAAGCAGCAACAGCTCCAGGTGCAGGTGCCAAGGCCAGTGGGGAGGGCATGGCAGGTGATGCAGCAGGAGAGACAGAGGGCAGCATGGAGAGGATGGGAGAGCCTTCCCAGGACCCAAAGCAGGGCACATCAGGTGGTGTGGACACAAGCTCTGAGCAAATCGCCACCCTCACTGGCTTCCCAGACTTCAGGGAGCACATCGCCAAGATCTTCGAGAAGCCTGTGCTCGGAGCCCTGGCCACACCTGGAGAAAAGGCAGGAGCTGGGAGGAGTGCAGTGGGTAAAGACCTCACCAGGCCATTGGGCCCAGAGAAGCTTCTAGATGGGCCTCCAGGAGTGGATGTCACCCTTCTCCCTGCACCTCCTGCTCGACTCCAGGTGGAGAAGAAGCAACAGTTGGCTGGAGAGGCTGAGATTTCCCATCTGGCTCTGCAAGATCCAGCTTCAGACAAGCTTCTGGGTCCAGCAGGGCTGACCTGGGAGCGGAACTTGCCAGGTGCCGGTGTGGGGAAGGAGATGGCAGGTGTCCCACCCACACTGAGGGAAGACGAGAGGCCAGAGGGGCCTGGGGCAGCCTGGCCAGGCCTGGAAGGCCAGGCTTACTCACAGCTGGAGAGGAGCAGGCAGGAATTAGCTTCAGGTCTTCCTTCACCAGCAGCTACTCAGGAGCTCCCTGTGGAGAGAGCTGCTGCCTTCCAGGTGGCTCCCCATAGCCATGGAGAAGAGGCCGTGGCCCAAGACAGAATTCCTTCTGGAAAGCAGCACCAGGAAACATCTGCCTGCGACAGTCCACATGGAGAAGATGGTCCCGGGGACTTTGCTCACACAGGGGTTCCAGGACATGTGCCAAGGTCCACGTGTGCCCCTTCTCCTCAGAGGGAGGTTTTGACTGTGCCTGAGGCCAACAGTGAGCCCTGGACCCTTGACACGCTTGGGGGTGAAAGGAGACCCGGAGTCACTGCTGGCATCTTGGAAATGCGAAATGCCCTGGGCAACCAGAGCACCCCTGCACCACCAACTGGAGAAGTGGCAGACACTCCCCTGGAGCCTGGCAAGGTGGCAGGCGCTGCTGGGGAAGCAGAGGGTGACATCACCCTGAGCACAGCTGAGACACAGGCATGTGCGTCCGGTGATCTGCCTGAAGCAGGTACTACGAGGACATTCTCCGTTGTGGCAGGTGACTTGGTGCTGCCAGGAAGCTGTCAGGACCCAGCCTGCTCTGACAAGGCTCCGGGGATGGAGGGTACAGCTGCCCTTCATGGGGACAGCCCAGCCAGGCCCCAGCAGGCTAAGGAGCAGCCAGGGCCTGAGCGCCCCATTCCAGCTGGGGATGGGAAGGTGTGCGTCTCCTCACCTCCAGAGCCTGACGAAACTCACGACCCGAAGCTGCAACATTTGGCTCCAGAAGAGCTCCACACTGACAGGTACTTAAATGAAAAAATTCCCACGGGAATGTGTGGTCAGTTTCAAAGGTGATTCCCAGCCTGATTTTTAGAAGTCAGTCGCATAGGTGAGTGGTTTTCTAAAAGCTGAGTTTTCCATATCTAATTGCTAAATGAACCTGCTTACCCCCTCTGGATGTCCTGAGGCTCTGAAAAATGTGAGAACCATGGTTGGAGGCTGGGAGCTGTTGACTATGTTCTTTTTCTTGTGTTCCTTAATTCATCTAACTTAAACCACTGGAAAAGTATCAACTGTTTACTGGCTGGCTGTGTACTATTAAGTGATAGGTTATAGTCAGTCATATATTTTTCTGGAGTCCAGATACATCTGCTTTTGAATCTGGATTTATTTAGTCAGGGGGCCCTTTTTCCTAGGGATTTTTTTTTTTGTAGTAGCCACTTAAAACTTTAATTGAGAAATCTGCTTTTTCAATAGGACATGAGGAGAAATGCCTTACTATCTACATTATCCTATTAATTGCTTTCTTTTATTATCCCAGAGAGAGCCCCAGGCCTGGCCCATCCATGTTACCTTCGGTTCCTAAGAAGGATGCTCCAAGAGTCATGGATAAAGTCACTTCAGATGAGACCAGAGGTGCGGAAGGAACAGAAAGGTCAGCGAAAGATATTGGTCTTTGGAAGGCCATGATGCCTTCCTTAGATACAGACACACTGGATGTTTTGGAAAGGAGAGTAGTCCTTATACAGCATGAGTTCCTACATAAGAAAGAAGCAAATGGCCATTCCCGTTTTATGTACAGGTACAGCAGTACCTGGGATGACTAAAAGCTCCATTGTTGGAAAAGGGATTGAATGAGTTGCTTTCATACTTGAGTTTATTACCTTAAATTTAAAAAGTCAGTCTGGGTGCGGTGGCTCATGCCTGTAATCCCAACACTTTGGGAGGTCGAGGCAGGAAGATCACTTGAGCCCAGGAGTTTGAGACCAGCCACATGGTGAAACCCCATCTTTAGAAAAAATACAAAGATTAGCCGGGCACAGTGGCACGTGTCTGTAGTCCCAGTTACTTGGAAGTCTGAGTTGGGAGGATCGATCGTTTGAGCCCAGGAGGTGAAGGTTGCAGTGAGCCGTGTTTGTGCCACTGCACTCCACCCTGGGTGACAGAGACCCTGTCTCAAAAAAAGAAAAGAATCTTTATTGAGATGCAATTCATATACCACATAATTCACTCATACAATTCAGTGGCTTGTAGTATATTCACAGTGTGTAACCATGGCTACAATCAATTTCAGGTTATTTTCATCCCCACAGAAAGAAACCCTACAGCCCCTAGATATCATACCCCAGCCCCCACACCCGCCGCATCATCTCTAGGCACCCATTCATCTAGTTCATTACATCTTGATGCAAATGGGTTCAATGCTGATTTAGTCTCCGAAGCAGGAATGGCTCACCAACAGCGGTCACACTCCAGGAGATCTCGAGATTCAAGGAGGGTAAATGTAACCACGAACAGTGACCTTCACACTTGCAGTGTGCCTGCCTGTTCTTTTCTACATGAAATGCCACCTAGTGTTATGCAGAAGCTGCTGCTCAAGGTTTCATCCTTTTGGGGAAATGGTGATATTGTGCACGTACACAGACACACAGTGAACAAGCTTTCCGCCTCCCTAGGCCTTTGGCTGTTCTGGTGCTGTGTGTGCACACATATACATGCATACAACACTTGTGTGTATGAGTAGGGTGGAATCAGACTTTAAATTAGTACCTGTGTACCCTACCAAACAGCTGCAGGCATTTTATAAATGATCTGATTCATATTTTGCACATTCAGAAAGAATGCACGATCACCTGTTTTTCGAGTCTGAACACTTCCACTGACACCCAGCTGCCTCTGCCGCCTGGCAGTAGTGACTCCCATAGCTCTGAGCCAATGTGGATGTGGGCATGTGCTGGCCAAACAGATGCAAGTTTAATCTGCATTGGACACCCTTTTTTGCTACTGACTTAGGATACAATTTCCTGCAGCCTTTGCTGTTATGTATTTTTTATATTCCCAGTTAAGGGGCAGGAGAAATATCTGTCTAGCTTGGAAAAGTCTTCCCCACCCCAAAAATGACCATATCAGTGCCTTCTTTTTCAGAGTCCTTAAACATGTTAGCACCTTCTTGGAGAAGGCAGGGCCAGATGTATAGTAGTACAATAAATATTTCATGACTTGTTGTTTTAATCACTTTAAATTGTAAAATTAAAATTTATAAATTAGTATTATAAATTATAGTTTTTTCCAGAATACTTGTGAGGTATGGAAAAGTAGATACAGAAGGGGCAGGTGTGGTGGCTCACACCTGTAATCCCAGCACTTTGGGAGACCGAGGCAGGCAGATCACAAGGTCAGGAGATCGAGACCATCCTGGCTAACACGGTGAAACCCCGTCTGTACTAAAAAATACAAAAAATTAGCTGGGTGTGGTGGCGGGCGCCTGTAGTCCCAGCTACTCGGGAGGCTGAGGCAGGAGAATGGCGTGAACCCGGGAGGTGGAGCTTGCAGTGAGCCGAGATTGCGCCACTGCACTCCAGCCTGGGTGACAGAGTGAGACTCTATCTCAAAAAAAAAAAAAAAAGAAAAAAAAAAAAGAAAGAAAAGTAGACAGAGAAAAATTCACAACCACAATACCTACCAATTATTATTGCGTATTTTAGTATATTTTCATTTTAGCAGATTTTTAGTGCCATCAAAGCACTCTTTAGTGTTTTTAGTGCTGTCAAAACTCTTTAAAAACAAATCCTTAAAAAATTATTTATTTATTCATGTATTTATTTATTTTTAGACAGGGTCTCACTCTGTCACCCAGGCTGGACTGCAGTGGCACAATCTCTGCTCAATGCAGCCTCGACCACCCCAGGATCCTCCCACTTCAGCCTCCCTAGTAGCTGGGACTACAGGTGTGCACCACCATGCTCAGCTTATTTTTAATTTTTTGTAGAGATGGGGTTTCACCATGGTGCTCAGCCTAGTCTTGAACTCTGGGCTCAAGCAATCTTCCTGCTTCTGCCTCCCAAAGTGCTGTGATTACAGGCATGAGCCACCATACTCAGCCTACAAACAGATCTTCATGGCTGAAATTGCATGACTGATTATGGTTTTAACAGCAATGGAAATTTAGGTTCTGATGGTGTTCCTATTCACTTTGCTCCTGCTGAGACTTTTGTACTCTCTAGAGCTGCTCGGTCTAGCATAGCAGCCCCTGGCTACGTGTGGATGGAGATGTGCTGTAAGTGTAAAATACACACCCAATGTTGAAAATTTAGTATGAAAAAAAAAGAAAATACATCACTAGTCATTTTGAATATAATGTTAATTATATGCAAAATAATAATATTTTGGATCTATTGGGTTAAAATGTATTACTAAAATCAACTTCACTTATTTCTTTTTTCTGTTTTTTCAATGTGGCTCCCTAAATTTAAAAAATGACATATGTGGCTTTTGAATACCTGGGTCACATTCTATTTGGATCACTTGCCCCTAGAAGCTGCTTTTCCCTGGTCTTTGAAGGAAATGGGGTCATAAAGAGTTGGCCTTCCCTGTGCTTTAGGCTCTTGGGGAAAAGGCTTCCTAACATTGGTTGAGGGTTTCTGGAAAAAATTCGGATTGGACTCTCTCATCCAGCCTGGCAGGTTGGGAATGCTTCTTTCTCTTGAGGCAGAGGCTCTGAACTTCTTGCTTGTGAACCCATCCACCATGAGGAAGCCGTGCACGTGGACCTGGGCTGGTCTCGGAGGAAGTCCTGCCAGGCCAGGGGCTGTACTTCCTAGGAGGGGCAGGTGTTGCCTTTGAAGGTGAAAATCAGCAGCGGTCTTGGGGAGGCTGGGTGACCAGACTTCGGTGAACACTGCCAGGAGCTGTGGTGGCGATGAATTTCAGGGACAGGTCTCTGAATTCACACCCCAGCTCTGCTCCTTACTAATTACATACCTAACCTCAGTTTGTTCATCTGTAGAATGGGGATGACACCAATTGTACCTGCCTCAAAGAATTGCCATGAGGGTTAAATGAGATCCTTGATTCAAGCGCTGGAGCGTGCCCATTCTGGTGCCCAGTGGGTGTTAGATTCCCTGTTGTTTTGTGATGGGCATTTCTGGTGCAGTGACCTGCACGATTATATCTCTCTTCAGGGTGGAGATGGTTTTGGGATCTCAGTCTGTTCTCCTGAGGTTGAAACTTCAACCTGGCTGTCTTTCTTTTCCAGCGTTGAATTCTTTCTCTGCTAAAATATTTCAATGGCTGAGGAGAGTGAATTCTTTTTTACCCCCTACTGCACAGCCCAGAGTGATCTGCTACAAGTTAAAAATTTTGAGATTGTGTTTCACTGTAACACTTTGAGTATCTTTGTGTACCATATTATATTGTATTTCACCATCAAAACACTGTTTCAAGTTACCTCCAGAAGAGCAAAGCAAAGCAAAACCAAGTTTTCTATTATCTTGCTAGTTATCAGGTGACATGCTTCTGTGGATTGAATTTTGAAGATTCTGCCAATTTGAATAGGGCTGATATCACATATAAGATTCAATATCTAAGAAATGTGTCTTTTTCTATTTTGATGACAGGATAGTTTGATAACCCATCTCATACACATGTACATGAAGGTAGCATAAATTTGTTTACTGCTTTATTGTCCATCTTATGAAGTCAAATTGGCATTGCTAATGGATGTGGCATGGATATCCTGTGGCTTTGCCTACCTCCAGCCACACCTCACACCCATGGGGGTCTGTGTGTCCCCCACTCTGAGAAACAGGCACTCTTCTCACTCTGAGAAGCAGGAACTCACAATGCATAGAAATGTATAGAATGAAATGTACAGAGAGTGGCTGTGCATTTCTGTACATTGTATGATCCTCCCTGTGGAAGAGCCTGGGACTCAGAGACAGCCTCATGTTAGTTTCAGGTTGTTCTGCAGAAGGTGCTTGAATCAATTTCACCTACGTACATATACAACTATCTTCCCTGTTAGTGGAAGGTCTAGAATTTGGCATTTTGGTTACATAGCACTAATGTTCAGATGTGTCGTTCTGGATTAATCTTGGATATCACCAAGCTTGTCGTTGCTGAATATGTGTTTAAAAGGAGTCGTTCTCTCTTTGTCTCTCTCTTTTTTTTTTTTTTCCATTTAGGGAAATGGTTGGAAAGGTATTTTCAAGTATTAGTGGATTTTAAGAGGATCAAATTGTTCCCAGATGCTTAGGGTCTTTGTGTAAACCTAGGCTGAATGGGGAAGGGCAATTGGATTGAAAAGTGGAGGGAGGGAGGACAGAGAGGACAGCTGGCCTCCCATTAAGGAAGCCCTGGCTGGACCTGAAAGCCTCACTGGAGCCGCTTCTCTCTTGTCCTCCCATGCCTCCTTCCCATTTGGTCTCTGTTTCTTCCTTTTCCCTCCACTCCGTTCTAAAATTACCAGCTGTGACACCATGTTTTCAAGTTTAAGAATAAGCTTTTAGAGGATGGCTACAACTGTATAAATTAAGGAAAAGAGAAAACAACATTGAAGCATGGTTCTCTTAGCAGATAAAGCCAGGACAACAGACCTCACCCCCGATTTTATATGACATAGGAAATCGACACTTGGTAATGTCACTTACAGCAATACTCTTCTCAGATGGGAGGCAGTTAAGTTAGACAGATGCATTCACATCTCATTGGCCTCTTATTGGCTTCGTTACCTTGGATAAGCTGCTTAACTTTTCCATCCTCAGTTTCTCTCTCTATAAAATGGGAAGATAACATCTCTCTTTTAGGATTGGGGTTAGGATAAAATTGGAATGTTTCCAAAGCTCCTGGGATAATGCCTGGTATATGGTAAATGTATGATTACAATGGTAACTACTCTTGTAATTTGAAATGTATTTCTTCGAAACCATCCTGGAAATTAAGCAAAAGGAGGCAATGCCCAAGATCTCCAAATGAAATGGTAACAGACCCTGCAGGAATCTGTAGACGCAGAAACTGGATGAGCGTCTGTCTCCAGCCCTTCCACGTCTCTGAGCCTGTTTCTGTCTGTCAAGCTGGGGGCTCCACGAACCCTGCTTGGCCCACAAGGAGCTCCTTATGTGAAATGAGATCACAGAATCAAAAGTACTTAGGAAACTAAAGCCTTTACAAATTGTGTTCTTATCAATAGCTTCAGTCACTATAAACAATCATATACCAAAGTCAAGGAGCCTTTGGAAATGCAGCCTTTATGTGTTTCATAAGTAAAATGAAGCATCTGTGTTTCATAAGTAAAATGAATTTCCTGAGAGGTGAATCTGTCATTTGGAAAAGCTTCAAGTATCTTTATTTATTTATTTTAGAGATAAGGTCTTGTTTTGTCTCTTAGGATGGAGTGACTTGGTGAGATTATAGCTCACTCTAACCTCCAATTCCTGGGGTCAAGCAACTCTCCAGCCTCCGTGCCTCCCAAGTAGCTGAGACTGCAGGTGCGCGCCACTACACCTAGCTAATTTTCAACTTTTTTGTAGAGATGGCGTCTCACTATGTTGTCCAGGCTGGTCTCGAACTCCCAGCCTCAAACAATCCTCCCACCTTGGCCTCCTAAAGCACTGGGATTATTATAGGCATGAGCCACCATGCCCGACCCTCTAAATCCCTTTGAAAGTGGGTTCATGAAGCATCTGCACAAAGGGCGGCTGCCTCCTTGGTGGCAGGGGCTGGATTCACTGTCTTCAGGTGGCTGGGACAGGCATGCCACCACCTTGGCTTCTGGCTCTCCAGAGCTTGGGAGCCTCTCTGCCGCTTGTCCCCTGTTCATGCTGCACTTGAACCCACAGCATGGAAGAGCCGCTCACTGCCACTTCAAAGTCAAGGGCCAGTTTCATTCAGATCAAGGTGATGATTTCCCAAATTGAATGTCTCCAAGCTGACTTGCTCCTCTCTGAGAACTTCTCATTATGGCCACCGGTAGAAGCCACTGTGTTTGACCTGGGTTTGGGTTTTGTTTCAGCAGCAATGTTTGAGAGATGAATATTTTACACTCTAGCTGGTGAGAGCTGCAAGGAAATGTGGGGGCATTCTTATTGAGCTCCCCCCCACCACTTTATGGAGGAGGAAACTGAGTCTCAGAATGGGGACAGGACTAGGGGGCTAACTAGCTGCAGAGACAGACCTGGGTTTTGGCCCCTGATGGCAAGTTTCCCCCCAGATGCCTGTGCTGAACTGGGGACCCTCCTTAGGAGGGGGATGGGGATCTTCCTTTCACCAATGCCAGCCACCCCAATTCTGCTTCTAGGCTTTTGAGAAAAGACCATATGATTCTGAGGTCTAGGGTGTGACAAGCACAGGCCTCAAGAGTTGACAGGGCTCAGGTTCTAGCTCTGTGATCCTGGGGCCATCGCCTTGCGGGGCATTTGACTCACCCGTAAAATGGAGCAAATAGTACTCCCTTACAGCGCTGTTAAAATTAAATGAGCCACTTTATTGAGAGCACCTGCCACAAGTGCTCTGTATAAGTTCCTTTCATTTATTCCCCACTCTGGGCCAATGTACTTCCACACTGCAGCATCGTGGTTCTTTCTCACCTCAACCTGTAGGTGGGTGCTGTTTGTGTACCCCTTTTCCAGATGAGGAAATGGAGGCTCCCAATGGTGACATGGCTTGGTCAAGGTCAAAAAGCTAATAAGAGTTGGAACTAGAACTAGAACCTCAAGGCTTTTCAGACATCAGATCTACGTTCAGAACGCTGATCATTCTCTTACTAGCCAGGTGGAGTCCTGGGGAGGCGCCCTGTTCCCTACAGCAACGCTGTCCACCGACGGTTCTTCAGTGGTGGGAATGTCCTGTGTCTCCACTCTCCAATACAGTCGCTGCTGGCCACAGGCTGCTAGCGAGCACTTGAAATGAGGCTGGTGCCACTAAGGAACCAAATTGTTAATTTTGTTTAATTTCAACTAATTGAAATTTATAGTGAAATACCCACATGGGGCTGTGGCTTCCACACAGGACAACCCAACTGGAAGCCACTGTGTCTTTGCATTACGTCAGAGGCTAATCCTTGCCATCAGAGCCAGTGGGTGTGGTGAGGCTCTGTGTGTGAGGCCCTGGACATTTCTCAAGCACCTGCTGGTGCTCGGTGAGTATTAGGCGCCCCTTCCTCCCGCTGGCTGGCTCTGTAAGTGGGGAGACCAAGTGGTTGTGTCTCTAGAATGGAGGCTGAGGTGTGTTCGTGGCACATCTGCCCAGTAATGCGGATCAGCAGGAGGTGTCTTTCCTGCACCCAAGGAGGCCTCCCATTGCACCTGGGGGCTTGGCTTCACCTATGTGACCTCACATCCAGGCCTGCGCACCCGTATCTGAGCTGGCATTGTAAGAAGCCCTGGATGGCCCCATGAACTGGCTCCTGACAGCAGCGCTTGTGGCAAACCCTCCCTGCCCACAAACCCCCCGGTGGCCACACCTACAAGAGTGCCCCTTACCGGCCAGGCGCGGTGGCTCACGCCTATAATCCCAGCACTTTGGGAGGCCGAGGCTGGTGGATCATCTGAGGTCAGGAGCTCAAGACCAGCCTGACCAACATGGTAAAACCCTGTCTCTACTAAAAATACAAAATTCGCTGGGCAGGGTGGTGCATGCCTATAATCCCAGCTACACAGGAGGCTGAGGTGGGAGAATCACCTGAACCCAGGAGGCAGAGGTTGCAGTGAACTGAGATCGCGCCATTGCACTCCAGCCTGGGCGACAGAGCAAAACTCCGTCTCAAAAAAAAAAAAAAAAAGACTGCCCCTCACCAGACTGGGAGGGAGCCCAAATGGGCAGACATGTGGTTTTTCCACTGATGTCTCTGCACTGTTCTTGTCCCGAAAACCTGGCAGGATGAGGAACAGGCCCCAGCTTACAGCATCTCAGCCCCTTCTTTCTTCTCTGCTTTCTTAATGCCTGTTAGTCCAGTGTTAAATATTTTAGCAGCCTGATGACTCAGATGTAGACTGTGAAAGTGTTTCTTTTTCCAGGGAAGGCACTGGAACAGGTCTAGTTACTGATGCTCTTAATGCCCTTTCCTTTTGCAAGCCTGGCCGAGGGTGTTTAGGAATAAAAACTTGCCTGGTTGCTGGGCACGGTGGCTCATGCCTATAATCTCAGCACTTTGAGAGGCTGAGGTGGGAGGATTGCTTGAGCCCAGGAGTTAGAGACCAGCTTGGGCAACATAGTGAGACTCCATCTCTACAAAAAGAAAAAGAAAAATTAGCGTGGTGTGGTGGTACATGCCTGTGGTCCCAGCTATTCAGGAGGCTGAGGTGGGAGGATCGCTTGAGCCCAGGAGGTCGAGGCTGCAGTGAGCCAAGGTCATACCACTGTACTCCTGGGTACAGCCTGGGTGACAGAGTGAGGTACTGTCTCAAAGAAAAGGAGGAAGAAGAAAAAGAAGAAGAGTTGGAGGAGGAGAAGGAGGAGAAAAGAAGAAAGAAGAAGAAACTCAGGGGAAGGGAGTCTATGTCCCGAGAGAGGGCAGGGTGCGCCTAGCAAGGACCCCAATGCACAGTGGATTTGGGTCAGCACTCAGTTTTCAGGCCAGGAGTACACTCGGTGGGAGAAGAGCGGGGCTCTGAAGTGGCCCCAGGGGACGGGGAGGGCCCTGGGAGTAGGAGGGAGGAGAAATGAGGCTGAGGATGAGATCAAGCTGGAGGCTAGGGTTGGTAGGCGGCCGGAGTTTAAATCCTGGCTCCCACTGGAGGGGTGATGCTGGGTGCTATTAGGACTGCCCCAAGCCTCAGCTTCTTTGCAGGTAAATGGGGCTGACAATGTCTCCTGGGGGTAAAGGAGGGTTACAGTGGGGAGAAGATGAGATGAGACACGGCACACCCGACACAAAGTCAGCTTGCAGTGGAGACTTCGTGGACAAGGTCCCTGAGCTGCAGGGGGGCTTCTGGGCAACTCCATCCCCACAGCCAGCTCAGCAGCCACCCAGCAAATGTGCACCCAAGCCAGGCACTTGGAAGGAGAAGCCGAGGGCTCTCTCACCGGGGAAGAGCTGAGATGGGCTTTCAGGACACGCTGGGTACACGCTCCTCTGCTAGAAAGAGGTTTGGGGTAAATGGTTAGGTGGGTAGGTAGGTAGGTTGATGTGGGGCAGGTGAGTGACAGATGTGGTTTGTTGACTCCCAGCCCAGGGCCCAGCACACACGTGAGGAGTCAGCTGTTCACGGGCTCCTGTCTGCTCGCTATGTACCCTGTAGGATCAGGAAGTTGGACATCATGATCCTAGGTTGTCTTTCTAGAAATGTTTGCATGGATATGTTTGTGGCCATTTTGATAGAGAGCTGGTCTTGGCCTCTGGCTAAGAGAATAAGCTATGATCTTGTTTCTTGGAGAATGTTAGATTTGCAGGGCATGGCTCTTGGTTACCCAGCACCTGATACCTTGCATGAGGCACCTTAGGCGCTGCATACGTGTTTGCTACATAATTCAACACAACTAGCTATCAGGTGAGTCTGAGGGTTCCTGTCCTGAAAAACGAGGTCAGACAGCACTTTGGAGGCAGGTGGCTGCGTCTAACTCACGGCTCTGCTATTAGACTCTTTACCCTCGAGCAAGTTCCTTAGCCACCCTAAGTTTCTTGCCTGAAAGATGTGTATAATGCTAGGGTCCACCACAGAGAGTTATGTAAAAAATAACGTGTGAAAAGCTTAGCAAAGTGCCCACCTGGCATGCAGTAAGCACTGAGGTACCAGAGGTTACTGTTTTTATTGCTACTATCATTAATATTACCATCATCACTTAAATGATGATAAGACTATTCTTAAGGTAGATTAATGGTAGGTACCTGTGTTTTTACACACGGGCTCATAGAGTTCACGTACATCTGGCCTGGATTTGTTGGAATGTGCCACTACCCTCTAATGCTTCTTCTCGTCCTGTAGCCTCAGCCTCCCAATGGGGGTGGCTCTCCGTGTTGCAATATTGTATAGGATGCGAAGTGGAGCCATCTGGCACCCGTGGGGAATGCATTCCCTTCCTTGTGGAATCTAGGGCTTTGGGGTTAACCTCTTGCCAGGAGCGGCTGCAGAGAGGCTGCAAGCTAACATTAGTGGGTGGGAGTACGCCTGTGTGGTGAGCCTGGCTGTGCTGAGCACATCTCATGGGACAAACCGCCTCGACAATTTTGGCATGATATTTTGAGCTGTGAGCCCATTCCAAACCCCTAGAGGAAAGGGCAGGGTGAAAAGTCATCTGGCCCTGCCTGCCAGACGCCATAACATAATAGCTGGAGGAGTAGACTGTTCCTGGCAAGTGACGAAGCAGCTGGTATTGAAACATACACATGGCCAGAGTTGGCAGACTGAGAATTTGGAGCAGAGTGTGAGTGCCGAGCCTGGGCTTAAGTCTCAACCCCAGACCAGACTGCCTTTCCAGGCCACCTATGAAGGATGGCTGGGCAGATGCTCCTCTGGCACCTGAGGCTGGGTAGCAGCGAAGCTCACCTTTGAGATGAGGTACCACCTCATGCCTGGCTTGGGCATTCATAGTCATTCATAGTCTCCTTCTGACACACTCAGCTGGAAGGAGATAAAACTCCAGTTTCAGCAGAACGTTCTCCTGTTGAACTCTAATCTGAGTCTGTCCTCCCCAGCAGCATCCACATACTTCCCAAATTGTGGTGAATTAAAGAAGCTGCAAGCACTGGCCCAACTGGCTTTTGCTGGTGGTTTTTCGGCAACCCTCCTGCAAATGCTGTCAGCCAAGCAAAGGAAAGCCAGGGCCACAAAGCACAGAGGCTACAGCTTAACTCAGCTTAACTCTGTTTCTTTACAAGTGGGCTATAAATTTGTGGGAGATAAAACGACTTAATGATCACTGCAGGGTTTAGTTTTGTTTTTTCAAGAAGATGGGAAGCTTATGTGTTAGGAACTACCAGGCTTCTGTTGAAGTGTTGTGTATACCTCTCATTTAGTTCATATTTTATCTTCAATGGAGAGGATTCTGTAAAAATGGAATGTAGAAAATTGCCTCTCCTGGGGTGACACTTTTGCTTTCAGAAACTCTTTGGGGCTGGGCACAGTGGCTGACGCCTGTAATCCCAGCACTTTGGGAGGCCAAGGCAGGAGGATCACCTGAGGTCAGGAGTTTGAGACCAGCCTGGCCAACAAGGCGAAACTCCGTCTCTACTAAAAATACAAAATTAGCCAAGCGTGGTGGCGTGCGCCTGTAGTCCCTGCTGCTCGGGAGGCTGAGACAGGAGAATCGTTTGAACTTGGGAGGCGGAGCTTGCAGTGAGCCGAGATCGTGCCATTGCACTCCAGCCTGGGCAACAGAGCGAGACTCTGTCTCAAAAAAAAAAAAAAAGAAACTCTCTTTGCATTCTGCATTTGGGGACTGTGACTGAGTCTAAGAGGAAAGCTGTAACTCTTCCCTGCTCCTTTCTGAGAAGGAAAGGTCCTGAAAAGCCACTGGCTCTAAGGTCTAACAAAGGCCATTTTGTGTCTTCTCTTCCTTTTTTTTTTTTTTTGAGATGGAGTCTTGCTGTGTTGGCCAGGCTGGAGTGCAGTGGCCCGATCTTAGCTCACTGCAACCTCCACCTCCTGGGTTCAAGCAGCTCTCCTGCCTCATCCTCCCAAGTGTCTGGGATTACAGGCACGCACCACCACACCTGACTAACTGTTTTGTATTGTTAGTACAGACGGGGTTTCACCATGTGGGCCAGGCTGGTTTCGAACTCCTGACCTCAAGTGATCTGCCCGCCTCAGCCTCCCAAAGTGCTGGGATTACAGGCATGAGCTATAGCGCCCGACTGTTGTCTTCTCTTCTTAACCCCTTTTCCTTTGGTATAAAAATGTGGAGAAAGGTGTAAGTGCAGAAGCAGGCCCAGACTGTAAAGACATAAGAGGCAGGAACTCCAGTGTGGCTGAGAGATGTTGGCCAGACCCATGTGCCCATGTCTCTGGGTGACCCCTCTGCCTGCCTTGCCCCTCCCTCTACTTGTAGCCTGTGATGGGACCACATTCTGGTTCAAGAGGCTCAGACAAACGTTGTTCTGTGAAGCCTTCCCGACCCTTCCACTCCCCAGGAGTACCCCTACCTCCCACCAGAGTAGCGAGGTTCCTTTCTGTAGCCTGACAATAATTTTAAGACAGGGGCAAGTGTATTACAGTTTGGTGAATCAGATTTTCTCATTTGCAGAAGAGATTGGGTGTTTTGAGCTGGACAGATCTGGGTTCAAATCTGCTGCTTATTCATTGTAGGACATTTGTCATATTAGTCTCATGAGGTCTCAGTTTCCTCACCTGCAAAATGAGTATAAAATTAATACTTACCTCATGAGGATTCAGTGAAATAGTGCACTGGAAATGCTTGACCAGAGCTGGCACATGTATCACCCAAGGAACATCTATCACTATTGGAAGGAGTCCCCTGCAATGGCAGGGACTGTGCCTGGTCCCCAGTCCTTAGCACAGTGGGCTGCACATAGTAGCCCCTCAACAAATGTTTGTAGAATGATTGTGTTTAGCTGGGCAGGGTGGCTCACACCTATAATCCAGCACTTTGGGAGGCCAAGGCTGGAGGATCACTTGAGTTCAGGAGTTCGAGACCAGCCTGGGCAACATGGCAAAACCCCATCTTTTTTTTTTTTTTTTTTTTTTTTTTGAGACAGAATCTTGCTCTGTCGCCCAGGCTGGAGTGCAGTGGTGTGATCTCGGCTCACTGCAAGCTCCGCCTCCTGGGTTCATGCCATTCTCCTGCCTCAGGCTCCCAAGTAGCTGGGACTACAGGTGCCTGCCACCATGCCCAGCTTTTTTTTTTTTTTTTTTTTTTGTATTTTTAGTAGAGATGGAGTTTCACCGTGTTAGCCAGGATGGTCTCGATCTCCTGACCTTGTGATCTGCCTGCCTTGGCCTCCCGAAGTGCTGGGATTACAGGCGTGAGCTACCACACCCAGCCAACCCCATCCTTTTTTTAAAAAAAAGAAAAAAGAAAAAGGCAGAGTCTCAGGTGCTTACCCGAGGCCTGCTGAGTTGGAATCTTTACAGTCATGCATTGCTTAATGATGGGGAGCTGCTCTGTGAAATGCATTGTTGGGCGATTTCATCATTGTGCAAACATCATAAAGTGTGCTTACGCAGACCTAGACGGTATTGCCTACTACAAGGTACTGTGTGACGCTTCACCCGTCGGTTTGGGCAGTTTATGGGCCACCCTTTAAGTAGCAAGGGGTCTGGGGCACTCTTCTCAACATTGGCTGCACACTGAAAACTCCCACAGAGCTTAAAAAAAATATTGATGCCTAGATGCCACCCCCAGAGCTTCCGGTTTAATGGATATGCGGGTGTAGCCTGGGGGTAGTACATTTTCAAAGTTCGCCAGGTATTTCTACACAACACGGAACAGCTGGCCTAAGGCCTGCAGAAGCAGATCAAACCAACTCGGCTCTCAGATGCTTCTTTGTTGCAGCATAAGACATCTACATCATCAAGCCCACTGCATAGGCTGAACTGAACCCCGTAACCGCGCCTCACTCCTGGCCCTGCCAAACCCTCACACTACTGCGGCTGATCCATCAAATAGTTTATTTTTCACCTTTGCCCTGATGTCACTTGGACATCTGACTGTCTCCTAGAGAAAGTTGTTTTTCTGCCAGAGAAGGTACAGCAGGCAGGGCATTGCTTCCTATTTAGTCGAAGGCTTATTTTAAATTGGGACTAGGCCAAGTTCAAGTGCAGGAGCACACTGGCCCCTGGGAGAGCCTGGCCAGGTACATTTGGCTTGTGAGACCAGCCGTCAGCACTTTGGCTCATGGAACACACGTCTGTCCGAGCAGTGCAGACCTGGCTTGTGTGAACTGGGCTCTGTGTGCCCTCAGGGAAAATGCCGAGGCCACATCTAGAAATTCTGGCTGAGGCTGAGAGCCGTGTGCAGAGCTGCCCCCACACATTTCCTTGTGTATATTTTGGGTTCAGGCTGACATTTCCTCTTAGCATGGGTGGAGGTAATGGCTGAATTTTTAGGAGGCTTGAATCCCTTCTACAAATATGCCTCCTCGCCCTGTAACCAAGTTTTGCTGGGTTGCAGTTCAGGAATGTATCTTGCTGCTTGTACAGCCCATCATGGAATGTGAGGACTTAGCTCAGAAGACTAAAGCACTATTCCTTCTAGGAAAAAGAAAAAAAAAGAAAGAAAGAAGGAAAGTTCCTCAGAGTTCACCAGTGAAATGGATCTTATGAGTGTGAGGGCTGAATTCCTATGATATGGCTGGGTTCCTCATGTCATATTCCCCTCCTGACATGTCTAGAGTATATAAGAAATAACCCACAGTTTAGCTGTGGTCACTGTAGACTGGTTAGGAGTTTGAGTTCTGCACACACAGAGCCTATGTATGAACCGTGGCACTGCTCAGTGTGGCCTCCGGGTGAGTTCACCACTCAAAGCCTGCTTCCTCCATTGCCAGCTAAGGACAACAGCAGTACCTGCTGCATAGGCTCATTAAGAGAATTAAGGCAGAGAAGAGATGGGAGCCACTTAGCAGAGGGCCATCTTTGTGACCAGTGCTCACAAATGGTGCATAATATTATTGTGGTTATTTTAGAAAAGCTTTTAAATTACCTTTTTGGTGTTCTTTTACCAGTTATTAAGTGGGGGAGGCACACTGCAAGTTGGCATGTGGATGGCATTTTGCCACTCTTCAAAGCTGGCAGATGATGGGGTCATCTTCTAGGCCCCACATACCCTTTCAGTTTGAATTCTTGGTGTTTGAGTGAATCCCTGAGATACTGTCCTGTGGGAGAAGAAGAGCGTCATGGGGCAAGGTGGTCCTGAGCTGTAGAGCTGAGGGAGGCTGGCCTGGAGGCGGGGGTCTTGTCTTGCAGGAGAGAGGAAGGATGGAGGACGATGAGCACTGGACTGGGGTCAACCTAGTGGAGGCCCAGCCGACCAGCTGCCTGGTGAGCACTGCAGGAAGGCTTGGTTTCCTGACCTCATGGAGACCATGCTCTGTTTCAAGAGACAGTACACAGGCATTATAAGACTAAAACAGCTCATGGCCCTAAGTGACTTTGCCTCTATTTGGTATTTAATGAATATGGCCTTTTGTCCTTATCTAGAAGGCATTGTCTATGAAGGCAAGGATGTTGTCTTTTCACTGCTGTTTCTGCAGCTCCTAGAAGTACCTAACAAAATGTAGGTCTTAATAAATACTTGATGAATGACTTAATCATATACTTCCTTATTAGAAGGCATTGGAGAGTCAATTCTTACTGCCTAGAATATTCTCTCTCTCTTCTGGTCCATGTCCTCTTCTTTTTTCAGCTCAATGTTTCACCAGTGTCAATCATTCATGGGCCACATTCATGACATTTACCATCTCTGTACACTACTTGTGTTATTATCTACTTACTATCTTTCTATCTACTTACTTATTAAAAATGGCTTCATTTTTATTTTATGATTTTTTTTTTCTTTTGAGACGAAGTCTTGCTCTGTCACCCAGGCTGGAGTGCAGTGGTGCGATCTTGTCTCATTGCAACCTCCGCCTCCCAGGTTCAAGTGATTCTCCTGCCTCAACCTCCTGAGTAGCTGTGATTACAGGCGCTTGCCACCACGCCCAGCTAATTTTTTTGTATCTTTAGTAGAGACAGGGTTTCACCATATTGGCCCAGCTGGGCTCGAACTCCTGACTCCAACTGATCCTCCTGCCTTGGCCTCCCAAAGTGCCGGGATTACAGGAGTGAGCCACCAGGCTCAGCTTTCATTTTTTATTTCGTTGTGTTACTAGTCAATGTCTGTGAAGTTATGAGTTGGTGTGCTCATGGCATCTTTTTCCTAATATGTAAATGCATAACTATTGAAATACTCTAATCTGAGAAATCCTAACGTGGTAACACTGACTTATCCTCTAAAACTCAGCTTAACTATTCCCTCTTCTGGAACATCTCCCCTTACCTCTTCCAACGCTGGTTAAAATATTCCTTTCCCATCCCTGTCATGTGGTAGCCATCGTTATCTGATGATAGACGTAAGCATAAGAACCATGTTGCATCTCACTTTTTAACCCTAGTGCTTTGCACAGGGCCAGGATGTAGCAGCACTTGATAAGTGACTTTGAATAACTAGATGAAACTCCTTTAGTCTAGGGAAGTTCATGCTGTCTGGCATGCATGGGTGCCCCTAACAGGACGCTCCGTGATTCTGTGAAGATAGTGTGCTGTCACTCAGGGCGCCAGCATTCCGAAGCTTCTCTTTGGATGCCCATCAACAAATCAGATGTATGAACTTTGATTTAGACTCCCAGCTCCCAGCAAGGAACCAGTATGCTCTGTGTCTGGGGAGTGTTTGGCCTCTGACCTTCCGCATCACATATTGCCTGTCAGTTACCCAGCCAGCCTTGGATGCTTCCAGTCTCTGGCCTCATTTCCCAGGATTGATAAGGGATGAAATTGGGCATTGGCAGTCTGGGATGGAGGGGGAAGTGATCAGGGGAGAGGCCCTTGATCCAGTGGGGCAGAAGTGAGCCATTCGATGGAATGGAGGTTTCCTTCAGCCTCCTGAAGTTACTTTCCCTAATATACATCATAACCTCAGGTTCTTCCTGCTCTGAACTCTGACTGTACCTGGTGTCTGCTGGTGTTTTGGTTCCGTATTCCTGCTTCTTGCCTCTCCAGCATGTGCCTGTCTTTCCACGTAGCGTCCTGTCTTAAACACTTTTTTTTTTTTTGAGATGGAGTCTTGCTCTTCTCACCCAGGCTGGAGTGCAATGGCACAATCTCAGCTCACTGCAACCTCTGCTTCCCGGGTTCGAGCGATTTTCCTGCCCCAGCCTCCCAAGTAGCTGGGATTACAGGTGCCCACCACCACACCTGGCTAATTTTTTTTTATTTTTAGTAGAGATGGGGTTTCACCACGTTGGCCAGGTTGGTCTCGAACTCCTCACCTCAGGTGATCTGCCCGCCGCAGCCTCCCAAAGTGCTGGGATTACAGGCGTGAGCCACTGCGCCTGGCCTGTCATAAACATTTTCTCTCTCTGTGTGTGTGTGTGTGTGTGTGTGTGTATGTATATACATATACATTTTTTTTTTTTTTTTGAGATGGGGTCTCGCTCTTGTTGCCCAGGCTGGAGTACAGTGGTGTGATTTCGGCTCACTGCAGCCTCCGCCTCCTGGGTTCAAGCGATTCTCCTGCCTCAGCCTCCCCAGTGGCTGGGTTTACAGGCGTCCACCACCATGCCTGGCTAATTTTTGTATTTTTAGTAGAGACGGGGTTTTGCCATGTTCGCCAGGTTGGTCTCCAACTCCTGACCTCAGGTGATCTGCCTACCTCAGCCTCCCAAAGTGCTGGGATTACAGGTGTGAGCCACCGCGCCCGGCCCCTGTCTTAAACATTTTTATCCACTTACTGATTGATGAGCATTTGGGCTAATTTCACATTTTTTCAGTTCCATATGGGCACTCAGAGGGTGATTGCAGATGCTGGTGGGTATTTGAACCATTAATGGTTATTTCTGTGTCAGGCAAATTGAGCACAGGTTTCTAGCCTGGCTTCTCATTTCTATGTGGCTTTCCACTTCTCAGCAAAAGCAAAGTATTGTTGCTACAACATAATTTTAAAGGAAGCTGCAAATGCATAGCAAAGCATTATTTGGTGGACAGGGCCACAGTTACTTCCTAGGCACTGATTTGCCTTTTGTATTCTGCAGGACTCCTTTGGCAAATGATGATGTGCTTTGTGGTCTTTCATTCCTTTCTGAAGCCTTAGGTTTAGTATCTACCATATGAGTGCTTCTCAGCACCACAGTTGACAGCCCTTTGAAGATGCTTTTGGCTACAAGTAACAGACCACCCAATACAAGAAAGCTTCAACAATCATAGGTTTATCATTGCACCAGCAGGAAGTCCAAGGTTGTGTAATTCATTAGTTCAGCGACATCATTGAGGAAAGACCCAGGCCCTTTTCATTTTCCTCTCTACCCACATTCAGTGTGTGGCCAGATGCTCCCCTCATCGTTTCAAGCTGGCTGCAGCAGCTCCAGGCACTGCGCCCTCGCATGACAATGTCAAGAGGCAGGAAGACCCCTGATGGTCAGGAGCCATGCTGTCTTGTGTCTCTTCCAAAGAGTGAGAAAACTATCTCCAGAAGGCCTGCTGATTTTCTCTTCTGTTTCATTGGCCAAGGGTGTGTAACAGGACCATGCCTAACCCAATTATTTAAACAAAAGTAAGGAAACAAGGAGGAAGAACAGCAGTTTTGAAAGCAACCAATAATGCTGGCCATAAAACTTCGATTCAATTTCTCCAAGTGTGCTCTGAAAAGCATCTCCATCAGAATTATCTACAGGCTGGGTGCGGTGGCTCATGCTTCTAATCCCAGCACTTTGGGAGGCCGAGGCGCGTGGATCACTTGAGGTCACACGTCTAATCCCAGCACTTTGGGAGGCCGAGGCAGGTGGATCACTTGAGGTCAGGAGTTCGAGACCAGCCTGGCCAACATGGTGAAACCCCGTCTCTACTAAAAATACAAAAATTAGCCAGGTGTGGTGTCAGGTGCCTGTAATCCCAGCTACTTGGGAGGCTGAGAAAGGAGAATCGCTTGAACCTGGGAGGCGGAGGTTGCAGTGAGCCCAGATCACACTGTTGCACTCCACCCTGGGTGAGAAAATGAGAAGATTCTGTCTCAAACAAACAAAATAATAATAATAATTTTTTAAAAAAGAATTATTTAAAATATGCTTGCTAGAATGCACATTTCTTTTTTAAAACATATATATATATATATTTCAATAGGTTTTTGGGGAGCAGGTGGTGTTTGGTTACATGCATAAGTTCTTTAGTGGTGATTTCTGAGATTTTGGTGCCCCTGCCACCTAAGCAGTGTACACCGTACCCAGTGTGTAGTCTATATCCCTCACCCCCCTCCCACCCTTTCCCCCAAGACCCCAAAGTCCATTATATATATATATATATATTTTTTTTTTCTTTTTTCTTTTTTTTTTTTTGAGACGGAGTCTCACTGTTGCCCAGACTGGAGTGCAGTGGTGCGATCTTGGCTCACTGCAAGCTCCGCCTCCTGGGTTCACGCCATTCTCCCTCCTCAGCCTCCCGAGTAGCTGGGACTACAGGCACCCACCACCACGCCCGGCTAATTTTTTGTATTTTTAGTAGAGATGGGGTTTCACCATGTTAGCCAGGATGGTCTCGATCTCCTGACCTCGTGATCCACCCGCCTCAGCCTCCCAAAGTGCTGAGATTACAGGCGTGAGCCACTGTGCCCGGCCAATTATATAATTCTTATGCCTTTGTGTCCACATAGCTTAGCTCCCACTTATGAATGAGAACATACAATGTTTTGTTTTTCATTTCTGAGTTACTTCACTTAGAATAATGGTCTCCAATTCCATCCATGTTGCTGCAAATGCCATTATTTTATTCCTTTTTATGGCTGAGTAGTATTCCATGCGCGCGCGCTCTCTCTTTCTCTCTCTCTCTATGTGTGTGTGTGTATATATATATGTGTATGTCATATTTTCTTTTTTTTTTTTTTTTTTTTGAGATGGAGTTCTAGTCTTGTCACCCAGGGTGGAGTGCAATGGTGCGATCTTGGCTCACTGCAACCTCTGCCTCCCAGGTTCAAGTGATTCTCCTACCTCAGCCTCCTGAGTAGCTGGGATTACAGGCACGTGCCACCATGCCCAGCTAATTTTTGTATGTTTAGTAGAGACGAGGTTTCACCATGTTGGCCAGGATGTTCTCAATCTCTTGACTCATGATCCACCTGCTTCGGCCTCCCAAAGTGCTGGGATTACAGGTGTGAGCCATCGCCCGGTCTTCTTTTTTTCTTTTCTTGAGTCTCGCTGCGTCACCAGGCTGGAGTGCAATGGTGCGATCCCGGCTCACTGCAGCCTCTGCCTCCCGGGTTCAAGTGATTCTCCTACCTCAGCCTCCCGAGTAGCTGCGATTATAGGCACGCGCCACCACGCCTGGCTAATTTTTTGTATTTTTAGTAGAGATGGGGTTTCACCACGTTGGCCAGGTTGGTCTCAAACTCCTGACCTCGTGATCCGCCCACCTCGGCCTCCCAGAGTGCTGGGATTACAGGCATGAGCCATGGCGCCTGGCCTACATTTTCTTTATCCACTTGTTAATTGATGGGCATTTGAGCTGGTTTCATATTTTTTCAGTTGCAAATTGTGCTGCTGTAAACATGCATGTACAAGTATCTTTTTTCATGTAATGACTTCTTTTCCTCTGGGTAGATAGCCAGGAGTGGGATTGCTGGATCGAATGGTAGATCTTCTTTAAGGAGTCTCTACACTGTTTTGTATAGTGGTTGTACTGGTTTACATTCAAAGTGTTCCCTTTTCATCTTATCCACACAAGCATCTATTATTTTTTAATTTTTTGAGAGTACATTCTTGCAGGAATGAGGTGGTTTTGATTTGCATTTCCCTGATAAAATGCACATTTCTGAACCCCTTTCCTGACGTACTGAATCAGAATGCCCGGGAGCCAGGCCCAGGAATTTGCATTTTAACATTAACCCGGTGAGTCTTATTGGCACTGAGTTTCAGTCCCACAGCCTGGGGTTCGTGGTTGTCTCCTATTGATATTTTCATGTCATAGATGTCCCTTCAGCAATGCTAGTCCTGTTGAGCAGAGGCTGGGGGCCCAAGAAGAATGAAGACTTTGACTTCAGAAATTCCCTTTCCAGCTCTTGCCTTTAGAGATTCAGACAGAAATATTAACTGATGCAGTGATGCTATCTGGCATTTGCTTCAAAACAATCTGGGTAGCAGAGGGAAAGTGGGATTGTGGATAAAATGGAATTAGCCATAATTTGATCATGTTGGATCTGGGTGTTATACATAGGGTGCCTTATCCGGTTCTCTCCACTTAAGTTTTTTAAAGTCTGCATTCCAGGGGCTTGCTCTGTCGCTATGCCGCCTTTGACCCTGGGTAAGTCCATCTCCTTCTTTGGGTTTCAGCATAAGTTCTCTATAAAATTAGTGTGTTTTCACATTTTCTTTTTTTCCCCTTCCCTCCGAATGAACCTCTTCTCCAAACAAAATCTTATGTAGAACTTAAAGATATGACAAAAGTCAAACAGCTCTCTTTGCAGGTGCTATGGATGCCTTTAAGATAACTCCAGAAACCCTAGGACTCTGCAGAAGATAGTTTAGCAGCTACTGTACTAGGGCCTTGCTGTAAACACATATATAGACCACCCTGATGCAGAACCATAGCCTGGTACTCAGGCAAAAAGAATCCTTGGGAAGTAAAGATTCAGCCATGGATGCAATTTCTAAGGCACGTGTTGCTGCCTGCAAGTCAGTCTTCAGTAGATTCCAGGTATCCCAAGACCGCACAAGCCTGCATCTTTCCTCCTCTGTACCATTACTGCATTGTTACCCTGACTTGGAGCAGGAGGGGATGGCAGTGCACATTTACTGTAGCTCTAGGTTCACTATCCAGGCAAGATTTCTGGTCGTGGCTAGGATCAGAGATGTGTGGGTTGGCCGAGAGTTTCTGATATCGACGTATTTCTGTCGTGTGGCAGGATTTGAGGCTCAGTACTGTATGATATTAGGAGCCCCTGACTTCATCTTCTAATGAGTTGGTCCTACATGGGACTATGGCTGTGTCCGAATGCTGGCTGCCCAAGACCACTGCACTGCCTGAGTTCAGTCATTCCTCACAGAGGTGCCGAGGTCAGCCTTCCTCGACCAGAGTGGTTCTCCTGCAGTGAATGACCTTAGACTCTGGAGATGTGAATGAAATCCTAGCTATCTTCTTAAAATCCTTCAAAGAAGGGATTAAGTCACAGTAATAACCAGGTACCTACTGCATTAGTTTCCTGTGATTGCCATAATAAATTACCACAAAACTAGTAATTTTGGCTTAAGACAACACAAATTTATTTTACTAGGAGCTGTGTAGGTGAAATGTCTAACATGGGTCTCACTGAGGTAAAATCAAGGTTTCGGTAGTGTTGTGTTCCTTTCTGGAAGCCCTCGAGGAAAAATCCACATTCGTGCTTTTTCCAGCTTCTAGAAGCCACTCACATTCCCTGGCTCGTGGTCCCTTCCTTCATCTTCAAAGTCAGCATCTTCTAATCTCTCGCTCACTGTGCTTCCATAGCCACATCTCTTTCTCTGACTCTCTTCTTCCTCCTCCTTCCAATTAAAGGACCTTCATGATGACATTGGGTCCACCTGGATACTCCAGGATAGCCTCCCTACTTTAAAGTCAGGTGATTAGCAACTTTAATTCCATCTACAACCTTCATTCCCCTTGTCATGTAACTTAACATATTCACAACTCCAGGGATGAAGATGTGGCCATCTTGCCGGGGCCTTCCTTTTGCCAACCATACAGACCTACCAGTAGATTTCGAAACAGAGTGGCACCTTCCTCTGTCTTGAAGGATGTGCATCTGTCAACTGGGAGGGGCTGTTTCACATGAACGGGATGGCACCTCAAGTTCATCTTAGCTCGTTGCCCAGTTGAGGTGCTGGAGCTTACATGGTGGTGAGTGGTGTATGTTTTTACCACAAATGGATATGACCCACAGGGCACAAGAACCTTTTGTTTTTGTTTGAGACGGAGTCTCGCTCTGTCGCCAGGCTGGAGTGCGGTGGTGCAACCTCGGCTCACTGCAACCTCCGACTCCCTGGTTTAAGCTATTCTCCTGCCTCAGCCTCCCGAGTAGCTGGGATTACAGGCACACACCATCATGCCCAGCTATTTTTTTTTTTGTATTTTTAGTAGAGACGGGGTTTCACCATGTTGGCCAGGATGGTCTCAATCTCCTGACCTCGTGATCTGTCCACCTCGGCCTCCCAAAGTGCTGGGATTATAGGGCACAAGAACCTTGAAGACTGGGCATTTCCATTCTCTCTTCACCGACAGCAGATGGTATACATTTAAACTAGCCTATTTGGGTCTCAGTTATCATACTTGTAAAATGGACACATTAATACGATACGAGGAAACCTGTGATAAGCATGTGAACAAGGAATCTATTTAAGTTTCCATAAAAAATGTGACTCTTAGAAGCACTGCGTTATTTAAAAAACAATATTTTCGCAGAAGGCAGTAACAGTCTATTTCTTTATTCTACAGAGAATCCTCATTAGGGGCTCGTAAGATCTGTTTCTTTAAGAGGAGGAAAGGAAGTGCTGAGTAATTTCTGAGTCTCATGCCCTTTGGTCCCTGAGTATATAATCTATAGCAGTGCTTTCTGTGACACTAAAAATGGGAAGCCTGCTGTCTATATATAGTCACGGGCTCTTCATGATTGGGGCCTAGCTGCAGAAATTTCTAGAGAAAAGGTGATATGCCATGGTGTTGGCAGGTAAGCACCACTTCTGGGTGTGAGGTCCATGTCAGTGAAGGAGTTAGTTAGGCCCTTAAAGGAAAACAGACCTCACATGCCAATAGATACATAACTCCTAGAAATATGGCAGCTGGAATTGGTTTGGATTTAGCCTCTGCCGACTTCAGAGTGTGCAACAGCCAAATAGAACGCACGTCAAGTTTTGCAAACTGTCCAGCACAGCCCGCGCTGTTTCTGTGGTTAAGCGCCATTAATACCACACAGGTGAAGAAAAAAGGGCCGGAATTTGGCTCCAGGAACAAGCGAGGCACCATTTCACCCCCAGCTTCTTTCTGAGGCTCCTGGGTAGCCTCAGGCGGGCAACGGCCCCGCAGAGGAAGCGCGGGCCGCCTGGCCGGTACTTGACCTTCCCAGTCCGTTCTCACGCCACAGCCTTCCCGGCGTTGCCATGCGTAGTGGGAAGGCCGTGGACAAACTAAGAACAGTAACAAGTTGTCATGACTCAGAGACTCCTGGAAGTCTGCAGCGCCTCCAGGAGCAGCGGCCGGGCTGTGCGTCCATCGGTCCGTGCGTCTCTCGCCTGCCGCTCTGCGGCCGCGGGCCCCTCGGTGCGTCTGGGCGCGCCCGGCCCCGCGCATTCCTGGCCGGGGAGGAGAGCGCGGCGGGCGCCCTGCGCGAGCAGCTGGCCGAGCGCTGCCCCGGGTCGGAGAGCCCAGAGCTGGGGGAGGAGCCTGGCCCGGCAGCCGCCGCTCGCCCAGTCATTGGCCTTTTGTGCTGCAACTTTTCCCGAGCCTTTCGGGGAGCCACGCCGGCCCTGCGCCGTTGTCCCGGGAAACTTTGCGTCCCAGGGCCGCACCGGACCGTGGTGACCCCACGCGCCGCGCCGCCACCGGGCTCGGAAAACCCAGCGCCCCCGGGCTCTTTGGCAGTTGCGACTCCGAACGAAGGCGGCTCCGTGCGGGCCATCCCCTATCTCCCCGGGCGGGTAAGTGCCGGGGCCACGGGCGGGCGGCCGGGGTCAGAAGATGGGCGCCCGAAGGACCTTGGCCCCCAGACAAAGGCGTACTGGAAGTGGCCAAAGCTCATTTCGGCTTTCCCCGGCAGGGACTGGCCGAGGGTGGAAAAGTGGCTAACTGCACATTCGGTCCCCTGCTGGCAGAGGAGTGTGGCTGCGGGGAAACCGCGGGCCCCAGAGTGTCTGCCCAGGAGCCTGGTTCCCTTGAGTGGGAGCGCGGGGGTCAAAGCCCGTGGTTCGGGGCGCGCGCCAGTGGCTGGGATTCCCGCTCGCGGTTGGGGTCCCCGCGCGTGGTTGTGGTTGGCGCCCGTGACCAGGCTCCCTGCCAGGGTTGGGGTCCCGCCCTTGGGGGCCTCCGCGCCTTCCCACCGGGCTCTTTCCCAGCTCGTGTGGTCCTACTGGGTCGCGTGGGGGCATCCCCGGCGGGCCACGACGGCGCGTGGACTAGCCATAAAACTCTGCGCTGGATTTCCTCCGAGTTTGGGACTTTTAAATTCTCGAATAGTTACGTCAGCAGGGCCGAGCGCACTTCGGGGATCCGGCGCAACACGTGACCCGCCCGAGCGTCCCCTCCGCGTCCTTGGCTCCCGCCGCAGAGTGCGCCTCTGCCTCGGGGTGTCCTCGAAATCCAGTGTCGGGGCGCTGGGATTTGCTGCCCAGGCTCCGAGCGCCGAATACACCACGCTGTGGCCAGGTGTCCTCTTCAATCCTGGTCTTTTCTTAAAATGGCTTCATCATCATCACTGTTACTGTTGTTGCTATCTTCAGGCTCTGTCAAATGCTGGGACAGGAGAATGTGATAGCGGGTTGAAATACAGCTGAAATAGACATTGTGGAGGGGAAATGGAAGCGGGGCCTAAGGAGGGGCGGCTGGAGAGGATGGGGGGCCCTCGTGTCACAGGACGTGGGACATTGAGGATCCTAGGGCAGTTTCCTGTGCTATGCCAGAGGAAGGTGCGGCTCTGTTACCGGAGAGAACTCTCCCCATTCTTACTTCTCTGATTCCTTATTGAGGCCACATTTTAAAAGCCGTTTCCATGATATCTGGAAATGACTTTTTTTCCGGGACTGTGACGTGAGGCAGTGTTTGGTCTGTGAGATGCACGTGCAGATTAACAGTTGAATCTTAAGCAGTGTTTTTAGGGTTGACAGTTGATGGAACTTAGAGGAAGGGTTTTGTTGAAAATTGCACAGTGAGTTCCCTCCCGGAGCAGCTGGCTTTCCCTTCTCAGGCCAGGCGGGAGGGCCTCCTGAGAATGGGACCAGTTGAGCCAGGCGGGTGAGTGGATTCCCACGGGGCTCTTTCTCACAGGCTCTGCCTGGGACTAATTCTCCGGGAAGGAAATCGGAGCAGCAAATAGGCCAGCAGCCACCCTCCTTGTGCAAATGCCACAGCAACTCAGCTACCCAGAGTCACTAGTCTCTCATCAAAAGTTACATCCCAAGCCTCAGAAGTGTGATCATGGAATATGACCTGCTTGTATTATAGTTATTCATATACCGGTGTTATGGAACTGCCTTATGGAAATCTTCAGGTCAAATGCTGCCGCCTCTGTGGAACCTAGACAGGATTAGCCCCTTGTCTCTCCGTTCCAGCCGTCCTCTTTTCTCTCTTAAAAAAATAATGTTCAAGAAACGTGCTTGAACATTTAAAATATTTTAGCAAGAAGGAAAGTTAAAGATCAAGGTTTCGTTTTACAGATACGAAAAGAGAGACTCAAAGAAGTCCAGGGTCTTGGCCAGGGCCACACATCAAGGTAGGACTCCAACCCCAGACCGCAGACACTTGCCCTGGTGTTCTCTGCGCCAAGTCCTGCGGCCTCGTTGGTTTTATTCGGCTTTGTATCCTGGTTATTTGTGTTTGATGCTTTTATGGAGACAGACACTGCTTGAGGAAGGATATGTCTGGTTCACAATGCCACGCCACAAGAGTAACACAGAGCCTGGGAGGTAGATGGTGGTTGAATTGAATGACACAGCCCCCACCTTCAAGGAGGTAGGTAGGTGAGTGTGTGTGTGTGTGTGTGTGTGTGTGTGTGTGTGTGTGTGTGTGTGTGAGATACCTGAGCATGCACATATGGGGCAGGCTTTGTGGTGAAGGATAATGCCCCAGGAGGGGATGTCTGGAAATGTGGGAGGATATTTTTGGTTGTTCCAGTGACTAGGGAGGGAACTGCTATTAGGAGGATATTTTTGGTTGTCCCAGTGACTGGGGAGGATGCTATTGGCGTCTAGTGGGGGAGGGCTAGGGTCACTCTCATGTGAGAGTCCTGCACAGCAGAGAATTGCCTCACCCCAATGCCAATAGCATCTCAATAGAGGATGCTGCCAGGCTTTGAGGAATCATGAGAGACAGTTCTAATTGGGAGGATGAAAGAAAGGGTCTCTGGGCTTGCCCAGCTCTGGGCTGTAAGCGTAGATGAGACTGGAAGAGAATGAGGGCTTGATGGGGAGCACCTGTGTGTGTGTATGTGCATATGTGTACATGCATGTGTGGGTGTATTTTTTTTTTTCAGGACTTGGTTCCATAGCCAAAAGCGAAGCGTTCTTGGATTTACTGTAGCTGGGGTTTAGCAGGTCCTTGCAACTTTTGCACAGATGATCAGGAGGTGGTTTAGGAAGCTGGCAATAAAATCAGTAACTAGTGCTGGCTAGAGGAGCATAGAGATGGCTGCAGGGCTGGGTGCCCTCATTTATCCCCTTGTGACCAAGGTCTGTGAAATCCATTTTGGTGGCTAGCTGTGTTTTTTTTCTGCCTCTCCCCTATTGAGGTCGCAGTCCTTGGTTCATAACCCCAGTAATCATGTTCACATCAACTCCCTGCGATGACAGAACATGTTGAGGATTATGAAATCATTCAGGAGAAACGAGAGGCCTGAGAAGGAAGACCCAGGGAAACCAAAGTTTGCAGAGCAATGCATCTGAAAAACAGAGGAGCAAGTGAAATTCTCCAGGGAATGTAGAGCAGCCGACCCTTTGTAATGGAGGTGTCATTTCAGATGTGTTGAGTGTCAGCTCTGTCCCCATCCCTCTGTCCGCTATCCACAGTGTTATAGAGTTTCAGTCTGTCACTTTGCAAGTGTATTCATGGCTGCTAATTGAGATAAAGCAAAGTCCCCAAGACTTATTTTCCTTAGGTTGGGGAAGGGCAGTATTGAGAAAGCCCAGAATTTATAGACAAAGATCCTATATTGGAGTTCTTGCCCTACCCCTTACCAGCTGTGTGACCTTGAGCAAGTCGTGACGTTGTGAACTGTCTGAGTCACCTTCCTTCTCGTGGATGGTGGGGCCGCTTATCCCTGCCCACCTGGCTCTCGAAGCTGGGGAGGCCAGTGAAGTCATGCACATGAATATACTTGATAAACAAACTGTAAAGGGCTGTGCAAATGGAAAGTCAGTGGTGTTCATATTTTTCATCTGGTTATGATTAAAAGTACTGATTTAGGGGAGCTCAATTTCCTAACACCTGCTGTAGCCTGTGTGCATTAGTGTTGTTTTTAAATGCAAACCAGGAGACATACTATGAAACGCAGTTCTTCCTTATTTAGAAGCTGTGTATTGACTCTGCCGTCCATGAGCTGGTTGTCTCGGCTTCCTTTTTGTTCATCCTACCTTGCTTTGCCACTCTCCTTTCTTTCTTTTTTTTTTTTGAGACCGTCTTGCTGCATGAGTGAGTGAGTGCAAAGCCCTTCACACAACACCTGGCAAACAGAAGTGCTCACAATGTGAGTGGCCCTTATGACTGCTATTATCATTAATACTTTTATTGTAATGATTTAAATTTGTTACAGTATTTCATATATATTCAAATTTTGCCACCAGCAGCAAAATCAGCATGCTCACAACATTAAATCAAGTCCCTCAAATCTCAGGGCCGCAGTTTCTCCTCTGCTCCTGGGAGAGGTCAACCTCTCTGGTCTTAGAAATCTTTTTTTTTTTTTTTTTTCTTTGAGACAGAGTCTCGCTCTGTCACCAGGCTGGAGTGCAGTGGCGTGATCTCGGCCCACTGCAACCTCTGCCTCCTGGGTTCAAGTGATTCTCCTGCCTCAGCTCCACAGCAGCTGGGACTACAGGTGTGCACCACCATGCCCGGCTAATTTTTTGTATTTTTAGTAGAGACGGGGATTTGCCATGTTTCCCAGGCTGGTCTCGAACTCCTGCTGTCAAGTTATCTGCCCAGCTCGGCCTCCCAAAATGCTGGGATTACAGGTGTGAGCCACCGCACCCAGCTGCCACCCTCTCTTTTAATTGTTCATTTATATTTTGCCTAGAAAATAAGTACAAACACACGAATATGGGGCTCTTGTTAGGTCTGCTGACCTGGGGAGAAATAAATGGAAAGAGAAAGCAGCTGCCCCATTGGCTCATCTCAGGTTATTTACAGTCCCGCTAATTCTTGTCATTCTGTGGTTGTGTCCACGCTTGGTCCTCTGAGGTCCAGGAGCTATTCTAGTGTCTGCATCATTTAGAATAGAAGGCTCCTGGCTAGCATTCTTGCACTGAAGCTCCTTGAGGGCATGGGGGGTTGGTTTCATATCATGACTGTTCCCCCAGTGGGGCACATTCTAAATTGACAAGAGACAGTAAGCAGCTAGGCCATATGGCCATCAATAGGATCTTTTTTCTTCCTCCTTTTATACCCAGGACACCCCTCCCTCCATCCCTTGGGCTTGCTGTGGCTCCTACTTTCTGGCTCCCTGCTTCACACAGAACAGGAAAAGATTGAACATTACCTTTGTTTTTCTCTTTTTCTTTTTTTTTTTTTTTTGAGATGGAGTCTTACTCTGTTGTCCGGGCTGGAGTGCAGTGGTGCCATCTCAGCTCACGGCAACCCCTGCTTCCCCGGGTTCAAACTGTTCTCCTGCTTCAGCCTCCCAAGTAGCTGGGACTACAGGCATGTGCCACCATGCCCGGCTAATTTTTGTATTTTTAGTAGAGTTGGAGTTTCACCATGTTGGCTGGGCTGGTCTTGAACTCCTGACCTCAGGCCATCCGGCCGCCTCGGCCTCCCAAAGTGCTGGGATTACAGGTGTGAGCCACCGCGCCCAGCCTGGACGTTACCTTTCTTACCTTGACTGAAACTGGTTCATCCC
This sequence comes from Homo sapiens, assembly GCF_000001405.40. Lineage (NCBI taxonomy): Eukaryota > Metazoa > Chordata > Mammalia > Primates > Hominidae > Homo > Homo sapiens. Next base: position 122,118,357 of record NC_000010.11, read on the forward strand.
AGCAACTTAGCTGGCCCAGGACTCTGCATTCTGGAACTCCCAGGTTGTCTTGTGGTCAGCCGTGTGCCAAGGTCTCTCTCTGACGGCTAACAACCCCTGCGTCATTGCTCTCTGCATCCTCAGTACCTTGTATTGTGTTTGGCAGAACAGATTTTCGTCAGTTCTTGTTGAATCAGTTAATGAATCGTCTCCTCTCTTGAACTATAGGCTCTAAGGCTTTGCTTTTTGTTCAGGGTCTAGACCTGGTTGCATTGCAGGGAGAGGAAATGGAGGTAATTTTGCTGCTTGTGTGGTTTTGGAATCAGGGAAAATCTGTAACTCTGCTAAGATGCTGAGGACTGAGTGACATTTTTTTAAACACCAACTAAAATTTTGCCTCATCTATATAAGAATACTGGTGGCATTTGTTGAGACTTCAGTTTGTTGTTTGTGGGCTGAGTGGCCTGTTCTCAGCCTGAAAAAGTTAGAGAGGAAGCTGATTGTGGCCTGAATTAAGTGTTAGCTAGACAGATCTGGTGGCAGAGGCTATTAATATCATTCTGTTAGTGCTATTTTCCATGAACCCATACTGTGTATTGAGGACCTGTAGTGAGATGATGCTATGCTTTACATGTTTTTTAAATTGTGATTAAACAAACCACATAAGATGTACCATCATAACCATTTTTAAGTGTACAGTTTGGTGGTAAGTATATTCATATTATTGTGAAACATCTCCAGAACTTACTCATCTTGCCAATCTGAACGACTGTATCCATTAAACAACAATTTCCCTTCTTCCCTTCTCTCCCCAGACCCTGGTAACACTATTAGACTTTCTATTTCTACATATATTTTTTCCTCTTATTTCTTTTAACAGTCTTTCAAGTAATGCATTTATCTCCATTTTACAGGTTCAGAAACTGAAGCTCAAAGAGGTTAATGAACTTGCCTAGGGCTTATAAATGGCGAGTAAGTGGCAGAGCTGGATTCAGGCTCAGATCTATGTCCAGAGTCTGTGCTCTTTGTACTATACTTGCTGCCCCTGCCCACCTAAGCCCCTGGACCCTCCATGTGATTTCTGTGCCCAGTGTTCTGGTGAGTCAGCGCACCTGTGGATTTGGTGCACTGGCTTTGGGCATCCTCAGCTGAGATCTTGATCCCAGAGGGGCTGGTCCGTTCAGCTGGCTTTGTGCTGTTTTGATCAGGAGGACAGCTACACTTTCACTCACCTGACTGTATAGCTTCTCCCAGCATCTGGCTGAGTTTATTTGTCATCTTTTGAGAAGAACATCAGGCTGGGTATCGTGGCTCACTCCTGTAATCCCAGCATGTTGGGAGGCCAAGACGGGTGGATCACCAAAGGTCAGGAGTTCAAGACCAGCCTGGCCAACATGGCAAAACCCTGTTCCTACTGAAAATATAAATGTTAGCTGGACTGGGTGTGGTGGTATGCACCCGTCATCTCAGCTACTCGGGAGGCTGACGCAGGAGAATTGCTTAAACCCGGGAGGCAGAGGTTGCAGTGAGTCAAGATCGCGCTGCTGTACTCTGGCCTGGGCAACAGAGTGAGACTCCTTCTCAAAAGAAAAAAAAAAAAAAGAAAAAGAAAAAAAGGAAGAACATTGGCTGCCGGCTCCCTGCCTTGTCCTCCCGGAGTAATTTCCTCTCCTTTGAGCTTGCCGTAAAATTCGGTCCTTGGGCTCATTAATCCCAAAGGATGCGGAAACAACAGTAGTCCAATTTTAAGAGGTGATTAAATTGTGTATGAGGAGAAGGTTCCCCCTCCGTCCTGCAACTCGCCCGTCCTCACAGTAAGGTCTCCTGGGGAGCTGGAGCTGTGAGTCAGCAGGTCACCCCCTGCCTCCCGTCCTTAACTCCCAACCAGAAGCTGCCCTGCTCCCCCGCCTGGCCTAGGGGTTGGGCCAACGTGGGCACTGCTCACAGCCTCCTCCAAGCTGACCTTTCTCAGCCAGGAGACCCTGGGTTTCAGATCAGAAAATTGTTTGGGCTGGAGGGTACCCTAGAGAGAATAGTCGAAACCCTCATTAGGTGGAAGAGGCACCCGCAGCCCTGGGAGGGGAAGGGTCTTATGCCCCCACCCCCTGGTGGTTAGAGCCACCGCGGGTGCCCTGGCTGGTTGCGCACACCCTCTTCCTAGGGAGGCAGCACCCACTTGGCTCTCAGCACGCCACTCCCTCTTTGTCGCACATCATGAGTCGACGCTGCTCTGAGGCTGTAGGGTCCTTCGCTGAGAGAGTCAGAGCAGCTGGGATGGAGCTCAGCCTCGTGCGGCCTTGGGGAGAGGGACTTTCTGCTGTCACATTGCTCACAGTGATGAAGGGCCTGCATAGAGCCTGGCGCATGCTAGGTGCTCATAAACATTGATTCCCTTCACTTGTTGCCACCTGTATTCATTCTTTCTTTCTTTCTTTTTTTTTTTGAGACGGAGTCCTGCTCTGTCGTCCAGGCTGGAGTGCAGTGGCGCGATCTCAGCTCAGCTCACTGCAACCTCCGCTTCCCGGGTTCAAGTGATTCTCCTGCCTCAGCCTCCCGAGTAGCTGGATTATAGATGCGTGCCACCATGCCCAGCTAATTTTTGCATTTTTTGGTACAGAGGGGGTTTCGCCTTGTTGGCCAGGCCAAAATCCTGACCTCAGGTGATTTGCCCTCCTTGGGCTCCCAAAGTGCTGGGATTACAGGCGTGAACCACCACACCTGGCCCTGTATTCATTCTTAATCCACACCCCAGTTGATATTCACATAGAGCCTGGGGTGCCTGAAGGAGCAGCCTGTGCACCTGAGACTCACACCTGGATGTGCAGGAGAGGCGGGAGGGAGGGTCATGTGTACTTTGAAACAGTACATTCTGTATTTTGTGTTTGGGAAACAGTACATCCTGTAGTGTTTGTCTTAATGACGCCAGCATTTGTGGAGCACTTTGCGTGTGCTGGGCACCTTGCTACAGAAACATTCGCATGACTGGTCACAAGGCATCCTCTCCACTCCCTCTCCAGGAAGGACTGTCATTGCCATCTTTGACAGATGAGGATACTGAGGCTCCGAGAGGATCTTTTTCAAGGTTGTACAGCTCTTTATTGCTGGAGTGGGGTCAGGCTTGGGCAGTCTGGCCCCGGGCTCTGGCCTCCTATCACCTGCCCTATCCTACCTCTCCAGGGGGAGGAGGAATGGCATTTTATTTCTTCATCTGTGAAGGCTCCCAGGCATCACAGGAGTATCTAAAAAATGTCTGGGACTTTAAAAAATTTGGCTTCAAAATGTGACAAGCGCTGCTTATAATTGAAACGGGCAAATGTGCACTTTGACGTGGCTGCAAAGCATCACATTGTATCAGCCTCATTGGCTTCTGGGCCTGGGCCTCTTCCTTGGTTCATTCATTCCAGTAAATGCATTGCTGGCTGTGGGCTAAGAATTCAGCAGGGAAGGTAGAGGTCCCTGCCCTGTTGTTGGTGGTCACGATTCCCCTGCTGGCTCTGCCATCTCTTCCTGCCCTGCCAGAGGCCTCTGCTGCCTCCCATGCCTCCCCTGGGGCTGTGCCGCTGAACTCTGGACAGGAGCTATGGCATGCCCACTAGAGGAAAGACCTGGCGGGGAGGGGGATGGCAGCATGGGTTTCCAGGCGAGGACAGGTCCAGGGTTCTCGCCATGGGTCTCTTTGCCAAGTCGCTTAATTCCTTGAGTCTCGATCTCCTCTCCTCTTCTATAAAATAACTTGTTAGCCAGGCGCGGTGGCTCACGCCTGTAATCCCAGCACTCTGGGAGGCCGAGGCGGGTGGATCACGAGGTCAGGAGATCGAGACCATCCTGGCTAACACGGTGAAACTCCGTCTCTACTAAAAATACAAAAAATTAGCCGGGTGTGGTGGTGGGCACCTATAGTCCCAGCTACTCAGGAGGCTGAGGCAGGAGAATGGCGTGAACCCGGGAGGCGGAGCTTGCACTGAGCCGAGATCGTGCCACTGTACTCCAGCCGGGGCGACAAGAATGAAACTCCGTCTCAAAAAATAAATAAATAAATAAATAACTTGTCTGCCTTCTTCATAGCAGTGATGAGGAATCATAAAAGTGGCATTTAACAAAGCTCTAAGATACCATACACATATAAGTAACTAAGTATTTTTTTAAAAATAATTCCTTTTTTTTTTTTTAATAGCTGAAGGCTAAATCTTTAAATTGCTAGGCTTTCTCATCCGAGAGTGGAAAATCTCTGTTCTCCCTGCGTGGGCTCCAGGGTCCGTTTGATAAGCTGCTTTCCCCGGGGTCCTGTGGGAGACAGCTTCTTGTTCCTTAGCTTGAGTCAGGCCCAGAGCATGCTGTGGGATTTCCTGGCTCCTGTGCTCTTGGACGCGGGTCCCAGTCCTGACTCTGTTCTTCGCCCTCTTAAGGGGAGGGGCTGCATGAGTGAGTGTGTGCAGAGCCCTTCGCACAACACCTGGCAAACAGAAAGAAGTGCTTACAATGTGAGCTGCCCTTATGACTGCTGTTATCATTAATTCTTTTATTGTAATTATTTAAATGTGCTATAATATTTCATATATATTCAAATTTTATCACCAAAAATAAAATCAGCATGCTTGCAACATAGATGAAGTCCCTCAAATCTCAGGGCCATAGTTTCTCCTCTGCTGCTGAGAGAGGTTGGCCTCTCTGGTTTTGGAGATCATTTTTTTGAGAGAGTTTCACTCACCCAGGCTGGAGTGCAGTGGCACAATCTCAGCTCACTGCAACCCCTACTTCCCAGGTTCAAGTGATTCTCATGCCTCAGCTTCCAGAGTAGCTGGGACCACAGGTGCACGCCAACACACCCGGCTAATTTTTTTGTATTTTTAGTACAGACAGGGTTTTGTGATATTGGCCAGGCTGGTCTCGAACTCCTGGGCTGAAGTGATTCACCCACCTCGGCCTCCCAAAGTGCTGGGATTACAGCTGTGAGCCACCGCGCCTGGCCTGGTCTTAGAAATCTTGTTACTCACCTGGCCCCACTCCATGCCTGGCCTGCAGGGATGCCACAGGCCACACTTGTCCACCCATTTTCCAGATCCAGAAGAGATGAGTTGTTTTTCATCATCACTAAAAAGCACAATGTGCTTACCCCGAGGGACCTGGGGAACCCACCTTTCAAAGCGCAGCTGGGGTCTGTGGGCCCCTCACCCAGAGGAATGCCAAGGGTGGCTCTGAAAAGGATGCCCTGTGTGTTCCGCATGTCGTGGTGCCTGTGCTGTGGCTTCTAACTGGTCAGTTCGGTCATGCCCAGCCTAGAACTGGCCATGAAAATGCAGATCTTGGAAGATTCCATTTTGCTGACTTATGACAGCCTTTGCTTCTCTTTTCAAAACTGATGTGAGCCCCTGGGGCTCAGCTTTCACTCTGTTGGTGAGAACTATGCCGGTGTTCTGAAGTGGGGTGCACAGTTTCCAGGGAGTCTGTTCTTGAGTTGGGTTGCTGTAGAGTCATTTTTTTTTTTTTTTTTTTTTGAGGCGGAGTTTCACTCTTCTTGCCCAGGCTGGAGTGCAGTGGCACAATCTCGGCTCACTGCAACCTCCGCCTCCCAGGGTTAAGCAATTCTCTTGCCTCAGCCTCCAGAGTAGCTGGGATTACAGGCACGCGCCACCATGCCTGGCTAATTTTTGTATTTTTAGTAGAGATGGGGTTTCACCATGTTGGCCAGGCTGGTCTCGAACTCCTGGCCTCGTGATCTGCCCGCCACGGCCTCCCAAAGTGCTGCGATTATAGTCATGAGCCACTGCACCTGGCCTCTTTAATCTTTATTAAACATAAATCAGTAATAATACCGGAGGTCTAAGGTTTTATGTGCAAGGCATGCAGTTAATAACATAGCCTTCCAACCATTAGATGTTCAAAACCCAAATCATCTTTGTTCTTCATGTCCCTTCCCTCTGCACCTAGTGTCAGGTAGATGTCATGAAGCCTCTGGAACAACTAACTCCACCTCCTCTGCAGTGGTCCCAGTGTGTCCTGCATCACCTGGCACCTGAACTGTTCCAAAGCTCTCACTTCGGCTCCACTGCCTGCATTTCTTGCCCCCTCCAATTAGTCTCCACTGTGGCACAGGCATTATCTTCTGAATATTCTGTCACTGGCCTGCGTTTAAATCTCTCATGTTCCCCATCGCCCCAGGACAACAGGCTCATGGTCTGAGCGTCTGAGGTTCCGGGGCCCCTGTCACACTGGCCCCAGCCCCAAGTGTCCAGCTAGGTGTCCCCCCAGCTGCCTGATGCTGCCGAAGTGGCTGGCATATCACGCTGTGTCCTCCAGACCCAAACGGAGCTCCATGTGTGCTGGGGAGTGGCTGTTTGCCTGCACGCCTTTGCCCAAGAAGTTCTTATTTGTTTGTCCTGAGTACAATTCCTGATTTACAGAAAAGTTGTAAGAATACTACAAAAAACTTCCATGTTCCCTTTCCCCGATTCCGCAGTCATTGACATTTTATCACATGTGCTGTGACGTTCATCCTCTCTCTATATGAGTAATATAAATGTATATGTACCTATATATCCATCATTGCTACTTTTTCTGAATCATTTGAGAGCAAGTTTCAGACATGAAGTCGCCACCCTCCAGCAAAACAAAAACAACCCCCGCCCCCTCCCAGCCCCCCAGTGTGCCTTTCTTGCAAACACTCTCCAGCACGAAGCCAGCGCAGCCCTGCAGCTGGGAAATCGCCATCCAGTCTTCAGAACCTGCTCAAATTCACCAGCAGTGTACCTTTTTCCGTCTGAACCAGAATCCAGTCAAAAAGCATGTGCCATGCTCTATGTCATGCCCCCAGACTCTCCTTCCATCTGGAGTAATTCCTCAGTCTCTCCCTGTCTTTTATGACTTTTTGAGTTTTTTTGAGACAGGGTCTCACTTTTGTTGCTCAGGCTGGAGTGCAGTGGCTCAGTCACAGCTCACTGCAGCCTTGAACTCCTGGGCTCAGGTGATCCTCCCACCTCAGCCTCCCAAGTAGCTGAGACTTCAGGTGTGTGCCACCATGCCCAGATAATTTCTTGTATTTTTTTTTAGTAGAGATTGGGTTTTGCTATGTTGCTCAGGCTGGTCTCGAACTCCTGGACCCAAGGGATCCTCCTGCTTCAGCCTCCCAAATGCCAGGATTACAGGCATGAGCCACCATGCCCGTCCCATGACCTTTATGAGTACAGCTCCTTCACGCTGGAAGAAGTCCCTCAATCTGTGTCACCTAGTTTCTTCATGGCTAGACCCTGGGTGTCTGCTTTGGGCAGGGATTCCACAGAAGTGAAGCTCTGCCACCCCAGGGCACAGAGCATGGAATGTTTTGCCACAGAGGATGGCCAGATTGGTGCCTGCCAGGTTTATTGGCTGTAAAGTCATCATTTTCACCTTTGTAATCAGTCAGCATTTGGTGGGAAGATACTCAAAGGCTACACAATATCCTTCCTTTTTTTTTTTTTTTTTTGAGAGGGAGTCTGGCTCTGTTGTCCAGGCTGGAGTGCAGTGGTGCAATCTCAGTTCACTGCAACTTCTGCCTCCCAGGTTCAAGCGATTCTCCTGCCTCAGCCTCCCGAGTAGCTGGGACTACAGGTGCGCGCCACCGCACCCAACTAATTTTTTTGTATTTTTAGTAGAGATGGGGTTTCACCATGTTGGCCAGGATGATCTCGATCTCCTGACCTCGTGATCCACCCACCTCAGCCTCCCAAAGTACTGGGATTACAGGCGTGAGCCACCATGCCTGGCCTAGCCTTTCCTTCTTCACACTCCCCACCGCCTGCCTTGGCATCCTTTGATGGCTCTTCCTTGAATTGAGTGCCACCATTAAGGTTTCTTCCATGGCAGTTTTCTGTCCTACATGGACTAACTAGCTGGCATTGTACTGTAAGGGGGGGCTTTCCCTTCTTCCCCATTTGTTCATGACTTTATTTAGGTCTAAATGGATTCATAGATTATTACTTTTATTCCATGGGTTATAATCCAGAACTGTGTGTGTGTGTGTGTGTGTGTGTGTGTGTTTGATGTTCAAATAGTCCCAGATTTGACAGTGGCAGCCCCTTTTAGGTGGTTCTTATGTCCTTTGACGCGACTCCCCCAGCTGGGAAGTAGGTACGTGTATGTACACATGCATGTGTGCACACAGCCCTCCACAACTAGTTCTGGATTTGTCTGATTCCTCTGATTGCAGCCCTGCCCTGAGGGATCTCTGGAGTCCAACCACCTTCTGTATATGCAAGCTCCTCTCTGATTGTGAGAACCTGGCTCCTATTATCCTTGATACTGGATACTATTCTTTGTAATAAATAACAAGGGGAAGGGAACAGAAGCCTTTCTGACAGAACCATCCTGGAGAGAGGGAGGGAGAAGCTTTTTTTTTTTCATCTGGAAAGCCCTTTGCACACATCGGCCTATTGAAGCACTTTGCTTGATTCAGCTATTCTCCTCTCAGGACCTGCCTGGATCATCCCAGCCTGTAGAATCCTGGGTTTCTGTGGCAGTTTGTTCTTCTGGTATCACCTGCTATGCTCTGAATGTTTGTATCCCTCTCAGCCCCGAAATTCCTGTGTTGAAATCCTAACCCCTAAGGTGATGGTATGAGGAGGTGGGGCCTTCGGGAGGTGATTAGGCCATAAGGGTGGAGCCTTTGTGAATGGGATTAGTGCCCTTATAAAAAGAGGCCCCACAGCACTGCCTTGCCTCTTCTGCCACGTGAAGATGCAGTGAGAAGGAGCTGTCTGTGAACTAGGAAGGGGTCCTCATGAGACACTGAACCTGCTGGTGCCTTGATCTTGGACTTCCCAGCCTCCAGAACTGTGAGCAATACATCTCTGTTGTTCATAAGCCACCCCATCTATGAGATTCTGTTGTAGCAGCCTGAGCCAATGAAGACACCACCCTTCACAGTTCTCCTTTCTTTGGACTTTCAGCTCCTCGGGCTTGATGAGCCTGTCACCCCTGGAGTGTGTGATCCCCATGGAATCCATCCCAGTGCCCGCCTTGGGGCTCTTCCTGTGGCATGGATCCTATGTACAGAACTGAAGATGTGGGCTTTTAAGGCTGGAACCTGAACGTCTTCCTTTTTGGACAGAGTCCATTCCACCAGTCTCTGAAAGGGGTGACTCATGGCCCTTTGCAGAAGCACTTGTTGATAGTACAGGCTTCCCTCCCTGACATTCCAGTGGCAAATCAACCCTTTGCTGGCCTGACTAAATTTATAGTGGGCTGGCCCCAGCAGCTGGTGGCAGCAGCTGGTGGTTGAAATCTGACAGATTTTTTTTTTCCTCTGAAAAATATTTCAGTCACTCTAGTCCCAGAACCACCACCAGCAGAACTTAGAAGCCATTTATAGCCTCTTACAGTTGTTCTGAGAAGAGCTGTTTTAGAAAAATCCCCCCATTTCCCCAGAAATTAGCTCTCTCCCATCCTTAGCCACCTGGAAAATATTCAGATCGTTACAAAGTCAGAAAGGGCCCGGAGCTGACAGCACAAAGTCAATTTGACAGTTTATTTCTTTGTAGCAGTTTCATATGGTTGAGCCTAATATATATGCGTCTATACACATATGTGTTTATTTTTAAATTATAAGATAATGATTTGGTACGGAAGGTTTGTAGATCTTTATTCAGAGCCTGTTGACTCCTGATTTATGCACGTTCTGACACTCTCAGCCATGTTTCTTAGCCTGTAGCCTGTTAGAAGCAGAGAACTGCAAGGCAGAAGGTGGCAGGGGGAGGCAGGTGAGTGGGTAAGTAGAAGTGACAGCTGACGGCCTGAGAGCGAGGGACAAGGCTGAGTCAGAGTTCTCGGTGATCAAGTAGTCTGGCGCTTTCACTTTTACAGACAGAAAGGCTAAAGCTCAGAGAAGTCCCCTGGCTTAGATCCCATGGTGGGCCTGGACTGGAATCCAGTCCCCTCAACTTCACATACGGTGGTTACATTTGGTGCCACAGCACTAATGTCACTCACTTATGTCATAGTTGCCGAGGACGGCTGAGTGTCATTGAGCAAGTATTTAATTATGTTCAAGATCCTCTGTCTCAAAAAAGTCAGGGAAGTGTTTATGATTTGAAAAATAATTCCATTCCAAAGAGTTTAGGTGAAAATGCCATCACGTAGAATATGTGGGCAGATATCTTTTATTCCAGATCTTCTTTGCTGGGACCTCATTTTCCAGTGGTGCCTAATGGACGAAGCCTGGCCGCGTTCCCGCCCTGGAATGAGGCTGACAAGCCTAGGTCCTCCCAGTGGAAAATATGAGTACAGAAGTGGGGAAAAGACAGTGGCTTTCTGATTGTCTCCATCTCTGAAAGCTTTCACTGAGTTATACATGGAAGTTGTTCCCTGGCACTTAAAATAACTTCTTACATATGGTTTCTAATTTATTTTACTTACAAAAGTAGTATGTGTTCAGCATAGAACTAGAAAGTAGATATAAATTTCATTAAGAAAAAACACAAATGATTTCACCACCGAAAGAGAATTACCGTTAACACCTTGGCAATACTTGTCCAAATTGCTTCATTGTTCAGGCTATTATGCTTGCGCTGTCTCTCTCTCTCTCTGTCACGTGCTCGTGTGTGTATGTCTATACATAGACTGTATAGACACACATACCCATGTATATCATTGATACACATAAAATGTGGATCATGCTGCTAAGTTTTTTCAACCTATGTTCAATTAATAATGGACATGTTTGCATCTAGATACATGAAGATCTATCTTATTTTAATTATTATTATTATTATTATTATTATTATTATTATTTGAGATGGAGTTTTGCTCTTGTCACCCAGGCTGGAGTGCAATGGCACGATCTCTGCTCACTGCAATCTCCAACTCCTGGGTTCAAGCGATTCTCCTGCCTCAGGTGCCCACTACCACACCTGGCTAATTTTTTGCATTTTTAGTAGAGACGGGGTTTCACCATGTTGGCCAGGCTCGTCTCGAACTCTTGACCTCAGGTGATCCACCTGCCTCGGCCTCCCAAGGTGCTGGGATTACAGGCATGAGCTACTGCGCCCGGCCTACCTTATTTTTTGAACAGCCGCAAACGAGTCCATCCTGTGGTTGCGCCTTAATTTGATGAACTGTCCTCTACTGTTGGGCATTTTGGTTGTTTCCAGATTTTTTGCTATCGTGATTCCAGTTGTGATCAGCATATTTGCCCATGCCCTTAATTATCTCCTTAAAATGAATTCTTGGAAGAACCATGGCTGTGTCAAAGGAAACGAAGTCTTTTATGGTTTTCAATGTGTGTTGCCAGAACTTTGGAGCTCTGTTTTTCCACTCAGATTTTATGATTTTGGAAAGTGCCCCTGTAGTTTGCCTGTAGTTTAGGATTCTAGACATTGTGATTCACCAAGACACCCAGCCGGAGCTCCTGCCATCCTCCCTCTTCTGGGCTCACTGCTTCTTCCATTTCTCTTTGCAGTGATCTCTTTCTCTGACTCCTTGGATGTGGTCACAGGGCTTCAGGATCTTGTTCTGGGGGAACTGGAATGGTGGGTGGGAACATGGAGAATGGAGAATAAGCAGTAGTGTGGGTGCACACATGTGCTAGTCCAATCGTATTGAGAGGATAGTTTTGGGAAATTCACCCTGGACCTCCGCACTGTCAATGCCAAAGGCACTTTATGGCTGAACATTGGGTTGAAGCTTCAGGCTGATTCTTCTGCCTAGGATCAATACGGAGTCTCCCTCTGTCACCCAGGCTGGAGTGCAGTGGCGCAATCTCAGCTCACTGCAATCTCTGCCTCCCAGGTTCAAGTGATTCTTGTGCCTCAGCCTCGTGTGGCTGGGATTACAGGCACACACTACCATGCACAGCTAATTTTTGTATTTTTAGTAGAGACAGGTTTTCACCATGTTGGCCAGGCTGGTCTTGAACTCCTGACCTCAAGTGATCTGCCCACCTCGGCCTCCCAAAGTGCTGAGATTACAGGTGTGAGCCACTGTGCCCAGCCAGACTCCCCCTTCTTCATCTGTACTCTAGTTGCAGTGACATTTTGCAGGTCCTCTAGAATACCAAGCTCCTTCCTGATTCAGGGTTTTTAAATACGTGGCTCCCTGAATGGGGGGTAGGGCTGAGGGTCAGGGTATACTCTTCCTTTTTTAAGCTTTAACATTTTTTCTAGAGACAGGGTCACCCTATGCTTCCCAGGCTGGTCTTCAACTCCTGGCTTCAACTGATCCTCCAGCCTCAGCCTCCCCAAAGTGTTGGGATTACAGGCATAAGCCACCGTGCCCAGCCCCTCTTCCTTCCTCTTCCACCTGTGGGACAAAGCCAAGTGTGGAGATTAAGAGCATGACTCCTGGGGTCAGGCTTGGGTTTGTATCCTGGTTCTGCCACTTAGCTGCTGTTCAACCTTCGACAAGCTGCTCAGCCTCTCTGTGCCTTAGTTTTTACATCTGTAAAGTGTGTTTAATAATCGTATCCCCCTCATAAAGGTCGTTGTGAGGATCAAATACAGTGCCATCTATACGCACTTAGAACAGTTCCTGGCACGTATACGTAGTAACCATTAGGAAACACTTGTTACTGAGCTGGCCTCAGCATGCTCACCACACCACAGAGTTTTCCACAACCCCCATTGTGGGCCAAGAGTTCTCAGTTTGTGTTCTCATGACCATCTGCACCTTCCTTCTTAGCAGTTACTACAGTTGTTACTAAATAAATAAACATTTAAAAAAAATGTCTGGGCTGGGCAAGGTGGCCCACGCCTATAATCCCAGCATTTGGGGAGGCTGAAGTGGGAGGATTGCTTGAGCCTGGGAAGTTGAGGTTACAGTGAGCCGTCATGGAGCCACTGCATTTCAGTCTGGGCAGCAGAGGGAGACGCTTTCTCAAAAAAAAAAAAAAAAAAAAAAAATCTGACTCTTGCCTGAAGCTGTCCCATGAGACGTCCCATGAAGGCAGGGACCGCTGCTCTCTTGTTCACAGCAGAGAATTGGTTTTCAATAAGGATCTGATCAAGGAGTGGAAAGAATGGTCCTGCTACTTATGGCTACAGAGCGGAGTTCATCAGAAAGTCACTCAGGGACCTCCCCGATGAAATAATAGGGTAACTGACTACAAGACGATGGGTGTCCAAGGACTGAGCCTCTTCTAGCTTCCTGAGCCACCCTGTGCTTGGAGGTTGCAGACTCTTTCAGTCCATAAAGGACCAGGGTTGTTTTTAAATTTCTAACTCATCATAGATCTAAACTTTAAAAAATATAATTAAATGAATTACTAGAAAAATGAAATAAAACTCAAGGCTGGGGTTTCTCAACCTTGGCACTATTGATGTTCTGGACCACATAGTCCTTTGTCTTGGGGACTGTCCTGTGTGTGGTAGGATGTTGAACCTGTCCTTTTATTATTAGATTTAACAGACATGAACGTAGTCTATCAAATTGCTACAGAGGGGCCAGGCGTGGTGGCTCATGCCTGTAATCCCGGCACTTTGGGAGGCCAAGGCGGGCAGACCACTTGAACCTAGGAGTTTGAGACCAGCCTGGCCAACATGATGAAACCCCAACTCTACTAGAAATGCAAAAATTAGCCAGGCGTGGTGGTGGGTGCCTATAATTCCAGCCACTCGGGTGGCTGAGGTACGAGTATTGCTTGAACCCGTGAGGCGGCGGTTGCAATGAGCCGAGATCACGTCATTGCACTTCAGCCTGGGTGACAGAGCGAGACAGTCTCAAAAAAGAAAGAAAAAGAAAGAAAGAAAGAAAGAAAGAAAGAAAGAAAAAGAAAGAAAGAAAGAGAAAGATCTACAAAGGTTTCTAAACACTTACTTGAGGTTTCTGTACTACTCTTGGCATAGACTGGTGACAGACCCTGCTTTGAGCAGCACCAAACTCATCCCTCACAGAAAGGGAAACTGAGGCCCTGCTCAGGATCCAGATAGAAATGTGCTGTTAAAACACATTGAAAACTTGTAGGAGGCCAGGCACGGCGGCTCACGCCTGTAATCCCCACACTTTGGGAGGCCGAGGCATGCAGATCACCTGAAGTCAGGAGTTTGCGACCTGCCTGGCCAACATGGTGAAACCCGATCTCTACTAAAAATACAAAAAAATTAGCTGGCTGTGGTGGCGGGGCGCCTGTAATCGCAGCTACTCAGGAGGCCAAGGGAGGAGAATTGCCTGTACCCTGGAGACAGAGTTTGCAGTGAGCGGAGATCGCGCCATTGCCCTCCAGCCTGGATAAGAAAAGCGAAACTCCGTCTCAAAACAAAAACTTGTAGGAATGTTTCTGAGTTTAGGTTCTTTCCCTTTTCTCTCCCCAGTTCACCTGTGGCAGATGATATCATCCAGCCCGCTGCCCCCGCAGACCTGGAAAGCCCAACCTTAGCTGCCTCTTCCTACCACGGTGATGTTGTTGGCCAGGTCTCTACGGATCTGATAGCCCAGAGGTACGGTGGGGGCCCTGGAGCTGGTGATGAGACCTCAGGGCCCAATCCTTGAGGCTGCCTTCCCCCGCTCCCCTCCCTTCCCCTCCCCTCCTCTCTTTTCTCCTGCAGTTTCACCCCCTCTGCACACACACACAGGGTGTGCACACCTGTCCTGAACAGGTGTGTGCCAGAGTTGGGGCCTCTTCTTGTGACCTTAGGAATGATCTGAGATACCAGGAAGACCGTTTCCCCTGTCCCGGCCCCCAAGACATACAAGGGGCATTTTACAGACTTTTTTCCTATGTGGCCTTCAGGGGTCCCTATTTGAAACAGAAACCCTCCAGTAGAGAGAACGTGCTACTTCTCCTTTTTCAGGGAACGGTTGAGTTAGCTGCCTTCTGATCTCCTGGGACAGAGCTGGATTCACTGCTCATTTTCTTTCATTTTTTGATGGTGGTCAGAGAAGAGGAGGGTCAGCAGCACATGGCAGGGGAGCCAGGGGCCTGGGGTCCCCGCCCCTGCCCTTCTGCCATGTCACCTCCCACCAGCCTCCCTTCGTTTTGCTCTTCACACCCCAGCAACCCCACACTGATCACGGTTCTCCGTCTACACTGTGCTTGGCCTGGATTCAGGCTTCACTGCTCCTTCTGCCTGCAAACTTGGCATTTAACCCGGGCTTTCCCAGAATCAGCTCAGAGTCAGCTCAGATGCCCATATATGCATATATAGGCACACATGGACATGTATGCCTCCACATGTCTCTCCATACACACATGTACACGTGTATGTCTACATGTCTATACACACACATGTCTGTGTGTGTGTCTATGAATACACGCGTGCACACATTTTAATTTCTGTTTATATCAGTGAAGCATCTGCTTTTTGCCCAATATTGCACAGTGCTGGGGAAGCCATGGTGAATAGGCAGATGCTGTCCCTTCCCTCCTGGAACTCATGGCCCAGTGACCCTTCCTCCCAGAAGCCTTCTCCCCACGCTGAGAGAAGCCTGCATCTGAATTCCTGCAGTCACCCGTTGTGCCCCTATGTCACTGCCCTCCACAGATCCTTGTAAATGACCCGTATCTAATTCCGTCTCCTTCACTAGACTGGGAACTCCTTGAGGGAGGAACTGGTCACCTGTAATCTCTGGAACCGCAGTACCCAAGATGGCATTGGGCAGGCCCTGGAGGAATGGTGGCGACTTGAACCAGATGAGGGGGGGACAGGGACCTGGGGGCTGGCCCGTGCTGACCCTCTTCCTTGGGGTGCAGGCAGGCGGCCGACAGCACCAAGACACCTCTTCAAAACTAGGAGGAGGTACCTGGTGGGGGAGAAAGCAGAGGACGGGATAGATAGGGCAGGAAGCTGCAGGCTGGAAGCAGATATTCCAGGGCAGCCATGCAATGATGTGGAAATTTAGACGTTCCTTTTATAGGTGGGAGTCAGCCATAGTTCTTTTTTTTTTTTTTTCCTGAGACGGAGTCTCACTCTGTCACCAAGGCTGGAGTACAGTGGCACAATCTCTGCTCACTGCAACCTCCGCTTCCTGGGTTCAAGCGATTCTCCTGCCTCAGCCTCCCGAGAAGCTGGAATTACAGGCGTGCGCCACCATGCCCACCTAATTTTCTTGTATTTTTTTTTAGTAGAGATGGGATTTTGCCATGTTGGCCAGGCTGTTCTCAAACTCCTGACCCCCAGGTAATCTGCCTGCCTCGGCCTCCCAAAGTGCTGGGATTACAGGCGTGAGCCACCTCGCCTGGCCGAGTCAGCCATAGTTTTTACTTTTGTGTGACTTTAACTTCTTAAAGGAAAAACCCTAGCTGCGAACGAAGGCCCCCAACCCTCAAGAAGTGTACAGAAGTTTCCAGTGAGACGTGGGGCACCCCCTTCCTGTCTGTCCTATTCCTCCCCCTCTTTGTCCCATTTGGCTCCCTGACCACCACCGTTTTAGGAAGACCCAGGGGCCTCTGGCTGTAGCCAATGGGGCACGCCCTCCCTTAGCAAAGCCTGGAAGGGAGCCGAGATCACTCTCACCCGATGCTCCCATCTTACAGTCGGGGGATGCGGGGGCACGAGGAAGCTCTGAGGAGAGGATGGCGCTGGACTTGGCGGGATGGCTCTCAGAGAGCTGCAGTCCAGCGGAGGGTGTAATGGGTGCTTCTGAAGGCCCCTCCCATGCCTGAGACTGCATGTTTTAAGTGACTTGTCCCAGGCTCCATAGTAGGTGAGTGGCACATGCTCTTAAGTCTCCTTTTCCCTGGACACTTCCCATGCTCCAGGCACCATGCTGGGTGTGTTTCATCGAGTGTCTCCGTAAATCCTCATGCCAGCTGTAGAAGGTGGGAACTGCTGTCATGGCTGCCATCTCACAGTTGAGCAGACTGGGGCTCAGAGACGTTAACATGCTCCAGTACACATAGCTAGTAAGTGGCAGAGCTGGGACTGCAGCAGCTCTGGCCCGGCTGCCCACCTGTGTTCTGAAACCTCCACTGGCAGAGCTGCGGGAGAGCCAGGCTTCCTCGAGATACCGTGTCCTGGGGCCCCGCCTGTATCCATGGTCTCTCTCTAGTCCAAGGAAGGTAATGCATTAGGTAATGCAGCTGTGTTACCTACAACCCTGACCAAGAGTGACCACAGAATGCAGGAGGGGACCAGTGGCTAAGCAGAGGTGTCAGTGCTGAGAACTCGGCCAGTTTCATGGCCTTATCTCCTTATGGAAAGACTCAGAACTCTGGGCAGAATGCAGGCATGATTAAAACCTGGGGGAGTATTTGACTAAGGAATGAGCAATTTTGGTGCCTTGTTGGTGTTACTGAACATTTATCCAGAGTCGTGTTGTCTTGTTGTTTTTACTGGATTGGTGGAAAAGAGATAGTTCTGTTAATACCAAGGATTGGTCTGACTTTGGTCACCAGATGCCTCTGTAAAATACAGTCGATCCTCGTTGGCAGATTCCATATTTGTGAATTTGCCTTCTCACTAAAATGTATTGATTACCCCAGAGTTGATACTTGTGGTCCTTTCTCAGTCATTTGCAGACATGTGCAGAGCTGCCCAGCACACACGTTCTCAGCTAAGATTGAACGAGGCAACGCCCTGCCTTCTTGTCGTGGCTCTGGCACTGCAAACAAGTGTCCTTACGTGGCATAGTTAGTTCAACTGTTGTGCTTTTCCTTGGTGAGCACATTGTTTCAAATGAGCCCTAAGCATGATGCTGAAGTCCCCTCCTAAGTGCAACAACAGGCCTCGGGGCGAAAAGTTGTGCTTTAGAGAAGCTTCCTCCCGGCATGAGGGGTAGTGCTGGTGGCTGTGAATTCAATGAAGCAAAATTACCTATTAAATAAGGCATCTTTAAACAGAAGCACACATGGAACAAGGTTATGTTTTGGTTGATTGGCTGATGAAAATGCTGTGCCTAGAAACTCACAGGAAGCTACCCCTATGTTTCCTCTAGAGGCAATAATTCAGTGTCTCCTAATTCAGGGTTCATGGCGACTTGGTAGAACATTCCTGTGAATAGCAAGAATCAACAGCACTTCACCTTGCCCATCTGCTGGAGAAACTAAGCGGGCGTCCTAGTGTGCAGTGGCGATTTAAGCGCAGCAGTGTCCCCGCCACCCCATCCACCTGCAATCCCTCTGCACTTTCTGCTTCCCATAAGGAGAGAGGCAGAGGGTGGGATGCGGAAGGAGGGGAGGGACCAACATGGGGCAGGGGGCAGGCTGGAACAGTCCTCGGGAGAGGTGTGCCTTTTCAGTAGTTTAAATTTAAAAATTAAATTGAAATGAATATATATATATATGTGTGTATGTATGTTTGTGTGTGTGTGTATATATATATATATATATATATATTAGATGTAGTCTTGCTCTGTCGCCCAGGCTGGAGTGCAGTGGCACAGTCTGGGCTCACTGCAAACTCGGCCCCCTGGGGCTCAAGCAATTGTTCTGCCTCAGCCTCCTGACTAGCTGGGATTACAGGCGTGCACCACCATGTCTGGCTAATTTTTGTATTTTTAGTATAGATGGTGTTTTGCCATGATGGCCAGACTAGTCTCAAACTCCTGACCTCAGGTGATCTGCCTGCCTTGGCCTCCCAAAGTGCTGGGATTACAGGCGTGAGCCACTGAACCCAGCAGAATTTTTTTTAATTAATAAAAAAAATTTAAAAAAAAGTAGGGCTGGAGCATTTGCTTTAAGCCAGCTGAGAGAAAAACAGAGAGCAAGCCTCACTCCTCCTTCCCTGTTGCCTGCTAATTCTTTGGTGCCCTGCCCTCTAGTTTCAAGAGCTCTTTTTTTTTCTGAGTAGCGGAAAAAGAAGGCACCTCTATCTCTAAGGTATTTCTCAAATAAAATGAAAGGGATTTCGATGCACCCTTTCTCTATTGTTAATGCCACTGGAGGGCACCAAAATTTGCTTCTTTCCTCAGGGAAGAGCTGTGAAGCTGCTTCGGGGGTTGAGCTAACCCTGGATGACAGAGAAAGCTGGGCCCAGATCTTCTGGAACTTTGAACAAATGACCACATTGCCTATGGCCACTTGTACTCTCATCTGTTCAGTATTTTCATTAAAAAAAAAAAAAGCAGAATGAGCCTGGGTAACCCTGCCTCTACAAAAATCAGCCGGTTGTGGTGGTGCGTGCCTGTAGTCCCAGCTACTCAGGAGGCTGGGGTGGGAGGATTGCTTGAGCCCAGGAGATGGAGGTTGCAGTGAGCTGAGACCAGGCTGAGAGCCTGGTTGACACACTGAGGCCCATCTAAAAAAAAAGCAGAATGGTTTTTTCAATGAAACCTTCCAGCTGCTGTACCACTATGTATTAAGCAGTGAAATGGGACACATCCAAGAGCCTCTTGTGCTTTTCCCACAGTCAAGAATCCATGCAGAGAGGTCCCCTGAGAACTTCAGGACTCCCACCCACACGGCTGAAAAATTACTTACTGGACTTGTGTCTGTGGGTCAGACTTCAGTGTGCATCAGAATCACCTGCTGACAACCCAGATATGCTGCCCTCTTCCCAGAGTCTGATTGAGGGGGGTGTTGGGAGGGGCCCACACCTGCATTTCCAGTCCTTGGAGAACCACCAGGTGAAGGCAGTGTTGTCCAGGCGCTTGCTTTTCTCCTCACCTGTGAACAGGTTTGAGCAGCTCATCACAGCTCCTCAGGAAGGGAGACACCAGGCCCAGCAGCTGGCGGCTGAAGTTTCTGATCTCTGACTTTGGACAGAAGGAGGTGGGATAGCCCCTGCTGAGTGTCATAGCCTCACCAGCGAGTTTCCAGATTCAGAAGCAGAGTTTAAAATGGTCAGAAGTTGAAAGGCCCGGGAATTCATACTGACTACAGCTTTTATTTCTTCTCTTGCTTCCAAATCATGTAGTTTATTTTTTTTTTTTCTGACTGCACAATAAGATTTTTTTGTCTTCCCTCTATGGGTATGCATAAGTGAGTTCAACCACCTCACAAAGGTTAGTTGAACCTTTATTTAAGCAGGTGCCTTATTAAAAACTGAATGATAGGTTGGGTGCGGTGGCTTATGCCTGTAATCCCAGAGCTTGGAGAGGCCAAGGCAGGGATCACCTGAGGTCAGGAGTTTGAGACCAGCCTGGCCAACATGGCAAAATCTTGTCTCTACTAAATATGTAAAAAAATTAGCTGGGCGTGGTGGCAGGCATCTGTAATCCCAGCTACTTGGGAGGCTGAGGCAGGAGAATTGCTTGAACCTGGGAGGCGGAAATTGCAGTGAGCCGAGATCGTGCCATTGTACTCTAGCCTGGACGATAAGAGTGAAACTCAGTCTCAAAAAATAAACAAACAAACAAAGACTGAATGATAAAGTGGAGGAATTATTTTTAATTTAGAAAATGGATCTCCCAAAAGTCTTCTCTGAATAACAGAATTCCTTTGTACCTTTAGAAGGTACTTTGACATTCATGAATCAGATTTGTGAAGCCAGCACCCAGCGTGCTGAGTGAATTGGGGTGCACCTTTACATTTCTTCAGAGCCTTTGAGTTTCCATTGTCTGTCTGGCTGCTGTTGGGGTTGAACCACATGAACTGCCACATTGGCAAGTGTCAGATATTGAGAATTTCATACGGTTCACACTCACACAAGATTCTGTTCTTGTTTTGGTTTTTCATGCTTCTTGAGCTGCTTTATCTGTATAGGCAGATTTTGACTTTCTGAATAAATAATCTTGGATATCCAAGATCAGTCTCCTTTTATCCCTTGTGTCTCCACCCCTGTAGCCTCTGTAAACCAGGACTCATCCCCAGAGAGCTCAGGACATAAGGAAATCTTGCCCCTGGGCCCGCAGAGCTGCTGGTGATGACCAGGCGTGGGGATTCATAACTTGGACGATCCAAGCCAGACCAAAGCCTCGCCTATGGTTTTGGGATGGTGTTTATCACTTTTCCCTTGGTGAATATTTTCCTTCCTGCTTAAGTTTTG
This sequence comes from Homo sapiens, assembly GCF_000001405.40. Lineage (NCBI taxonomy): Eukaryota > Metazoa > Chordata > Mammalia > Primates > Hominidae > Homo > Homo sapiens. Next base: position 122,139,161 of record NC_000010.11, read on the forward strand.
CTTGTGCCAAATTTGAAAATAACATCCCTCCTCTGAGCACGGGCTCTCTCTGTGAAGGTAAAGTGGATAGACGTGTGCCAGGGAAGAGCTGACCAGCCAGTTCAGGGTTAACTGCGCAGGAGCCCAGCGCCCGCTGGAAATCTGCAGATCAGCTTGTTTGGGGCTGCTCACGCTCTCACGTGAACTGGCTGGTGCTCGAATGCTGGTGGATCTCACCAACGACCAGAAATATCTGGATGTGCCTGCCTCGGAGCTTCCAGCCAATTCACAAGCACCTCTCAGCACCTTCTGATTTTGGCTTTGGGGCTTTTCAGTGGCTGCCTCTGAGAGACGCCTGTTCTATCTCCCATTGCTGAGTCTCATTTTATCAAGTCCCAGGCCTCCGTGGGACTGGCTGTCCAGCATTTGTATCAACCAAGCCTGGCTCTCCAAACCCACAATTTCACAGCACTTTCCTTTCTGCACTTTGCATCTCACCTTCAGCATGACCTGAGTCTTCGGCCTTAACGCTTGCCCTATTATGTGATCATGTGCACTTGGGAATTTCGGAAGAAAAAAATCAAGAGGCCTGGGAGGAAGGGCTGTTAGTGCTAAATGCCTTCCAGATGGTGATGTGAAATGGGAGATAAGATGCTGTCACCCATCTGGCCAACAGGACTGATGTGTTTGGCCTGCACCTTGGGGGCTGTTATCACCCTCCCGTGACAGCCTGGGCCACTCTGGTGTTTGTCCTTGCACAAGGGCTTAATTTGGCAGCTCCAGCCAATCTCTGAAATGAAATTTGCTATCAGTTCAGTGAGGGATCTGCCTAGCGGGACTCAAAAGCCCTGACCAGGGAATCAAAGGACAACAGCTGCTGACGGTGTCTCACTGCGGCCGGATCTGCAGGGCTGTCGGGCTGAATGTGAGCCCTGGAGCTGTGTGTGTGGCTGGAGACTGCAGCCGAATGGGCAGTGGGACCAGTTGTTGTTTGTGAGGACCTTAGCAAGGTGCTAACTCAGGGACAGCAAACTCTTCAGATCCATCGTCTCTGATCCATTGGTAATGGTTCTCTAGGGATCTGTGTTGCGATGGATTCTGAGGTCTTGTCTAGCTGGGCTTAGCAGGAAAGAACGCCTTGATCAATAAGTCATGGCTGTCTGCTGAAAGCGTGGTGGTTTATATGCTGTCAGCTCTGTCCTAAACAAAAAGAAATAGCAGGTTGAACTTAAATCAACATATCCTTCCTCTTCCAAAAATATAAACACTCTACATGAATTTGAATTCAGCTTCTTCGTTATTCCAATAAGGTTTGGAAAACACTGATTAACTCCTTAAATGGAAAAAGGCATCCCAGATGTTTAGCCCCAGGCTAGCTTTCCGCCAGAGGAAGACAGCAAGATAACTCTAGCAGGTGGAATGAGACTACAGAATGTGCGGACCCCATATCAGTGCCCTGCTCTCTCTGGGCTGGGTTTGGCAGCTGTCTGGAAGGTTCTGCAAAGGCCTGGGATTGGTCCTGGGCATTTGTTCAGGGCCCGACTTCCTGAGAACAATGTCTTTAAGAGGAGTCACTGCTGGTCACGGGAGGCTTGAACGCAGATGGGAGCTGACTGGGGTTGTTGGTGAGGAGCTGGCTGCCGGCTGCCCCTACCTGCTTACTCGCTTTGCTTGAGCAACATTGCCCTCTGGCAGCTCAGGGGGAGTTCAAGGGACCTTGACTAGGCTCCTGGAGGACCAGCTTCCGAATGCCGTGGAAAGTCAGGGAGGGCTTTACTCAGTGGAAGGACCTGATCAGAACTTGAGTTGGGTCATTCTGGTGGCTGTGGGGCCTTGGATCTGAGGGGACAAAACGGAAAGCAGGCACAGCAGGATAGCCCAGGAGTCCTGCTCAGAGAGGGCAGATTCCAGAAGGAGAAGGAGGTGACTCAGCAGGAAGGGGTGATGAGGGGCATGGGAATGAGAGAACTGGAAGTCAGTGCCAGGGCCTGGCGGGCTGATGGTGCCACTACCTTGCTGGGAAAATTGGGGGAGGAGGAGGAGGGTCAGGAGGGAAGAGGAGAAGTTCTGTTGGGCCCAGGAGGTGTCTGTGGGGGCCCATGTGTTAGCGCTTGGGCTTGGATGGTGAGTCACTGAGTGTTTCCTCGTGGGAGCCTGACCTCCTCGGCCCCTGGGTATGAGCCAACAGGCGGTGGAAGGAGGGGGGCGCCTTTCTTAAATGAGCTGTTGAGTCACACTTGTTTGATGCCTTTGGCTAACGGGACCCAGCCAGCGCAGGAAGGGTGTGGCCATGGCAGTTGGGACCAACAGAAGGAAGGGAGGAGGGAGCAGCCAGGTGGCCCCTCAGGAACAGGAGCAGCTGTGGGTGTTAAGGGCAGGCGGGGGAGCTTGGTGAGTGAGCCTTGGTTGTGCTGCCCCAGGGTGTTCTCAGAGATGGGGCAGGTGTAGCCTTGGGCATCTGCATCAGATCCCAGGGCTGTCAGCTGTCACAGAGCTGGCTTTGTTGTGATTAGCAGCGGGCCACAGATCTAAGGTAGCATCTCCCCCCCACCCGCCACTGTTTTCTAAGACAGAGATCCTTCCTTGCAGTTTGATAAACAGTACCCTTAAATCACAGAACCACAAACAATACCACCTTTCCACAATTTGCATTAAACTAAGTAAAATCTTGGTGGGATGTGTGTGGTGGAGGGGGGAGCACAGCAGTGTAATTTCTTGAGAAAGCGAAGTTAGACTAGTAGTTTGCGTTTGTAAGTGGTCCATTTGCCGATTATGAGTACATGTCAGCCTCCAAAGTGCAAAATAGCTCTCTTAAGGAGCTTAAATGCCTCTGGTAGTTTGCATTATTCATTTTGAGTCATTCTTTTACAAAATGATTAATTTTAGCCACTGCCCAAATTGTTGCAAATAATAGTTTGACAAAGGAGGCCAGTCACTCCATCTGTGAATCCACTTTGCTGTTTTGCTGGGTTTCCTCCAAGCACTTGTAATTTTTGTTCCCCCGTGGATTGGTCTGCTCTGGGCTTTCCTAGGTCGTTATTTCTTGGGCTCTGTTTTCCTCTGTGGAGCCCCGAGGGAGCAGGCAGCATGGGTTCCAGCCCTGGCTCTGCTCCCACACTTGGTTGCAGCCAGTTGGACACTTGGCGGTATCCCCTCTGCCTGCTGTGGGCGGCCTGGCCCAGGGTTGCGATCCTGCGGTGGATGTGGCAGATGTGGCCCCTGTCCTCGTGGAGCTCTGAGGCCAGGACGGTGAGGGGCTGGGAAGTGCCTGCTGGACCTGCAGAATCTGCTAAGCTGTGACCAGACTTATGGGCAAGACTGAGTCCTCTGTCCAGTGTACAGTGTGGGTGCCTATGGCAGCTGCCCTTCAGACCAGGGTGCTAGCCTGTCAGGTGGACCTCGAAGAGATGGAGTGAGCAGACATAGCAGCCCAGAGGCCCACGCACCCTGGACTCCTGCAATCTGGGAGCTCCCTGGAGGTGTTTACCCGCAGAGGGAAGCAGTGATCCCTCACTGCAAGGGCTGTGACGCCACAAACCCCAGCTACCACCTCAGGCTGGGTTTCAGGCCGTCTGTGCTGAGTCTTGTATTCCAGCCTGGCTACCCCAAGACACCTTCAGCCTGGCCAGTCCCACTGTGGACCAGAGCAGGGATGGCTGGAGAGGCTGGGAGGGTACCACCCTGAAAGCTGTTCCCAGGCTTTAGTCTGTGGAGGCCGTTGCTAGCCTTGCTTTTTGCCAGTGGGGAAAATCAGAACCTCTTCTGCACTGCAAGCCTGTGCCTTTTGGCTTTTGTGGGGAGTGGTCTCCAGTGCTACCCCCGGAGGCCCCGCACGCTGTGGTTCCCTGGCTGTCCAGCAGGGGGCACTCGTTCCCTACTCGAGGGCCACACTCCGTCTCTGAAACTCATTCCTCCCCCAGGACACGGGTGGCCCAACTGGTCCCGGGGCAGGTTCCCGAATTTCCCATCATCCTTTTCCCCTGGATTTTTCTCAGCCTTGGGATTTGCGGGCAAAGCCTGGGGAATTTGTAAAGTTGTATTTTAGTTCTCACCTTGTAGAGTTTCATTGCCTATCACAAACGAATAGAAATCATCATAAAAAAAATCCTCTCCTCTAAACAAAAATCAAACGAGAAAACTCACATAGCGTGTCCTGGACACCTGAGCTGCCTCTGTTAAAGAAACCCGGTTCTACAGAAGCTTAAGGAGGGAGGAGCTTAAGGGCCTGGCCTGGGAGCCACTTCGTTGCAGCCACAGGCCCTGCTGTGCAGAAGTGGAGGCCTGGATGGGGAAGCCGGGGAGCCAAGTGCTGGGGTTTAAAGAGTCCATTCCATGTGTGGGCGGGTGGGTTGGGTGGGGTGAATGGGGCCTGATGAATGTGCCATTAATGAGCCCAGCACCATGTGGAATAATTCCCTCATTGTGTCCCCAGCATCTCCCCAGCTGCTGCCCATGCGGGTCTTCCTCCCTCGGCTGCAGAACACATAGTTTCGCCATCTGCCCCAGCTGGTGACAGAGTAGAAGCTTCCACTCCCTCCTGCCCAGATCCGGCCAAGGACCTCAGCAGGTATTGCGCAAGTCCCCCTCCACAGCACCTGCCCCCGGAGAGCAGGGGCCTGGTGGTCTCTGCCCCCTAGGTCTTGGGGTGAGCCGCATTTAGGATGGTAACAAGGTGGTGACCATTTGGCCCCGTGAGACCATGTCTCTGACCCTTTGGGCCATAGCCGATCTCAGGTTTACCCTTGCCCACCTGCTCCTCATGTCACAGTGGGAAGCATGGTGTGGGCGAGTGCGTTAGGGTTCTGCACAGAAACAGAGCCAATAGGATGGATAGATGGATGGATGATCTATATGTGTATGTATTTATATGTATATATATATGCAGAGAGAGGGATTTATTTTAAGGGATTGGCTCATGTGATTGTGGGGGCTAGCAAGTCTGAAATAATGCAGGGCAGGCTGGAGAGTAGGGAAGAGTTGTTGTAGCAGAGCCCCAAGGCCATCTGCTGGCAGAATTCCCTTTTCCTTGGGGAAGGTCAATCCTTTTCCTTTAAGGCCTTCAACTGATGGGATGAGGTCCACCCACATTATAGGAGGTAATCAGCTTTACTCAAAATCTACTGATTTCAATATTAATCTCATGTAAAAAATATCTCCACAGTGAAATTGAGACAGGTTGGATCAAATATCTGGGTTCAATGGGCCAGCCAAGTTGACACATAAAGTTAATGATTAGAGCAAGTATTTGGAACTCCTGTTTCCATGCAAGCAGTTGGTTTTGATTATAAATCATTAAAGCCTCCTAAAGAGCATTCTTGGACAGTATTTTGTAGAGAGCCAAATGCATCTGGGTGTGCTGAGAACGGCAGGCCTCGGTCCTCAGGGAGCTCCTGCTGGCTGGGAAGCACACAGTGCTGAAAGCTAAGCCATGGTAGAGGGCAAGAATATAAGGGGTGCCCAAAGCGTAGACAACCAGCTGCCAAACCAGAGTGTCGGGAAGTAGTAGAGAAATCAGAGGAAGGGAACATCACCACATGCAGATGATATTCTAGAATACCGGGTAACAGTAGGGTGGGCCCAGAGCTGGACCAGAGTCTGCCTTATCTGGATGATGCCACCTAGACCATTAAACTCTTCTCTGTCCTGTATCTCCTGGCATCTACCTGCAGCTCTGTTGGTCCTGAGTCCCAGAGGGACTTTCCATCCTTCAGATTGTTGTTGGCAGAGCAGGAACATTTGTTCCACCCCTCTTGGATCCACCGCAGTGCCTGGTCTGCCATAATTCTTGGCCCAAGGACAAGGAAATGTATGGGAGGTCTGCTTTTCTGCTGGTGAGATAGCACAAGCAGAGGTTGGGGAGCAGGAACATCCCCAGCTGTTTGGGGAAACACCCTTGGTTTGCCTTGGACATAGTAGGTGCACAACCAAAATGTGTTGGAGAAAGAAATACAATTACTCTTCTCAAATATTCTGCCCTTCAGTTTCTTATAAAGGTAAACATAAATCCACAATATGACCCAGCAATCCCATTTTTAGATATTTACCTATGAACGATGAAAATATATGTCTACCTAAAAACTTGTATGCATGTATTCTTCATAATTGCCCCAAATTTGAAACAACCCAGATATCTATCCACTGGTGAAAGGATCAACAAATTGTGGTATATCTATGCCAAGGAATATTACTCACCCATAAAAAGGAACAAGCTATTGATTCATGCAACTAAATTGATGAATCGCAAATGCATTAGGCTAAGTGAGAAAGACTGGACTCAAAAGACTACATTCTACATGATTCAGTCTAGATGAGATTCTGGGAAAGGCAAAACAATAAGGAATGGAAAACAGATCAGTGGGCACTGGGGGCTGGGATTTGTATTGACTACAAATGAGCATGAAGAGATCTTTGTGGGGGGTGATGGAAATGTTCTGTAAAATTTGTGGAACTATATACTTAAAAAGAGTGAATTTTACTATTTTTTGGTATGTAAGTTATACCTCATTTTTTTTAAAAGAACTTATCCAAGGGCTAGAGTAGATTTTTGATGAAATCTAAAATAAAAATTTCAACCTTCAGACCTTTTGCTGATGCAGTGTTAGGGTCAGAGAGCATCTCTGGTGCCTCCTGGCACCAGCAGACACAAGTGGTACCCATTTGCTCTATGTCTTTCTTTCCTGAGGTCAGATGGGCTCACGGCTCTCAACCTGTCATAGAAGGCACACTGGGTGATCTCACCTTTAGCCCTGGAGCCCACTCTGTGTGGGTTGCTTCTGAATCTCATTCATTTACACATCTGAGCCATTCAGCAACATGAACTTGGGATTACTCTGGGCCAATCACTGTGCTAGGGACAGGACACAGAGGTCTGGAAGACAGGCACCGTCCTGCCCTCAAGGAGCATCCAGTGCTGGCAGATAGACATGGAGCAATGAGTTACTAGGGGAGAAGTGCAGCACCCTGGATGGATGCGACCCACAACCTCACTTAGTCTGGGTAGCTGAGGATGGCTTCCCAGGGAATCGACTGAGAGCTTAGGCTGAGTGGGTTTATGTGTGGGCTGGGCCGGAGGTTGCTGAAGATACAGAAGAGAATAGATATTGTTGGGGAGAAACAGCATGTGCATGGACCCTGAGGTCCATCTCAAAAAAAAAAAGTTATCAATATATTGATACATCTTTATTATAATAACTAAAGTCTATAGTTGCTGTGGTTTGAGTATTTGTTGCCTCCAAAATTCATGCTGAAACTTAACCCCCAATCTGGCAGTATTGAGAGGTGAGGCCTTTAAGAGGTGATTGGGTTATGTGGCTCTGCACTCATGAATGGGTTAATCCATTCATGAATTAATGGATTGCTGGGATATCATGGGAGTGGGACTGGTGGCTTTATAAGAAGAGGAAGAAAGACCCGAGCTAGCTTACTCAGCCCCCTCGTTATAGGATACCCTGAACCACCTCTGTACTCTGCAGAGTCCCCACCAGCAAGAAGGCCCTCACCAGATGCTGCCCCTTGACCTTTGACTTCTCAGACTCCATAACTGTAAGAAAACAACTACTTTTCTTTATAAGTTATCTAGTTTCAGGTATTCTGCTATAAGCAACAGAAAATGAACTAATACAATAGTTGATTCACGTTTTCTTAGTTTTTCCCTAATGTCCTTTTTCTGTTCCAGGATCCCATCCAGGAAACCACATTTCCATTTTGTTTCTGTAGGTGCCTCTTGGCTGTGGCTGTTTCTTCTTAGACTTGTCTTGTTTCTGATGACCTTGACAGTTCTAAGGAGTTCTGGTTGGGTATTTAGTAGGATGCCCCACTATTGGAATTTGTCTGATGCTTTTCTCATGATTGGACTGGGCCTGTGGGTTCTGGGAGGAAGAACAGAGATCAAGTGTCATTTTCATCACATCCTATCAAGGGTACATACCATCGACATGACATATCACTGCTGACATTGACCTCAGTTGCTTGGCTGAGGTCATGTTTGTTGACTGTCTCCACTGTAAAGTTACTTTTTTTTTTTGAGACAGAGTCTCACTCTGTCACCCAGGCTGGAGTGCAGTGGTGCCATCTCCACTCACTGCAACCTCCACCCCAGAAGCTCAAGCGATTCTCCTGCCTCAACCTCCTGAGTAGCTGGGATTACAGGCTCCCGCCACTACGCCTGGCTAATTTTTGTATTTTTAGTGGAGTCAAGGTTTCACCATGTTGGCCAGGCTGGTCTCAAACTCCTGACCTCAAGTGACCCGTCCGCCTTGACCTCTCACAGTGCTGGGATTACAGGCATGAGCCACTGCGCCCCGCCAAGTTCCTTTTTTTCCCCCATTTCAGTACTGTCGTCTGTGGAAGGAAGTCACTGTGTGCACATTTAAGGGGTGGAGAGTTGTGCTCCTCCTCTGTTAGGGTGGAACATCTACAGAAATTATTTAGAGTTTTTCTGCACAGGAGATTTTTCTGTTCTCCTTCATTTATTAATTGATTCAATCATGTATTTATATCTGCATGGACTCCTGGATATTCATTTTATTCTTTGGGTTATAACCCAATACTACGTTATTTCATTGCTCCAATTGTAGCAGCTTTGGTCATGGGCTCCTTGGGCTTTCTTTTAAGAGTGTCCAGAAGCCCCCAGGCAGTACAGTGATACGATCGGATCTGCATTGTTAAAGACCTGGCCAGCTGCCTGCCAAGACAGGAGTGGTTTTAGGATTGAGGCCCCCATTTCCTGGGGCTCCCTGACAGCTGTGGTTCCATCACCTTCAGTGCACTCTCCACCTCGACTCTCTCCACAGCTGCTTTCAACCATGCGGCCATGGCCTGGATCCAGGGATCCAATCAACCGTGTTTTTTCCCTTTGGATGAGTTCCTGGAGGTTTTCAAAGCAAGTTTCGAAAATGTAAGGTTGAACATTTGATTTCACTGAAATGGAAGTCGTTATTCACCCAGGCTGAGCCAGAATTTTTTTTTTTTTTTTTTTTTTTTAGGCAGAGTTTCGCTCTCATAGCCCAGGCTGGAGTGCAATGGCGTGATCTCTTCTCACTGCAACTTCCGCCTCCCGGGTTTAAGCAGTTCTCCTGCCTCAGCCTCCCTAGTAGCTGGGATTATAGGCACCCGCCACCATGCCTGGCTAATTTTTGTATTTTTAGTAGAGATGGGGTTTCACCATGTCGACCAGGCTGGTCTCGAACTCCTGACCTCAGGTGATCCGACCGCCTCAGCCTCCCAAAGTGCTGGGATTACAGGCGTGAGCCACCATGCCCAGCCCTGGGCCAGAATTTGAGGTCCTGGATGGACTCTTGATTTTGGAAATACGTCTTCCATGGGTTCCTGCCACCAGCCAGGCATCGCCTGTTGGAGCCAGCGTGCCTTCTGGGTGTTATGCGCAGGCAGCTGCAGTGCCCGCCATATCTGTGGCTTTGTCTTCTCTCTTTGGGTTTGGAGGGGAGCAGCGAGGCAGTGAGACCTGGTGTATTGACAAAGAAAGCCCAGGGCACATCTTATTACAGAATTGACAGATGCTCTGTTCTTGCAAACATGCTGGGTGACTTCCTGCTGCCTCTTCCTGCTTCTTGCGGCTGCTGTGGAAACGATGACACAATCCCACGTTTCCAGTGCAAATGGCTTTTCTCCAGGAGTTTTCACACTCCCCTCCCCCCACTCTCATTGGTAATCATTAGGCCGTAGGCCTTGGGGAGAACAGATGTGACTTTGAGAGGGAGAAAAGTGAGGTTCTGGGAAGGAGAGAGAGCTTCAAGTCTCTGCCTCCTATCCCTGCCTGGGAGGGAGACCATTGCTGCAGTCACCACGCTTCTGATGGGCCTTCCTTTCCCCTCCATCGTAGCCCTCCTGAGGCTTTGTGGGGTCAGCAGGTCACCCTGACTTTTCCAGAGCTGTCAGCTCTTTGGAGAGCTGTACGAGGCTGAAGCCAGGCGAGGGGTCTGATAATAAGAATTTCCAGGAATACAAGCTGAAAGCCCTCACCTCACCAAGGCAGCCACAGCTGACCTCTGAGAGCTTGTGGCAAAGAGCCTGGTGTGTTGGACATGAGCTGAGTGGGTGTGGGTGTGAGCCCACGCAAGCATCATCTCTGTTCAGAGTTGGCCTCTCACTCCCTGCTGCGGACAGCTGTCCCCTAGGAATTGGTGACTTGGAAACCTGGCCAAGGGCTGTCTGGATAGACGCGGGAGAAACGGGATGGGAGAAGCAGCTGAGCTTCTTGCAGGGAGGAGGAAGCCGGATCCCCGGTGCTGGGCAGGAGGCCCAGGAGACACCCCTTGAGAAATGCTACCCTGAGCTGCAGACTGTGGCGGCTGTGGCGTTGGCTCTTCAGGCTTTCCTGTGAGGTGCCCCCACACTCCCGGCCCCACCCGCCCTGGGCAGCTGCCCCAAATTGCTCCCTTCCCTCTGTCAACACTTCTCCAAGACTCCAGAGTTTTTCCTGCGCAGGAGGGGAAGGGCAGAAACCTCCCCATTCCCTCCACCCGAGTTAGAGAAGTCAGCCCTTTGGAAAACATGATGCATCTTCGCTCTGGAGCCAGTTCGCCAGTCCGCTCCCCAGCGCGGCACTTTGCCTTGTAGGCGGGGTGCAGATGAGCCTCTCTGCCTCACTAGGGAAAGGGGCTGGGTTGTTGGGCTGAGGGTCTCCGGGGATTAGACTCTGCGCTGACCAAACTGGGCTCTCGTGGCATCATTCCTTGGTTACGCAGGTCAAGTTTCCATTGTTCTCTTGCCTCTGAGGCCCACTGGGTCCGGGGCAGACTGAGCATAACTACGCTGAGCCACGTCACCGGCCGGTGAGACGCGCGGAGGCATTGATGGGTCCCCTGGTTCCCGCTCAGTCTCCGAAATGTGAGCTGCCGCGGAGTGGGTGCTGGGCTGTCCCGCTGGCTTCAGCCTGAGGAGCAGGAGCAGAGGGCGTCAGTTAGATGGTGGCTCCCTCAGTTCCGTGGGCCCAGGTCTGCAGTTCTTTTCCTCCTTCTGGGAGGGGAGGGGAAGGAGAGCCGGCAGCAGCGGGGCTCCCTGGCCCTACTCTGGGGGCACAGCTGGGAGAAGCTGCAAAGCTTCAGCTTGTGACGCCATCTGGGCGGCAGTCCCACGGCCCCTAGAGCAGCTGGGAAGGGGATCCCGCCCTGAAATGGGGCTCAGGGAGGAACATATGGGCAGGCATCTGTGAGGGCGTGGCTGGACGTGCTCAGCACAGCACTGGTGGGTGGAAGGTTCCAGGGCAGTGTGGGGGCCCTTCTTGCCCTGAATAGGGGCAGCTGAGGCCAGGAGCCCACCCTCCTCCCCGAGCACGGCTGCCCAGGGACGGCCCTCGGCTTCCACTTGATGGTTTTAGGTGCTTGCCCTGCGGGAGGCTGCGTTCCTTCCAAGCCAAATGCGTGCTCTCCAGCCCTCAGACCCAGTGGAGGTGCAGAAAGAGGGGTGGCCAGGAGACGGCTGGTCACAGAGTGCCCCAAAGGTGGTGGAGAAATAGACCCCCAAACCAAGGGAGGCAGGGCCCAGGGAGGTGGGGTAGGATGGGATATGGTACGAGCATGTGCGGCTCAGGACCCCACCATGCCCGAGTGCCTCGCCGTGTTGATGAGCCAGTTTCTTTAATACTTCGCTGTCAGGAGAAGGACCTGCTGAGCGCTGGAGTCTAGGTGGAGTCATGCAGCGTTCCTGGGTCCTTTCTTCTGCTTTGTTTGCATTTTTTGATCCTGCCAGCCAGCCTCTCGGCAGATACATCCCGGTTGATTCTATGCCACGGACTATTCGGAAGGTGGCGCAGGGGAAGGAGCATGAAGTTGGAAAGACAGGCCTATTTACCAGCTGTGTGACATGGCATGAGTTACTTGACTACTCTGAGCCTTGGTTTACCCATCTTTAAGATAGGGCTAGTAGTACCCACCTCTTGGGGGTTATTGTGAGTAGTAAATGTACATGAAGAATGTAGCTCAGTGTTTGACAAGTAGGAGGCATTGAATTCACATTCCCCCCACTCCAACTCCCAGCAGTGATGGGGAAAAGGAGGCAGACAGAGACAGCTGTTCTGGAAACAGAAAAATACAACATGATAAACTTAACATAGTACAACCTGATAAACTCTCCAATAGAGCTGAGAACAAAAGACTCAAGAGAAGGGAGCACCTGACTCTGCCTGGAGAAGTTGGGAAGGCTTCCCAGAGGAGGCGGCATCACCACTGAGTTTTGCAGCATGGCTAGGTGTTTGCTGAGGGTAAAGAAGGGCAAAAGTGCTTCAGGGAAGAGGAACCAAATGTGCCAAAGCTTGGGGTGTGGCGAGGCCCAGCAGATTCAGGCAGCAGGTCAGAGAGGAACTGGAGGGACTAGAGGGAGGTACGGCGGTCTCAGACAGAGCAGCAGGGTGAGCAGCCAAGGTGGCCATGGTCCTCAGATTTAGAGGGGCCTGCAGCCAGACTGGGGAGTTTGCTGGTGCCAAAGAAGTGCAAAGAAACATGTCTTCTCTTTTCAAGCAGGGGAGAGTCAGGATGGAATTTAGTTTGGGGAAATATCTCTGGTGGCGAGGAGGAGGGTGGGTGGAGGAGAGGCCAGAGGTCAGAGGGCCATGTGGAAGTTGTTCCTGTGGTCCAAGTGGGAGACAGTGGTGGCCTGAACTAAAGCAGTGGCCGTGGGGATGGAGGGGACCTGGGTCTGTCTTTGTGCCTTGCATTCATCCATTCACCAACGTTGATTGAGCATTTGCTCTGTGCAAGGCTGAAGGCAGGTGCTGGGATACAGTGGTGACCCTGCAACGTGGGCCACAGTATGTCTGAGGGTGACACTGCGGAGGTGACTACTCCCAGGCTGGACTGTGACTCTGGGCAGGGGCTCGCTGGGAGAAGTTGCCCAGGGCCTGGGGCTTGGCACCAGCATTTCCTCCCCTTACTGCCCAAGGCTGGGGCCCAGGGCCAGAAGGGTATAATTCCCCATGTGGCTCCACCAAACATGGAGACCTTGGAGTGTTCTCCTGGGCTAAGAGGCAAAGGATGGTGGCTCTTTGAGGATGACTTGCCCACCTTGTGCCCCACCTTGGTGTCCCTGCTCCCATCTCTGTCTAAATACCGTCTTGCTGAGCATCATTTCCTGGCTTTGCAGAAAGAATTACAGGGTCCTGCCTGCCTTTCTTGGGTTTAGATAATGGAGCTGAAAGCCAATGAATAAAATCAGAATGATTTCTTAAAGAGGGATGGAAGATCCAACAACAACAACAAAAAGAAATAAGCAAACACAAATGAAAGGGGGAAGTCTCCCAGGTCGGAGGACCTGCAGTCTGGCCAGAGCGGCTCTGCTCAAACCACAGGGAGAAGCTTAACATTGTGGCCAGTACACATGTACTAACCCCATATGTGTCCACGATTGGCACGGACCTTCCCTTACTTGGTGGGCTGCAGTGATACTCTATTCCATTCCATTCCATAAACGCGTGTTGACACGGCTGACTTGATGACATGATTCCCTGGTGCATCGTCCCTGCTTCATTTCCAAGAGGAGGCAGCTTGTCCCGAGGTTGGCACGTGGTACCAGCAGTGCCTCTGCCAACACAGCCTGAGACATCTGTCCAGACTGACGTAGTTGGGGAAATGGGCCGAGCCATCCTGCATCCTCACTCTCTGTGGCCAGAACGCTGACTGTTGCAGCACTGTTTGGCAGGACTCAGGGTGGGAACTGGGACCTTGTGGAGAAAAGGGTGGAGAGCAACATAATAGGCTCTGACTGGGATTAGGTTTCAGGTTCTCCCTGGAGCATCACAGAGTGGCTCTAGTTTTCTTCCTCTTGTGATAACATCTGGCCTTTACTGAGTACTTTCTATGTACCAGGCACTGAGAGCAATGCTTTTGATATATATTTCTTTCTTTCTTTTTTTTTTGAGACGGAGTCTCACTTGCTCTGTCTCCCAGGCTGCAGTGCAGTGGTGTGATCTCGGCTCACTGCAGCCTCCGCCTCCCAGGTTCAGGCAATTGTCCTGCCTCAGCATCTTGAGTAGATGGGATTACAGGCATAGGTCACCACGCCCGGCTAAGTTTTGTATTTTTAGTAAAGACAGAGTTTCACCATGTTGGCCTGGCTGGTCTCAAACTCCTGACATCAGGTGATCCTCTCGCCTCCCAAAGTGCTGGGATTATAGGCATAAGCCATAGCGCCTGGCCCGATATGTATTTCATCTCACTTAATGTGCATAACAGTCCTGTCAGGGAGATATTTTTGTTGTGCCCATTTTATAGATGGGACAACTGAAGCCCAGCAAAGTCAGAACACTGGCCGAGGCCCCAAGCTCTGAGGCCAAAGCTGTGGTGGGAACCATTTGGGTTGGGTCATCTCATATCTGTGGACTCCTCCAGGAAGCCTTCCAGCTTCTAACTCTGCTGCCTGATTGCAGACCTCGGGTTTCGAGTCCCAGAGGTGTTGTGAGAGGCAGTGAAGCAGGGACACCAAGTCCTCCTCAGGCCAAAGTGATTTCTTGTTTTTTCACAAAACAGCCACAGCAGCAGCCACAGCTAAACATGTATTGAGCACTTGCTGTATGCCTTGCACTGCAGTGCCTCGGGCTTTTTCACATATTATCTCATTTAAACCTTGCACCCTCGATGTTATGGAAGAGGAACTGTTATTATTTTCATTGCACAGATGAGAAAACGGAAGCACAGAGGACTAATAACTTCTCAGGGTCAGCTTAAGGATGCCAGTGAGTGAAAAATGTCCCTTGCTTTCTATTCATCTTTTTGACTTAGGTGTCTGAGGAAGAGAGTTTAATTCAAACCTTACTGCTGAGCAACCAACCTGTCTTCCTCCCTCCGGGCCCCCAATCACAAAAATAAACAAGATCTGCCACTAGGGAGATTGTTGAGGTCAGGGAGACTGGGGACCGGCTCTGGGCTCTGCATGTGGTACCTGGGGTCTCTTTGCAGCCCTGGAAGGGCTCGTCCTAGGGAGGACCTCCTTGAGTTGCCTTCAGCCCTGGCCTCAGCTGGAAACAGTTTGGATGTCTGCCTTTCTCGTCTGTGTCCGCAAGTACAGCTCTGTCTACCCATTTCTCCATTCATATGCTCATAGTTATTGAGGGCTTCCAAGGGCCTGATGCCGGGCCAGGCTCCCTCTTGGAGCCAAACTTGCTGCTGCTCGGACAAAGGAGCCGTCCCATACTGGGGCATGGGTGTGTGTATAAACTGGTCTTAAGATCGTAGGCACAGGTAGATTCCGAGGCAGGCAGTCACTGCACAGGGGAAATGCTTATGCAAAGTAGCAATCCTTCATGTCTTCCTGGAGTAATAGTTTAAAGATACGCAGAAAAATATGTAAATATGCCATGCATTTAGTTTTTGCCAAACTGATGCCTAATAGCCTCTGCAGGCTGTTAGGAAACCTTGTCATGCCTGTGTCCAGCTCTCTCTCACAACGATTCCTTAAGCTCAGCAAAGATGAAGCAGGAATTTGGTCAGTCTGTTGTCACGGGAAGATTTTCTTCCCATGTACACATCAACTGCTGAAGATCTGAGAATTTAGGAAAACTAATCTCTTATCCTCAGACACAATTGTATATTAATTGCAGCTGGCCACAGTTAGGCAGGGTGTAGAGGGAATTATACAGACAGGGCCTCTCGGCTGGTTATGGAAAGAGGGAAATATTTTTAGGACTTGCAAACACGCATGCAGGCGCGCACCCACCCACGCTGACACGCTCATTCACTTACTCTGCCCACGGACTTTATGCTATCAATAGATGCTCACGGATGCTATTTCTGGCCCGGCTTTCTGGATTTCTGTTCCTTCATGGAGGCTTGAGTCAGCAGTTCTGAGCCTCAGCGCCTGGTTTTTGCTGCCTGGCTCACAAGAAGGGCAGCCCTGTGCCAGCTTCTGTCTCGACTGCTGCGGGCAGGCGTGGGAAGAAATTTACCCCAGATGCTGCACATTCACCCCAGGGCAGTCACAGGTAGCTGCTGTCTCTGTTCAAAATGAGGGAAGGACGGAGAGGCAGGGAAGTTCTGCATTTGCTTTCTGTGCTTTCGTCTCGGAAGCATCTCCACCACCGGGCCACTGAGGGGAGCCCCTCCCACCACAGAGGCGCAGATCCGCCCTTCTCAACCTGCCTCTCCAGTCCGGCCTCAGAAACCAGCTTTGCTGTTGATTTTGGCAGCTGGGAGACGCCATCTCTGTTTACACCCAAATGTTTTCCTTAAAAGGCCTTTTATTCCTAGTACAAAGTAGCCTCTAGAACCAGTGACTTTAAACCTTAGAGGAACTCCGTGGATTAACACATCAACATTCAAAGCAAATGCGACATCAAACCTCTTTAAACAAGAACCAGAACGTTTTTGTGGTGCTTACTGAATTTTCTGTTCTTCTTGGAAATAGTTTCCGGAGAAGAAAGATGGATAACATTGGTTATGTTTTTGATCCTAGACAGATACAGTCACCTGGCTTAGGTGAGGGTGTTGGCTCTTTCTTCCCAGGTTTAGAATGGAACTGGGCTTTATTTATAAGTAGGAGCCTGAACTTTGGAGACTGAGATTTTATTTGGCCACGTGTCTGCTGTGGGCCACCCTCTCGATTTTCACCTATGATCTTAAACACAGTTTATAAAGGTAGTTACAGGAAGGACATCTGGGTTATCCGAAGGAAATTGTTATCTGAGAAAGGCCACTTAAAATGAGTCCACTTAATAAATCAAAGTTTTATGGTTAATAGTGGGAAAATTTTTTTTTTTTTTTTTTTTTTGAGACTGAGTCTCACTCTGTCGCCCAGGCTGGAGTGCAGTGGCGCAATCTTGGCTCACTGCAATCTCCGCCTCCCGGGCTCACACCATTCTCCTGCCTCAGCCTCGCGAGTAGCTGGGACTACAGGCGCCCGCCACCACGCCCGGCTAATTTTTTGTATTTTTAGTAGAGACGAGGTTTCACCGTGTTAGCCAGGATGGTCTTGATCTCCTGACCTTGTGATCCGCCTGCCTCGGCCTCCCAAAGTCCTGGGATTACAGGTGTGAGCCACCGTGCCTGGCCAATGGTGCAAAAAACGTTTTTAAGACTTCACTCTGAAAAGAAATGAAAAATTATGAAAATGATTTTATTTTAGATTTAACAAAATGTAGACTTTTTTTTTTTTTTGAGACAGAGTCTTGCTCTGTCACACAGGCTGGAGTGCAGTGGCGTGACTTCGGCTCACTGCAAGCTCCGCTTCCCGGGTTCACACCATTCTCCTGTCTCTGCCTCCCGAGTAACTGGGACAACAGGCACTCGCCACCATGCCCGGCTAATTTTTTTGTATTTTTAGTAGAGACGAGGTTTCACCGTGTTAGCCAGGATGGTCTCGATCTCCTGACCTTGTGATCCGCCCATCTTGGCCTCCCAAAGTGCTGGGATTACAGGCATGAGCCACCATGCCTGGCCAACAGGGTCACTCTTTCATAAACAGTTCTGAGGGCTTCTCTCAGTTCTTTCATCTTCACGTTCTCTCTTTGAAGCCACCTTCTGTCCTCATCCTGGCTGAGTTTCTCTTCTTCAGTTGCTCACAGGTCTGACTGTGCCAGCTGCCCTTTCTTACAGCTTTGGGGTAGGTTTTGAGCAATTCTCTGGTGTCACTTTAATTGACTCCATGACATCCTCCTCCTTCTTCCAGGTTTGCAGTTTTGCTTTCTGGTTTTTGGCACTGTATATTTGCTCCTTCAATCAGCAAGAGACTGCCAAAGACTAGACTTGTGAGGACATGACTGGGCACAGTGTCTCACGTCTGTAGTCCCAGCACTTTGGGAGGATCACTTGAGCCCAGGAGTTCGAGACCAGCTTAGGCAACATAGTGAGACCACATCTCTACAAAAAATAGAAAAAATTAGCTAGGCATGGTGGCACACGTCTGTGGTCCCAGCTAATCAGGAGACTAAGGCGGGAGGATCACTTGAGCCCAGGAGGTCGAGGCTGCAGTGAGATGAGATTGTGCCATCGCTCTCCAGCCTGGGTGACAGAGTGAGACCCTGTCTCAAATAAAATACAGTAAAATAGACTTGTGAAGACAGGAGGAGCATACGAGGGAGGATCAAGTCTATACATGGTTGCTTTGTTGATGACATTGTCCTAATGCTGCCCTTTGTGTTCTCTTATGTAACCTTGTTACCATGGAAACTTGAGCGGTGGGGACCCTTAGTGCAGGATGGGGGAACTAGAAATGCATCCCTGGGAACTTTGTAGTTTTAGGATTTTGTTGATTGCCAGGAGAGCTGAGGAGCCCCTGCCGTGCTTGCTGACATAGCTATATGGAAGAATATTGTATTGGTGGGAGGATATTGTTGAAGGCATCAGCCACCATATACATACAGTCACCTGGTGAAGGGCTTGTGGGAGAATGCGTGTTCAGAAAGTCACAACAGAAGCTGCTCATCCATGGGATTTTTTTTTTTTTTAACCTGTCGGATTTTATGAATCATGTAACTGATCATAGTGGTTGCCCTTTTTGCTTTGGCTGTTGGGAAACTTAGAGCCAGACTTGTACCCCACTCCAGCAAGGGCTTAGGTCAGCACTTCCACGCTTACCTCACTCCCTCTGGCTTTTAGCCACCTTTTCTTCCTGTATTTTCTTTGTTCTCTTGAATTGTGGGCTTAAATCCTTTTTGACATTAGGTAGAGTATATTCTCTCAAAAGCTACCTCATGAGCGTCTCCTACCATTTCCGTCTCAAAAGAGCTGAAATATCAAGCCAGCAATGGTGTGTTTAAAAAAAAAAGAAAGCTGAATTTATGTGGTAAAGAAAGAAAGATTTTGAGGATCATATTCAGTCTTTTCGAACGTGGTATGTGTGTTACTGATTTTTTTTTTCATATGTGATGAGAATTCTTAATGCTAACAACTTTTGTATAGCCCTGAGATTTTGGGGACTGGCCTTCCTCCCTCCTTCCCTCCTTCCCTCCTATAGGTATCAAAGATTACAAATATATTCTGAATTCTTAATTTGAAAATAAAAGTGAGTCTCGACTGGCTGTGAGATTACAGGTGGCTCACACTTGTAATTCCAGCACTTTGGGAGGCCAAGGCAGGCGGATCACTTGAGGCTGGGAGTTCAAGACCAGCCTGGGCAGCATGGTGAAACCCCATCTCTACTAAAAAATACAAAAATTAGCTGGGCGTGGTGGCGTGCACCTGTGGTCCCAGCTACTCGGGAGGCTGAGGGAGGAGAATTGCTTGAACCCAGGAGGCAGAGGTTGCAGTGAGCTGAGATCGTGCCACTGCACTCCAGCCTGGGCCACAGAGCGAGAGCGAGACTCCATCTCAAAAAAAAAAACAAAAACAAAAAAGAAAACCCAAAAAACAAAAGTCAGTCTCATCTGTGTTTACTGACTTCTTTTCTAGGACATTTGGGTTACCTCCCTGGGTCTAATAGTAAAATTCCCAGTCTTCCACCTCTGTCATAACTGAATCAACAGGGTTTTTCCTGCTGAAGAGTCACCTGTAGAGCTGTCCTTGCTTGTGAAGAACTTTGAAAGGTTCCAGGTGTAAATATGGTGAAGGTGGTAGAAAGAGATGCCGTAAATAGATCAGCCCTTTGCAAGGAGAGAACAAGAGAACCTTCTGGAAAAGATGGGGCTTCACCGAAGCTTGTACTTAAGCCCAAGAAACCACTTAGACTCCCAGAGGTGAGCAGGTGAGATTTAATGTTGGCATGTAAGAGGTTAACAGAATATCTGTACCGCTGCAAATAAACGAACACAACCATCTTCTGCCTTTTCTCTATTCATCATAAGACAGAGTTTTGCCAGGACCTTCTCCCCATCCTCTGAGGTCTCGTGCGGCATGTGTTTATGGGGCTCTGGCTGTGCTTGGGGCACCCTGCATGGCTGGAGAGTGGAGACACCAGACACAGACACACCTGAGACTCTTAACAAGGCAAGAAAGCGCCAAGGCATCAATATGCAGGCAGCCGAGGGGATGGGAAGAAAGAAGTCTGGGGGCTGGCAGGGAGCAGACCCCTCCAGGGAGCTGGGGGAGCTGGGATGTGATTTTCTGGAGGAATTGAGAGAGATGCAGAAGTTGAGGAGGGGGCAGCTCCTCAGCAGTGAGGCCACGGTGAGGACCTGGCCGTGCTCCAATGCTGGATCAAAGCCAGGAGGTCGGATTGGGACTTTTTTGCAAAGGCAGTGGACGACTTTTGGAACAAGACTGAGTGATGCGGCAGTGTGTCCTTTGGGGACACATGGAAAGAGCATCCATCCTGGGACTGTGACACCTGGGTGGAGAAAGCCCGGCACCGCACCATTCTCGCCTGAGCCCAGGTTCTGTCCCTGCTCACATGTCCCTGCTCCTGTTGACATGTGGGTGCTGCATTCAGGCCACACAGCTTCCCAGCTCTTCGAATTTTCGGCAAGGCAGTGAGCATGCCTAGCTCAGTGCAGGGCTCGGGCGTTCAGGCACTGCTGGGTGCAGAGTTGTGTGACACGGGGCTGGATGCCTGGGGCCTCAGGTGGAGTAACAAGATAACACTCTCAGAGACAGCCCAGAGCTGGTCTCAAGCTTGGCTCCCTGAAGAGAAGTCGCTGGGGTTTTGTCCAGCCTCCCTCTGCTCGCCACCATGGTATAGTGGGTGGTGGTGAAGACCCAGGGCTTGGAGGAGCCCTGTTCTCCATCTGTGTTTACATTCTTAGCTCCTCCAGATGGGTTTCTCTGTGATCTGACCTACTTTCCTGAGTGTATGTGCTCGGGCTAATTAGCAGCTCGGGGTCCATTGGTGGTGTTTGGAGAGTCTTGCTGCTATGGCAACTGGAGACTCCCTGAGGCCAGAGGCAAAGGTGGAGCCACTCACCTTTGTTTTTCTTGGGGTGTCAGAGGGGTCTCAAACTACTTGCAGTTTCTGACCATGGCTCCGTCCGTTGAACCTCTGTGGGACTGAAGAGGCTGCACTACATAGCTTCAGTTTATCTTTTGGCTACAGGGATTTGTCAGGTTTGCTGATCTTTCTGGTAGGTGTCACAAAGTAATGTGAGAATAAGCTGGTTTCCACTTATAGGCCAGGCACATAATAGGTGCATTAATAAACGTTGAACTGCTTTTTAGAAATGATGGATGCATTCCTTGATTTATCCAGGTTTCTAGGGTGTCTTTGGGGACGTCAGTAGGAAGGTTTGCAGTGGAGCCTGTCTAAGCGGGCTTAGCCTGCCTTCGGGCCCCTAGAATATGTGGACTGTGGTCTAACAGACAGGCCCCCAGGGGCTGTTTGAGTTCAGGGTCTCATTAGGGTCGTGCTTAGGAGTAGTGGGGTTCCCTGGATGGCTTAAATAGAAAACAGTGATTTCTTCCAGTTCTGGAGGCTGGAAGTCTGAGAGCAGGGTGCTAGCATGGTTGGGTTCCTGATGAAGGCTCTCCTCCTGGCTTGTAGATGGCCACTTTCTTGCCTCACACAGCAGAGAAGAAGTGTGTGTGTGGGGGGGGTCTCGTGTCTTTTTCTCTTTTTATACGGGTATAATCTCATCTTGAGGGGACCCTTATGATGTAATCTAATTCTAATTACCTCCCAAAAGCCCCACCTCCAAATACCATCCCACTAGGGATTAGGGCTTCAACACATGAATTTGGGAGGGAGGCGCAAGCATTCAGTCCATAGCACAGCCCTTTTATCATTCTCCCTCCTTATTTTCTTCAGCTTTACATTTTCTGTAGGCCGAGTTACTAGATCACCAGCTTTGTTTTAAATTGTTTGTAAAGTCAGCATGGAAAGGTCTTCAATGAGGGTCTGAGAGACTCTTCCATAAATAATTTACACAAACTAATCATACATGGGTTTTAGTTGTATCGACTGTAATGGTGCCCACATTCTATTTGTTTCTCTCCTGGTTCTTTTTTTTGGAGACAGGGTCTCGCTCTGTCACCCAGGCTGGAGTGCAGTGGCACGATCATGGCTCACTGCAGCCTCAACTTGCTGGACTCAAGCACATCAGCCTCCTGAGTAGCTGGGACCACAGTTATGCACCACCACACCCACCTAATTTTGTTTATTTTTTTGTAGAGACAAGGTCTCACTATGTTGCCCAGGCTGGTCTTGAACTCCTGGGCTCAAGCAATCCTCCCACCTCGGCCACCCCAAGTGCTGGGATTACAGATGTGAGCCATGGTGCCCAGCCCCTCTCCTGGTTCTTGATTGTGTTTTTGACAGCCGTGAGATGGTGTTGTCCCACTAAGTAATATGCCCTGTCACTACATCATAACTTTGCAGTTGTTGGGATTCTACGTAAAAGCACTTCACTTTAATGCTGCCTTAATTTCCTTTATGGTACTATACTTGGGGGGAAATTTTTTCTTATAAATAAGAATCCTGGTCCTGGGCATTCATAGATGGTATTTAATTTACTTTTTCCAATGCCCTTGCAAAATAGATGCTTTTCCTCTTTTGCCAGCTGAGGAAATAAGGTTCAGTATGGTTAAACAGTCGGCTCAGGCCACACAGCTAACGAGGGAGAAGTCAGGATTTGAACTCGAGTCTCATTTCAAACCCTATCTTGTTATCGCAGCAGAACCTTTACCTATTAAGGCTAAGGACGTTTAGATGGCTTTGTGCTTTTGCACCTCATCTGAAAAATGTTTTTAAAAGTTGGCAGATGAGTTCTAATTGTGGTTCCTCATTTTTTTCCTCATGTATTTTCTGAGTACGAGGCTTGGCTGAAGGCCAGTTCCTAGGTGCCCAGGGAAAGGGCCACTTTCTTCAAAACAGTAGTAGCCCAGGTTAGAGCTTACAGATGTTTCAGCTCCACGTGGTAAGCTTCTTTGGGCCCTCACCTGCATATGGAGCCGAAGAGGTCTGTTTTCTGACAGAGAAACAAACCCCCAGGGTGCTGAGAATGGTGACAGGATGAACAGGTTGCAGGATCCTTGCCACCAAGTGACATCCAATGCTGACAGTGAGTGACGGCTTCCCCGGGAGGTGCTTTCCAGAGCACACCTCGTCACACCACCCCGACAGCCACCTTCCCCGCAAGATTGACATAATCATTAGCTATTTTCATATAAATGCAAAAGTAAACCTTCTCAGTGTTTCTGGGAAATTTCATGCTGTTACATCCCAGAAAACGATGTTGATCCTCTGGCATTCTGTTTGACACTGATACTGAATAAGAGCAGTGGAAAGTCAGTCCCCGTGAAGCTCTGGAACTACTGTGACCTCGAGTGTCAGTATCAAAAGAGCCCATCCAAACATCCTTGGCCACGTCGCTAGAAAACAGTGTATTGGAGGCAATTTTAAAATGCTTTGAACAATTTTGTTTTTATTTTCTTTTGCTTTTGGCCACAGTTTAGATACATTTTAGGCTCACTGCCCTGTGGGTGAAGACAAGCTGGGAAATGTGGAAGAGTCTTCCACTTACCCATCAGAGGTTCCATTTGAATTCAGTTGTGA
This sequence comes from Homo sapiens, assembly GCF_000001405.40. Classification (NCBI taxonomy): domain Eukaryota; kingdom Metazoa; phylum Chordata; class Mammalia; order Primates; family Hominidae; genus Homo; species Homo sapiens. Next base: position 122,162,504 of record NC_000010.11, read on the forward strand.
GTCTGGGCTGGGAGCGCAGGAAGCGGTTGTGTTGAATGTACAGCATGAGGGGATGGTGGGGTTCCCAGGTGTGCCCCAAACCTCCTGTACCTATACAGAGATGAACTCTTTCTGCAGCAGCCTCCAGTGAGGAGGCTCAGGATCTCAAGTCTTGAGGGTTTCTGAGCCTGCCATAGGCCAGGGACAGGGATTTGGCTGCTGATGGGTGACATGCTGCCAGCTACAGAATGGGGCTGACTGGGCACTGGGAGCTTGGTGATGGGGTGTCACGGACATTCCTACAGGCCCAGCCCGTGTTTAGAATCACAGAGCTGAGCCGATGCATGTCACGGAGAACTGCCTTTGCCCTGTACACGCATGCTGCATTAGGGGCCTGCCTTGGGCGGCTCAGCTGGCCGCGCCTCTGCTTGTTTAGGGTGAGCCTTTGCACAGGGCTTGGCTTTGTGGAGCTCATTTGGTGGCCAAAGATGGTGTTGCAGCCCCAGCCCGCTCGCAGGCCCAGTACCTTTTGCTCCCTAGCTTGCCCCAGGCCCTCAGACTGTGCGGTGCAAAGGTCCTTGGAGGCTAGCCCCGGGCTGGCTGTGAGGGGAGAGCCAGGTGCCGCAGCTCTCCCTGGTACAGACTTCAGCTGCCTCCAGGACCCGGGGCCTGAAGGAGGCAGAAGCCGGCGGTGGAAAAGGGCGCACGTCTCTCCCAGCGTCGCTCCCGCTGCCCGCTGCCCACTGCAGCCTATTTACCTGTTCCTCCAGCCATCCCCTTAGTCCTGGGCCGGGAGAGACCATTTCCTCCTTCCTGGAGGGATGAGCCAACAGGGCTGAGCCCCCTACTCTCTCGGTGGTCAGCCCGCCCGACCACCACGCCCCTCCTTTCTAGGGCCCCAGCTCCCGGGCCGCGGCTCGTTTGCATTTCAAAGCTACACAATGCGGGCGGTCCCGGCGAGGCGGGAGGGGCCGGGGCAGAGGGAGGGTCTTCGCCTCCCCACCCCCAGCCCCGTTTCCGGAGCCCGCGATGGAGCTTTGTGAAGATGCAGGCGTTGGGGCTGCTCGGCGATGATGACATCATCGTGTCACACACAGGAGCCGGCTGCCGGGGGGTTTAAGAGAAGAGCCTTTCGGACCACACCGGCGCTCACGCTCATACCCGCACGCCCCGGGCAGAGCCGCGCACGCCGGCCACACTCGGGCGCGCGCCGGCCACACTCGCGCGCACACATACGCGGCGCTCGCCCCCCGGCCCCCGGCTCGGGCCGCGAGTCGCAGCTCCCTGCCGCCGCTCCCGCCGCCACGGATGCCCGCAGCTGCTCCCCTCTGCAGTGCAGCAACCCCGGCCGCCGGCCGGCTCGCCCCGGCTCCCGGCTGCAGGAATCGCGCCAGGACGCTGGCCCCGCTCGCGGCTAGCTTGCACGCCAGGGCACAGCGAGGATGGGAGGGTCGCAGTCCCTGCAGCCAGCCCCAGCCAGCGACCTGAACCTGGAGGCTTCCGAGGCAATGTAAGTGCTCCGCCCGGGCCGCCCCGAGTCTCCCGGGGAGGAGGAGAGGATGCCCGGGCTTTGTTAGTGTCGCCTTTCCTAATGCCTGTGCAACCTGGAGCCCAGGCTGGCCTGGGGTTCTTCGCAGCCTTGGAAAGCTTTACCTGGGGCTGCTCTGGGAGGAGCATCTGGTAGCCCCAAGTTACTGCTGTGGGCAGAAACGATTCCCTGGAATTCAGTTTTGGTCGCTCAGCAGTGGGTGCATGGCTGGGGGGCTTCTCCTGCCGTCAGCATCTTTCCTCTGCACCCCCGGCACAGTGGTATTTCCTGCAAGGGAACAGCCAGGCATCAGCGACTGCCTCCTCCTAGGAAGAACCCATGAGCGTGGCAGCTCCGTGCCCGGGGCGACAGCCCAGTTTCCGGGCAGCTGCGCTTGTGGCTGGGCAGATGGCGTGGTGCGCTCTGGTGGACGTTCCGTCTAGTTAGCCTAAGCATCATCCACATACTCTGGTGAACACTCGAGGACAAGGCCGCTTGCTATTATTAGTAAAGGGCCGAACCGTCCTGTCATTGGTGGAGGCAGTGCTTGACTGTGCATCGATCCAGGAATCCGATCTTTTCTCTCAACCACAGAGCTAACGTGCTCAGAAGTGGCCTTTATCCTGGCCGAGTGTTTATTAGAATTCACGTTTCTGTTATGGTCGTCTCCATTACCTACCCAGGCATGTTTGGACGATGGGGCGTATTGAATGGGTCTGCCGGCCGGGTCGCATTTCAGCAACTCAGGCTTGTATCCAAAGTGGACCTCCCAGCCTCACCTGCCCCCACTTTTCCAGAGAGAAGACTATGTTTCAGAGAAGAGTATTTTCTGGGGACTTGGGGGTAGGGGTAGTAAAGTGGGTTCTTAAGAGTCATGGATGTGTAGATTAAAAGATGGTGGGGATTGATCTGTGTGTTGTAGGAGGGATGGGGCCCCGGGGGGTACTTCCTCACTGGTCCCTCGACCCCTGGGCTTCAGTGAGGAGCTGGCTCGGCGTAGTGATGTAATGCTAGGCTGAGCCTCGTGGTTTTCTGGGCTCCAGCTCTTTAGCAGGGAGTCATTCTTCCGAGCAGGTGTGCACCCATCATTTGTCTTCACCCCTGTAGCTTGAGAAAGCATCGTCTTACAATGGAGGCACATCGCGTTTGAGGATTTTCTTTTTAAATGTTATGATCCTTGTGCTGTGCCTGCCTTGTTTCTCATGCACGTGTAGTGTTGCTAGGTGCATGGAAATACAACTCGAGTCTAGGCAGAAAAGAACCACTTTAACCTATTTTTTGCAAGTCCCTATAGTGGAATTGAGTTAATCAGTGACAGGCACTGGCCAACTCTCACGGCTCAGACCTATCTAGTGAAGAGCTTAGGAAACAGAAAGGACAATGTGACTGTACGTTTGGGAAAATGTGCTCCTCAGTCATTGGAAATTCAGCTCGCCGGTCCCTAACGTCCCCGCCCTCTTTTTCAGCTGAGTTAATAAATGATCAGTGTTCCGTCAGCTGAGGGCCGAGTTTAGATAGCTTCTGTTAGGTAGCTGTGCCTTTTTGGATAAGGTCCCTTAAGGTTCTGCCCACTGGGATAGTGGTGTTTAAATAAAATTTCAGGCTGAATGGCCACATTGTGATGGAAGCTGTTTATCAAATATTTTCACAGTTGAGTTGGTCCATATGCCCCCGCCTGAGGCTTCTCTCCCTAGAACTGCTGCCTCTGAAATGTCTCTAAATATAGATCTTTACGATAGTATATTCACTCATTCACAAAATCCCACCCTCCATCCCGTAACATTTTTGTTCTAAAAAAATGGAGAGAGAGGAAATATTTGGGGCCAGTGCCATTGCTAGCATCTGTCCTCTTCAAAACCCGTCTCTGCTCTCTGAATAACTGGGGCTTATTTTTCTAGTGCAGATGTGCTCTTTCCCAGTCTAGAGGTTTTAAAAATATATATTCGGAGAGTGCCTCTTTTCTGCCCAGGCACAGGTCTTTCTTGGTAGTATTTCCATGCAGCTAAAAATGCATGCACGTGAATAATACACAAGACAGCAACAGAGTGTGGGGCCCATGGCAGGAAAGAGGTTGCATTGTAAGATGATGCCGTCAGGGCTGCAGGGATGGTGACAAACACAGGGTGCGCACCTGCCGCGGGGGACAGCTCCTGACAACCGGAATCTAGAGTGAATGTTTCCCTTTTTCTCTGCTGGTTCCCTGTGAAAGACTGGCTTAAGGAGGGCCATGGTGTAAGAGTGAAATCAAAAGATAGAGGATTTGGAAGTGACTGAAGGATTTTTTTTTAATTTAAATTTTTTAGTTTTAAGATTTCTTTCCTTCCAATTGCAGGTTTGGGGTGCCTTTGGGCAGCTTTTGTAGCTCCAGCTGACAGCTTCATTCTATGCAGGAGTGCATTGGGCTAGGGAGGGAGCGACTTTTGTATCTCCCCTTTTGAGAACTCAGGCATCAAGATTGGAGTAGCAGAAGTCCCATGGGACTGGGGATTGAAGCCTGAGGATGAAGGTGCAAATGGTGACCAGTCTCTTGCTACTCCCAGGGTCGGCCACACATGACAGCATCAGCTTCCCAAAGGGGCTTGCTAGAAACGCAGAGCCTCAGACCTCACCCCAGACCAGCTGAATCAGAATCTCCATTTCATCCAGGGACTTGTAAAGATGCCCAGGTGATTTGTAGGCATCTCAAAATTTGAGAAGCCATGAGCTGGTTCAGTCTTCCCTCCATCCTGTCCATGAGAAACAGCTGGCCACTTCTCTGACTGCTCCTTTCCTATCTGGCAAAGAAGTTCTTGTAGCAATAGTGACCATTTGTTTCTAAATAGAATATGAGTAGCAAGGGGAGGGAGAATTCTCCCACAGAAAACACTTATTTCTCAGTATGGATGGTAGGAGACACAGGAATGGACAGGAAGTACTTGAGTAAATGTGGGCTGCAGCTATTGATCAGACCTGCTGTTCATCCCTTGATTCTGTGGCAGCCCCATGTGGTGTGGCTTCTGCTAAGTGGGGCAGCATTAAGTACTTTGTCCTTTATGTAGTTGGAGACCCCCGTTTCAGGGGTTCCCTCAGCTTCCACCAAATCCCCACACCCTGGCCACTGAAAACCACCCAGGGGGCCATTATCAGAGAGCAAAAGCGGTGGTTCTGTTGGCAAAGTCGGCCTGCCCCGACTGTTGCCCTACTCTCAAAGTGAGCACGTGCCCTTGGCTCTAAAAAACAAATCACAAATATGGAAACCCATACTCTGTAGACCTGTGGATCGAAGTAGAGGGGCCAGGGTGGATGGGAGAGAAGCGATGGAGGAGGAAGCAACAGGCTCTGTGATTGATGAGATGGGGGAGGGAAGAGAAGAGACAGTGGCAAGTACAAAATGGAAGTTTCATACCCTGGTAACTAAGAGAAAGAAGTGGCATTGGCCAAGACAGACAAGAAAACTGGATTGGGAGCTAGTTCGGGGAAGTTGATGAGTTGGCTGAGATTTCAGAAGTGGGTGGGATCAGATGTAGCTGGAGAGAGGCCAGGCAAAAGAAGGATCTCGGGTACCACCGCAGTAGGTAGAGAGATTGGAGCTCTCCACACATCTGTGGTTAGAAGTGGGGTTCTGGTCCCTTCCCTTATGTGGTTCCTGACCTTTTCTTTGGGAGCTGTAGAGAAAATCCGATGACTCTGATCCTGCCCCTCCTGCCTCGCAGGGTTTTTCAGAGGTGAGATGCCACATCTGCAAAGACTCTTGAGAAGACGTAAGTGCCAGAAAACTGCAAAAGTGGAAATGCCCTATGCCTGAAATTGCCAGCCTCTCAGTCACTCAGAAGGCCAGAAACGGTCGCTGGGGCTCTAAGCAGGACTCTTTCTTTAGCTCTCATTAGATCTTTTTCTTTTTCTTTCTTTTTTTTTGAGACAGTGTTTCACTCTGTTGCGCAGGCTCATATGTAACAGTGTGATCACAGCTCACTGCAGCCTCCACCTTCCGGACTCAAGGGATTTTCCTACCTCATCCTCTCAAGTAGCTGGGACTATAGGTACACATCACCATGCCCAGCTTTTTTTTTTTTTTTTTTTTTTAAATAATTTTTTGTAGAGACAGGGGCCTTGCTATGTGGCCCAGGCTGGTCTCTAACTCCTGGGCTCAAGTGAGCCATCTGCTTCAGCCTCCCGAAGTGTTGGGATCACAGGCATGAGCCAGCGCACCCAGCCATAGATCTTTTTCAAGGCTTTGTTTCTTGGGGCAGCCCTTGGCTAAATGCTTTAGCTTAAACGACAGCATTCCTAATGTGAGTTGCAGCCAGTTTCTGAGTTCCTGGACGGAGATTTTACTTTGGATATTACTGTTGGACACAATAGAGTTTTTTCTCCCCTAAAATAGAATAAGCTGCAACATTATCTGTAGAGTGGGAGGGGGAGATTGATTCCCAAAGGAAGCTTGGGTGCATTTTTCCCTGCCATTATTCCTAGATATCACCAGCGTGGCCCTGTGCCTGTGTTCATAAGGGTCCTGGGCCTTCACTATCTTCTCTGGGGGACTTGCCTGGAGGCTTTCTCTTAGGTGGGCTGAAGGCAAATATATTCCGAGGTCCTCCAGGTAGCTACCAATCATCCAAGGGGCCATGCCATGCTAGGGCCCTGGGACAGGGTACCCTGTCGAGGATGGGGTGAACAGCTAGGACTTGGATACTGATTGAGTGTGGCACTGCAGGTGAACATCAGATCAAGGTCAGTGGATTCTGGGTTGCTCTTCCATCGACCCTCCCATTCCCATCCCTGTGTTTCTTTCCACTGTCTACAGCCTGTTTCTGTGGCTAGATTTTTGGTTGCCTAGGAAACAACTTTATTCTGAAACATGATTGGCTGTTCTTGCAGATGGATTACCCAAGCTAGGGCAGTGTTCTGGGGTAAGCAAGTGATGCTGAACAATTCTGTTTCTTCCCTTTAAGATTAATGGTGAGGACTTAGGCATTGTAAGCAATTGTTCTGTGAAAACCAATTGTTCATGGACTGATGCTTTGTTTCAGGTTGGACAGGGGTTTAGGGGAGACTGGTTGGCCACAAAGAACTGACTGAGTCAGAACTGCTCACACACATCTATCCTGTGTTGGAAGCAGTAGCTCAGATGACATTTCTGTTTATATTTACAAATTCACTTTAGCAGTTGTTTCTGGAGTGCAGGTGTGTGCTGTTTAAACGCCATTGCCAAATATGGAAACAGCTGGATGCTGCAGTGTTGAAGCCAGGAGTGAAAAGCCCACTGAGCAGGCTCAGATTCAGCAGAAACTCTTGTGTACCATGTCTGTGTGCTAGGTTTTTTTCATTATAGAAATAATTATATCCCTTAATCCTGCAAGGTGGGTGACTTCTATAGATAAGGAAACTGAGTCCTCTGGATGGTTTAAATTAAGGGAGCAGTAAACTTTCTGTAAAAGACCTCATAGTACATATTTTAGGCTTTCTGGGCCATTCCGTCTTTGTGCAGCATCTCTGCTGTTACAGTTCAAAAGCAGCCAGAGACAACATGTAAATCCATGTTCCAGTAGAGTTTTAGTTGTAAAAACAGACTGCAGGTTGTAGTTTGCTGATTCCTGGTTATACGGATGATTGGTACAGGGCTCAGACTTATGTCCCCTTTGGCCTGGGCAATCTTTGTTTTCTGTTCTCTCTCTCTAAGACATCTCATTTATGCTCATGGACTTAAATAATATGTGCCGATAATGCCCCAATTTATAGCCTTCCCTCTCATCTGAGCACTGTAATTTTCCTTTTTTTTGAGACAGGGTCTCGCTCTGTCACCCAGACTGGAGCACAGTGGCACAATCATGGCTCACTGCAGCCTTCATCTCCCAGGCTCAAGTGATCCTCCTGCCTCAGCCTCCCGAGTAGCTGGGAATACGGGTGCACGCCACCATGCCTGGCTAATTTTTAAATTTTTTGTAAAGACAGGGCCTCCCTATATTGCCCAAGCTGGTCTTGAGCTCCTGGGCTCAAGTGATTCTCCCGCCTTGGCCTCCCAAAATGCTAGGATTACAGGCATGAGCCTCTGTGCCCAGCCTTAATTCAATAGTTTACTTCATATCTCCTCTTGGATTTCTCCTGGATAGCTCAGGCTCAACATGTCCAACGTAGAACTCTGATGACCATCTTCCTCTTAAAACAAAAACAAATGTGCATTCAAACGAACCCAGCCCCACCCCCATCTTCCTCATCTCAACACCTGGGACCTTATTCACCCAGGTGCTCAAACCAGAAACCTGATGATCAAGTCTTTTTTTTTTTTTTTTTTTTTTTTGAGGTGGAGTCTCACTCTGCCCCCCAGGCTGGAGTGAAGTGGCATGATCTGGGCCACATTGCAGCCTCCGTCTCCTGGGTTCAAGCGATTCTCCTGCCTCAGCCTCCCAAGTAGCTGGAAATACAGGTGCACGCCACTGTGCCCAGCTAATTTTTGTATTTTTAGTAGAGACGGGGTTTTAATTTTGTATTTTCAGTAGAGACGGGGTTTCATCATGTTGGCCAGGCTGGTCTCGAACTCCTGACCTCAAATGGTATGCCTGCCTCAGCCTCCCGAAGTGCTGGGATCACAGGCGTGAGCCACTGTGCCTGACCATGATAATCAAGTCTTATCTTCACTTTTCCCTCACCTCTCTTCTTTCTAGAACGGTCCATGTCATTGGACTTCCATGGTTAAAACCTGTATCTGCTTCCCATTGCTTTTAGTCTAAAATCCAAATCCCTTGCTAGCGCCTCCAGGCCCTGCCACCTGGCTCCCGCCGCTCCTCCCCTCGCCTGATGTTCACCAGGATCTGGTCGCCTGTCAGTTCTTTGAACACACAACACCGTCCAGCCTCAGAGACTTAGCACACTCCATCCACTCCCCTCAGCGGGCATCTTCTGCTCCGTCCCTTGGCTGGTCTCTTTTTTCCTGTCTTTATCTCCTTCCACCCAAGGAAGTTGCTGGCTGGGTAGACCAGGAGTCTGCTGCAAGCACTGCAGGGCTTGTGAGGAGGCTGGTGTGTGGCTGTGAGCAGTAGATTAGGGGCCGTGAGCAATAGATTTCCTTTGTTCCTGCATTCTTAGCCCTTACAAAGGAAAGCAGTGGGCCTTTTAAAAAGGAAGGTGGGTCTTTTGTACAGTGCACCCCATGGCTGTGCAATAAATCCGGTGGGGGTGGTGGGCCTCCCCGCAGGTTTTGTACCTGTCTGCCTCCTTATTCAGAAGGACTTGTTTCCTCTGAGTTTCTGCTTTTGCCTTTTCGTCTGCTTTCTCCTTAAATGGAAGTGGATGGATGCAGCTCTTCATGCCTAAAACAGAAGCCTTGGGCTCTGGGCAGAGCAGTGGGGGCCGAGGTAGGGGGGTGGAGGTAGGGTGGGGTGGCCCCTCTGCTCAGGGTTTCCCGGAGCCCTACTGACAGGCAGTCACAGTGGCTCTGTGTCCTTATGGGGCCGAGAACTCAGGCCAGCTGCTGGGCCAAGTTTACCATCAACATTCCAGCTTCACTTACTCCAAGGTGTTTGTGGAGTTCCAGAGTCTGCGGATGTTAGAACTGGAAACATCAGGATTTTAGAAATAACAGAGGGTTTAAATCCCCCAGCACTTCATTTGTGAAATATGACTTAGGCCTTTCCGGCTAGTCATTATTCAAAATAAGTCAGGTAGTCATTTTAATCTTTTCCCTTTAACTTTCAATGTGCTAAAAGAAAATGTTTGTAGGTGGACGTATCATTTGGTAAACTCAAATCAGAGGCCTCTTCCCACGTGGTGAAACAGCTTAGATTGCAAATTCTTTGTCCCATGAGGAAATGCAATGGATGGTTAATTTGGGAATAAAAATGAGCCTCCTTGGGCCCTTGGCCAGGCCCTTCCATGAGTCTTATTAGCCTTGTGTCTTTGCTCTGAAGTATTTTTTTCTTTTCTGTCTCCATACATCTCCTTGGGGATGTTCTAGAGGTCAGTTCCAAGGAAGGTGGGTGTTTACTGTGTTCAGCCCAAGTGGAAAATAGCTGTAGCCATCTTCAGAGAAAGCTGACCCCTCCTGAGGACCAGCAAGCCCAGAGGTGGTTGGACAAACATGTGGGCTCTCGGTACCTGACACCTGTTGAGACTGGCCTGAGTTAAAACCATCCAAGCCTAAATGTGGAGCCCTAGAGATGAGCTAGATTGTACTCAAGGCTGCAGGGATATGACCCATGACTCCTGGGGCCTTAATTTTATGTTTTGACTCGTGGTTACAGCAGGCTATTGGTCTAGGTTGAAGCTTGACATTTAGAAAATACCTGGGCTGCTTTCCGTCTACTGCTGGGTGACAGAATCAGGCAGGGGAGGGCACAGCCTGTTGTTGCTGCCCACCCAGGAGGAGCTGAGTTTGCTGCAGCAGTCCTGTGCCAGCACCACCCTTCCTGGGGCTCAGATCTGGGTCTCTGTACTTGAGAAGCAGCCCACATTCCAAGGGGCTCCAGCCTCTCACGGTGACTCCTCTGTGCCACTTATCCAGGCCCCTGGTGGAAGCTGCACATTGTTCATTGTTCTGCGTTAAAGGGAGGCGCCTACAGTGGTCTGGAAGTATTTTCCCTCCAGGAAGAAGGCGGGAGAGGTTGGCTTTATTAACTTTACTTTAGGGAAAACATCTGCGCACATTTAGATCCTGCATGGAACTTCCCAGCTGAGCCTCTTTCAGAAGAGGATCCTGTGACTGCCCATTGCCTTTCATGAATGGCCCTAAGACGCCGTCCTGGGGCGCAGGGCTGCTGGGGGAGTGAGGAGCATCCCTCACAGCACCAGGCTCTTGTGGGAGGAGGAAGAGCCAGGAGTGCACAGAGGGTGAGCAAGAGCAGACGGGGAGGGCAGGGGGTGAGGGGCAGGCTGTCCCTTTGGCATTCTGGCCTGTGTGTGAGAGCGCTGAGTTTGGACCCCCAAACCTGTGACTAGCGGAGTTTGTGTGAGCAGGCGAAGGCTTGTGACCAGGAGCCTGGGGCCTAAAGAGGTGTTTCTGGGCAGAGCTGTACCCAGAACATCCTCAGACAGGTTTTGCCTGTGGCCTCAGCTTGGGTACCTTTGGTTGCAAGTAGAAAAAAACCAATTCAAACTGACTTAGAGAAAAGAGGGCATATATCGCCTGTGCCTGACAGGTGAGATTCCTACAGGGGTAATTGCTAGGATGGCTTTAGAGAAATGTGCCCTCCTCACCCCAGACAACCCCAAAAAGTCCAAAGCATCAGAGTTTTTGGGTTTTAGAATCACCTTTGATCTAGAACAGCTGACTTACTCCTGTGGCTTCCTGGGGCTGCCTCATCCTCTCTGCAACCTCCTTGGCAGACATACTGGCTTCCAGCTGCTGGGGAAGTTTGTGCCCCAGCCTCAGTGACCCAGAGCCAGGCTGGGGTCTGAAAAGAGAGCGGGGCTCCACGCCCTGGGCTTTGGCTTGGCCCACGAATGCCCCTTAACAGCTCAGATCAGTCTCCTGCCCTAACTGGGGAGGCTGTGGGAGGCAACCTGCTCCTGGGCAACTTCCAGATCTGGCACTTGTCACGAGCATCTTTACGTGCCAGGGCACAGCCTAAGAGAAGTGACACGAGACACAGAAGAGGCAAGAGGCTGGAGGAGTGTGGTCATATGTGGCACTGTGTTCCCAGGAGCCCTGCTGCTGATGGCCCTGGGGTCAGTGGGGAAGAGCACCAGGCAAGAAAGGAAAACATGTCTGTGGAAGGTGGTCCTTTGCCTGCCCTGCGAGATGAGGGGAAGCAGGACTTCAGGAGCCAGAGGTCTTCCTTCTTCATGTCCTTCCTGCCCAGCCTTTCTGGTAACAGATAAGGGAAGAGCATGGCTGAGCCTGCTATGGAGCACACACCATGAAAGCCAGCCCCTCTCTGGGGGCACAGCTCTTACCCTCCAGCCCCATGCACGTTCCAGGCTCCATGACCTGGGGCCAGCAGCCACCTGCTCCCATAGACAGGGAAGTGGGCTAGGCTGGGCTGGGCTGAGCCAAGCCAAGCCTAGGCTGCGGCCAGCGGAGCTCTTCTGCCCGCCTCCTCTCTCCCTTTGTGGGATGGGACTGTCCCTTTTGTCCTGGTCATGCCACAGGGCTCGGTGGACTGTCCAAGGGTTCTTTGTCCTGATTGTAGTTTCTCCATTTCCTCTTTGTTTTTCCACTGGGTGCAACTATCAGTCCATATCTGTGACCTGCATATTTTACCTGGACCAACAAGACAGGTGGCCTAGGGGCTGAGGGTGTGCCTGGTAAACTCAGCCAGCACTCCCAAGATAGAGCCTGCCCAGATCAGCCTTAGCCAGCGATCTCTGCTGTTAAGAACAGTGCAACGCTTTGGCAATACCTCCCAGAAAAATAGCTAGTGGGCAATGGCACTGGCTCAGCGCAGACCTGCCCTAGGTTTCTGGGCACATGACAGTGCCCACTCACTCCATGGGCTTGAGAAGACTGGCATTCAGGGCCTCATTTATGATGTCGGTGAAATGGAATTAACCTCCCACCCGTGTCTCCCTCTCTGTTGCTAAAGAATTCTGTAGGTAAGAAAGAGAATGCATAAAGCGTTTAGGGAACCAGGAGAAGAATTGGTGCATAAAACGTTCGTGAAACACTATGCTCCTGTTTTTTTTTAAATTGAGAAATAAAAATTCCATTGTAGAATGGCTAAATCAAGCTAATTAATGTATTACCTCCCCTCCTTTTTGTGTGTGTAGAATACACTTAAAATCTACTCTGTTACCAATTTTCAAGTATATAGCACATTGTTATTGACTAGATAGAGTCACTAAGTTGTACAATAGATCTAACTGTTGAACTAACCAGTAGTTGAACTAATTTCTCTTAGCTGACTGAAGTTTTGTGCCTTTGACCAACATCTCTCCCCCATGTCCCAGCCTCTGGTAAACAGCATTCTACTCTCTGCTTCTATGAATTTGGCTTTATTTCAGATTCCCCATGAAAAGGCGATCACTGTGGGTTTCATTTATTTTTAAATTTTATTTACTTATTTTGAGATAGGGTCTTATTCTGTTGCCCAGGCTGGAGTGCAGTGGCACAGTCATGGCTCACTGCTGCTTCAACCTCCCCAGGCTCAGATGATCCTCCCATCTCAGCCTCCCTAGTAGCTGGGACACCCCTGGCTAATTTTTGTATTTTTTATAGAGATGAGGTTTCTGCCATGTTGCCCAGGCTGGTCTCTAACTCCAGAGGTCAAGCAATTCTCCTGCCTTGGCCTCCCAAAGTGCTGGGATTACAGGCATGAGTCACTGCACCTGGCCTGGCTTTGTATTTTAAATACAGCATAATTCTTGGTGAAGAAAAACACTGAAACACTGATGCATTGTGGAAAAGGATACATTAGTTAATGTGGGAAAGGATACATTGGTTAATATGGGAAAGGATACATTAGTTATCACTCCTGAACTGTTTGTAACAACAAGGAAACCCCTTCATTCCCGTGCTAATCCTCAGAAACAAACCTGCCCAGACCCCGTTCTGTCCAGAATGCAGTTTCTGTTCTTTGTGCTCACTCCTTGGGTTCACATATTGCATTTCTCGATGTAGGCTCAAAATTATGTGAATTTTTATTTTTCTGGATACTGTTTTTCTTCCACTTCTTCAAATGTGACTATGCTTTCAAAAATTCAGAGCTTAAATGCCTGTGAGAGGAAAGGAACCGAAGGTGTAGGGGTGACCAGGTACGGACTTTCCTGGAGACTGTCTGAATTGTCTACAACTCAGGGACCAGGGAAATATCTTCTCACTATCCAGAGATAATATTTTATTGGTCAAAAATATTAGAAAATGGGCCGGGTACAATAGCTCAACGCTTGTAATCCCAGCACTTCAGGAGGCTGAGGCAGGTGGATTGCTTGAGCTCAGGAGTTAGAGACCAGCCTGTGCAACATGGCCAGCATGGCAACATGGCAAAACCCTGTTTCAAAAAGTACAAAAATTAGCTGGGTGCGGTGGTGCACGCCTATAGTCCCAGTTGCTTGGGAGGCTGAGGTGGGAGGATCGCTTGAACCCAGGAGTTGAGGCTGCAGTGAGTCGTGTTTGCACCACTGCACTCTAACCTGAACAACAGAGCAAAACCTTCTCTCTCTCTCTCTCTCTCTCTCTCTCTCTCTCTCTCTCTCTCTATATATATATATATATATATATATATATGAAGATGAAATTGGAGTAGTCAAGTTGTAAGATAGAAAAGGCCAAAGTAGAATGGTGGCTGCAGATGAAGATTGGGTACCACTCAAGATGGCTTTCATTCTGAGTTTTCACATTTGTAAACTCAGAGGTCTGGCTCTTTTAATATATGGGTCCTTATTCTTAGAAGTAGGAGGCTGGCTTTGTCATTTAGGATTGTTTGGAAATTGGCATTCCTGAAATTCTCCCTTCAGGTCCTCCCTGGTCAATAAAGAACTTTGACTCTTGCGCCCTCGGTTGGACAGTGGTTTTGTGCATCAGAGGCTCCCACAGGGGAGTTGTTGGGAATAGGCTGGCTCTTGTTCTGTGAGGGACTAGGGGACTCATGCTGGTGCTCATAGCTCATCAAGAGTCGTAGCATTTTACTTAGTATCCCATTGTATGTGTAGACAAATATAGATTTTTTTTTCTCTGTAGAATGTGTGGCCTTGTAGATAACCATGCAGATTCAAGCTGCTGAAAGGCCTGATGTGGCCCTAGAAAGCCAGAATTTGAATGAGATTAGTCACAGCAAGTCAGCAAATGTGGGAGATGGAAAACTGGCTTCCTCCACCCACCTAGGTTCTTTGGCTGGGCTACAAATTAAATGGACATAAAATAGATTAACAGGAGAAAAAACACAGTAATTATGTGTATATGCCTGGGAGTCCCACAAAATATGAGACTCAAAAGAAGGGTCCGAAGAGGGAAGCTTATATAGCCCCCTGAGCCACAGAAAGGAATAGGGACCTGGGGCTTCTGGTGGGTGGTGGAGACAAGTTATGGAAGAGTGAGGGGAGGAAGTGTAGGGTGAGTAAATGTGGTCTTGTTATGCCCATAAAATCTCTTGGTACATCACAGTTGCCTGGAGCAGCCCCAGTCCTGATAGAGATACTTTACTAATGTAGATTTTCTTGATGGATATCATTGTGTTTTACAAAAGGGCAGCTTTTCAGAGCCACTCCTGTGTCTGCAGTTTCTCAGAATAACCAGCCCCAAATATGACAAGTATAGTTTGGGGTGGTATATTCTGGCCTCCTACAGTTGCATTTTGGGGTGGTATTGTCCCGAGCCCCAACACAGAAAAGGAGGGCAGTAGGAATTTAAGAATTTCAGATAAAGCATTCTCATTTTGGAAGGAGCAGTGGAGGGAGGCTGGAACAGAGAGAAAGTCAACTGCATTTGGAAGATGCAGTTTGAAAAACAATGAGATGTTTGTGCACAGGGCCTTTTAAAAATTATAATGATGGGAGGATGGAGTTGCAGGGATGATGGCATGAACCTATAATCCCAGCTGCTTGGGAGGCTGAGGCAGGAGGGTCACTTGAGCCCAGGAGTTCAAGGCTACAGGGCACAATGATTGCACCTGTGAATAGCCACTGCATTCCAGCCTGGGTAACATAGTGAGACCTGTCTCTAAAATAATAAAATGATGGCCCAGGGAGTGGATGGCTCAGAGGTGAAAGGTTTTCTGAGCAGCAGGAGAATGAAGCTGGGGAGGAGATAAGGCCCAAGCCTCTGGGGCCATGATCTGTGATCGCAAACAAACAGGATTATTCTGTCGCAGAAAGAATTGGGAGTGTGGATTTCAGAGGTGTACAGGGGCGAAACTTGGGAATGGCCCTTCCAGAACTGCCATGGTCCCTGCTAGAAGCTCCAGATCCTGGGTAGAACAACATGCCCCAGATTCACTGAGGAGGTGAAGGAGCAGCATTTCATGCCTCTGAGAGGCCCCTGAACCCTGGATTTACCCTGGGTTCAGGTGTCAGTAAGCAAGTCTGCCAAGATCGAAGATGGACAACATTTAATATACAATGATAGGATAGCTGAGCTCACCTCTGGATATCTTAGACTTTTTGGGCTGCTACAACAAAATCCCATAAATTGAGTGGCTTATAAATAACATAAATTTATTTCTAACAGTTTTGGAGGCTGGGAAGTCTTAGATGAAGTTAGATTTGGCTTATGGCGAAAGCCTGCTTTCTGGCTCATAGCACCTTCTTGCTGTGTCCTTGCATGGTGGCAGGAGTGAGGGGTCTCTGTACGGCCTCTTTTATAAGGGTTTTTTTCTTTCTTTCTTTTTTTTTTTTTTTTGAGACAGTCTTGCTCTTGTCGCCTAGGCTGGAGTGCAGTGTCGTGATCTTTGTTCACTGCAACCTCCACCTCCCAGGTCCAAGCGATTCTCCTGCTTCAGCCTCCCTAGTATCTGGGATCACAGGCACACACCACCACACGTGGCTAAGTTTTGTATTTTTAGTAGAGGCAAGGTTTCCTCATGTTGGTCAGGCTGCTCTCAAACTCCCGACCTCAGGTGATCTGCCCTCCTAGACCTCCCAAAGTGCTGGGATTACAGGCATGAGCCACCGCGCCCTGCCAGTTCTTCGTTATTTCTGATGTTTGATCAGCGCATCCTGTGCTGAGTTAAGAAAACAGGATAAAGGGTCAGGCGCAGTGGCTCACGCCTGTAATCCCAGCACTTTGAGAGGCCAAGGCAGGTGGATCACTTAAGGCCAGGAATTTGGGACCAGTCTGGCCAACATGGTGAAACCTCGTCTCTACTAAAATTACAAAAAATCAGCCATGGGGTTGTGCGCCTGTAGTCCCAGCTACTCGGAGGCTGAGGTGGGAGGATCACCTGAGCCTTAAAGTTTGAGGCTGCAGTGAGTGGTGATCAGGCCACTGCACTCCAGGCTGGGCAGAGTGAGACCCTGTCTCAACAAAACAAAACACAGGATAAACCCCTACTGTTTTTAAAGCAATTTACATTACAATTCCAAGTGAAACCAGAAGCATGACTTTTAAGTAGCAGGAACATTGAGATAATGGAAAACTTGGAGCCTTTGAGAAAACAAAGCACAAAGCTGCTCTTGAACACCTTGCCATGAAAGTAACAAAACGCTGAAGCATGTTTATAAGTCAGGGCTGAAAATCATGATGAAGAGGAAAAGCCAGGTGACTGCTGTCAGTTTCAATACCTTATCCTGTTTCTTTTATCATGAAATTGAGTAGTTCGTCAGCAAGAAGGTCAGGTCTGAGCATCTATTTAAACTCTTAACCTTGAGACTGTGATGCTTATGTGATGTGGGAAATTGTATCTGCTCATTAGAGCTCTGATATGTAATTGAAATCTGAGATTACTTATCTGCCTTGTCGTATTTAAACCACTGATTATGGCTCTGACATTTTTGTTACTCTTCAATCAACCAGTATATAAAGGATTCAGAATCTCTTGGAATTAAGAAAAAGCTATTATCTTCCTGGTATCAATTATAGCGCAAGTAAAAAGCAATGCCTTTTTTAGCCAAAACTTTGCAAAAGTACATGCTGGGATCTCAGATCTTTCCTTGATGCCCTTCACTTTAACCCCTACTTTTATGTGTGACACAAACCCGGCCACTTCTCACCTTGGAGGCGAGCAAGCTCCATACCCTTCTTCCACTCCTGCTCCTGCTGCTGTTGTTACAGCTGTCAGAATGGCCTTCTAAAAACAACTCAGGGGCCAGGCCTGGGGGCTCATGCCTGTAACCCCAACACTTTAGGAAGCCGAGGCAGGAGGATCACTTGAGCCCAGAAGTTTGAGACCAGCCTGGGAAACATTGGGAGCCCTTGTTTCTACAAAAAATGTTTTTAAAAAATTAGCAGACGTGGTGGCTTACACCTGTAGTCCCAGTTATTTGGGAGGCTGAGGCGACAGGATCACTTGAGCTCAGTAGTTTGAGACCAGCCTGGGTAGCATAGGGAGCCACCATCTCTACAAAAAATAAAAAAAAAATATAGCCGGGAGTGGTGGCGTGTATCCATGGTCCCAGTTACTCAGGAGGCTGAGGTTCAGAGGATCGCTTGAGCCCAAGAGGTCGAGGCTGCAGTGAGCCATGATTGCGCCACTGCACTCCAGCCTGGGCAACAGAGTGAGACGGTGTCTCCAAAAAAACAGGCGAGTCCTTTCCCCGTGTAACCCTCAGTGGCTTTCAGACTCCTCATGGGTCTCAGCGAGGCCAGGTCATTGTCATTGTTACCTGCTTCTTGGGTCTCCTGGCAAACTTTCTCCTCGTTGCCTGCTTTGTTTTCTTAAATGGCCTGAAGCCCATTCCTTGAACCTGCCACCCTCCTTCCCCCTCCCACCTCAGGGCTCTTCATCTTTTTGTTCTCCCTGCCTGAAACTTTCTTCCCCCCAGTTCTTTTTTTTTTTTTTTGGGTTAATAGTCTGGCTTTGTCGCCCAGGCTGGAGTGCAGTGGCGCAATTTCAGCTCACTGCAAGCTCCGCTTCCCAGGTTCACGCCATTCTCCTGCCTCAGCCTCCCGAGTAGCTGGGACTACAGGCGCCCGCCACCACACCCGGCTAATTTTTTTGTGTTTTTGGTAGAAACGAGGTTTCACCATGTTAGCCAGGATGGTCTCGATCTCCTGACCTTGTGATCCACCTGCCTCGGCGTCCCGAAGTGCTGGGATTACAGGCATGAGCCACCGCACCCGGCCTCTTCCCTCGAGTTCTAATGACTGACTCTTTTTTCACTCTTCATGTCTCAGCTTTGAGAAGCCTCCCTTCCCAGGGAGTGCAAGAGGAATAACTTATTTTATTTTTTATTTTTTTTGAGACGGAGTCTCGCTCTGTTGCCGAGGCTGGATGGAGTGCAATGGCGCAGTCTCGGCTCACTGCAAACCTCTGCCTCCCAGGCTCAAGCGATTCTCCTGCCTCAGCCTCTCCTGCCTCAGCTGGGATTACAGGCACGCGCCCCCATGTCCACCTAATTTTTATATTTTTAGTAGAGACAGGGTTTCACCATGTTGCCCAGGCTGGTCTTGAACTCCTGACCTCAGGTGATCCACCCACCTCAGCCTCCCAAAGTGCTGGGATTACAGGCATGAGCCACCGCGCCCGGCCAAGAGGGAGAAATTTTAAGGCATCCTAGAGCCTAGAACAAACAATGCCAGCCAGCCCTTCTTCTGTTTGGCTGATTACAGTTTCTCTCTTGAGTGGCTGTGAATTAATTCAGTAAATATTCAAGTGAAATTTATTGCTTAGTTTTACAATTCCTCGCCCACAGCCACTTTAGCAGTATGTGTCTGTGTGTGCATGTTGGAGGGGGCATTGTTGGATGTGTGGGAAGAGCAAGAAAATCACATTCTTTTTGCATCGCTCTGTAAACTCATGAATCATTGGTACAGCTGTCCCCTGGCTACTGGGAGCATGGCCGTGCTTTATGTTTCTTTATTGTGTTAAGGTGAAAGATGCAATAATTTTGGTGGTAGAATTTTAACACTTTGAGGACTGGAGCCAGTAAATACCTTCTAAGTGCCTGGGATTGTGCAAGGTGCTTTACAAATATAAACTCAGCTCTGAAAGCAACCCATCTACTACCTACTGTTGCCCATTGCATAGACAAAGAAACTGAGGTCCAGGGATGTTAAGTAACCTGTCCAAAGTTACTCACCTCTCATGAATTTGGAACCAGATCAGTTGATGCTCATATTTGATGGCTGTGGTGCTGTTTTCTCCTACAAGATGTCAGAATCGTGTAATTCGTATATTAAGTGCTTTAATTTAGACTTTATCATTTCAGAATTTTTAATAAGTGGGTTAAAGAGTGAGTTGAGGATGCTGCATTATGTATGAGAGAACAGTGTGAAAACATCGGAAGCAGGAAAAGCACATTTTCAAGGCATTGAACAATACTTATTCCCTACAATTAGTGTGCTGTTTACCAGCTATTCTTTTTCTTTTTTTTATCATGTAAAGAGGTTAGAAGAAAGGAACAAAAGATTTAAGTCTTCCTTCCTCGTGATTGTACTGCTTTATTGCACTGCTTGCAGACTGCAGTAGAAAATAAGCTTTTAAGACTTTCTAGATTTTCAGGCTTTCTACTAAGCTGTTGTAGCTTCTCCATCCCACATCTGGGTTTGCTCACTTTATTTCTATGTGCCAAATCATGATTGAGACTCGTTGAGACACACAGTAGACCACAGGTTGCCATATTTAGCAGAGCAGGGAAAGAACTCTGGAGAGTTTGCCTTTTTGATTAGGGAGAAACGCTGTGGGAGGTATTTGTTGAGCAGCTACTCTGGGCAGGACCCTGAGAACTATCAATTTTTGGATGCGTGAAATAGACCAAACATGAAACCTGCTCTGGACGCAGGTTCTCTCTGAATCAGGCAAAGCTTCAGGCCTCTGAAGGCCTCATTCAGGAGCATGTTATCCATGGCAGGGAGGGTGTGATGCCTGATTAAAATTCCAGCTGCTTGGCTCCCACCAGGAGCTCACCACGATTTCTGAGTTGCTTGGGATTTAGCCAACTGGTTTGCAAACTGCATGTAAGGTGTGTCTGTGTTTGTTAAAAACAATGACTTCTCAGCAGGACTCAGTAATGGGTTTCCACGGAGAGAAACATTACCAAGAGATGAATGCAGGGGCGTGATTGTCCTGTGCACTAAGAGCCTTCAAATCCTTTCCCCATATTTGCAAGGTGTTGAAGTACCGCTTTTAAGGCAAAACTAAATGACGAGTTATAAAGTCAAAACACGTGAGCTTTAATTATTGCTGGAATAAGCGGGATTCTCATCAGCAGGGCAGCTTCCAGATGTGCTTTTCTTCATTTTGACTAGATAGGGAGAAGAGTGAGGGGGCATGGCGTGGAGAAAGAAAGGTAGATATACAAGAGGCGGAGACTCAGGCGCAGGTAGAGTCAGAGGCAGGTTCAAAGACACACAGAGACACATAGGTGAAGATACATTCGATGTAAACAGCTTAGGAGCCAGGTCGGGCCTGGTGGCTTCTAAGCTCATATCTGTAATCCTGGCTCTTTCGGAGGCCAAGGTGGGTGGATCGCTTGAGGCCAGGAGTTCGAGACCAGCCTGGCCAAGATGGCGAAACCCCATCTCTACCAAAAATACAAAAAGTTAGATGGGCGTGGTGGCACGTGCCTGTAATCCCAGCTAGTCGGGTGGCTGAGGGATGAGAATCACTTGAACCTGGGAGGCAGAGGTTGCAGTGAGCCAAGATTGCGCCACTGCACTCCAGCCTGGGTAACAGAGTGAGACTCTGTCTCAAAAAAAACAAAAAAACAAACAAAAAAAACAACAGGGGGTGGGGGCTTAGGAGCCAGGATTCTAAGGCCATACCTGCTCCTGCTCTGAATCCTGTGGCCTCCTGTTTGCAAGAGTCCACCCTGAGATTAGTCATCCTCTCAGTCTCCCGTTGGCTCTATGATGGTGTTGCCCTTTGCCCAGGATGTGAGTAATGAGAGTAACAGAATTCAGGGTTGACCTGACTTTCCTGCAGAGGTCTGGGAAGACCTCCATGTGACAGCCTTCCCATGTCACTCCCTGCGGGTTCCAAGAATCTCAGGCCTTTGCAGCTGGGATGGCATGGCATAGACATGTGAGACACCCCCTCCTTGTTTGTATGAGCGAAAGGGCCAAAAGAATAGGGTGGAGGTCCTGGCTGGCTGCCCCCGTGGGCTGCTATGGATCTAGATGCAGAAACTCTGCTGATTCGTTCCCCTGGAGGAGAGGTTGCTCTGGGAAACTGCAGCTGCCAAACCTACTGGAGACTGATTTGCAAATAAGGACTCCAGCCTGTTCACATACAGGAGCCTCCGTGAGTGGGGAGGGCAGTTGGGTCAGGCTGAGGCTCAGAAGACACGTATGCCTGTCTTGGCTCTGCCCTTGCCCCTGAGTGGTTCTGAGCTCTCAGGCAAGATGCTGAACCGCTTGGCTCCAAGTTCTCATCCTCAGAACCCAGGAGGACTTGAGCATCTTGAGAGTGGGAGCTTATCTGTCTGGTTCACCAGCCCAGGTGCCCGCAGGTGATGGGGAATAAATAGGTCCTTCTGAAACCGTGAATAGTCAGGGAATGATACCCATGTGCCTCTCCTGTTGTAAGGATCAGTCATGAGGAAGCTCTGAGGGACGGTAACATGTCAGCTGAGGTGAGCGGCCGTGGGGTTATTCCCATTCCTGACACTTCGCAGCCCCTGGCTGAGGCACCCCCATCCTGGTCCTTGGGTACCTGCCTGAGAAACCACACTTGGAATCGGAAGGACACTTGGTGAGTGTGGAACATCAGCCTCCGATGCAGAATGGATGTGTCTTGCTGGCTGGGGGAGCACTTGGAGGGGGTCCCCGAGGCACCCCTGATAATACAGCCTGGGGGTGGGGGGGTGCCCTGGTGGGTGTGTCTTCCCTGGCCAGTGCAGAGGGGGACAGCTACATTTTTGTCACTCCTCTGTTTCTTCCAAACTCCTTGTTGGCTCCTTCCCTTAATCCATGTTGCCCTGGACAAAATCCAGCTAACCGGATCCCAGCTGGGTTCCGTGTATTGTATCCAGGACCTGGATGAGATTTGGAAGAACTTGCTGAGCACATCTGGGGAGACCCCTGCGTCCCCAGCAGTGTGGCTGAGCTCTGCCTTGTTGGGGCCTGCATCCTCCCTTGTACGAAGGCAACCTTGTTGCTGGTACCCGTGTTTAAATATCTTTTTCTGACTTACATAAACAGCACCTATGTGTTGCTTTTATGTGTGTGTGTCTGTACATAGACATCTGTGTACGTGAATATACATATGTATTTAGGTATCTTTGTGTAAGTTTATATATAATTATCTGAAATAAGCTCATATTATATACACATTTCTTAATTTGCTGGGTTTTTTTTCCTACTTATCACCTAACTGGGAGTTATCCTGATTGTACATGCAATCCCACTCACCTTCGTTAACAGCCATTATGTTACTGAGGGGTGATAGCGATGGGGGGTCTGTCCCCTGCCAGGTGCTTGGGGAAGCTCTAGTGGTTGGCCAGAGCTGACTGCTCTTTGATTTCTTGCATCTTCTTTATGGTTTTTCCGTCTCCTCTGTCACTTATTCTTTTTTTTTTTTTTTTTTTTTTTTAGTAGAGCTGGGATCTCATCATGTGGCTCAGGCTGATCTGGAACTCCTGGGCTCAAGCAATCCTCCTGCCTCGGCCTCCCAAAGTGCCGGGATTACAGGAGTGAGCCACTGTGCCTGGCCTATCACATACTCTTTTCTTTCTTTTTTTTTTTTTTTGAGATGGAGTTTTGAGTTTTGCTCTTGTTGTCCAGGCTAGAGTGCAATGGCGCGATCTTGGCTCACTACAACCTCCGCCTCCTGGGTTCATTCAGGTGATTCCCCTGCCTCAGCCTCCTGAGTAGCTGGGATTACAGGCACATGCCACCATGCCCAGCTACTTTTTGTATTTTTAGTAGAGATGGGGTTTCTCCATGTTGGCCAGGCTGGTCTCGAACTCCTGACCTCTAGCGGTCCACCCGCCTCAGCCTCCCAAAGTCCTGGGATTGCAGGCATGAGCCACCGCACCTGGCCATACTCTTTATCAGTGCTATCTATGTGCCTGCCTCCAACATTACCCTGCCCCTTCTCATTTAATTTGGATTCTGAAACCAGATACCAAACCTATTAGACTAGACTGTAAGAGAAGGCTAAGTGTGTTTTTTCAGAGAAGACCAGGTGGAGCTTTTTATTGAGTAATGTGCAGGATCCTTTAGTGCAAGCTCTGTGTCACATGACTTGGTTGAACAGAAATGTTTGTGTTTTCTGGGGTCCTGGTTGTGTTTCAGATGGGTAAGGGGGTACTGGTTTGCTTGTTAAGTGGCTTGTGAATAGGTAGGATGTTACTGTAATTCTCCTCTCTAGAGAAAATACAAGGACTTTAATGACAACTTGTTGAAAGCTCCTTCTGTGTCTTTTTGAATTCAGTTTTATATTCTTTTCTTATTAGTATTCATAAGTAACTCATTTTCCTTTCTTCCTTTTTTGAGGTGGAATTTCGCTCTTGTTGCCCAGGCCGGAGTGCAGTGGTGTGATCTCGGCTCACCTCAACCTCCACCTCCTGGGCAAGCTATTCTCCCGCCTCAGCCTCCCGAGTAGCTGGGATTACAGGTGCCCACCAGTACGCCTGGCTAATTTTTGTATTTTTAGTAGAGACAGGGTTTTGTCATGTTGGCCTGGCTGGTCTCAAACTCCTGACTTCAGGTGATCCACCCGCCTTGGCCTCCCAAAGTGCTGGGATTACAGGTGTGAGCCACCACGCCTGGCCAAGTAACTCAGTTTCTATTATATTTTTTAAGAATCTCACTTTAGTGGTCAGGCCCAGTAGCTCATGCCTATAATCCCAGCATTTTGGGAGACCGAGGCAGGAGGGTCGTTTGAGACCAGCAGGGTGTAGTGGCACACAGCTGTGGTCCCAGCTTACTCGGGAGGCTGAGGCAGGAGGATCTCGTGAGCCCAAGAGTTTGAGGTTACAGTGAGCTGTGACTGTGCCACCGTACTCCAGTCTAGGTGACGAGCAAGACTCAGTCTCTGGGGGGATAAAATGAGTTTATTTATTTATTTATTTTTTGAAACAGAGTCTTGCTCTGTCACCCAGGCTGGAGTGCAGTGGCATGATCTCTGCTCACTGCAACCTCTGCCTCTGGGTTTAAGTAATTCTCCTGCCTCAGCCTCCTGAGTAGCTGGAATTACAGGTGCCCGCCACCATACCTGGCTAATTTTTATATTTTTAGTAGAGATGGGGTTTCACCATGTTGGCCAGGCTGGCCTCGAACTCCTGGCCTCAAGTGATCTGCCCACCGTGGCCTCCCAAAGTCCTGGGATTGCAGGCATGTGACACCGCCCCCGGCCAAACCTGAGTTTTAAGATTCCAATTTAAGTTAATCAAGGAGTTTAGCTACAAAGAGATTTTGGGGAGATCTGTGTGCGAAGGCAAGGAAACCAAAAGGGTGGTCCGAGGCTCTTTTTTCTTTATTTCTCCTGACACTTGATTCAGTCTGGCCTTTCTCCAGGAAGGCGTAGCAGGATCTAGTTACAAATCGGTGAAATCATGAGCCCAGGGTGTGGGGGCCGGCTTAGTGTCACTCTGCGCTTCCTGCAGTGGGCCCTCAGCCACTAGAAAGTCACTTCTCTTTTGCGAGGAACCTGGTATTGTCACAAATAAGCCAATTTCAAAACTAAGTATGTTTGTGTTGGGGAGTGAGGAGTGAGTTTCAGCAGACACATGTATGCACACCCACATGGGCACAGTGCCACACTGAGCCCCCTTCATTCTGGAAGCAGTCCCTTGGCCCTGGACCTGGTTGTGTGCCCCTTGAGGGGAGGATGAAGTTGACCTCAGCACTACCCGGAGCTCGCCCTTTCTTCGGTACACTCTGGTGTCCACAGGTGGCCTGGCTTAGCACCAGCCACAGTTTGTTCCTGGCCTCCAGGGTCTCTTTCCTGTCCAGCTCAGCAGCTTTGACCAAGTAAAATAGAGGACTTGGTCTGCTTGCTAGCAGAATTACATTTCCCCAAATTTCTTTTCTTTCTTTCTTTTTTTTTTCTGAGACAGAGTCTCGCTCTGTCGCCCAGACTGGAGTGCAGTGGTGTGACCTTGGCTCACTGCAATCTCTGCCTCCCAGGTTCAAGTGATTCTCATGCCTCAGCCCCGTGAGTAGCTGGAATTACAGGCGCCTGCCACCACGCCCAGCTAATTTTTGTAGTTTTAGTAGAGACAGGGTTTCTCCACCTTGGCCAGGCTGGTCTGGAACTCCTGATCTCAGGTAATTCGTCCCACCTCGGGCTTCCAAAGTGCTGGGATTATAGGTGTGAGCCGCGGTGCCCAGCCCTTATTTCCCCAAATTTCTAATGCTTGGAGGCCAAGGGCAGATCAGAGCTGCAATAATAATGGGGAGGCATTATCCTTATGGTCATTAATATCCCCATTTATGTGACAGTCCCAGGGCCTGGGAGGTCAGGTGTCTTGCCTAAGGTCATGTGCTTGTCAAGGGGAGCTGGGAGGCATCCTGTAGTAGACTATGGTTGTTTGTGGACTGCTTGCCCTCCCTTCCACATCCTGCCTGCCTTTTGGGGAAGTCTGTCTCCCCATTCTGTTGAGTCTCAGCAGGTTGCTCCTTTGTTAAGGTTCCCTACCCTCTTCCAGCCAAGAGACCCAAGAGGAGCCAAGTAGATACTCCCTCCCTGGAAGTTAAACCGTGAGCTGAGATCCAGAAAATGGTTGGAGGACTGAAGTGCCCTCATTTCTGTCTCTTCAGATGTGGTTCCTTAGCCTCCTTGGGTTTTCAGTAAATCCCATTCTTGCTTTAGTTTATTTATTTATTTATTTATTTTTTTGAGATAGAGTCTCGCCCTATCATCCAGGCTGGAGTGCAGTGGTGTGATCTTGGCTCACTACAACCTCTGCCTCCCGGGTTCAAACAATTCTCTTGCCTCGGCCTCCCAAGTAGCTGGGACTACAGGCATGCGCCACCACGCCTGGCTAATCTTTGTATTTTTCTTTTTTTTTAGTAGAGATGGGTTTCACCATATTGGCCAGGCTGGTCTTGAACTCCTGACCTCAGGTCATCTGCCTGCCTTGGCCTCCCAAAGTGCTGGGATTACAGGCATGAGCCACGGTGCCTGACCATGCTTTAGTTTAAATTCAGAATTGGGTTCCTGTTTCTTGCAACTGTATTCAATTAACACCTGGCCATAACCCAGGCATGGGACTCCTCAATCTGCAGTGCTCTTTCCACTTGGTCATGCTGCTGCTATAACCTAGCGATGGTCAGGACGGCGATGGCCAGCGCCCCGGGAACCCCAGTAACATCACAACATAGCCACGAAGTGATAGCTACTTGATTCTGAAAATAGGACCTGCTGGGAATCTCGGGGTAAATGTGTTGTCATCTGCTTTGATTTTTCGCGAGGCAGCCGTAGGTGTCAGCCTGGAAAATTCTAGCAGCCTGGCTTGCCAGAGCTAGCTTGGTGTTTGTTCATGGAAGGCAGTACCTGGCTGGCTGCTTCTCAGTCACCTGACCGTCCAAGATGGGTCTTGGCATTTGCTTGTGTTGAAATCATGTTCTTATTTAGCTAAATATTGATACAACAGAGCAATTCCTTTTGTATATGCAGGATGGATGAATTGAAGTGAAAGATCAGTTTGTCAGCCCTTAAAAAAAATGACCGGTCTGATCATACTGTTTTATGCCAGCGAGGTGTGTGTGTGTGCAGAGATTGGGGAGGGGAAAGCTTTTATTGGCAAGACTATCTGAAGGTCTCATTCAGCGGAATATTTTGTTGAATAGAATCTAGCATGCGCAGTTTCAAAAATATCCATTTACTCACAGAGTCCTCAAACCCTTACACAAGATGAAGAGATGAATGAGACTGTCTGATCTGTCGCCGAGGGCTCAGTTTTGTTTCTGGAAGGTCTCCCTCTCTCTTCAGGGATGGCAGCTGCTCTTTCAGCCTGGACAATGCTGGCTGGCTTTCCCCGACCAGGGCTTTTGTCCAGAGCTGTTGCTTTTACCTGGGCTTGGTCTTCAAGGGAAAAAGAGGTGGGAGGAGGAGGGGAGCTCAGAAGAAGGAAGCCCCTGTCTTTGGCCTGCACTGTGTTCTTTCACTCTGAGGAGTGGTCCCAAGACCCTCCCTCCAGTTCCCAGATCACTTTCATGTTGGGAGCTGCAAAGTGGAATTCTAAGGAATTGACCTGGATTCGAATATGGAAGTATCCTCTTCCCCTTAAGCAATGCTCAAGAAGGAATTGTTTCTTGATAATCAGGTAACATTCAAATGTTATATAAACTTTAGATTTCCAGGATGAGTGTTGTATTTAGAGCAAAGGCTCTTGTTTGGAGGCAGTGCTCCATGAAGGTAGGCCTGGTTCTATGGAATTTCCAGCTCTAGCTGTCATGAATGGGCTGGTTACCTTGGGCGAGCCACTTTAGCTCTCTGGGCTTTAGCTGGGATAAGTGTGTTGGAATAGGATATGATCTCTAAATTTTCTTCCAACTTCCAAGATTTTATGGCCTTTGCAATTTATTATTTCAAGCCCTTAAATTATCTCCAGTAAAACTTGAGCAAATGTAACCATTTAATGATATACTGGGAACCATATCTATAGTACCTCTTTATTACAAGATGCTTATGTTTTAGTTAGAGATATACTCACATGTTCACATATGGGTGTATATATGTGTGTATGTGTATATTATGTATGTGTGTGGATGCTGATCTTAAACTATTTTGTTGTCGTAGTTCATAGAAGTAAAAACCTGAAAATATTTAAACCAGATCACAAATACAGGGAAATAGGCTCTTAGGGTCTGCATTTTCCAGCTACCTGACTCTTGCTTTGGGGCCAATTTCCACGCCCTTCTTTCACACGGTGTGTCAGCTGTGGAGGTGTTTAATTCAGCATTGTGTGGAGCAGAGCTTTTCCGACTGTGCTCTGTGGGACTCTAGAGACCAAGAAAGTACTTGAAAAAACGTTTTTAAGCCGAACTAGTACACAGTCGAGGAGCTCGGCAGGGTCCTGTTTTCGTGGCCAGCACAGTCTGTCCCCACCTGGGGTTACGTTGTTCCCTCTTTCCTGCTTGGTTGTACACACCGCACTGTGTGCTATTGGATACCATTAGCACATTGATTGCCTGGTACGGATAGATTAATTCGGTTGGTACAGCTGGTTGACCCTCCTGCCCTGTCTGCCTTATTAAAAATTATTGCATGAACACAGGACAGGCCGTTAAAAATCAGGGGCTGTTTGTGATGACTCATGGGTGCATCTCAGGACTCTTCCCAGTGATGTGCAGCGGGGGGAGAAACCAACGGGCATCCGGCTACCTCATGTCTCCAGCCCCCAGTGTCAGGTTTTTGAGTTCCTCCAAACAACTTAATTGCTCTCGATGATGGACCTTATACAAGCATATTGTAAATTGCTATTACATTACATATCGTAAAATGCTATTACAAGCATATTGTAAATTGAGCTTGCTGAAAATGTTTGGAAGCCACAGATGTAGCGAAAAGGGCACAGATTTTAGAGACAGGCAGTTCTGGATTTGAGACTTAGCTTCCATCATTTAGTAACCATACGGCCTCTGGCAAAGGAATTTGCACCTCTAATGCCTAATTGTCTCATCTGTAAAATGGGCCTGCTGTCTGGCAGCCAGGACCCTTTTTTTTTTTTAAGAGTCGAGGTCTCGCTCTGTCATTCAGTCTGGAGTATAGTTGTGCGATCATAGCTTGCTGCAGTCTCAAACTCCTGGACGAAGCGATCCTCCTGAGTCTGCCTCCACGTAGCTGGGATTACAAGTGTGCACCACGATACCTGGCTAGGCAGGACGTTTCTGAAGACCTTAGATGTGTGTACAGTGGGCCTACTCCTGTGCCCGACACATAACAGTATATTCAACAAATGCTGGTAATTATCATGCTTTTCATGCTGAGAATTAAAGTGTTACAAGCCAGGGGTGTCCAATCTTTTGGCTTCCCTGGGCCACATTGGAACAAGAAGAATTGTCTTGGGCCACACATAAAATACACTAACACTAATGATAGCTGATGAGCTGGAAAAAAAAAATCACAACAAAATCTCATAGTGTTTTAAGAAAATTTACGAATTTATGTTGGGCCGCATTCAAAGCTGTCCTGGGCCGCATGCAGCCCATAGGCCGTGGGTTGGACAAGGTTGGTTTACACTATAGAAATATAGATATTTTATTGCATTTGCATATTTACTTCTGTGGTGGACATAGCATATGCATAGTCTGATAAATATATTTGCCTATAATTTAGAGATATTTCAGCAGATTGTAATGACAACATTTCTCTTTCTGCTACATTTTTGTAGCAAATTAAATTAATTTTCTTTTCTTTCATTTTTAAAATGTGTGGAGCCTTAACAGAATAATTTCTTGTACTTTGGGTTTTTTCTAGTAGGAAAAGAAATATCAAACAGCCGGTGGGAATTGTGCTTATACACTGGGCCTCCAAAGTGCTGCTTTATTTTTATGTACAGACTCGTTGGGGGTGGACTGCCGAAATCCTTGCTCTTAGAAATGTATTTGAGCCCCTGGGAAACTGGATAGGGAAAAAAGAGCTAATTAAAAAAGCTGCCATCCACCTCCTCTAATTAACTTGCTGTCTGCTCCCAAGAGAGGGTTCAGAAATATGAAAACAAGACAGGCAGCACCGGAAGTGAATGCCATTCTCGTGGTCTGTGGTGGTCCCTGGTGTTTTGATGCAGAGATCGTTCATAGTAAACAGGCAAGGGACCACAAAGAGGCTTGGTGTGCCCTGGCCCACCCCATGCTCTGCCTTCCACACAGGGCGATCGTGAACGGCGGTCCCTCTGAGCAGGTGCACAGGCTGGGCAGTTGCTGCAGCGGAGAACTCATTGGAATTCAGGGGCTAGAACCGAGGGGCATCCGGCCCTCCCTGTTGCTTGCTTGTGCTGTTGAGAAAGAGCAGAGCCCTTTGTGCTTCAGAGCCTGCTGTCGCCAGTGCCCAGGAATGCAGAAGCCAGGGGATGGACGAGTACTCAGGCTTTCCTCGAATCTCTGCTTGAGTGGGGCAGCCTCGGGGCCTCCGGACGCTGGAGAAGCTCACAGCATCTGTGGCCGGTGGTGCAGCTAACTTTTTTGGTGACATTGAAAGAGATTTAGGTCCAAGAGATACGAGCAGGGGAATTAGGGGTGGGAATTTGGGGGACAGAGGCTGTTCTTCAGCGGAAATGGCCTATGCCTCCTGGCAGAGGTGGTCCCCAGTGGAATGGGCCCGGTGGATGTGGACAGCGGTGACCAGCAGTGGGGACTCCAGTCTGCTGGTGCTTCAGGGAGACTCTGGAAAAAGGCAAGTTATCTCTGTGTATCTTGTCAGTGTTGCTCATGATGGTGCAGTGCTGGGGGCCTGGTGAGGAAGCTGGGTTCCCGGGGCAGCACCCGGGGCAGCACCCAGGGCTCGCCAGGCTGATCTGAACTCTCATTCTTCTTTGCTCCTCAGTTGTGTGACCTCCTTTTGTTTTCCACACCGATAAACAGATGCTTCAGGTACCTCGATCTGTTGTTGTGCAAGTGCGGATCTTTCCTTCTCCCCATAGACAAAAGCTAAGCCCTTTGATATTAATGAGTGTTTGTAAGAAGTCAGTATCTTCTGTTGGGTTTGCATGAATTATTTCCTCATGAAATTTAATAGTAGACTAGGTTTGGCTCATTGGATCCCATCAAAAGCAGCTATGATGTTTCTTTTAAACCCTTTGGTTCCCTGGAGGCTTTGTGGCTGGTTGGAGGAGCCAAGGTCCTTGGGGGGTGGAGGGGCAAGGGTGCTGATGAAGTAAGTCACTGACAAACTAGTTGTAAAAGCATTGATACAGATTTTCTGAAGGGAACTCACCAAATAGCTCTTTCTTCAGGTCCCAGTGGATAGTGGAGGGATTGGTTTGGTTCCTGGTGCTCTCTGCCAGCTGGCTGGTGGTCTTTAGAAGATGGTGGCCTCTACTGGGGTCCCTGGTTCTTTGATCTTTTTGGAAGCTCAGCAACGTGAGCATCTCTCAGCATTGGGTTGCACGGCTCGGTGACACCGGTGCAGCTTGGTGCACACACTGTCCGTACTCACCTGCCAGGTCACCCCGATTTCATGTCTTCACCAGATTTGCTTGCTGGGATCATTCGTGCCATTCAGCCACTCTAAGTTTCCATTCTCTTAATAATTAGCCCCCTCGTTGCAAATGAATAAATCAGTATTTCAGTCTGTTTAACCCTTCCAAAATGGGACTCAGCCCAACTGCGACTGCTGCTGCCAGGCTAGCTGTTCTCCAAGGCAAGGCTGGGCTCAGGACCGTGGGCCCTTGGGCATCTTGAGCATAGGTGGAGCTGGCTTAGTACTGGGGGAAGCCTTATTCTTTCTGGCTTAAAATTGAGTCACCGGTGGAAGCAGGGTGATGGGGAGGGCTGTCTGTTGGTTCTTCGTTTTCTTCTTTTTATTTTTTTAAGAGACAGGGTCTTGCTCTATCACCTAGGCTGGGATGCACTGGCACAGTCATAGCTCACTGCAGCCTCAAACTTCTGGGCTTAAGTGATCCTCCTGCCTCACCCTCCCTAGTAGCTGAGACCATAGGCACATGCCACCAAGCCTGGGTAATTTTTTATTTTTATCTTTTTATAGAAATAGGGCCTCACTGTGTTGCCCAGGCTGGTCTCAAATGCCTGACATCAAGCGATCCTCCCACCTGAGTCTCCCAAAGCGCTGGGATTAGAGGCATGAGCCACCGCACCTGGCCTGTTGGTTCCTCTTCAACCCAGGCCAAGGCTTGGCCAGTGGCCTCTCCTTGTTAGTGGGCAGAGTTTCTCCACATGGATTTTTGGTCCAGTTCTCTGGGTGAAGAGTCTTCCTTGAGAACAGACTTTCCTGCAGACCAGCGAGGGCCATTTTCACTGTGTCGGGGTTGGTGGCCGTGCTTTGTGTCTTGGTCTGATGCACCCTCTGCCTGGCCGGCTTGCTGGCTTCCTTCGTTCACTCCATTCACCCACTCAACACATGTTCATTCCCGGCCCTCCACTGTAGGCTTGGAGATACTGTGATAAACAAGGCCGGCTGCCCTCCTGTGTTTTGAGCTCCGTAGAAGAGAAAGACAGTAAACACTACTAGAATAAGTCTATACTCACAAGTTATGAGAGGCGCTGAGAAGGCAGGACAGTAGAGAGGATGATGGGGTGGGATCATGTGGGTGAGTTGGCACAATGGCATCGAACATGCAGAATGCCTCTCTCTCTCTATTTGAATCAATACCTAATAATGAACGCGTGCGGAAGTTCATCCAGAGTCCGCTGTGTGTGTATTTGCCACTAAGGCGAGAAGCGTGTATTTCCAGTAGAGCCGAGTTCAAAGAATACATCATTTGTGTGCAATCAGAGCCAGTGATAAGATTCAACCTTAGGAATCACGACTGAGAAAATGACTTTCCTCTCATCTGTCCCTGCACAGTTTAACTGAGCAGCGAGCCAGAACCCACTGGCTCTGGGTGCGAAGGCCACACCGGCTCAGCAGAACTGGCTCTGGGCCCCTGTCTAACCTGTGCTTCTCCCTCTCTCATCAGGAGTTCCGATTCTGAAGAGGCATTTGAGACCCCGGAGTCAACGACCCCTGTCAAAGCTCCGCCAGCTCCACCCCCACCACCCCCCGAAGTCATCCCAGAACCCGAGGTCAGCACACAGCCACCCCCGGAAGAACCAGGTAACCAAGGGCAGGGAGGCCCCCAGACAGCCCTGTAGAGTTGTGAGCCCTGGGGGAGATTTGCAGCAGTTCCTCCTGGGTCAGGCTGGAGGCGAGCACTGACTCGACCTCTTGGCTTTGAGTTGTGCTTGACGTGGCTTTTGTAGTTTTCTTGAAAATGAAGGGTGAACAGATACACTGGATTATTTTGCATTTGCTTTGCAGAATTTTAGGGGGGGCCTCTGGGGAGATTGGGTTTGGAGGAGGGCAGTGGGTCTCGGAAGTTCACAGCACAGTCTTGGATTCCAGCACTTGGCCCCTTGCTCTTTTAAGAACATTAGCTGTGGACAGGCCTGTGAATCTACATGTGTATTTCCAGCACTAGGCTTGGGGAAGGAAGGTAGTCAGTGGGCGGGGATAGAGAGGTAGACATTCACAGCAGATCATGGTGGTTTGTTTATTCCTCATGAATCTCGTGTCACCTGATTTCATATCACTTTCCCACAACTTTCTCCCTTAGTGTGAGTGAAAACACCTTTATGTTCCTTTTAGACGGGTGGTTAGTGGACAGGTGGAATAGATCTCGTCCCCACCCCACCCCTGTGGGGCATGCATTCTGCGCCTCCCAGTTACACCAGCACAGAGAACCACCTCTCACATGGAAGATTCACAGGAGACTGGAAGAGATAGGGCCTGCCAGAAATGGTCCCACAGGCTGGCCAGGGGGCCCAGGTGGTATTGTCCTTGGGCCTGGACAGCTCTGGGCCCCACAACTTACAGGACCCCACTTTGGCCTTCCTTGGCCCACAGCCTTCCCGTGTGATGAGAAGTCTGCAGGGCCAAACCCCTTCTAGACCACACGCTGGATACCTGGGAGCGGCCACTGCCAGGGGCCCCCTCGTCCCCTTCTCTGGCTCTTCCTCCCGAGGGCAAACTGTACCTGAGAAGGAACCAAGGATGGGGCTGGGTGCCTCCACTGTGTACTTGCCCTGGCCAGGAGCCAGGTAAACTGAACAATACAATAACATTTTGACCTTGATGTTGGTTTTAGAAAGAAATGGGTGGAATTCTTTTTATCCGCCGTG
Source organism: Homo sapiens (assembly GCF_000001405.40). Taxonomy (NCBI): domain Eukaryota; kingdom Metazoa; phylum Chordata; class Mammalia; order Primates; family Hominidae; genus Homo; species Homo sapiens. The sequence continues at coordinate 122,196,241 of NC_000010.11, forward strand.
GGTTCGAGCAGCCCGTTGTTTTGGAAAGGATGTACACTCCCGGAGCTTTGTTCCTAAACCAGCAAACCCCCGTGCTGGGACAAGGGGGCAGGACAGTTTTAATGAGAGCTGATGCCTTTGGTGGAGTCTGCCGAATACTGCTCCCATGTCCCCCGTCTTTGACGGCTCATCAGTCTGCAGCAGTGTCTGGATTTTGCTGAGTCAGTGTAGATGCCAGACTCTGGGAGGATAGTGACGGATATTTCTTTGATTTGAAAGTAGAGAAGAGCCAGGAGGGCTGTCTGTAGTTCTCAGAGCATCGTTTGCATCTCTTCCTTTATTTTGTATGACCAAGCATATAAAACTGTATTTCTCGTAATATTTTTAAAAACTTACCCATAATTTTTAATGGAAAGTGGCTGGATGACAAACACATTGTAATCTCTAGGTCAAATGTGTGATTAAGAATAAACTATTCTGGCCGAGGCGGGCAGATCATGAGGTCAGGAGATGGAGACCATCCTGGCCAATACGGTGAAACCCCATCTCCGTTAAAAATACAAAAAATTAGCTGGGCGTGGTGGCGGGCACCTGTAGTCCCAGCTACTCGGGAGGCTGAGGCAGGAGAATGGTGTGAACCCAGGAGGCGGAGTTTGCAGTGAGCGGAGATCACACCACTGCACTCCAGCCTGGGTGACAGAGCGAGTCCGTCTCAAAAAAAAAAAAAAAAAACAAAAAAACAAAGAATAAACTATGCTTGGCCGGGCATGGTGGCTCACGCCTGTAATCCCAGCACTCTGGGAGGCCAAGGAGGGTGGATCACCTGAGGTCGGGAGTTCGAGACCAGCCTGCCCAACATAGTGAAACCCCGTCTCTACTAAAAATACAGAAATTAGCCAGGCATGGTGCCGCACGCCTGTAGTCCCAGCTACTCAGGAGGCTGAGGCAGGAGAATCGCTTGAACCCGGGAGGTGGAGGTTGCAGTGAGCCGAGACCATGCCACTGCACTCCAGCCTGGGTGACAGAACCGGACTCTGTCTCAAAATAAACAAACAAACAAATGTTTAGAAGAAAATGATAGCATGTTATAGGGCATGTACCATCCCCAGCACCAAGGAGTGTGCGGAGAGGCCACTTGTGGCCACAGGTGCGTCTTCTGGGATTCCCAGTCCGACATCCTGCCAGCTCTGGGATGAATGGGATGCCACTCTGTTCTCTTCTTTGATCCTGTCCTTCTTCCTTCTGCCTAACTTCCTTTCAACAAAGCAGAGAACAATCTCCATTCTTAAAACGAACACGCACAACATCCATCTTTTTCTTAGATGGCAGTTACTAAAAGAATGAGCATTATTGAGGATTAAAAGATAACCCCCACCAGGGAAGGGGATGGAAACGTTAATTGCTGTGGAGTCACAGCCCCTCAGAACCTTGGATTACACCAATTGGAGTGTTTGAACGGGGACTTTATGTTTCTCCTCCTTTGAAAACGGCAGCAAGGCTAGCTGTGTGAGGATTGTACACTCAGGAGACTTACGGTTGGAACTGTGTCTGCTGAAAGCCCCCCTAGCTTGGGCTGTACAAAGATCCATTTGATTTGCTGCCCTGGTTAGAAAACCGCCTCCCAGGCGGAGGGTCCCCTCGTCCATTCTGTAGACCAGCATGGGGCATTACGAAGGCGTGGGAAGGCAGCTGTGCTTGCTAGTGTAGGTGGCTGTAGGAGAAGAAAGATTTGTTCTCTCAACCATAGGAAAGAAGGGTACCAGGGGAAAATCTATTGTTTACTTTCCTCTGCACAGTGCCCGGGATGTTGCGAAAGGTGCTGTGGGAACCACGTGAATTAATACACAACACCTTTGGCTGTGAATAAAGATGGTTTTTCCCCCTGGCAACCTACATTTTATAAAGCACTCACTTGCCCTACATTGGGTCCTACCAGCGTGTCTGGGCTCCCTGGGATGGAAGATGTGTGGGCCAGAGCAGTCCCATGAGCCTGTCCTGAGGGCTGTAGCCTGGACCACACTCCTGAGGCAGAAGATGGGGCAAAGGATTGCACCTGCTGCCAGCTGGGGCGGGCCAGGACTCAGCTCATCTGAACGCAGTTCCCTTATCTGTGAAATGAAGAGGGTGATCTGTGGGTCCCTTCAGATCCTTCCAGCTCCGGCCTCCCGAGGTCCTGTGAAGGGAATGGTTGGCTGATGTACAGTGACCGTGTTATTAGAACTCAAAACCGGCCACCAAGGGTCATAATTACATGTCATGTAATTAAATAATAGCTCCCATTCAAGCATTTGCCTTGTCAGGGCTATGCTAGGTCCTCTGAGTGTTTCATCTCCCACTCAGGTGAGGGAGGATCAGCCGTATGCACACAGCATCCCTGTATAGTGGATGTCTTCCCCTGATTCCCCAGTGACACGCGGAGGTTACGAACCTCATACGCCATCTCACAGCGATAAGGGGACTCTGGTGTCAGAACCCAGGCCTCCCCACTTCCAAGCCCGGCTCCCTTCCATTTGGAACCAGACTGCTCTCTGCGCAGGTACAGTGAGCTGGTGCCTTTGTGCGCCTAGCCTGGGGCAGGCCCTTAGTAGGTGTTGAGTGAAAGTTGTTGCTGGACCTGCTGTTGCTTAGATGTGTGCTGGGGCAGTCCTGCCAGCCTGTCCTGAGAGCTGCAGCCTAGGCCACGCCCCCGAGGCAAAGGATGGGGCAAAGGATTGCGAGTCAGTGGGTGATCAGTGGGGGCGACATGGCAGGAGAGCTGAGGCAGGTCCATTCTGACAGTTGCCCACCTGCCCTTCAGGGACATTGTTCAGCATTGGGGAATGCAGCTTCTTTACTCATTCTTGCTAGGAGATTGCCAAGCCCAGGGAAAGGCCCGTGTTGGGGCCTTGGAGGTAATGGGGGCCTCCCTGTGCCCTGCGTGCCTATACCTTTCCTCTGTCTCCCAGGACATGGTCCCCAGGCACTGATTGTGGCACTGCACCTGGGGGCCCGAGCCATTGAGCCAAGGGTATACAGATTCACAGCCACCAGATCCAAGCACCAGTGTCCTCGCCAGGCACTCGTTGTGCTCTAAGTGGCTGTTTGTGGACAGCTGTCCTCACATTGACTTGGAATGGAGCTCAGTGCCCAGCCTGGCTGCAGAGCACACAGTGGCTTCCCTTTTCTTTGGGCCCGCCTCTGGTTTTCGTATACACTGTCACCTGCTTTTGTCTCCAAAGAGGCCATACGTGGGTGCTCCCTGTAGCCACGGGAGACTTCCTGGCATGGGGTGGGGCATCCCAGAATCCAGCTGAGGCCCTTCCCAGCCTGGGGCAGGGGCACAGGGGTGGGTGTCACCATGGCGTGTGAAGAGCAGGGGGCTGTGGTTGCCTTTTCCTGACACCTGCTATGACCTGGGCCAGGTGCTTACAGACTCTCCCTCTTCACCCACACAAGAATTCCCTATGACAGCTGATGACAGCACACTGTCTTAGGTCTGATCACACGGCTATCAACGTAACCATAGACCAGGTACCTGTTAGCAACAGAAATGTATTGCTTACAGTTCTGGAGGCTGGGAAGTCCAAGCTCAGGGCACTGGCAGATTTGGTGTCTAGTGAGGACCTGCTTTCTGTTCATAGACAGCACCTCCTCCCTGTGTCCTGACATGGTGAAAGGACACACAGTCTTCCTCAGTCCTCTTTCGTAAGGGCACTAATCCACTCATGAGGACACTGCCCCCATGAGCTCATCACCTCCCAAAGGCCCCACCTCCTGATACCATCACCTTATATGAGGATTTCAACATAGGAATTTCGGGGACACACACATTCGGACCAGAGCACACAGCAAGCTGAGGGCCGAGCCTTTTCAGGCCTGGATCTGGCTGCCACAGGCACTCGGGCCCTCTTGGGCCGGCTGCTCCCTCTTCACAATGTGAGTGTTTCATGGGCCCAGGACCAGGGAACAGGTGAGACCACTGGAGATTCTGATGCAGTCCAGGCAGAGGCTGGCACTGCACCTGGGGGCCCTGGCCATCGAGCCAGGGGTATATGGGTTCACAGCCACCAGATCCAAGCCCCGTTCATCCCAGGCTGGAAGGACGATGGAGAGTTTGGGGCCTGCATAGAGCCAGGTGAGGAGACATGAGAGGATGGCGACCTCACCTGCCCACAGTGGCCACATCTACAGTGAGAGGACGGGCACCTCACCTGCCCACAGTGGCTGTGTTCACATGGGGAGGACAGTTACCTCACCTGCCCACAGTGGCCACATCTACAGTGAGAGGACGGGCACCTCACCTGCCCACAGTGGCTGTGTTCACATGGGGAGGACAGTTACCTCACCTGCCCACAGTGGCTGCGTTCACATGGGGAGGACGGCCACCTCACCTGCCCACAGTGGCCACATCTACAGTGAGAGGACGGCCACCTCACCTGCCCACAGTGGCCACATTTACAGTGAGAGGATGGCCACCTCACCTGCCCACAGTGGCCATGTTCACATGGGGAGGACGGCGACCTCACCTGCCCACAGTGGCCGTGTTCACATGGGGAGGACGGCCACCTCACCTGCCCACAGTGGCCATGTTCACATGGGGAGGACGGCGACCTCACCTGCCCACAGTGGCCACATCTACACTGAGAGGATGGCGACCTCACCTGCCCACAGTGGCCACATCTACACTGAGAGGACGACCACCTCACCTGCGCACAGTGGCTGTGTTCACACGGGGAGGACAGCGACCTCACCCGCCCACAGTGGCCACATCTACAGTGAGAGGACGGCCACCTCACCCGCCCAGAGTGGCCACATCTACAGTGAGAGGACGGCCACCTCACCCGCCCACAGTGGCCACATCTACAGTGAGAGGACGGCCACCTCACCTGCCCACAGTGGCCACATCTACAGTGAGAGGACGGCCACCTCACCTGCCCACAGTGGCCACATCTACAGTCAGAGGACGGCCACCTCACCTGCCCACAGTGGCCACATCTACAGTGAGAGGATGGCCACCTCACCCGCCCACAGTGGCCACATCTACAGTGAGAGGACGGCCACCTCACCTGCCCACAGTGGCTGCGTTCACATGGGGAAAACGGCCACCTCACCTGCCCACAGTGGCTGCGTTCACATGGGGAAGACAGCCACCTCACCTGCCCACAGTGGCTGCATTCACATGGGGAGGACGGCCACCTCACCTGCCCACAGTGGCCACATCTACACTGAGAAGACAGTGACCTCATCTCCCCAGGGTGGCCACATCTACACTGAAAGGATGGCGACGTCACCTGCCCACAGTGGCTGTGTTCATATGGGGAGGACGGTGACCTCATGTGTCCTGTGCACCTTGGATGGAGACACCACCAACCTGGCAGGGCCCCAACCCTCTGGACGCACATTCACTTCCCGTAATGACCTCGCTGGAGGGGCTTGACTGCTCTCCACATCCACACAGGCACAGTGGGCCATGGATGGATCCTGGGATGCTCGGGGCTCTCACAGACCCCAGGCTGGTGGCTCAGCCCATTATCCTCCCGGGAAGACAGGGGTATAACCAAGCACCGCAGGTGTTGTCCTGTTACAGATGACATTTGATAATAATAATAGAAAAATAGTAACATTGTGGGGGGTGGTACTAGAGACAGTGACAGCGAGGCACAGCAAGGTTAAGGAGCTTTGGCCAAGGTCACCAAGCCGATTAGTGGCAAAGCCAAGGTTTCCGCTGCTTTTTATGACTCTGCGCTCTTTGAAACTGACCTCTTTTGAATCTGACATTATGTTAGTGGTCTGTCTTCATGCTGTCTTCTTTAGCTTTTTTTTTTTTTTTTTTTTAATTCATAATCAGTGTTTTTATTATTTTCGATGATGGCTCATTTCTAAGTTAAGTGATGTATACTGTCTACATTTCCCATCTATAAGCTTTTGTTTTTCCTGGACTTTTGTTACCTAATTTTGATTTGCTTAGGTTATTATTTTTTTAATCTATGGCATGTCTTCCTATCGCTATGTACAATGGCTTTCAGTAGAACTTTTTACATCTTCAAACTCATCAGATAACTGTGTTTTAATATCTTTTTCTGAGGACATTCCTCCCAAATCCCTCTGTTCTGCTCCACTTGGGGCTGATAGGTCCTTTTCTGTTTTGAGACAGGGTCTCACTCTGTTGCCCAGGCTTCAGTGTAGTGGCACGACCTTGGCTCACCGCAGCCTTGACCTCTGGGCTCAAGAGGTCCTCTGATTGTTCTTTATTCTTGTTGCACAGCTGTTGTTTGGGGACTTCCCTTTGCCATCATCCTGGGATTTCCCTTTACCTCCTTCCTGTGTGATCTCCGGTTTCCTAAAATCCCTGTCTTCCTCTCTGTTAGGTTATTCCCTGTTTTGGTCAGTACATCATCCAAGAGTTTCCTGACAAAAGAGATGGGAAGGTAATTTGTTTCTCCAGAAGTAGATTTTTCTTTCTTTCTTTTTTTTTTTTTAATTGATCATTCTTGGGTGTTTCTCGGAGAGGGGGATTTGGCAGGGTCACAGGACAATAGTGGAGGGAAGGTCAGCAGATAAACAAGTGAACAAAGGTCTCCGGTTTTCCTAGGCAGAGGACCCTGCGGCCTTCCGCAGTGTTTGTGTCCCTGGGTACTTGAGATTAGGGAGTGGTGATGACTCTTAAGGAGCATGCTGCCTTCAAGCATCTGTTTAACAAAGCACATCTTGCACCGCCCTTAATCCATTCAACCCTGAGTGGATACAGCACATGTTTCAGAGAGCACAGGGTTGGGGGTAAGGTCACAGATCAACAGGATCCCAAGGCAGAAGAATTTTTCTTAGTACAGAACAAAATGAAAAGTCTCCCATGTCTACCTCTTTCTACACAGACATGGCAACCATCCGATTTCTCAATCTTTTCCCCACCTTTCCCCTCTTTCTATTCTACAAAACCGCCATTGTCATCATGGCCCGTTCTCAACGAGCTGCTGGGTACACCTCCCAGACGGGGTGGTGGCCGGGCAGAGGGGCTCCTCATTTCCCAGTAGGGGCGGCCGGGCAGAGGCACCCCTCACCTCCCGGACGGGGCGGCTGGCCGGGCAGAGGGGCTCCTCACTTCCCAGTAGGGGCGGCCGGGCAGAGGCGCCCCTCACTTCCCGGATGGGGCGGCTGGCCGGGCAGGGGGCTGACCCCCCCACCTCCCTCCCGGACGGGGCGGCTGGCTGGGCGGGCGGCTGACCCCCCCACCTCCCTCCCGGACGAGGTGGCTGCCGGGTGGAGACGCTCCTCACTTCCCAGACGGGGCGGCTGCCGGGCGGAGGGGCTCCTCACTTCTCAGACGGGGCGGCCGGGCAGAGACGCTCCTCACATCCCGGATGGGGCGGCAGGGCAGAGGTGCTCCCCACATCTCAGAAGATGGGCGGCCGGGCAGAGACGCTCCTCACTTCCCAGATGGGATGGCGGCCGGGAAGAGACGCTCCTCACTTTCCAGACTGGGCAGCCAGGCAGAGGGGCTCCTCACATCCCAGTCGATGGGCGGCCAGGCAGAGACGCTCCTCACTTCCCAGACGGGGTGGCGGCCGGGCAGAGGCTGCAATCTCTGCACTTTGGGAGGCCAAGGCAGGCTGCTGGGAGGTGGAGGTTGTAGCGAGCCGAGATCACGCCACTGCACTCCAGCCTTGGCACCATTGAGCACTGAGTGAACGAGACTCCGTCTGCAATCCCGGCACCTCGGGAGGCCGAGGCTGGCGGATCACTCGCGGTTAGGGGCTGGAGACCAGCCCGGCCAACACAGCGAAACCCTGTCTCCACCAAAAAAATACGAAAACCAGTCAGGTGTGGCGGCGCGCGCCTGCAATCCCAGGCACTCGGCAGGCTGAGGCAGGAGAATCAGGCAGGGAGGTTGCAGTGAGCCGAGGTGGCAGCAGTACAGTCCAGCTTCGGCTCGGCATCAGAGGGAGACCTTGGAAAGAGAGGGAGAGGGAGACCGTGGGGAGAGGGAGAGGGGGAGGGGGAGGGGGAGGGGTAGATTTTTCTAACTGCCTTCTTTAGCTTTTAAAGAAAGCACTTTTCCAGAGCGTCTCATTTCATGCCTGCTTATAAAGGATGAGGAGTGGCCCCAGGTCACAGCCGGTGTTATTTCCCCCATTGCCCTCTCCCTCTGCCTTCAAATGAGCAGTTAAGTCAGTAACCGGCTGAGCCCTTGTGCTGATGCTGGGGCTCTGCCTGGGGGACTGTGGCCCCTTGGTCGGCAGCCCACCAGGGAAGCACCCCAGCAGGACAACAGGTGGGGATGTGGCAAGGAAAGCTGCTCATCTCTGGCTGACACCAGAGAAGTGACAGTCAGCAAAGCAGGACAGAGAGGGACATGTGGGCCGGGTACGGTGGCCCATGCCTGTCATCTCAGCACTTTGGGAGGCTGAGGTGGGAGGATCGCTGGAGCCCAGGAGTTTGAGACCAGCCTGGGCAGCATAGCAAGACTGCATCTCTACAAAAAATTTAAAAACTAGCCAGGTGTGGTGTCACGAGTTTGGCTAGCCACTTAGGAGGGTGAAGCCAGAGGATCACTTGGAGTTCAAGGTTGCAATGAGCTATGATAACGCCACTGCACTGCAGCCTGGGTGACAGAGTGAGACCCTGGCTCTTCAAAAAAAAAAAAAATGACGTGTGGCATGCTCTAGGTGGAGCCAGGATCAGCCCAGGGCTGCTGAAGTCCCAGCTGTCTGAACCGCCCGCACAGCACAGTGGGGCTGTCACTCCAACAGTGCTCCTGGGTGCCTTCTTACTTCTTACCCTACCTAGCAAAGCCTCCCCTTAGGTGCTCCCCATCCTCACTATGGCTCTGTCACTTAGATGCTCACGAGGCGGACTCTGCTGGGAACAATTTGGTTTATGTAAAGACACTTTAATTTCTTCATCACTAAGTGAGTTAGCACGGTCAGTAACTGTCCCCACAGTGCCTCGACGGCACTTTTCCCTCTTGGTTTCTGGGAATTGAACAGAAGTTTGAGAGCAGACATACGAGAGCAAGATAGACCTCAGGAAGCAGAGGAGCACAGCCCCACCCGGTGGGGGTTCCTGGGGTCTCTGTGAGATCCTGAACACCCACTGGTCTGAGGACAGAAGGCAGCCATGGCACGGGCCTCCTGCTCTCTTGCTGGTCGGTTTTGGGTTTGGTTTCTTGAGCTGTCTGTTTTGGACCACATCAGAGGAGGGTGGGCACCAAAGGACAGCCTCTGCCTGGTACTTCTGCAGCACTGATGCCTCACGCCTCTGGGGTAAAAACCCCACAGGAACTTGGAGCTCAAAGGCCCATCCAAGCTTATCCTCAAAGCTGACTCATTTTTGTGGCCAAATACTAAAGTGTTACCCACTGGAGGTTTAAGAATGAGGATAGGCCCAGATAGAAGCAGATGAGGTGAGATAGCCCAGTTCCAGACTTCCCGATGAGGAGGCGCACCTGTGGCACCTGTTACGATGGGGGCCCTGAGCCCCCACCCCAGCCCTGCAGAAGGAAGTGCTGCTCTGCAGAGGAAGGGGCGGATGGAGGCGGAGTCTGGGGTTTTAATGAGTGTCTCAGGTGTGTCTTAGGCTAGACAAATTTGGGAAATGTTGAATTCATCACGGACTTGCTCTGAGCTACCCACAGCAACCAGCAAACTGCCACAGAAAGACCAAGTACTGCTTTGTATCTCGTTAGCCTACTTAAAATGGACACCTTTTCCCAGAATAAATATTACTAACTGAAGATTACTATTTGTGTACTTAGAAGATACAAAGCCATGCTCTCTGTGTAGGAGACCATCTACCCGTGATGCGGCAGCTTAAGAGAAGAGTCTGTGAATGCCTGGGCACACCTCTGGCCCTCTGGGCGCCAAGGATTCCTGTGCACAGTGAACTCACTGGGGGGCGGGGGGAAAGAGGGGAGGATGGAGAGGCGCCAGTGCGGGGGCTGGCAGCAAGTGCTTCTGTGAGAAACAGTCCAGCAAGGCTAAGGGTGTGGCCTTTGGAGAAGGTAGGGTGACATCAGCTGGGTGATGTCTGCTGCCCTGTCCTGGCTTTGTCTCTTTCCTGGGAGCCCCCTGTCATCTCTAACACATTCGCTTTCCCTCAACTTGGGCATTTTACTGGGCAGCACTGGTGCTATGGCCTGAATTGTGGCCTCCAATGTTTGTATGCTGAAGCCCCAACCCCCAATGTGATTATTTGTAGGGAGGACCTTTAAGGAGACAGTTAAGGTTGAATGGGTTCATACGGGTGGGGCCCTAAGCCCATGGGGACCAGTGTTCCTATACGAAGAGGAAGAGACCAGGAGTGTGCAGAGAAAAGGCCATCTGCAAACCAAGGAGAGCGGCCTCAGGAGAGACAAACCCACTGATGCCTTGACCTTGGACTTGCAGCCTCCAGCACTGTGAGAAATAAATTTCTGTGGTTTAAACCGCCCAGTCTGTGGTCCTTGGTGATGGCAGCCCAGCAAGCTCATGTAACTGGGATACCCTAGTGACCCTTTTCATCTGATGAACTGCGGGTGCTGACTTTGTCATCAGACTGAGCCAGAAACCTGGAGCCTGTGTGCAAGGCACTGTTCTCTGGGGCATTGCCCAGATCTGTGTCAGTGGAGACATGAGGTGGAGGAAGTGTTGTGTATGTATTCATCTGGGTTCCTATCCTTCCTTACCTCTATGTCCTCGGCACACCCCCCAGTGGCTGATGTATGGGAGGCACCCCAGGTTATTTGTGGAATGAACAAATGAATCACACAGTTGATTGTGTCTGCATTGGTCTTCATGCAGATATGCCGTGTGGATGTTTAGAAATCCAGTAGGGGAGCAGGGAGGCTGGGTGTGGTGGCTCACACCTGTAATCTCAACACTTTGGGAGGCTGAGGCAGACGGATCACTTGAGGTCAGGAGTTCAAGACCAACCTGGCCAACATAATGAAACCCCATCTCTACTAAAAATAGAAAAATTAGCCAGGCGTGGTGGCACACACCTGTAATCCCAGCTACTCGGGAGGCTCAGACAAGAGAATCACTTCAACCTGAGAGGTGGAGGTTGTAGTGAGCTGAGATCGCACCACTGCACTCCAGCCTGGGTGATGGAATGGGACTATTTCAAAAAAAAAAAAATGCAGTAGGCGAGCAGGGAGGACTTCGAACCCAGTTGGACCACAGGAGCCCTTCTAGCCCTGTGAGGGGCCCCGTGGAGCAGCCTGCTCTGGTAACCAACACAATAAGACAGCCGTTCCCAACCAGGGAGGATTTTGCCCCCACAAGGGTACATGGCAATGTCTAGACACAGTGTTGGTTGTCACAGCTGGGGTAAGGGTGGGGCCTACTGGCATCCATTGTGTGGAGGCCAGGGATGCTGGTAAGCATCCTACAGGGCACAGGACAGCCCCCAGCATAAAAATCTGACTGCCCCCAAATGACCATAATGCCAAGGATAAGAAACCCTGCAGCAAGATTAGGTTTCCTGGTTCATGATGAGCTAATGAGAGCATGTCAGTTCTAAAGAGGAAAGCCATGCTAAGCAGGCAGGGAGCTCTTTCTTCTGGAGGAAGCAATGAGCAGATGGTTAAGCTCATTGTTGCGTGATAACTGCTGACATTTGAAGGGCCTCCGAAGGCTTCCTTCTGCAGGCTGCAGAGGCACGTGTAACGGCCTGAGAGGGAGAGGGTTGGTGTTTGTGGGCCTTGACGACGGGATAGGCTGAGGCTCGTGCTTCCTCCTGCCAAGGCCCATTTGAAAGCACCTGGTCCCCCTCAGCATCCCCTGGTCCTCTGTTCCCTCCGTGTATCCAGGGGCAATTACAGAGCAGGAAGAGGAGGTCACGGCTGGTGGGAGGATGGGGTACTTGAGAGTACTAGGGCCTAGAGGAAACAGGGAGTTGATTTTAGAAAGAAGCGAGGCAACACCTTTTGAAATGAGAAGGAAGGAGTGTTTGGAGAAACCGTTTGGTAGAAAGAGCTCCGTATTTAGGGCGTCTGCTCCAGGTAGGCCCTGGGTGGAGAAGAGGAGAGTGAGAGGCTTGAAACCAGGACTAGCTCATAGATGTGCTTCCAAATGATGCTTTCAATCCAAGCGTTTATTGATCCTGTAAGAAAGTGTGACCAGTCAAGGGGGAAACAAAGCCAAGGCCAGTTCCTGAACTCAAGAACCTTGAAGTTTTCTTGTGTTGTGAGCTGAGTTCTCTGCCAGGTACTCCAGGAGAAAGGTTGCTATGAGCAAAGCTTGGTAAGCACTCTGCAGAATACTCACTGCCCAGAGATTTGCAGTCGGGAGCATGAATTGCTCTGAGAAAATCGACAGGAAGAGACCAGTTCAGGGGTTAATTGTGCATTTCCCAAACCTTGTTTGTTTGTTGGGATGAGAGATAGGGCTCCCTGATTTAGCAAATGAAAATACAGGGTGCCCATTAAATCTGAATCTTAGATAAACAAAGAATCATCGAGACATGGGACATACTTATATTAAAAAACATGTTCATTTATCTGAAATTCAAATCAGCTGAACATCCTGTCCTTTGTCTGGCAACCATGCCGGTGGCAGAAGGGGACTGGGGGTACATAACACCTGTCACGAGGCACACATTGGAAACGCTGTCCCAGGTCTTACCTGTGCCAGCTCCGTTTACTCCTCATTCTGCATCTCCCAGTACTTAGGCCTGCAGACCGCTTTATCGTGTTTGCCCTCTTGTCCAATGACACACTTTTAGTTTTCTGGCATCCTTGACTGCCTGGAGCAGCTGTGACCTCAGAAATGCATGAAAGATGCCGCTGGGTGCCAGCAGAACCTAGAGTAGCCAAGCCAAAGCTGGGGCTGGCCGGATCCCCATGGGCAGTAGGGTGGTGGCACCTTTGAGCATCATTTGGCCAACATTTGCAGCATCTGCAGCATGTTTGGGAAATAGGAGCAACCTCCTTGACTGGCAGGGGCTGATGAGGTAGAAAAGCTGAGAGGAGGCAGCTGGGAGAGCAGTGAGACTAGGCAAGAGGCAGGGCCAAGGATAGGCAGGCAGGACTGAAGGAGAGGTTACAGGTGATGGCTGGAGCGGCAGGTGGCAGACAGCAAGTGCTACTACAGGTGCCGGGGGCCTCCGTGTACAGGCTCCCCTGATCTTCACAGTGGCTCTGAGGAGTCAAGAACAGGCTTGCTGGTGGCCGTGGCTAGTATGAATATTTATGGAAGCCTCCGTATGCCTTCCTGCAGGATTTCTCTGTCTTCCTGTCCCACTCTTGACCCTTGCTTTAGCCACACTGGCCTCCTCGCTGTTTCTGTAACGCACCAGGTGCTCCTGCCGCAGAGCCTTTACTCGCACTATTCCTTCTACCCAGGATGCTTCCTCCCCAGGAGTCCTCCTGTTTCATGCACTTACCTTGATTCTGGCCTTTGCTTAGATGTCTCCTCAGAAGATCTTGCCTGACTACCTTATTTTAAAAGTGAAACTCTCCTATCCCGGCTTTATTTTTCTCCTTAGCATGTATCACCCTCTGAAATTCTGTACATTGTTTGTTTGTTTTTGAGACAGAGTCTCACTCACTCTGTCACCCAGGCTAGAGTACAGTGGCGCAATCTCGGCTCTCTGCAACCTCTGGCTCCCAGGCTCAAGCGATTCTCCTGCCTCAGGCTCCGGAATAGCTGGGATTACAGGCGCTCACCACCATGCCTGGCTAATTTTTGTGTTTTTTTAGTAGAGACTGGGTTTCACCATGATGACCAGGCTGGTCTCAAACTCCTGACCTCAAGTGATCTGCCTGCCTCGGCCTCCCAAAGTGCTGGGATTACAGGTGTGAGACACCATGCCCGGCCCTGGTGGTTTATTCGCTATCTTCCCCTGAAGAATGTGACTTCCAGGAAGGGAAAGGTTTTGTCTATTTCTGTTCCTTGTTGAATCTCTAGTACCTAGAACCATGTCTGGTCCTGATTAGGCACTTGGTGAATGTTTTTGAATGAATACTCTGAGCTGTTCTTTAATCGGTCCTCATGATCCTCATTGTACAGATGAGGGAACTCTGGGCGAACCTGGCCTGGGTCTTGAGCTAATTACGGGTAGGTCAGGTTCTGTACCCAAGTAGTACACACAGTGATGGGCGGGGTGGCCTGGGGCCGTGGTTTGTCAACCCCTACGCTGGAGGGTGATGTTTTGGTACAAGAGGAGAGGTGCCCCAATGCGTCCTGTGTCTGTAATTGATGGCGTTGTCTGTGTTTCCCCAGGATGTGGTTCTGAGACAGTCCCTGTCCCTGATGGCCCACGGAGCGACTCGGTGGAAGGAAGTCCCTTCCGTCCCCCGTCACACTCCTTCTCTGCCGTCTTCGATGAAGACAAGCCGATAGCCAGCAGTGGGACTTACAACTTGGACTTTGACAACATTGAGCTTGTGGATACCTTTCAGACCTTGGAGCCTCGTGCCTCAGACGCTAAGAATCAGGAGGGCAAAGTGAACACACGGAGGAAGTCCACGGATTCCGTCCCCATCTCTAAGTCTACACTGTCCCGGTCGCTCAGCCTGCAAGCCAGTGACTTTGATGGTGCTTCTTCCTCAGGCAATCCCGAGGCCGTGGCCCTTGCCCCAGATGCATATAGCACGGGTTCCAGCAGTGCTTCTAGTACCCTTAAGCGAACTAAAAAACCGAGGCCGCCTTCCTTAAAAAAGAAACAGACCACCAAGAAACCCACAGAGACCCCCCCAGTGAAGGAGACGCAACAGGAGCCAGATGAAGAGAGCCTTGTCCCCAGTGGGGAGAATCTAGCATCTGAGACGAAAACGGAATCTGCCAAGACGGAAGGTCCTAGCCCAGCCTTATTGGAGGAGACGCCCCTTGAGCCCGCTGTGGGGCCCAAAGCTGCCTGCCCTCTGGACTCAGAGAGTGCAGAAGGGGTTGTCCCCCCGGCTTCTGGAGGTGGCAGAGTGCAGAACTCACCCCCTGTCGGGAGGAAAACGCTGCCTCTTACCACGGCCCCGGAGGCAGGGGAGGTAACCCCATCGGATAGCGGGGGGCAAGAGGACTCTCCAGCCAAAGGGCTCTCCGTAAGGCTGGAGTTTGACTATTCTGAGGACAAGAGTAGTTGGGACAACCAGCAGGAAAACCCCCCTCCTACCAAAAAGATAGGCAAAAAGCCAGTTGCCAAAATGCCCCTGAGGAGGCCAAAGATGAAAAAGACACCCGAGAAACTTGACAACACTCCTGCCTCACCTCCCAGATCCCCTGCTGAACCCAATGACATCCCCATTGCTAAAGGTACTTACACCTTTGATATTGACAAGTGGGATGACCCCAATTTTAACCCTTTTTCTTCCACCTCAAAAATGCAGGAGTCTCCCAAACTGCCCCAACAATCATACAACTTTGACCCAGACACCTGTGATGAGTCCGTTGACCCCTTTAAGACATCCTCTAAGACCCCCAGCTCACCTTCTAAATCCCCAGCCTCCTTTGAGATCCCAGCCAGTGCTATGGAAGCCAATGGAGTGGACGGGGATGGGCTAAACAAGCCCGCCAAGAAGAAGAAGACGCCCCTAAAGACGTAAGTTCAGGGGTGGAGGTGGTAAGGATCAGAGGCGGGGGTGCGCATTGGCTGTGACCCTTGGTCATGTGCCTGGATAACCTTCGACTGCCCTAACCTTGCCCCTGGGTGCTGTGATGATGCCACGCTTACGGCCGTTGCACCAAGCAGACAATGTACGTGTTTTCCTTCCTCTCTGCGGTCACAGTGGTGGCATTTTCCCATCCACATACCCCTTTGTGTCCTTGATCTTTTGCTTTAATAAATCAATGGGCTGGAGCTTTACTTGTAGCCAAAGACCTAATGTTCAACTCCAGAGCAATCTGGGAGATCCCATGGAAGGGGAAAGGTCCTTAGAGATCTGGTTCATCTCCCTGTTGGTGACTGATTGCTTTTTGGAGAAGCTGGGAGATACACCCTTTAAAATATTAAAATGTATAGTACTTGTTTCTGCCTATTAATGAGACATTAGCCCAACCTACAAACATAGTAGATTCCAGGAGGCTCAGGAATGAGAGATGTGGCCTGGGCCCCTCCCTGCTGCACTCCAACCAGCCCGTAAGAAACACCCTTCTTTGTCTCCTTCCTTCTCTCCAGTCATCTTTTGTAGACAAAGTCCCTGCAAGTTCTGAAGAGATAAATGGAACCTGAAAGTGGGGAGCAAATCCCCACAATCCCCAGGAAGCCATTGGTCCTTGGCTCTATGGTCCCCAGACACTTGACAAGGCCAAGTACATCGTGCTTAAATATCAAACACCCATGCCTCCAGAATCCACCCCAGGACCCGGCTCTAATGTGGATGGCTGCTGGTCCTTTATTCTTTGGCCCCTGTGGTTAATATCTTGGCGATTTCCTTACTCTTACGGGAAGTATTGTCAGTAATTTAACAAGGCTGAGGAGATCAGTCTCCCAGGGGCAGCAGAACAGACCACAGCGCTGGCCCCTCTGGGTCTGCCTGGCACGAAAGAGACAGAACGACATGTTTACCTCCCATTCTGGGCTCCCCCTAACATTGAATTTCTGAGAAGAACCCAGGGCCTCCTGAGAGGAGGTCTCTACAGCAGGTTACCTTAGATCAACCTGCCACTGTCTAGTGGTGGCTGGAGGCCATCCTGGCCAAAATGGGGACTTTGTTTTAGATCAGTTACTCAACTAGGTCCCTACTAGAGACTCTCTAGAATTCACGTTGGAAACTTGATTTCAAGCCTGGAATAGGAGAAGTCTGCAATGGCTAGACTGCAAGGCCGTGCTCTCTCATCTGGAATGAGAGCCAACCTTAGCCGCCACCTCTTCCTTCTCCAAGATATGTTCTGTGTCTCATAGGCGTCCCCAGTCACTTTCTTGTTTGAATATTAGAGCTAACAGGGGTCAGGGAAGTTTACCCAACTGTGTCCTCACCTCTAGTGCAGACAGGGACTTTGGCGTGGAAGACCCTGCGTGGGTCTGACAAAGCTCTTGGGGCACCACGGCTTTGTGGGATCATTAGGATCAAGAGAGGAAGCTGTTCCCCAGCAGCTCCTTCCAAAAAGCTGGGGCATTGCCCTACAGCGGTGGCCGCCATATCCTAACCCATTAATAACCAGTTGTCTGCAGATTTATCTTTTTTGTCAGTTCCTTCTGTCTGTCTCTCTTTTTCTTTGTCTTCTTGTCTTAGGATGGTTGAAGATGTGATGTCTGTGTGTTCTCTGTTGTAAGTAAATTTAATGCAATCTGCCTCTTATGCCAAATGTGCTTATTTTTCTGCCTTTTGTTTCTGCTTCCAAGCCATTTTTATTTCCCCTCTGGCTGCTACTGATGTGTTTCTGTGGTGGGCCTGCGAATGATGGGGCATGGGGCTCCCCAGTAGCAAAGATTACTTTTCTGTTTCATAGTGATTTGCATAAGAGACTGCTTGGCTGTGAAAATGTGATTATCCAGCATCTGCCTGCTTATCAGGAATGGAACTTTTTTCCTTCCCTTGCATATTGGATGTCTTCATCTGAAATCAAACATTTTTTTTAAACTCTTCATTACATTTTTTCATTTTAAACTGGGCTAGTGGGCGATTGCTTTCAACACTACTGTGGCTTCACGTTAAAATAACTGTCTGGTCTAACCACAGGCAGCGACGGCCACAGCTTATTCTTGCTAACATGTAAAGCAGAAATATTTGGGCCGTTCCAAATTGAGGCCCACAGAGTGCCCTGAAATGCAGGGTCAGTGCAGAGTGGAGCACACAGCTGTGAGAGCCATCGCCAGGCTGCCCCAGTCCTGCATCCTCAGTCACCCAGGACCTGGCTGGGTGTCGGCATGCCTTGTCTGCCATCTGTGGGTCACCCTGCCACTTGTCAGTAGAAACAGAGCTGACCATTTCTGTGCCTCTGCTGCTTTGCCTCCCATGGCCAGGAGGGATCTGTGGGCAGCTCGGGGGGGTCCAAAGACATGCAACTTTTCCCTGTCCTTAGAAGGGAAGCCGGCCAGTCCAGGTGGCCAGCAGTCCCAGGATAGGGTCGAGTCCATCAGACTCTCTTCTGCCCAAGGGATTTCTTGAGTATTTTTGAGCCACTTAGCAACTATAAAATATATGGTTATATATTTATATGCATGAATAAATATATGCTTCAAGCTGCGATTGCACTGTTTTAATGGCAAATATTATAAATGCTGTAAATAGCCATTTATTTTTTTTTCATGATTAAATGCCATTGTTGGAGTGATTTGAGAGAACACAAGGAAGGAACTTGAATGCCAAATTGCTCTGCCCACCCAGTTAACATGCAAAGCAGGGGAGGGTGGTGGGATCTAAGGAGAGGGATCACCCCCCAAAGCCTTTGCTTTGCTGGGAGTGGGACCAACCCATGGAGGGGCTGGAGACGGGGCAGGGGCCAGTCTACAGGGTGGAAAGAGCCCCCATTCTGACTGTGGAAGTGACCCCCAGACTGCTCGGTGGACTTAATGGAACTGCTCAGGCTAAAAGGCATCCCTTTCTCCTGGGATCTGCTTCCTTGACCCTTCAGGAGTCTGATTTGGTGGTTTCCTTTGCCTCTCAGCCCCGCTATTCATATGGAGGAGAAAAAGGGAGAGAAGAGCTGTGAATCTTGTCTGTTTACCATGGTTAGGAGAAGACAAAAAAAATCATCTCTCCCCTGGCCCTACCTTTAGTCAGGATTCCACCTAGAAGCCTTCAGAGCATGGGAATCCATTGAGCTCAAAGATCCTGTGATAGGGAGGATTCAGGAGGTTCTCCTTGAGGACCCCGAACTTTCTATTTCTGCGTGGCCCCCTTCAGTTGTTCATTAAGTGAGGTGTCGCCTTGCCCGTCTGTAAATTGGTGTCCTGAGCCTAGAGCCCCTCCCCTAGCCTTAGTTGGGTTCAGATACCCCTGGAAGAATCCAGATAAATTAATCTGCTCACCAGAAATTTGCTTTATAAAATACGAACATTTAGTTAAATTTAGCTTCATTTTCTGGGTCATTCTCCAAAATGGCATCTCTTTAAAGATCTCCAGCTTGATGGATCTTTCCCTTGGGGGCAAAAATAATAGCTGTTAAAAAGTGAGAGTGGGTAGCCGGCGTGGCCTCTCGCTGGTGCTGGAGTGACAGAGGTGGGAGGGTGGCCTGGGCCAGATGGCTCCGCAGAGGCAGTAGCTTCGGTCCGCTCTGTACTGCTCTGGAGTGTTCCGTCCCTCTGCTTGTTGTGTTTACGTTTTCCATTTTGTTTCCAGTGACACATTTAGGGTGAAAAAGTCGCCAAAACGGTCTCCTCTCTCTGATCCACCTTCCCAGGTACAGTGTTCCTTTGATCTTGATGGTTTTATGCCCCCCCCGGGGGAGGTTTTCTTCGCTTGTTGACAAAGCTTTGCTTTCTGCTCATCCCGGGCCTGTTTCCAAGACCCTCTTCTTGCATTCTGTGTGGAGGGTCCCTCGATGTTTGCTTCACATTGTTTTGGTCCCTTCACTTTGCGGAAGATCAGAGTGTGTCCCGAGAGTGGGAAGACGTTCAGGAAAAACATTAGTTGGGCTCTGGAGGACCCACTCTGCTCCATTCAGGCCAGTTCATCTGCTGTGAACTTCTAGGACTGTCGAGATGAGAAAGTCTCTTGAGATGAACAAATATGCAGTGAGAAGGTGAAGAAACTCAGCAAGTGTCAGGAGCACTGAATTGTGCAGCCAAAATTGGAGTGGGAAGAAAAGGGAAGCCCCTCCCCTAAAGAAGTGGGGCTTAGGTTCTGTCTTGATTAGAGTCCCTCTTACCAGTTCCTCCATCAGATAGATTCCATTTCTTCTACCCTGTTTACAGACCAAGGAAAGTTATCGTCAAGCCTGTCAGTATGTTAGGGCTAATTTCTGGGTCATAAAACAAAACAGACCTGCCACCCCTCCAAATCTGAGCCAGCAAAGCCCCAGCCTGCAGACCCTGGCCAGAGTGGGGGCAGTGGAGGGAAGCACTCAGCCCTGGGGATAGGGGCTCAGGTCCCAGCTGCAGCTCTGTCCTGACCTCTCTAGGTTCCCACCCTGCCCTACTCCACTTCCCACTCTCCAGTGGAAATGGAGATAAGATCCCCCTTTTTCTGCCTCCAGGGACTGATGAGATGCTTGTCAGGTGATTCTGGTGATATTGATGTGCAGGCCTGAAGCACTGTGTGAGCCTCGCACAGCAGTCACAGTCGTAAAACTAGCAGGAATGCTCAAGTAACTAAGACACAAAATCCTGATTTTTTTTTTTTTTAAATTCATGGTCATTCCCTGAAACAAACCATCATAAAAGGAGATTCATAGAGGGAAGAATCTGTGTGTCCATCTGTTTCCTTAATGGACCATTTGGAGCAGAGTCTGAGAAGAGCATGCAGAGGATTGTGACCGGGACCTGTCCTGGCTAATGGGTCCCCAGACCTGAGGGTGGGCACAGTTTCTGACCAAGAGTCTGATGAGACAAGAAACAGTTTCTCTTCTCTTTGCAGGACCCCACCCCAGCTGCTACACCAGAAACACCACCAGTGATCTCTGCGGTGGTCCACGCCACAGATGAGGAAAAGCTGGCGGTCACCAACCAGAAGTGGACGTGCATGACAGTGGACCTAGAGGCTGACAAACAGGACTACCCGCAGCCCTCGGACCTGTCCACCTTTGTAAACGAGACCAAATTCAGTTCACCCACTGAGGGTAAGCAACTCTGTAGCCAGCTGGACCCCCACTCTGCCTCGGAGAATCCTGCCCCTAGGGAGCCAAAGGCCAGGAGAGAAACTTCTCAGCCAGGTAACCACGTGATCATCATTGTGAGATCGTCTGCACGTCTCCCGCTGCACTTGCAGCTCAGGCTGTGTTTGAAAACAGCCTGAGACTTGAAAGCAGCTGTCCCTTGACCCAAGACTCCTGCTAAGAGCCAGCACGGTGCCCTCTAACTCCACCTCAGGACTCCATCGAGTGGGTCCTGAGCGCCCACTCGAGCTTTGCCCATGGCTTATGTCCCCTCTGTGATTTTGATAAACACAGCTCCAAGGGAGTGTCATTCAAGTCAAACTCTCAGTGTAGGTCACTGACCTGGACTCGCTTGGTGCCACCGTTATTCCTAGGCCCCATACTGTGTTCAGACACTATGGCCACACCTTTTAATGAAGCCTCAAACCAGAGATTCACCCCAGGCTTGCTGAGAGGGCATGATTCCCTCCTCAGAAATGGGCAGAAATGGGCTCCGGACAACTTTGCTTATCTCAATATCCTTCCTCCTATGTATATTCAATTTCAGTGTTTTTTCTTTTTCTTTCTTTTTTCTTTTTTTTTTTTTTTTTTTTTGAGATGGGGTTTCACTCTTGTCCAGGCTGGACTGCAGTAGTACGATCTTGGCTCACTGCAACCTCTGCCTCCTGGGTTCAAGCGATTCTCCTGCCTCAGCCTTGCGAGTAGCTGAGATTACAGGCGCGTGCCACCACCCCCGGCTAATTTTTTGTATTTTTAGTAGAAACGGGGTTTCACCATGTTAGCTGGGCTGGTCTCTAACTCCTGACCTCAGGTGATCTGCCTGCCTTGGCCTCCCAAAGTGCTGGGATTACAGGTGTGAGCTACCCCATGCTTCCTTTTTGATAGGAAAACCTTTTTGAAGGAGAGCTAGCACCTTTCTTGGGAGGGATGACCCCATTGCCCTGACCTGTTGGTGCACCACGTTCCCAGTCCTCCAACCCATTTTCTCCTCCAGCCACCTCTGTGAGGCTGCCCAGTTGGCATTTTGACACTCCAGCTTTTGTGATGGTTTTGAGTTTTCCTTTCTCGATTTCTAACAATTTATTTTATTATTTTTTTGAGATGGAGTCTCACTCTGTCGCCCAGGCTGGAGTGCAATGATGTGATCTCGGCTCACTGCAACCTCCGCCTCCTGGGTTCAAGCGATTCTCCTGCCTCAGCCTCCTGAGTAGCTAGGATTACAGGTGCGCACCACCACGCCCAGCTAATTTTTGTATTTTTAGTAGAGGCAGAGTTTCACAGTGTTGGTCAGGCTGGTCTCAAACTCCTGACCTTGTGATCTGCCCACCTCGGCCTCCCAAAGTGCTGGGATTACACGTGTGAGCCACCGCGCCTGACCGATTTCTAACAGTTTTTTTGAACTGAGTAGAAATCACTGTGAAGAAGATCACATGTGAAGGTCTGGTCTCCACTTTTTGCTGCTAATAAGAGACTAAGATCTCCTTTAAACGGCTTCCTCCCTGTCTGAGTGGAGTGGTGGTGTCATGAGGGTGCAGGTAGATTTTAATCGTAACTCAAAAACTCCCAACCTTCTTCTGGACGCTCTTCCACAGTCAGGCCCGGAGGCATGGTTTGCTTTGTGCCCACGAGGTCTTGGAATGGTACCAGCATGCAATTATGGTAGATCTATTTCATGTTTTTCAGAGTATTGGATGCATATCTTCTCCCTACCCAAAACTGCCTTTCTAAATTTGACAATGAAAAGATGATCCAAATTATGTATACTTGTACCTTTTGGCATTTTGTTTTCTGTAAAATAGAGCCTTTTGGTTGGCTGTCAGGTTGGCCCTCTGGTTTGGGGTTTGAGAGGTCCGAAAGTGACCATCTTGGCCAGGCACAGTGGCACACACCTGTAATCCCAGCATTTTGGGAGACTGAGGCAGGCAGATCACATGAGCTCAAGACCCAGGTGTTCAAGACGAGCCTGGGCAACATGGCAAAACACTGACTCTACCAAAAGTACAAAAAATTATCTGGGCATGCTGGTGTGTCCCTGTGGTCCCAGCTGCTCAGGAAGCTGAGGCGGGAGGATTGCTTGAGCCCAGGTGACAGAGGTTGCAGTGAGCTGAGATTGTGCCACTGCACTCCAGCCTGGGTGACAGTGAGACTCGTCTCAAAAAAAAAAAAAAAAAGAAAAGTGACCATCTTGCTCTCCCCTGACCCCAGAGGCCCTACGATCTGGCCTCAGCCTCCTTTGGATCCTTATTTCTCTCTGCACCTGCATCCGAGGCAGGAGCCTGTTCCCGGAACACCCCTCACTCAGCTGCCTCTGCAGTGCTGCTGTAGACCCCGCCTGCTGGAACACCCTTCCCCCCACCCTCACTGCACTCCCCCCACCTCATCCCTGTTTCACACCCTTTCCTTAGTGCTAGCCCCTCCCAGCCTTTCCCTGGAATTCCGCTCCTGGCTCTGCCCGCCTTCAGTGCTTGATCTGGGCTGAGCTGGGGATATGAAACACCGTAATAATGATGTGTGTGCATTTCTTGCTTCCCAACTAGCTTGTATGTTTCCTGAAGGCAAGAACTTTGTCAGGTTCATCTCTGTTCCTCACAGCACCCTCAACGTCGTAGGGGCTAAAGACAGGTTTGTGAAATAATGGTAACACAAGGTCAGGCAGGTCAACAGCTTAGTAATGTCAGCTCAGCAATTTGATCCTGCAGTGGGCATCACCTGCGTCAGATGTGGAGCACTGCGGGGAAGGTGCTTTATGTTCCAGAGGCAGCAAGGGACATCTGAGCACAGGCCTCAGACTTGGCCATTTTGATAGCACCTATGGTGGGTTACATCTCTTGAGCTTGGTAAGAGATTTCTAAATATCGGAGAAAAGCATTTAGAAACCATCCTGAGGTTGGGGCCGGGCGTGGTGGCTCACACCTCTAATCCCAGCACTTTGGGAGGCTGAGGCAGGCAGATCACTTGAGGTCAGGAGTTTGAAACCAGCCTGGCCAATATGGAGAAACCCCATCTGTAGTAAAAATACAAAAATTAGCTGGGCATGGTGGTGGGCACCTGTAATCCCAGCTACTAGGGAGGCTGAGGCAGGAGAATCGCTTGAACCCAGGAGACGGAGGTTGCAATGAGCCAAGATCATGCCCCTGCACTCCAGCCTGGGTGACAGAGTGAGACTCTGTCTCCAAAAAAAAAAAAAGAAAAAAGAAAGAAGCCAACTTGAGCTGGACATATGATTTTGATATGTGTGTGTCTTTAGTTTTACCATCAGGAACCAAATACATGCATTTTTTTTTCCTTAGGAAATATAAAAATACTAACAGTACTTTTAGGGCTAATATATACCTCATTCAATGGTGGCATTTATTTGTCCATCTTCTACATTGTACTAAAACAGACAACTTACTAGCTGAGTGACATATTTGACAGTTGTTTTTTTCTGTAAAAATTGAACAAATATGTAAATATATGGGTTTGGAACAAAACTTGGTTAAACCCATTACCTTAGAAAATGGGAAGATTTGGGAAGTCATGACTATAATTTAAGCTGGTAGACAATAAAAAATCCATTAATGTGAAGACACAACAGTTGCAGTTTCAGGAGGTGTGGGCCCCACTGCATCCACCTCGCTAACACACCCAGGGTCCCCCCAGCATCTGGACGTGGAAATACCATTAATGTAATGAGGTCCAGTCTAGCAGCACCAGACACACACCCAGGGGTGCTGATGTGATTGATCGTCAGAAAGAATCCGTGTGGGGCGGGGCCCCAGCTGTGATGTGAGACTTACACTAAAGTCACCAACCACAGGAAAAGGAAATGTTGGGTGAGAAATAATAATTATGATTTAAATACATATTCACTATCATTAATTCTATAGGTAACAATAATAAGCTAGGGCCTGTCATTGGGTGAGGACTTACTTTGAGCTGTGCAGAGTCTTTTACATTCATGATTTCATTTCATCCTCTCAGTCTGCAGAGTGCTTTTCTACAGTTCCCCATTTTAGGAACAAGGATACAGAGGCTTGGAGCTGTTAGTGACTCCCCCAGTGTCCTGGCACAAATCCGTGGAGAGCCAGGTGTGCCTGACTTAACAGCTGTGCTCTTTATGTGAGCATGGAACAGGCTTGCTGCCTGCGTCTGTAGAATGAGGCTGTTGACCTACTCACACTTTCCTACCTAGGTCCATAGGAGCAGAATGTTGCAGAGCTTCAAGTTGTCTTTAATATTTCAAAACACCTGAATGTAACTAGGTTAGAAAGATGCCCAGGGGATTAAAATACCATATTTGGGCTGTAATTGTATCAACTCACTAGGATGACACTGGTCATCTTCCACGGATGAAGAACTCATTGACAATTATAAATGGTTTTCTTTGCGTGGTTGCTTAGTAAATGCCCTTTTTTGGTGCAGTCTTTTAAAGCGTGATGCAGTGGGAGAAAACTTAACCCATGTAGTCCTTGTGGAGGAAAAGATTAGGAACTATTGGTCTACACAGCTGAGTCCTCTCCTGGCTGTCCAAGAGACCCTGACAGAGTGCAGTTGTTTTAGATTCAGAAGTCTCAGTGACTCTTTGGTGGTCACCCAGTTGCCCTGTGTCCTTTAACACAGCTCTGTTAGTCCCTCCTTCCCACTCTGACAGAGGGGAAAGTGCCCTCCTTGGAAGCCTCAGCTGTTCTTTAACGGCAGGCGCCGTCTCTGTCACACTGCAGACACTTAGAAGGGTGACGGTGGGGAAGCTGGGAGCAGCCTCCCTGTCTCTTTCCCTGGACTCTTTTCTTCTCCCCTAATATAATGTCACTTAGGTTAAAAGTTCCAGAAATACTAGCCATGAGCAGGAATATATCTGATCATGCTCCTTTACATTTGTGTTACCCATCGAAGGGTTTTTATCTTAAAGTATTTCATTTTAGCCTACAAAATATAAGCACTTTGAGCTCCACTTGGAAGATAAGTCAATAGGCAAGGAGATATCAGGCGAGTTGGCTTCCCTGATCCTAGCAATGGAGACCTGGACTCAGTGGCATCCTTCTGGCTTCTGCATGGGGCTCTTTCCTGTTCCTAGCAAGCCCCCAGCAATTAGAGACAGACGAAAGCAGCATTGAAGGCCCCTCGCTGTGCAGTGCCCCCATATGAAATAATTACCAAAAGCAGCCCTCAGAAACGACAGGACCCGTGAACGATGACTGAGCCTCTTCAGCTAGGAGCAGCCACACACGTTAGCAAGGACCATCTCCTCCAGTTGAGAATATGATGTGCCACTTGGTGTGGTGACATCACCCTTCCTGGCCTGCCAGCTGTGTGTGGCATGGTGTGAAAATAGGGCTGAAATTGGATGTGGTTTCACCCCCATGCCTGCCCTTTGAGGCTTAGGATTTGAAGCAGATGAGTGAAATTTTGAAAACCAAGTTCAGGAAGATGTTTTCTCAAAATAGCAGAGATCACCCAAGATGACAGGAGGAAGTATTTATTTTTTTTACATCCTCTCCAGGTCATTCTGTAAATTATAAATCAGGATCCCAAATGACCGTGATTGCAACAAGCAGGGCGTGTTCTGAAGCAGCATCTCCAGGCGTCTGCCACTCATCTGGGATTGATGGGGAGGAGTGCGGGCCTTCTGAAACCAGGCATCTCACAAATGCAAACACTAATGTGGGTGTCAGAGTACCCCACTTTTGCACCGTCAGTTGCTCCTTCTGAAGGGAGGAATGGGGACACAGGACAGTGGGAAGGGACTTCCTTTTGGCAGGTAGCAGAGAAGGCAGATGAGTGAGCTCCGTGACCTAAAACTCACCCAGATTCAGCCACCAGAAGAGCTGAGGTTCCAAGTGGGACACTTTAGTGAGGCGAGCTGGTTACCAGAGCCGGGCACTCGCCCGGGGCCACAGGCCCCTGGAAAAACTCTGCGGTGGTCTGTTGCTCGTTTGGTGTGTCCTGGGTGCCCTGTGCTGTACTGGAGTGTGCTTAGAGATTTCTGTTACATCATTTAGGGCATGTAATGCCTTGGAAATCGTAATGATACCTTAGAAGAGGCAGCTGATTCACTATTATTTTCTCAACTTAAACAGCTTATAATAGAACAGTAAAATGATAGTCCCAGAGTTTTATACTTGGAAAGTGATAGATAGATCTGGAAGAGACCCTAAATATCACCCTGTCCATCCCTGTCTCCTTCCTCCTCCTCTCTCTCTCTCTCTCTTTTTTTTTTTTTTTTTTTTGAGGCAGTCTCACTCTGTTACCCAGGTTGGAGTGCAGTGGTGCGATCTTGGCTCACTGCAACCTGTGCCTCCTGGGTTCCAGTGATTCTTCTGCCTTAGCCTCCCAAGTAGCTGGAACTACAGGTATGTGCCCGGCTAATTTTAGTATTTTTAGTAGAGATGGGGTTGGCCAGGTTGTTCTTGAATTCCTGACCTCAAATGATCCGCCAGCCTCAGCTTCCCAAAGTGCTGGGATTATAGGTGTGAGCCACTGTGCCCTGTCCTGCTTCTCATTTTTAAGGTGAGGAGGCGATTAAGACTTTACAAATTAATGCTTCTGTCTTAAGTTGGGGCAGACCCTGGGGTTCAGGCTTGGTGTGAGAGTTGGAAACACACTTTCTCTACTCATCTTTATTCAGGATGCAACAGGGCTTTCTGGCCTTTAATCACAAAACTGTCTTCGATTTCATGAGCTGGCCATGCTGAGTAGAAGGATATGTTTGCCTCACCAAGGGAGATTTAGAGATTCCTGAAAGATTGTCCACGTGTTTAAGTAGTTGAGGTTATTCAGCCATTTGCAGGTTTTATGAAAGTCCTCCAGGAAATAGCTCATTTTAAAGCTGATATTTTTTTGACGATGCCTTTAGCAATAGGCAGAAATAAAGGGGCTTTAAACCAGAACTGCTATTTATCTTTATTTTCATCTTAAAAAAAGTTGAAAGATTAAACTTGATGGATTGCCACTGATGCTTTTTCACAGTGGGTTTCTGAGCAGGTCACTCTTCACCTCTTGGTTTTCTTTTTAAGTAGAAAAGAGGTATCTGGTAGCTCTAGATTGTGGCTTCTGTGAAGACAGAAGTCCATTCTGGTCTTATCCACCACTGTATCTGCTATGCCTGGCACTGTGCAAACCATATAGGAGGTGCTTCATCCGTTTGCTGGATGGGGAGTTCAGTTGAGTGTCAGCTTAGTTTCCAGGTACTCGAGGCAGGCAGTGGTGTTTGCCGTCTCCATTGAGTGTATGGGATTTTCACCAATCAATTTGAAACAGGTCATTTCTCCACCCATTGGACTTTACTAGTCTTTGAGTTTGAAAATAGATTTGGACCAGCCCTGAAGACACTGGTAGAACCCTGGGAAAGGCTCCAGGTGACTTACAAAGCTTCTCTTAACCAGCAGCGCTGAAGGAACAATATCGTCCTTCCCTCACTTCAGAGGGTGGCCAGAGCTGAATACCCAGAGAGGGACAAGTAAGGGTCCAGTTCCAAAACATCATGAGGATGTATCATCCCACGTGTCTCACCTGACAGTTACAGAGGAAACCCGCACCCAGAATGCACGTGCTGTCTTATGGGAACACTCAGCGCAGAGTGCTCAGGTCTGGCCACACTTGGGCTGTGCTTGGTCGTGCCATGGAATTCCTCAGGACTTTCTCAGCCTCCCTAATGGCAGAAGCCCCTTTACAGCAAGACATTTACCGTTTGTCTGAAAATAGCCGAACTGAGCCTTTTCTTCAGGCTATATGAGAAGTCTCTAGACAGTGGGCACCGTCAGAAAGCCCAGAGCCTTGTGATAGCTCCCACCCTGCCTGGCTCAGATCTTCCCATTTTTTTCCTCTGGCACTAACCTCACCTTTTGTTTTTTTGTGTTTGTGTTTGTTTTTGTTTTTGCAGAGTTGGATTACAGAAACTCCTATGAAATTGAATATATGGAGAAAATTGGCTCCTCCTTACCTGTAAGTTCGTCTGCCTCGGGCCACTTAGGGGACTCGCTTTCCTGCCTTCAGGGGCCTCCTCCCCTGTGCAGAGTGTCTCTGGGAGCTCAGACCCCAAATCGAGTGTTTTCTGTGTACACAGCTTCCCGGGTGCACAGCAGTGATGGACTGGGGCTGGGGGGTTGAGGTTTGTACTCAATCCACTTCGTTTGACATTTTCAGGGAGAAAATGATAGAATACAATTAGACGTCCTGCAGAATTACTTTCCTAGACTGAGAAAGAGCTAGAGATTTCTTTAAAAAAAAAAAAAAAAGAGGTGGTGATGGTTTTTCAGGTATACGATTAGCTGTTTTTGAGAAATTGTTTTAATTAACTGAATATTTTCTCTGGGCAATAAGCCTTTCTCCCTGGTTTTTCATTTTAAGAGGTTATGATGGGCACTGTCTTTCCTGGCATAATACCTGCTGCCCTAGGGCATGTTATTCCAAGGGTGACCTCTTGCTGTTGTCAGCGATGCCCTCGGAGACGTGTGGCACACAGGAGGGCTTGCTTGCTTACAGCACTACGTGGCCCTGGATATGTTGCTCTTTATCTTTCTTTGCATTAGTCATAGATGCCGGGGTTACTGCTTCCAAACTGCAGGTTGCTGTAAGTTAGACCTGAAGGTTGGGTGGGAGAATGTCCCCATGCACAGGCTTAACTCATGCGCCACGTCAGTGAGATCACAGCTTCCTGAGTAAAGCACATGGGCTTTGTCATCATCCCCTTGTGCGTTGCTTAAAGAGCTTAGCTCTGTGGCCACACCTGTGTCCCCAGTAGCTGAGGCCATATACATAATACTGAGGGCGAGACATTTTACCGCTGAAGGGGAACTGTCGTGTGTTTTGAGATCTTTGATTTAAATGGATTGAAACCACAAGGGGCCCCTTCCTCTTGTGCCACCACCCACTGCCTGGTGCGTTGGCAGGCCTCGCGGATGAATTCGTGAGGAGCATGCCCTGCTCAGGAACAGCAGAGCCACCCAGAGATTTCATGGCAGTGCAGAGCAGCATACCTGCCGGCCGTTGCAGGGACTTATTTGGGGACCCCAGCAGGGCATGTGGAGGGGGTCTTTCAAGGTCTTCCCATCACTGAGAGATGCCAGTCCCACAGCCCCTGTTTCTAGTCCAGCTGAGTTGCTCTCCAGGCCCTGCCCCTGCCCTGGGCTCATTCAGCTATGGTCAGCCCAGGTCTAGGCTCTTGCCCTACCTCTCTGTTTATCTGCAGTGGCCAGCACAGCTCCTGGCCCAGAGAGCGTGCTCAGTAAATGTTGGTGAATTGAACAAAGTCCAGCTCACCAACGCCGTGGCGTCTTCTCCCCTGGCCACGTTCCTACTTGAACTCAGTTGTACTTTCTCTGCATCCTCCTTCCCTCCTGGCCTCCCCACCTCACTCCTAACCAGGCCCCACTTCCTCCTCTCTTCCTGGTGGCTCCAGAACAATGAAGGCTTTTCCCTGATGGGTTATTTGTTCTCTGTTGAAGAGTGCTCCAGTTTTCATCTCCGTTGCACGTTCAGGCCAACTGTACCCAAGCTGATATGTGATTTTGATCCCTGCAGCAGGACGACGATGCCCCGAAGAAGCAGGCCTTGTACCTTATGTTTGACACTTCTCAGGAGAGCCCTGTCAAGTCATCTCCCGTCCGCATGTCAGAGTCCCCGACGCCGTGTTCAGGGTATGACTTCCATGATGAGAGAGTTACACATCATGCTGGATGTTCTAAAGCCTCTGAGCACCTTCATGCTGTTATTTTGACTTCATTTCAGTGCATAGATTCAGGCGGCTGACATGCCACATATTTTTTTTTTTTTTAATAGAGACAGAGTCTCACCATGATGCCCAGGCTGGTTTCAAACTCCTGGGCTCAAGGGCTCCTCTCACCTCAGCCTCCCAAAGTGCTGGGATTATAGGCATGAGCCACAATACCTGGCCAGCCCACACTTCAGTCTCTCTGAATGTCCACAGGGACATAAACGCATTGGTTTTGTTACTGGCTACCCTTTGGACTAAAGTGAAATCCTTCAGCAGTTGACTGTGTGTCCCACTCCCTATAATCTCGCCCAGTGCACACACACTTTATTCCATCATTTGTCTAAAGGGGGACACTGTGGCCCAGCATTCAAAGCTCGAATCCCACCTGTACCCCCTCCTGGTTGTGTGACCTGAAGTGAGGTACTTGCCTCTCCTGGGCCTCAGCTTCCTTGAATGTAAAGTAAAAGTAATAATGAAATGGACCTTGCAGGGATTTGATGAAGATTAAAGGAGGCTATCCGTCTTCCAGAGCGTCCCCGAGCTGTGTGACGGGGAGAGGGCACTCTGTCTACCAGAGAGATGCTGTGTGTAAAGCTCTTGTTGAAGTACCTGGCACACCTCAAGTGCCTGGTAAATGTACATTATTGATATGGGTGTTCATGTTTGCATTTATGAGGGCTGATGTTTGGAGCAGTGCATTGTTTGATCAAGTAAGTGTGGGCATTGCTGTGAGATTTGGACCAGCCTATTTTTGTCTGCCTGCCCCTTTAAGCAGGAGTAAAAGTGCTTGCATTGACTTCTCAGACTTACAAAAGAGACTCTGCAGGCTGCCCAGGGTGGTGAGAACAATGATGATGGTGGTTATGTTGTTAAAACAGTAGTGGCACCAGGTGACAGGTACCACATTAAGTGCTTTACAGGCATGCAGCATCTCATTTAATCTTCACAGAGAGGTCCATTGTCTCCATCTTATAGAGAAGGAAATGGAGGCACGGTATCCAGTCACTTTCCCAGAGTCCACAACCAAGCAGCGGGTGGTCTGCTGAACTGCAGAGCTCGGGTCTGTAGCCAGTGGCATCTGTGCTTCTGCCCCTCCCTTGTCACTTGGTCCTGGGGTGACTGCCCAGCCTAGAGGCTGCATGGCCACTGGAGACCTGGCTCATATCCCTCTGGAAGTCCAGGATTCCTTGTGATATTGACTTGGTCAGGGCATCCTGGTTGATTTCAGTGGGTTTCCCAATGAGAAGACTAAAGAAAGATGCCCTTTGCTTCCCCCAGGTCAAGTTTTGAAGAGACTGAAGCCCTTGTGAACACTGCTGCGAAAAACCAGCATCCTGTCCCACGAGGACTGGCCCCTAACCAAGAGTCACACTTGCAGGTGCCAGAGAAATCCTCCCAGAAGGAGCTGGAGGCCATGGGCTTGGGCACCCCTTCAGAAGCGATTGAAATTGTAAGTGGAGTTGGAGGGCCCCAGATCACAGGGGATGAGGTGTGGGCCAGCTGCGTATTGTCACCAAGAAGGCCAGGCCTTCAGAGCAACACTCACCTGGCACCTGCCATGGGTCCCACCCTGACTCCCTGACCACAGAAGCCAACCTGGGAAATCCCATACCATGAGGATGAGGGGAAGGTTCTCTATTCCCACCAGTATGGTTTTGCATTTCCCACTTAAGTACTTTATATGCCTTCAGGGTTATTTAGTTTCCATTTTTTGCCACTTAGGACTAGACTGTTGCTTTAGGGCAGTCGTTAAGCAGTCCTCTGCCGCTTCGTCCTTGATGGCAGAGGGCAAGGGACCCTTTTTTGGGAAACAGTTAGTTTTCCTGGGACTTAGTGATGGGAATTTCTCCTGTTCAAAACCAGGACTTTTCCTCTCCCCAAGCCCTGTGGGGTCTTGCAGAGCAAACAGAGCTGAGCTGAAGGCCTCACCTACCCCCCAGTCCCTGCACAGCACACGTGTCACATGGCCTTGTGCATTCCCCAAAGTAAGCGATGCCCATGCCACGGTCTTCCACACATCTGAAATGCACCATCCTTCTAGGTGAATTTTAGTTTTATTTCCTCTACCTCCCGCCCAGCAATCCCCAAGCAGGTGTGAAGCCCTTGATTTAGTGTGTTATTTTTGTTGTTCTGTGTTAGTAGGCCATTTCTCTTGTGCATCAAATGTTTATTGAGCACCTACTATGTGTTTGGCAGTTGGATGCTGGGGTGGATACTAGAAAAACAATAGCAAAAAGAGGGTCTAGATGTGAATCAATCTCTCACATGAATACTCTGAAGCACACG
This sequence comes from Homo sapiens, assembly GCF_000001405.40. Taxonomy (NCBI): domain Eukaryota; kingdom Metazoa; phylum Chordata; class Mammalia; order Primates; family Hominidae; genus Homo; species Homo sapiens. Next base: position 122,228,845 of record NC_000010.11, read on the forward strand.
TCCATGGTTCGCCTTCTACAAAGCTGGCTTCTGATTGTGAAGTCTTTCTGATCTATCAGAAGACACTTTTTCATTTGAAATCATCTTTCCGTGATTTAGAAAATGACCTTTACCAAAACCTTACTTCATATATATATATATTTGGAAGTATTTCTTGAAGAGTTATGTTACGTTTGGAAAACCCACCAGCTAACTGGCCTTTCACCTTCCGCTGGCTAGCTCCCACTCACTGACCAGGGAGTGAGGGTGGCGTGGGGGTGGGAGGACACTGAAGGCTATGCTTTTGGGGAGGGGGTCGGGTCTGCCAATCTCAAGATGTGCATTGTCAGCATGTGGGAATTAGTCTAGATGAAACCACAAGTAATGGCAGCTAATTGATACTCTCTTTAGCCTCAAGGCAAAAATGTCCAGCAAATGGCTGCATGGCCCTTGCTTGGAATCAATATCACTCTCTGTTCTCCTCTATTTTTCTTGTGTGTCCTCCTCTCTGCCGGCTTTCAGACAGCTCCCGAGGGCTCCTTTGCCTCTGCTGACGCCCTCCTCAGCAGGCTAGCTCACCCCGTCTCTCTCTGTGGTGCACTTGACTATCTGGAGCCCGACTTAGCAGAAAAGAACCCCCCACTATTCGCTCAGAAACTCCAGGTTTGTAGCCCACGTGTGACCTTTTGGGAGTTTGTCAAAACCTCAGTAGAGAATGAACCCCCGAGGCCCAAATGAAATAAGGCAGGATTTGATGAGGAACTGCCGAGAACGTTCCCAGTGACATATCTTCCCCTCAAAGGATGGTATATGTGACGTTCTTTCCCCACGATACCAAAGTGATGTAAATTGTGTGATTACATATTGAACAAACCATTTCTATTTCAATTTACAAACTGGGCCCAAATAGTCATTATTTAGAAGCATTGATAGCCCCCAAAGCAGTTTCTGTGATTTATTCACTGAACCAAGAATATTAGATCACCACTGAGCCAAGCCGTTTATATATACGTGGCTATCTCAGACTCCCAGTGAGATAACATCTGGGCTCAGTCTTGCATCTGGAACCAAAAACAATGATCTACTCTGTGCTTTAAATTTGACAACTTAATTTGATATCCTCTAGACTAGGGTGTTCAGAGCAAACCTAGAGAGATTGTTAACAGCCATCTGAGAGATGCAGCTCCATTCATGGAAACTATTGGCCAACTTTACCTTAAGAAAGAAAAAGGGAAAGAAATGAAAGAAAAGAGAACAGTAAAAATTTTGATCCCATTTTGAAAATCATTTCGTATTCAACTGCACAATACTTCCTGACAATCAGAAGGGTGATTTTTAGAAAAGGAAATTAAATGCTTATTTCATGATCTGCTGAGGTGCTAATTGTGAGAGAAAGGCGGAGCGCGTGTTTTTCCCGAGTGCCTGTCATGACACATTTTCGTGGCACGTTCATTTCTCGGATGTGGAAACCATTGACGTCTGTCTTGATGCATTTCCCTGCGGTTTGCCCACACTCCCTGTGGGCAGGAGGAGTTAGAGTTTGCCATCATGCGGATAGAAGCCCTGAAGCTGGCCAGGCAGATTGCTTTGGCTTCCCGCAGCCACCAGGATGCCAAGGTACCGGTTTGCTGCTGCGTGCGCCACCTCCTGAGAATGTCATGTGTGCCGCTGGGGTCCAGAAGCTGCTTTGCTAACCATCCGCCAGGCGGGCATCATCGGTGTCCAGCAAAGAGTCGTTTCCAAAAAGCTGAAAGCGTCACTCTTGCATAAATACACACTGAGCACATAGCTAAGATCCATTTAAGTCGATAATGCTAAACCGCGGGATAGTAATGCTGGTTAAATGAGAGAGAATACAGAGACCAATGTATGGGTCAGTAGGGTAAAGAAGGCTAGCCTAAGATGGCAAAGTTGGATAGAAAACTGGTTAGCACCAATTCAACAGAGCAAAACAAAATCATGACCTTTGAGGGTTTTTTTTTTCTACAGATACCATTTGCTTCTCTATTGAGCAAACATAATTTGCAACTTTTCTATTTTCTGCAAGTTAACATCTGACTTTGTTGAGACAAGGCCCTAATCAATAATACATAGTAAGTGAAACCAAGACATTTGATAATATTCTAGACCAGGCTTAAGCAATTCTTTCTGTAAAGTGCAAATGATAAGTATTTCCAGCCTTGTGGGCCGTACTGTCTGGCACTGTTCCAATAAAACTTTTATTTGTCTGTTTGTTTGTTTGTTTTTTTACAAAAAACGGCAGTGGGCCATTTGGCCTGTGGAGTTTCCCAATTCCTAGTTTTAGCATGGAGTATGACATTGACAGGGCATGCAGAAATCTTTTCGCCTGGCTTCCAAGTTTGGGGTAACTTTTATTAACAATTTGAATGAGTTGCTGATGACGTGCAGAACGTGTGTTTGCCCCTGGACTGCCCATGCAAACCTTGGTCTCTGAGGGCGGCCTCGTTCCCACCCCTCACCCCACCCCAAGTTGGACAGCCCGATGAACCTGGTGTGTCAGACTGTGCTCTGTGGCTTTGAACAAGTAGGTGAACCTCTTCGAGCCTTAGTATTGCCGTTCGTGAGATGAGGCCAATAATAGCCAGTGTACAGGTTGCTGTGAGGATGACAGATGTCTGGTGTGCGGAGAGTGGCACCATGCTTGACACATAGTAGGTGTGTGATAAAGGAAAGCTGCTGTTGTTAGCTGACACTTCCCTCTTGCTTCTGTTACCTGATCAGGTGCTCCCAGCATCTCTCCTCGGTGGGTGGATCCGGGTCCCATTTTACAGATGGGAGATGGAGCCACTTGACAGTGATTCACCAGCCTGTTGGGGACTAGAACTCAGGTCTCCAAGTGAGAGGCCCCTCGCTGGGTGTGGTGGTACACACCTGTAGTTCCAGCTACTCGGGAGACTGAGGTGGGAGGATTGCTTGAGCCCAGGAGTTCCAGGTTACAGAGAGCTGTGATCACTTGATTGCACTCCAGCCAAGGTGACAGAGCGAGACCCTATCTTTTAATTGAAAAAATACAAATGGGAGCCCCTGGCCTGCCTGCCTGGAGTAACAGCTCATCTGCAGGGGGGCAGTGAGGTCTGTGTCTCTCATCCTTGGTACAAGAGTAGGAGTTCCGGCTGCTGCTCCAGCCCTGAGGGCCCCGCAGTGAGGTCTCCTTGGCCATACCCAAAAGAGAGACCCCTCCCAGAGACAGTGGGTGCTTACACTGTGGGTGTGCAGGCTGGGAACAGCGAGACCCAAGGCAGGGACAAGAATGTCAATACAGATTGGGGATGTCCTCGTTCTTGTTGCCAAACCATAAGCTTAGGTTGAATTTCCATGAAAGCGAGATTTTTAGAAAGCATGAAGCAGTGAGGATTTTCCCCCCACTAGATTTATTTCTAGACATCCTTGGGGCCTAAAGACAGAATGAATTGCATGCAGTTTGGCCACTGTAAGTACCATGTATTCCTGTCCAGAGTTTGAGGTGGAATTGAGCATGTTTGGTGAGTAGCTCAGGGTGGATATGGAGTGTGCTGAGTGCTTTGGTCCCCCTGCCACCTCCTTTGGAGAGCGGCCAGAGATGACTGTTGGCAAATAATGGCCAGGAGTTGACTTTTTGTCAATTACAGGCTGTTCTCAGAATATGTGCCCCAATTCTGAGTTAGAAAATAGAGTCATGTGTGTTCATAGTATATAGGTCGGAGAGGCAGCCCAAGCCACCTCTTTTATTTCAGAGGCGTATGCTCAAAGGAGTATTCTGTGACTGTCTTGGAGTATATAGGGAATATTTTTCTCTAGCAGAGTAACTTGTATTGCTTTTGTTAAAAAGTGCATTACCTGGTGATGTTGGCCTGTGGAAAATAGATGGTGTTCCTGTAGCTACCCAGCCCGAGGGTGGTCCACGGGCCTGACCTCAAGTTGGTCCCTGTGGGTTTCTTTTTCATATAGAAAGATTGTTCCTTGCTGCATTGGAAACTCCTGATGCATAGGAAGAGAAAACAGCAGCTGTGTATCCAATTTGCCTTTTTTTCTGGCCATATATTTCAGCGGTAGGTGACACAGCTCTGTCATTTTGCCAACATGGTCTTAAGCTGTTGCTAGCACAAAGATGAAATCACTTGGAATGAAAAATATCATATTGCATGGATGAAAATCACCATAAGCTAGAGTGGGGAGTGATTTTCCGGTTGTTCCCTAGAGCAGCTTTGACTTCCATATCTCTCTAGACTGATGGAGAGCTGAGTCAGCCTTGCAGGAGCTGCAGTGGGGGTTTCTCCATCTCAGTTAGAAAATGTGAGAAATGAGGAGAAGTCCTTAGGGGCCGGGGTGTCAGGCTGCAGTCTCACCATTACTTTCCTTCCACATCCTTCTGGTCAAACGGAATTTGGTTGTGTCCTCCTGGGAGTGAACCTGACCAAGGTCACTGGAAATGTGGTACAGGAGCCCTGAATTTAACACTCAGCCACGTCAGATAGAACCTGAATGTTGTGTCTGGGTGGCTCTCCAAGAGGCACAGGCTGTGGGCCTTTCTGGATTGGGGGACCCAATATAAAGACGGAAGGATGTGTCTGGGTTCCTTAGGAACAAGGCCATACAAATAACAAGCTTCAGGAAGGGGGCAAGTCCTAGCAAGAGGCCCCCAGCACGGTTGAGTGGTGTGGCCCCTCAGTCCTGGCTTAGAAGAGGCCGATGCCTGGAGCTTACATGAGCAAGAGAAGGAGTTGGGGCCACCTGTGTTGTCGTTGAGCAGCCTGGCAGCATGCTCTGTGTTTCCCTCTCCATTGCTGTGTCACAGACTACCCCCACCCATACACACACATTGAGCCGAGGTTCAAAAGGAGGGAGACGTGATGCCCAAAAGCCACAAGTACAGCCTGAGAGGAGTGACAAGGACCAGCTCGCGAGCGCCTGTGTATTTGGCCGTTTGGAGCCTCTGTGGTCATTGGCTGGAGGCTGTGTCTTGACTCGGTGGGCAGGAGCGGCTGGCTGTTGCCAGTGGTGCCACCTGTGGGAGTGGCATAAGGCCTGATGCTGAGTGCCTCCCCATGATCACCGCTCCTGCTGGGCTTGGGGACTGCCTGTGGTCAGAATTGGATGGGGCAGCACCCAGCGGAGGCCACTCTCCTGCGCGGGTGGCGGCACATGACCTGGACACCCTCTGAGCACCAGGCCTGTGTCCATGCACCGTGGCCTTGGTCCAGGTGGCTGTCATCTCCCTAGCTCATCCTGACTCCTGGCCTCACCCCTCCGTGGCCCCTCTGGCATGGCTCTCCCAGCCTCGGATGGCAGGTGCTCTCCCCAGAATTGGCCTCTCTCTGCTCCAGGGGACAGGGATCCTGCCACAGTGCTAGCCCCTCCCCTCCATGTCTGGCAGCAGGGAACTGTCGACAAGGGGGCTACGATGCCACCCCCAGCTGCCAGCAGGAAGGACCCCAGGCACAGCCTGCAGGTCTGAAGTGGGTGACAGTGGCCAGAGGTTCTCACAGGTCGCAGGACTTCAGTGGAGTGAAGGTTGGAAATTGGTTACAAAGGCCATGCCTTCTGCGTCACAGCCATTTCACATTTCAATTTGTGATTCTAGTGGCTTTTTTTGGCCCCTCTAAAGTAGCAAGTGGGGGTTATGTGAGAGAAACAAAGCTTAATCTAAAAATGTCTGATCTTAAAATATCAGCGACAGACAAAGCTATCAATTTCTGTTAAAAACAATTCTTGGTTGTAAGGGGAAACCAGAGTGTACACAATGCATTTCATCAACATGCAGATACTCAGGCAGTAATTCAAGAGGGCTCTGAAGTCATCTGTTCCTTTATTGAAAACTCCAGGTGGCCGGGATGAAGGGGTCAGTGAACAGTCTACATGGTAGTGTCCATTTGAATTTTCTTAGAAACCCCATTATTTTACTTATTTTTTTTCATTCCCTTTCTTGTTTTACAAAGGATTTTAGGCAGCATAAAGATAATTAATTCCTTCATTAGTCATATTTAGTTTCTGCCCACTATGATAAAGTTAGTTTTAATTAAATCAATTTTCTCCTGCGCTGCAGGGAGCCTGCTTATTTTGATCAGAATTGAATCTCATTCTGGGAAACCTTGTGCCCCAGTCTCTGAGATTCTCCATTTTATTCATCTTCAGAAGGTCCACGCTGAGTTTGATGGTGACTAATGTTGTTTTCATTTTGAAATTTTATTGCTCATTAAAAAAAACACACACATTTGTTGACTTTAAAAGTGAATAGTTTTTGTTTTTCCTTTTAAAATCCTTTGCCTTTTTAAAATTTTTTTAAGACAGAGTCTCACTCTGTCACCCAGGCTGGAGTGCAGTGGCGCGATCTCAGCTCACTGCAACCTTTGCCTCCTGGGTTTCAAGCGATTCTCGTGCCTCAGCCTCCCCAGTAGCTGGGATTACAGGCATGCACCACCACACCTGGCTAGTTTTTGTATTTTTAGTAGAGACAGGGTTTTGCCATGTTGGCCAGGCTGGTCTTGAACTCCTGGCCTCAAGTGATCCACCTGCCTCAGCCTCCCAAAGTGTTTGGATTACAGGTGTGAGCCACTGCAACCGGCCCCCAATTTTTTTTTATTAAAAATTTTTCTAGAGATGAGATCTCACAATGTTACCCAGGCTGTTCTCAAGCTCCTGGCCTCAAGGGATCCTCCCACCTCAGCCTCCCAAAGTGTTGGGATTACAGGTGTGAGTGAGCCACCGCACACGGCCCAGAATTTTTTTCAGAATTGTGTGTTTATGAACTTTCTCCATAAGGACAAATATTGAGTCTTGATCTCTGTGTCATTTTTCAGCTACTTCCTGAGAAGTTCCCCCATGACAAGCAGAACTGTGAAACCCATTTTCCAATAGCAGAGATGAACCCCTGCATGTGAGGCTCCGGCCCTGCGGCTTGGTGGTGCCCTTGCTTCTGGGAGGTCAGCCTGCCTCTGCTGAGGGCTATTAGTATATATTCTGGTCAAGCGTCCTTAAAACGGGGACTTCTTGAGGGCCTGAGCCTGCCCTGTTCTCACATGAGCGAGTCTCTGGGGTCTGCTTGAAGGGGACTGTGTACTTCCATCTCTGGCCAGTGGATCATTTGGGTCCTGCTTCAGGGTCACCCCAAGTATGCAAGGCCAGGCAGGGGCCAAGAAACCCAGGCAACAGACGTTCAATCTTCCAGGACAACCGAAACTATATAGTTTCACCCTGCATGTATACAGCTAACTAACCGGTCCTAACTCAGTCATCTCCGGTCCTATCCATTAAACTTCTTGAGTTTTCCAAGCTGTCTCCCTTCTCGGGTTCATTTTCCCTGATGCTGTCGTAGGGTAGGCACGCCTGTTCTGGTGGTGGAAGAGACAAATTCTGCACAGGTACCTTTAGGTCCTCCCCCTTCCCAGTTAATGTTGGCTCTTTAATCTTACCTGCTGTCCTTGATAAGCCCTCATTATTCTTTCCCCAAATCTCTCTCTCTCTACTACACTGTGGTAGCCTTCCACCATTCAATTTCTTCTCATAATTTCCCAAGGGAAGAAGCAGCCTACTCTGCCTGTTAGAGCACTCTAGTATTGATAACTAGGGTAGAGGTTCGCTGGGCAGCCATGACAGCGCCACGAGGTTAATGCATAGGACTGAGAGTGTGGTTGGTTTGATGTTTCTTTTGCAGTAGAAGTAGACTGACAACCCGGCTGTGCTGGTCAGTGATGCTGCTAACACCGCATTTCAACTGTGTTGCAAATTGCCGAGCATTTTGTGCAAAGGGAAAAAGAATAACCACAGATTCCTCCTCCTCACCTGTGGGAGGCCAGTATCTGTCCTCCACAAAAGGCTGTAAAGCCTCAACCAACATCAGTTGGGTGGGTTGGGGTGGTGGATCATGCCACTTGTTCAGGGTCTAATCAGCAGATGTGGATATTGTCATTGACCCAGTTTTTAATTTTCCCATTAACGTAACAGACTTCATGGCAACAGAACTCTTACATAACTCTAACATAACTCCAACATAACTCTTACATCCAGAGACTCTACCTAGCCAAAGGTGATATTGGTTGACAACTACAGTAGGCTTTAAGCTTTGCGTGACTCACATCCTTTCAAACAGAGCTAAACAAATGCCCCCAAAATGGAAATGTAAACAGTCTTACAAAAGTGATCAAATCTGTGGTTATTCAAAACTAGGAAAACATAGACTAGAATTCAACATTATTCACCATTGAGATCTCATTTTGGAAGTGGAGGCTGCTGAATAGTGCCCTGGGTTCTCAGGCGCTGTGCCTAAGTGGCTCAGTGAGTGATAAATGGCAGAGATAAGCAGGTACCAGACATGCTGGACTCCAAGGCCTCGGAGCTTAAGGGGCCTCTGCCATTAGCCCCTTTGTCTGCCTGCCCAGGTGCAGAATGATAGATCTCCATCCATAGACTGGACTCGGCATTTCCCTGTTCATCAGTCTTTGCACTTTCTCATACTTTTGATGTTCTTTGTTTCAAAACCATACAATTGGCCCATTCATGAGAGGGTGAGTGTAATCCTCTTTGTCGTATGATTAATGCTAACTGTTTTTTTTTTAATTAAAAACGATTCCACAGAGAGAGGCTGCTCACCCAACAGACGTCTCCATCTCCAAAACAGCCTTGTACTCCCGCATCGGGACCGCTGAGGTGGAGAAACCTGCAGGCCTTCTGTTCCAGCAGCCCGACCTGGACTCTGCCCTCCAGATCGCCAGAGCAGAGGTATCGTGGCATGTGGTGTAATTACCCTCTTCCTGCCACTTATAAATACGTATGCTCGTGGTCCACAAAGCCAGAGTCTTTGGAGACAGACTTTGTCCTCTGAACGCTGCAGGCAAAGATGTGTGGCACACCATGCGTTTTGATCTTCCTAGACGCTATCGTGTAATGGGCCTTTTGGCCTTGTTGAATTTACAACAAAAAGCATGCCCCTTTCAGTTGCTCCCCAGTGGGCACTGTGAAAGTCTGATATCTGGCTGCTTTCTTTTTTATGCTCGGGGAAGTTCTCTGAATGTAATTATGGTTTGTTGTAGGAAGTTTTCATTCCACATTTATTCACCGTCTCCTTTTCTTGATCTATGAATTGCTCAGAGCTGAATTCACTCATTTGGGGCTAACCTTTCTCTTCTTCTCTCTGAAACTAGATCATAACCAAGGAGAGAGAGGTCTCAGAATGGAAAGATAAATATGAAGAAAGCAGGCGGGAAGTGATGGAAATGAGGTCAGTTGGGGAGCTGGGCCTTCCTCGTGCCTGAGGGATACTTACCTGTGGTTTAATAATGACCGGAGCTGGTGTGGTCCACAGAAGAGTGTCTTCTGTGGAAGTTCTCTCTTCTTTATTACACACAGTTCATATTTTTCTAAAAGTATTTTTACTCTATTACTATTACTAAAATAGCATGCACATGAATTAAAGAATGCATTCAAATAAATGTATGTACAATGCAAAACAGATCTCCCCACTCAGCCTCCAGTTCCACAACTCGCAGGTGACTATCTTCTGTTTCTGGTGGATCCTTCCAAGAATTTTCCATTTCTCATCACAAATGTAACAATGAGTGTAAACAGCCTCTTTTTTCTCCAAAATAAATGAGAGCTTGCAGTATACATCATTCTACACTCTTTTTAATTAATTAATTTATTTTTTTGAAACAGAGTTTCGCTCTTGTTGCCCAGGCTGGAGTGCAGTGGCGCCACCTCGGCTCACTGCAACCTCCAACTCTGCCAGGTTCAAGTGATTCTCCTGCCTCAGCCACCCAAGTAACTGGGATTACAGGCGCCTGCCACCATGGCTGGCTAATTTTTTGTATTTTTAGTAGAGTCAGGGTTTCACCATGTTGGCCAGGCTGGTCTCAAACTCCTGACCTCAGATGATCCACCCGCCTCGGCCTCCCAAAGTGCTGGGATTACAGGCATGAGTCGCTGCGCCTGACCCACCACTCTTTTTAAATTTAATAGCATATTTTTGACGTATTTTTTATTCCTCTCTGCCTCACTCTGTTTAACAGGTGCTTAATGGTCCATTGTATGGATATAACGTAATTAATTTAAACAGTCTCTGTGGACAAACATTTAGGATGTTTCCTGACTGTAGCTTAAATGATTTATTTTCATTTGTGGTATGTTGTAATAGAAATATAGTCACCATGTATAGTGTACATAAGTGCAATGGCCGATACTAGTTTTTTTTGTGTGTGTGTTTTTGAGACGGAGTTTCCCTCTTGTTGCCCAGGCTGGAGTGCGATGGTGCGATCTCAGCTCACTATAACCTCCGCCTCCCGGGTTCAAGTGGTTCTCCTGCCTCGGCCTCCCAAGTAGCTGGGATTACAGGCACCTGCCACCATGCCCGGCTAATTTTTGTTTTGTATTTTTAGTAGAGATGGGGTTTTACCATGTTGGCCAGGCTGGTCTTGAACTCCTGACCTTAGGTGATCTGCCTGCCTTGGCCTCCCAAAGTTCTGGGATTACAGGCATGAGCCACTGCACCCAGCCCCGATACTAGTTTATTATCAAAATCAATTGCATTCCTGGCTACCATTTTAAGCAGAAAAGCGAACTGTAGGTAATCATATCCCGTTTTCTAGGTCATCGTAGGATCTTCCTGAAAATTCTCCTGTTCGTTCCTTCTTTCTGCTGATGGTTCCCTGTGACCACCTCTGGACATTGAGCCTAGCGTGCTATTTCACATTCAAACGAAAGCCCTGCATTTGCATTATTTTTAAACCTCTTTGTTTTTTCTCTTATTTGGGGGTATGGGTGGTTCTAGTTTTTTTACATGCACTGAAAATGAGGCATGGCACCCAGGAAGGCTGTAAGTTCTGTCTCTAATTTCTTTTGCCTCCTGGGAGCTTTGCCTTCTTGGTGCCTGGGGAGTGCTTATTCGTGGTTTGAGAAGTCGTACCACTGAGGGGCCCCCAGGAGGTGCCATTTACTAGCTGATGTGGTAGGATTTCAAGATGTCACCAGCTGGTGCAGATGTACCGGCATTTGGTAGCCCGAATGTCAGCCCGTCAGCCTCTGGAGCTAGACTAGGTGAAAACCAGGCTCTGCTTCCCAGCCACTCCGGGGCATCTTACTTAACTCTGCCTCACTTTGCTTATTAACTTGAAAATGGGGGTAAATAACAGTGCCTCAACAGAGTAGAGCAGAAGGATTATGAACAAAGGCTGCGGAGTGTGATGCTTGGATTCACATCTGGGCTCTGCCACTTGGCAGCCTTGGGATCCTGGAAGAGTTTCTGAATCACTCTGACTCCACCCCAGTGTCTTCATCAGTAATGCTGGGAACAGTGAGAGCACTGCCTCTTAGGGTCATTGTGAGGGTAAAGTGAAAAAACAGCACAGCTAAGGTATTTTCAGGTCCCCGGTCTCTCCACGCTTCCAAAAGGACACGTCCCTTACCTCCTTGTGTCCTCAGCAGTGATGAGTGGTTAGACAGGGCAGCCTCAAAGATCTATCACAGCTTGGTGATTCTGAGATGCAAGGAGGTGTTGTTTAATGGCAGAAAACACAGAATTGCTCCTGTGTAGGATTTGGAAAGAACCCTCGGAGGCTCATCTCATGGTTACCTTTCTTGGGAGTCCATTCTGGGGTGAGACACTGACCTTGGGACCAAGGTTGAGCAGCCAAGGGCAGGCACCCAGCATTAGACTTTGCAGAATGCATTCTACCTTCATTATCCCTTTTACCCTTATTGAATTTCCCATACAGCCCTGAAAGGTGGGGTCTAGGAAAATCCTTACTCTACCAAGGAGTAAGCAGAGCGCCCGCAGCTTCCATGAATGTCGTGCTCAGGGTCACACAGCTGGGAGGGGCAAGCTCAGCGGGATCCCAGGCCTCCTGACCGGGGTGGGGGTCTCTATGGTTTTCTGTCATTAGGGTCCTGGATCTTCAACAGTTATCCGCTCTTGGTTCTCTTGTGGGGAATAATTATTGGATAATGTAGGTGAACCCCTGATTCTTTTTGAGAAGTTTCTTCCAGCAGATTGGCTTTGGAGAAAGGACGTCTTCACACATCAGTCCTTCCATTTGGGGACAGCTGGGAGGCAGTATGACAAACAGGGGATCTTAGTGCTTTTGTGCAGTTACTGTCTATTGAGGCTTCCCAAGAAGTTTACTCTGGGCCAGTAGGAGATGAGATTTGTGTTCAGTGATGCCAGATGCATGAGATGCTTTGGAAGAAGATGCGGATAAAAGGTAATAGGGTTCCAAGGAGAAATCAAGGAAGGCTTCTTGAAAGAGACACCATTTGAATTGGACCTTGAGAAACAGACTGTGAGGGGTAGAAATAGAGAGAAAGTGAATAACATGGGCAGAGGCATGGGGATGAGAAGGCCGAGAGCAAACAAGAAATCGTTGGTTCTCGCTGAGCCACTGTGTTCATGACGTGGTGTGGAAGGAGGTAAGATGGATGAGGGAGGTTGGGCCCAGGTTGCAAAGACCTCAGTTGTCGGGCTGGAGGTTTGGCTTTATTTTTAATTTTTAAATTTTTTTAGAGATGGAATCTCGCTCTGTTGCCCACGCTGGAGTACAGTGGCACAATCATAGCTCACTGTAGCCTCAGACTCCTGGGCTCAAGTGATCCTCCCACATTAGTCCCTCGAGTAGCTAGGATCACAGACGCAGACCACCACACCTGGTTAATTTTGTATTTTTTGTAGGGATGGTGTTTCACCATGTTGCCCAGGCTGGTCTCGAACTCTTGGACTCAGGCAAACCTTCTGCCTTAGCCTCTTGAGTAGGTAGGACTACAGGTGCACACCACTATGCCTTATTAATTTTTTTTTCATTTTTGTATAGGCAGGATCTGGCTGTGTTGCCCAAGGTGGTCTCAAAATCCTAGCCTTAAGTAATCCACCAGCCTCAGCCTTCTCAATACCTGGGACTGCAGGCATGCACCACTCTACCTGGTTTGATTTTTTTTCTTAGTGGGCAGTGAGGGATGTTGAAGGCTTTGCACAAGGGAGTGGCATATTTAGAGTCACGCACCAGGAAAATGAGCGTGCAGGGCGAGGGCTGACATTGAAGGTGACCCTGGAAGTTGGGGCCCTGCTGGACATGGGTCAGGCTGTGGCGTCCAGCTGTGTGAGATGGAAAACCATTCTGTTGTCATGACTCCAACGTGTCTTTACTTCTCTTATAGGAAAATAGTGGCCGAGTATGAGAAGACCATCGCTCAGATGATAGGTAGGTGTCCTGACCTGCGGGGGCTCAGGCCGGCCCCGATGTTTCTGAACTATGAGGAGGCCTTGGAAGATAGGAGGCTCAGAGTGGGTTTCTGGTAGAGCGTGAAGCCTTTCAGGGAAGGACCAGAGCATTCCAGAAAATATGGCTTTGCCCCAGGACAGAGTCTGGGGCTTCTTGGTAACACCCCCCTGAACTGTGCCATAGCATTATTCACACCCATGGAAAGCCATGGCAGTCACCTGCCAGCCACCATCTGACTCAGCCAAGGACTCTCTACTTTGTGGGGAAAGAGATTCCTTTTGGGTGGGATATTTGGGGGATTTTTTCTTTTCGCTTGTGGGAGATAATAGGAATCAAATCCCTAGACCCTAACTTAGTTTAGACTCAAATGACACCTCAGCCTTTCCACAAGGACCCAGGGACAAGGACAGTGGACCACGGCGTGATTGTCCGCCTCCTTCCTCCCGTGACCATGGCAGGCCCTGTTCACTGACCCCAGCACTGTTTCTCACTGAGATTGGACGCTGCCTCGGAATCCTTCTTAACACGGCGTCCCTGGCAGCCAGTACTGAGAAATTTGCTTTGGCTCACAATAAAAGAAGGCCTCAAGTTATAAGCTACACATCCCTGGGCCTTTTTTTCTTTTCTTTTCTTTTTTTTTAAATAATGAGAAAAGATCTTGCAGAAGTTCTAAGCCCAAGTTTTTATGCTAATGGTCACTATTCAGAAATCATATTATAACTGGGTCTGTGGGATTTTTTTAAAATTAATTAATTATTTGCTTAGGTTTATGATAATCCATTTTTTGTTTGTTTTGGGATGGGGTCTTGCTACGTTGCCCAGGCTGGTCTCAAACTTCTGGGGTTTAGCGATCCTCCTGCCTTGGTTGCCCAATGTCCTGGGATTACAAGGCGTGAGCTACCATGCCCAGCCCATGATAACCAGTTTTGTTGTTGTTGTTTGAGACCGTCTCGTTCTGTCACCCAGGCTGGAGTGCAGTGGCACGATCTTGGCTCACTGCAACCTCCACCCCCCAGGTTCGAGCAATTCTCCTGCCTCAGCCTCTCAAGTAGCTGGGATTATAGGCATCTGCCATCATGCCTGGCTAATTTTTGTATTTTTAGTAGAGACGGGGTTTCACTATGTTGGCCAGGCTGATGTTGAACTCCTGACTTTAAGTGATCCACCTGCCTCGGCCTCCCAAGGTGCTGGGATTGCAGGCGTGAGCCGCTGCACCTGGCCCGATAACCAGTTTTTTTTCTTCTAAGGATATATGGAGTAAAAACTCCAGGTCACTGCAGACCACGCTTTATGTGTCCAAGTTTGACACTGTGCTGGCACCTGGTCCCCACCCCCAAGCATATGGATGTATGAGTCACATCACACCTCTAGCTTGTCCCAAGGTAAATATAATAGTAGCCTCAGGAAGAGTGAAGAGGCCAACAATTGAGTGCTTTCCATTCAAAGGAGCTTCAATTTTGATTTATTGTAACAAAGTTCATTTCACCCAGAAAAGAAGCCCTTTCATGTTTAGCCTCATGGTGCATGCTTCCTATCAAAGTGAAACTTCTTTATTAAATTGGTATAAGAATTTATGAACACATATGGATAAGATAAAAAAAAAAACTCTTGGAGTTGAAAATGCTGGCAAAAATGGTCAGGCTAAGGGATTGATGTCTTCCTTATGTGGTGTTTGGCAAGTAGAACACAACTTTTTGGCCTCCTGGAGTCTTGGGATTTGAGAACATCACTCAGGCCCTCCATAGTTCATCTGGAAACATCCTGCTCCATCTCAGAGCCATACACTTTCATTTTTGCCCTTGGTGATGACATTTTGGTAAATGTTGAAATGCGGGGGAAAGGGTGTGAGCTTTTGCTCCTGAGAGAAAGCTACCCAAGCCATCTTTTATTGCTCAGCTGGCGAAGTTGATATAAACAGACATTCCCTCTTGAAAATTAAAAGTGGAGAATTTCTCTAGTTGGCATAAATGTCCTGTCCTTGTCATGACAGAAAGATTACTCCCACGGTTTCCTCAAAGAATATCTGCAGGTGACAGCAGTGAGGACCTTTTCAATCCTAGGCAGTGTGAGTTCCCTCCAAGCCCTGGAGAGAATGCCACCTGCCTTCCTCTCATCCTGGTGCCAGGGGTTAGGGCCACACATCACCCCCCATCCCCACCCCTGCTCCCTGATGTGTTTGGCCTGAGGGGCCCTCTCTTCAAGAGCTGTACACACAATCCCTTAGAACATTTTCCTGTCCTTGGGGTACTCTCTGGGTGGCCCCTGAGACTCCTCCAGTGTCCCTGGCTGGGAGCAGCACTGCCACACAGAGGGGCATCTCACTGTGTGTCCGTTCCCCGATCCCCATCCTCATTCACCCATTGACCGTCCTCTGTCATTCCAAGGCTTTTTTCATCAGGTGACAGGCCTGTGGTTGTCATTCCTTCAGCCACTGTTGCAGGTCATTGACTAAGGTCACCGTAGATTTCAAGGTCCTTGTGTCCTTGTGGAAGACAGCAGGGGGCTGAGGCATGGCTGGGACTCACTGTGGCTCTTGGCAGGACGTGCCTTCTTTCTGGCACGGTTCAGGTCAGGGTCTCTCCATGCTTGGTAACATGCCCAGGAGGCCCACCTGGGTTCCATGCTTTTCTTTCCATTTTCACTCACGTAACCAGCATCCCTTGTGAAAGAGGAAACTCAGGCCCAGAGAGATTGGCAGTTCAGGACCACCGTGACTGTAGTCGTATTTTGAAGTCAAACCAGCTCCAGCCCACATGTCTAGCTCTTCCTGGCTCTGCTCCATTCAGCTTTCACAGATGCTCCACACCAGTGTGACATCAGTCCTGCCGTTGTTATTCATTTGCATCAAATGTTACTGGAGAGATATGTTTTGTTAAGCTCACATAGTGACTATTTAGAATTCAGAAGAGAGAGAGACTTCTGTGCTTTCTGCATTCCAGGTTGTTGCAATTGATTTTTTTCTGCTTTTCTAACAACTGCCCTGATTATCTGTTTTGCTTCCATTTTCTGTTGCTTCTTGCCCTTTGCTTGCAAAACAAACAGGCAAGCCTGGTAAGTAAACGCTTTTCCCCCTAATTTGACACCTGCCCATTGCAACCCTTTGTTTGTTTGTTTTTCTATTTTTGTTATTTTTGCTTTGTGTATTGCTGCATTCCCCCCACATGATTTCATGATGTTTTGCCTGAAAAAGCCAGAAAAGTCTTCAGGAGCATTGTTTTGTTGTTGAGTGTAGGGTGTCTTTCTCCTGATTTGAAGAACCTAACTGCGTTTGTCATGTACAAAAGGATTTGTGAAGCATTCTTGCCTCCCCCGTCTCCTGGGAACGGGGTAATTCTATTTTTAAAAAGGGTTAGGTTGAGAGGAAAGGAAACCTGAGGCAGGTGAAGTCTTGGATCCAGGAAATCAGATGGACTTGGTTTGGTAAACAGCTCCTTTACCAAGTCAGGTGAAACATACACATGGGCTCAGATCAGCCCAGAATATACACCATACAGCGTGCTGGGAACTAAGAAAGCAGCCAGAATTCCAAGAATAAAAACAAGCATTTGATTATTAGAGACATGTTGAAAGGCCCTTTCTTTTAGGAGTGTGGGTGTGGCAAGCAGGTTGTTGGCGATTCTATGTTAAAAAGCTCCCTCTTCGCAAGCCACTGTGACACTGTTGCTCTGATTCCAGGGGTCACAGAGTTTATTATGGACAATGAGGCTCTTAATAATGGGTTACCAATACGGGACTCTTCCTCCTTCTTGGGGGCTTTATATACATTTTCTCATTTAATCTCCTGCAAATGCCAGGAGATACAAATACTCTTTCTTCCTATTTTAGACAAGGAGGCTGAGACTCAGAGAGTTTAAAACCCTGCTCAAGGTCACTCGTATGGAAAGTGTCAGAGTGAGAGCTCGAACTCAGGCAGTTCAGAGGCTCCTAG